>NC_000008.11:128214222-128839222 GCF_000001405.40 Homo sapiens | reverse complement strand
AGGCAATTATTTTAACCTTTCTTGACATCTTAAAATCATTAAAAATAGGATTTTAATTACATATACCTCATAGAACTTACCTCATAAGATAAATCTTCTGAGTACTGAACACAGCATCTGGCACACAGTAAGGACTTTGTAACTCAGTATTTGTGGCTGTTGCAATTCAGCTTCTAATTAAGACTGTGATGTGTCATTGGTTAAGGGAACAGAAGACATCAGTCCTGTAAGATCCCTTTAGCACTCAAACTCTATGACTTTAAGATTTCATACAACAGGGATCCTGGCTGGGTCAGAATCCAAAGTTTGATATCACCAACAAGTGAGTCTGGTGGTGACTGAGCCCACATTCTGCCTCCCTCAGTGTATCTGGGCACCCCATGGCCCAGCCAAGTTGACATGTAAAATTAATGATCATACCTTGTTCTTTAACTATTTACAAATCCCACTAGGAGAGCTGATCAACCTATATTCAAGTGCTAGCTGTTAATACTATTCCCTGTATCACACCTCCCCTTTGCTTCCATCCAGTCTTCAGGCCCTGTTGGTGAATTGATAAAAGTTCTAGCAGGCTCACTTTCTTTTATGATAGATCTTCTGGCCTTTTAATCCCAATTGTGAGGTTGGCAGATTTTAAAAAGTTTGAACTCCCAAAGTTGAATATAGTTCAAATCATTATCCCACATCCCTGACCTCATGAGGCTCTTCATTTTAAGTGCCATCAGTGGATGCACTGCCAATGGATGCATTGAGGGAGGCAGTGCCAAATATAATTAATGTGAGAAAGTAACCAGTTTAGAAAGAGAGAAGATCAACTTGGAAGACATTAGGTTAGTTGGATCCTGCATCTTCCATGGATTATTTATGTTGTTTGATCCTAGTTTTAAAAGAGAAAAATCTGAACATCTTTCTGTTTTGTTGCTTTGCTTTTATTAGGGTGATCCAATAACTTAATTCTCAAAAGAAAAAAGGAATTATTTTTGGATGGCTTCAAATGGCCCTTCTTTGTGCTGAAAAGAAACCTCTGTGTAGGCTGATTAAATAAAGCAAATATGTATTCAGATTTAGCCTAGAGTAATCAGAACCATCCCTAGTGTGATGCTGACTCATCACCACTGAGTAGAAGAAAAGGGAGCATGAGTTTTGGATTTACCATGAACCTGAGATTTCTTTCTTGCCCTGTCCCTAACCCACTGTGTGACCTCAAGAATCTTGTGTAACTTACCCGAACCTTAGTTCCTATTTTGGTAAAATAGGATAAATACCAGCCACCTTGCAGTGGTTGTGAGGATTATGACTGAATGTCCACATTTTAGGTGCTCATTAAATGGAACTAAGTTCTTATGCTTTTGCTCACCAGACATTAGTGTCTACATAGAGTTATGCTGTATTCTGTTACTGCATGCTGAAAGAAACCGATGGAATCGAGCAAGCACCAGACCAATGGCCACACACACATTAAAGATCATCATCATGTTGGCACAGAGATTTCTGTCAGATTTAGTTCCCTTTCTATTCTCTTCTCTCTTCACACCACACATCTCCTTGGAATTAATTCATACCAACAAGCTTATGGATCATAGGATTTTCCAAGTTTTCCTCATCCTCCTTGCCTTTCATCATGCCTAGAACACCCCTCCCTCCTCAACCATAACAACTCTCCTTTGTGTTTCAAGACCCTTCTTAAGCATCAGCTGTTCATGGAAATAGCTGACCTTCATTTCTACCTCTAGACTGAATGATGGAGGGGGACCCTCGTCCATGTTCCATCTCTGCCCTCCCTTATCTATAGGACTTATAGTACCTATAGTATAGGACCTATAGTACCCTCATCAACTGCTATTATTATGATTAATTTACTCTTCCATGGCAAAAGCAAACTGTGAGCTCCCAAATATGGGAAGCAAGTCTATTAATTTCAGTATTTTTAGCAGCCCAATATTAAGCCTGACACTATAAGTTACCAAAGAAATGTTGAATGACGGAGTGGCTGAATAAATAAATCTTCTTGAAATAACTCTTATTAATATCCCTCATACATAAATGTTATCTTTAAAGATAAATACATAGAATAAACATTACTTCAAAATATGTGGCTTTATAAATATTTTGTGACTGGGTCTATCATTGATCTTTCTACTTACTTACCTGCAGTGATTTAATCTTTTTAATTTAAAAAATAAAAGCAATAAATTTGCTGTGAGACACAATTTTCTATTGCTTGAAAGAAAATGTGTCTAAGCATACATATTAATTGATTTAATTACTCTTTCACTCAGTCTGCTCTGTCCCCCAGACTGGAGTGCAGTGGCATAATCTCTTCTCACTGCAACCTTGGCATCCTGGGTTCAAGCAATTCTCCTGCCTCAGCCTCCCGAGTAGCTGGTGTTACAGGCATGCGCCACCATGCCTGGATAATTTTTGTCTTTTTAGTAGAGATGGGGTTTCACCATGTTGGCTAGGCTGGTCTCAAACTCCTCGCCTCAACTGATCCACCCGCCTTAACCTTCCAAAGTGCTGAGATTACAGGCGTGAACCACTGTGCCTGGCCCTATATGAAACTGCTTCTACTCCTGGAACTGTGCTAGGTGCTGGGGAGATAGTGCTGTACTAGAGATATGCAGTCTTTTTCCTCCCATGGACTGTAATCTTGGGGAAACAAAAAGGAACATTAATTACTAAATATAGCTACTACATAAAAATCAAAAACTGAAGCAAGTCCATTGAAGGAAAATGGGAGGGTCTGAAAGGAAGTTCTGCCCTACTCAAAGAGGACCAGGGAGGCTTTCTTGGAGTAGTAACAGTTAAGAGAAGTTTTGAATATTGAAAGAGATCTAGGCAGATAAATGGGTTGGGGAGAGAGCAAGTGGAATAAGAGATGGGGACACATTAATACTTTACAGCAGGAAGCAGCCTTACAGAGATCAAGGTGGCTTTCCAAATATTTCCTCTGCTGAAATCGAAACCCAAAGGAAACAAAACCAATTCATTTATTTTAAAATGGCTTCCTGATTTCCATTAGTTTCCCTACCTGCTTTTCATTAGATAAACTACCTATATTCCACTGGATATAATCAGGTTTATTTGGAGCCTGGGACATTTGTAGAAAATCTGCATTGAGTATAGTCTGATGAAATAGAGAGAGTGCCTTTATATGCTAAACAGGAGAAGAATTTCTGTAATATAATCAAGAAATCTGGTGTGTTGACTTCTGCTTGGTTAATCTGTGAAGCCAGTCACACGTATATGTTTGGTTGTATTCAGAAAAAGCGATAACCAGGTAGTTGGCTGTACATTCAAGGCAGAGGATGTTGCTGAAAGAGTGAAGTAATAGAGCACTGAATTTCAAGTTAGCCAAAATTCTAGCCTCTGTTTCTACAGTGGTCAGGAAGCAACTTCTCCTCGATTTTCTATTTTCTCAGAAAACATGGAGTTGGATGACATGATTTCTCTGGGTCTCTTCTTCTAAATATGTGTAGATTATCCCTCAACATTAGCAGGAGGGCAGCTGAGACGTCACAGAACCAATTCAATCATCCCAGGTGCTTGAAGACCAACTGTAGCCCCCGAAAAAATGCAGCAAATCAGACTTCCTCCAGGTTGAATTTATGCTCATGGTAGCTTCTTCTTCTGTGTTGCTCTTCCTAACAGAGAACTCTCATTCAATTCTAGGTACTTGGCTGGAAATCACACTTTAAGGAGATAAAGTGCTATGACACCAGAAGGGTGTTATTGTTCAAATCATTTAAGGGACGTAACTGTAGCTAATTAACAGGACTCCTGCAAGGGTGGTAGACTCTTTCTTCCTTAATTGTGGACATTTGTTTTCTTTAGTTGAAAGCCTAGTTTAAATTAGTTTTGTGGTAGCGATATTACACCATGAGTGCATATGGATCTTGGATTTCTCTAAGACCCAAAACTGGAAGATCTCATTTTAGGACATTACTGAGAGCCCTACTTCATGCTTCCTTTTAATAGTTGGCTCTTTTTTTTTTTTTTTTTGGATGTAGAAGTCATTGGGTTTCTGATTATTTCATTCAATATATTAATGGCATCTTGTAGCATTTTGCCATATGCACATTGAGCATGTCCAGTTGTGTTCTTGATTCCAAACCACCGTTTTATAGCATTAACCTGTGACATGTATGTGAGTTAACCTCTGATATGCAGTCCCCTAGGGCTATAAATTTCCTTAAGTTAGAAACAGGCTATTTCTGTCTGCTGGCTGCCACCTGGAGAACTCAGTCTTAAAAATCTACTGCATTGATTCCCTCTAGCCCCTCCCAATTTGACATCTGACTTCCCTGTCCCTGTAATTCAGCAGCACATGGCTTGTCCTTTAATACAGAATTGAATTGAGTTGGCTTTTGACCAGTGTGGCCTGCCTTCCAGTTAGTACACAATAACTGTAAAAAATGGGTAATTCTCTTTGATTATTAAAACATTTTTGGGCTTGGTGGAGATCTCTTTCATAGTCTCTGGACAAAAAGATGATTGCAAGGGGAAAATTCTACAATAGAAAAACTCTTGGTTTTGACCAATTCTGCCAACTCTACTCTGTGTGCTTATTAGCAAGTCACTCATATTCACTAAACCTCAATTTCTTCAGTTAAAGAAAGTAATAATATTGATGTCAGTCATTGACCAAGGATTAGAGTAAATGGTTCTCTTTTCAATGGCTTTTTCCTCTTTATTCTTTTCTACTTTTCCAGCTATTTTCTTTTATTTCTCTTTTTGTCTTCTTGGTTTTCTCTTTATACTTCATCTTTTCCTTTTGTTTTTATGTTTTGCTTTTATTTTCTTGCCTCATCTGTACTAAGTACCATATCTTCCACTCCTCTAATGACCATGATGTCTTCTCTGTTTCTACCTAGCATCCTTTACCCCTTTTCTTATTCAGTGCATTGTGTGTCACTTGAGGGATTCCCCCTATACCAAGGGTTTCCAATTTTGGATACCCTGGGCCACATTGGAAGAACAATTGTCTTGAGACACACAAAAAATACACTAACACTAACAGTAGCAGATGAGCTGAAAAAAATATGAAAAAAAAAGAGAAAAATCTCATAATGTTTTAAGAAAGCTTACAAATTTGTGTTGGGCCACATTCAAAGCCATCCTGGGCTGCACGCAGCCCACAGACCATGGGTTGGATAAGCTTGCCCTACACCATAGTACCATGGAAAGACAATCAAGTTGGCCTGACCTCTTCCAGAAAACGGGTGGGCTGGGTGTCCAAGCTACATCAATAAAATGCTTTCTCCTTAAATGGAGTGGTACAAATGCTGAAATCCCATCATAGATTTATCTCATCCATGGTGTCCTGAAATAACTGTTCATTGGATCCTTCCAACTAGATCCCTAGACCAATTCTGGAGCTCTTTTTTCTCTACAGCTAATTATTTAACTTTTATTTTGTTTCAGCAAGCCAGAGAACTATTATATATATATATATATATATATATATATATATATATATATATATATATATATATATAGTGTATATGCTTATGTAGCTTACCTCTATTATATATATATGTATACACATTTGCTTATGTAGCTTACCTCTGAAATTCCCTAAATAATTCATTCTTATTTTTTTTCACCAGAAGTGTCTCCCCTATCCCAACAGCAGATACTAAACCCTAGCGTATACTAGAAATATACACACAGGAGCATGCTATACAGAGCAAAAACAGATGTCAAATGGTATTTGCAAGTCCCCAGCTAGTGTGGGACCCAGCACAGCTTTACCCTGGATGCCGCTCTTCTCATGCCATAAAAGCTGGCTCCAGTTACTGGAGTAATGGAGAGAGCATGTATAGGGGGAATCTAGTCACTGCTAAGTGTTCTCAGAGACCAGGCACCAGAGATGGGGTTCTTCTGGCTCATGGAGCATTGAAACCTGACTGCTCCTTCATTCAGATTCACTTTTTCACAAAGGCAGATGGGATTGTTTTTAGTGTCCCTTGAGCTTCCTTTTCTCAGAGTTGTCAGTTAGCACCTCCATATTCTGCTGAAGCTTTATTCTGTGAATTCTGTTCTTCCACTTTACACACACACACACACACACACACACCTTTAAAGTTTATTTTTCTCCTAACCCAATAAAAATATCAAGAATTCTGGGATAGTGGAAGCTCTCACTGAAATTTAAACTCATGCAGATCTAGCTCTCAATATTCACATTTTCCTTTGGTGATACGCATGGACGCCATTTAACTCTAGCTTCTCTATGCAAGACTGGCTATCTCAGTATCAGGCAGCATGGGTTTTAGTCACTTAATTTCACTGAGCTGTATTATATACCTATATACTTGTAAGGATATATACTTGTAATGGAGAATTTAAATGGATTGTAAACCTAAAGAACAGAACAGGGTGATTTGGGAAACTCTCCTTTACCAACTCAAGAGCTCTTCATCTCTATTGTTTACTTTTCCCCAATTTAAAGAGAATAACAATTTCTAGTACAAAAGAATGAAACAGCATCTTCTTGTTGGTGACAAGCATGTAAAAAACGTATGCTAGCCTATTGCACATAAGCAATAATATGACTGCTCTATAAACTCGTTGCCTGAAATGGTCTAGGAAAATTGAACAATAAATATATCACAGTGATGGTATTACCATCACATCAGGATCTTATTTATCTAGGGAAACTGTTAACAGCTCTGTGCTTAGGACAGAAGTTCAAAAGAATTTGCCTAGAAAAGACCAAGGCTTTAAATATTCGCTCTGAAATGTAGGCTGCTGAAGCAGATTGTAACAGTCATTTGTCTGCTGATTAGTTTAGAGCATTTGTTGTACTGTAATTGCAGGGAGAAAAGGAGTGTGATCATGTGGCTCATTCTACCAGTCACTGGTGGGCATACTTTTCTCCAGGGAACAAATCATTGTTGTTGTTTCTTTCTCTCTTGGAAAAGCTTACAGTGCAATGGGCTATAACCTCTAATA
Source organism: Homo sapiens (assembly GCF_000001405.40). NCBI lineage: Eukaryota > Metazoa > Chordata > Mammalia > Primates > Hominidae > Homo > Homo sapiens. Next base: position 128,832,265 of record NC_000008.11, on the reverse strand, counting down.
GATACAATACATCTTCTCTGAATAACTTACAAAAGAAATCAATGGTTTGTTTTATACTCATTGTCTCCCCGAATTCCCTTATACGTTTGCCTTGCCTTGGTTGGATAACTTAAGAACAACCATACTTCATAATAAAGAGTTGTCTTGTAAACATGGACTTGGGCTGAAAACATTAGTGGGGCTTGTTTATTTATAGCATTAATTGTAATCCTAGCTCAAAGTAGTCTGGAAGAACATCCAAAAAAGGAAAGAAAAAGAGTAAAACTGATAAAGCACACATCCACACACAGTGTTACTCTGTACAAGGTACACTAGAATCATTGAATTTGTTCCGAAGGAGTGGAGTGTAGAAAAATGAGGTTTAGGTACAGTAATAATAAAGAACTTTATAACAGTTCAAACTGCCCAGTGATGGCTCAGGATGCTTTACAACACTCTAAGTAAGTTCTTCCTCAAAAGAAAAAGATGGAAGACAAATATTTTTGAACTTGAAGGAAGAAGGGACAAATGAGACCGTGGGGTCAACATTTAGTAGCAATGTGGACCTGAACGAATTACTTAACCTCTTTGAGCCTGTATTGTTTTCTACAAAACGATGATGATGATAAGCAACAGGATTTTGAAGATTGAATGAACTTGTGTGTACAAAGTGGCTAACATAATACTTCAAATATATCTGATATTCAATAAAAGTTAGTTGCATTTTTCTAGCAATACTGAAAGCTTAGGTATTTCTCAGGATATGAACAGTTGGCACTTTGGATTCATTCTCACCATCTTCTAAGGGTATCAGCCTATGCTGCTGAACATAGAAGGCTGGAATCTACCTTTCCAACATTCTCGTCAAACTCAGGTTCGCATGGAAGTTAATTCTCACTTATTCAATGCACTTATGCAAGTTTTGAAGGCAAAATTGTAGTAGAGGGCATATTCCTAGAGCCTTTGGAATATTTCTTGCTGGGAAGCAAGGCTGTGGAGGAATCGGTGTCCATTCTCCAGCTTCATGATCTTGAAAATCAGCTGTGGTGGCAGAGGAGGAAGGACTCTGAGTTCCGGTGTCCATGCAGAGGTGCTGGCATTGGCATTGATTTCTTGATTGCAGCTTCCTGATCTTGATCAGAGCCACGGCAGTTTGTTCTTGAACTCAGTAGCAGTGGGCTATCCTTTCCCTTCCTGTGTCACTTTAGAATGCTTACCTTAGCAGGTCATTCCACTGTTGAGACTATTCCTCAGGTCTTTCCAGGAAGTGTACAAGCAGCTATTTCTGTTTTAAATATCTTTCTTCTTAAAAACACATGTGGTGGTTTCTGCTTGCTACCCTGAGCCCTGAGAAAAGTATAAAAAGGGTTCCCTAAGAATGTGCGGTTTAAAAAGAATAAAATCTACAATTAAAAAGAATAAGGAGAATTTAAGAATAGGATGTAGCCTCTTAAAGATTTAAAGATTTCATTGATTAGCATGAAGAAGATATTTTGAAGTAATTGCAAACTTGTAATTAGTTTGTTTCATAGACAAACATATAAAGTATGTTATAAAGTAATTATTAATTCATAAAAATAATTTTTAAACAAATTATTTATATAATAAATGATATTTGAGGAGTAAAGGAAATAGAAAAGTTTATTGTTGAATAGAAAACTAAGAAAAATCCTTGCATAAAATATAGAGAAGTTGTGTTCCTTCTTAATAGATAACTACACCCACCAGGTGAGGGCTACAAACAGACTGATTTGGTTCAATGTGAGCAATAAGTTTCTAATGCCCTATAGTGAACAGGCTGCCTTTGATGGGGATGAACATATTATTTAAATAGTGAACAAACAGCCATTTTCCCAGTATACATTACAAAACATTCTCAAGTAAGTAGATGAATTAGGGAAACCTCATGGTCTCTTCCAATTTTAATATCCTATGATTTTACTATCATGTTTATTGTAACCTCACCCTTTTCATTTAAAACTGATGTGTGAAAGCAATTTAAGCTAAACTTTTTAGAAACATAACAATCATAATAATGGAAGCATAAGGTAGCTCATTGATATTAGTACAATTAACACACTTTTTTTGTATTCTACTTTTAAGTGTATGCTTATATGTAATGCACAAATATATGTACATATAATATACATGTATAGGAATATGTATATGTTCACAATGAACACAAATGATATGCACGAGTTTATTAGTCATTGATCCAACCATTAAGCTATTCATTTATTCCTCTTTTTATCATTTGACAAATAAGTTAGGTCTGTGTTATCTGGAAGACCTAACGAGTATACCTACATACTTACAACTGGTCATTAGCTACTAAAATAAAGGAACAGAGCAAATTGGATGAACAAGTCAGAAGAGAAATGTGTTCTATGTAGATGTGCGTTAGAAAGTCTATCAGGGCCGGGTGCGGTGGCTCACGCCTGTAATCCCAGCACTTTGGGAAGCTGAGGCAGGGGGATCACCTGGGGTCAGGAGTTCGAGACCAGCCTGGCCAACATAGAGAAACCTCATCTCTACTATAAATACAAAATTAACAGGGCATGGTGGTGCGTGCCTGTAGTCCCAGCTTCTCGGGAGGGTGAGGCAGGAGAATCACTTGAACCTGCGAGGTGGAGATTGCAGTGAGCCAAGGTGCACCATCGCACTCCAGCCTGGGCAACAAGAGCAAAACTCTGTCTCAGAAAAAAAAAAGAAAGTCTATCAGAAGATGACTCAAAACTGAGCTGATGTTTCTGAAACCCAAGGTTTTCTTCTTAATCCTCTGATGGCCTATATTGAAGCTTATATATTTATCTGGTGCATTGAAAAGAAAATTTAAAAATTATAATGTATTTTGACTATAAGATGGTATTTTATGGACTCTAACCCTATTTCAAATACTCTTTTTCTTAGCCAGGAAACTCCGAAATTAATACTATCATAGAAGTTCATTTTATACCAAAAGGAAGTTTTTAAAAATATAATTTTCAATTAGATAACCTCTAACTTTCGGACTCGAAAGTCAAGAAACTTTTATGGAGTGCCTTCTATGTGCATGGCACACTACTAGGCAGAAGGCAATGAAATAACAGATACGGTTAATATATATCTTGGTTTCTTCCTGACTAAATCACTAGTAGGATCAATGAGATTATGGATTGATAAGGTGGTTTAAGAATTCTAACTTGCTATGCAGATGTAAGTCACCATTTATATCATGGTTATGAACTTGGATTTCAGTGATGTGCATACAGATTCTGATTCTGACGTTACTTAACTGTGATTTAGGGTAATCTTTCTGTGCTTCAGTTTTTTTTTTTTTGTGAACCACGAACAGGTGTTATAAAAGCAGCCTCACGAGACAGTTGTAAAGGTTAAGTAACATGTGAATGTGTTTGAAAATCAGAGTTTATTACACGTTTGTTGAATCTGTTTGAATTATAGGAATATAGTGGAGTATGAGAAAGAGGAGCAAATAAAAATCCAGTATGTTTATATTTGACCGGATTGAGTCTAGAACAAAGATTTTTTCCCCTTTGTAAACAGAAGACTTAGCTTTAATTTTACTGTTCTTTAGTTCTTTCTGTCCATCTCCAGCTCCACCCAACTCTGAGTACTCCATAATCTGCCTATAGACCAACTCCTATCCAGAGCATGAGCTAATTCACACCAAGCCTTGCTGCATAAGAGCCTTATACCTAGAAGCCATGTAGGAATTGAGGAATTGTTTCTTCAGTGTTGTGCCCTGTATTCAAGATACCACCACATCTAATAAATTGAAGCCTACCCTGTGTTTATAGAGACTACTTTTCAAATCAGACAGATTTTCATGGAATTGTGAGTCTATCTACCTGAATATGTCACTGCTGGAGATCCCTAACTATCAGCACCAGCCCAGTCCTAGCCCTTCAAATTATATGACCTTTGAATGCCATGAGTTGGATGACTGGACGTTTCCTTCAAGTACCTGAATCACATTAATTCTCTAGCATTTCCCTCACTATTTTAGGGGTCTTGGCATCTTAGTCATGCGTGTGGCCATCATTTTATAGGTTATAGAAATAAAACCTTTCTAGAGCTACCAAGTATAATATAAAATCCTATGAGTAGGAAGCAGGAAGTGGCTTTAAAAGTCCTATATCATTGTGCAAATTGACAGTTATTTTATCTGAATGTGTGTGCTTTCTCTATCTAGTACAGGAAGCAGATTGTGGGGAAAATGGATGGTAAGTATGGGTTCACTTTGTGGTGGCATAAATCATGTTTAGAATATTCTTAGAGTTCTGGGAGGCTCTGGGAGACTCCAGATCATTTACTCCCTGTAATTACATTTCATCATATTTGCTTTTGGGTTTGTCTGTTAATAGAGTCTCTTGATCTGCTTAACTGCCTCCTCTGTAATTAAACAGTCGAGGAAAGCATATGGATAATACCATGCTAATGATATAGTTTTAAAATTTAGGATGATTTAAAAGGAAATTTTAATCTTCTACTAAGTTCAGCCTCAAACTGCTCTGGTTATAATGGTGATTTTTTCAAGCTTATCATTCCTAAGAAAGCTTCACATTTCATAATGCTTGCTTTGCAGCCAAGAAGCCTTAATTAACATTTGTTAAGAACTAGAAGATGCATCCCACTCTTTACTTTTTATTCCTAATTCTCATCCATAACTGAAAAGGTTAACATTTCAAATGGGATTACAGAATAGTGATGTCACTTTCCTATATTCATATACCAAGTCAATGTTTAAAAATAGCTTATGTTCAGGAGAATGGCGTGAACCCGGGAGGTGGAGCTTGCAGTGAGCTGAGATCGCACCACTGCACTCCAGCCTGGGCGACAGAGCGAGACTCCATCTCAAAAAAAAAAAAAAAAAAAAAAGCAGTTGGACCCTTAACTTACATACAAAAATGAAATCAAAATGGATCAAAGACCTAAAGGTAACAGCTAAAACTAAACAACTCTTAGAAGAAAATAGTAGGCTTGAACCCGGGAGGCAGAGGTTGCAGTGAGCCGAGATCGCACCATTGCACTCCAGCTTGGGCAACAAGAGCGAAACTCTCCCTCTCAAAAACAAAAACAGAGTCTTTGCCGCCGTGCCGGCGAGCGCCGCCCGGGAGGCAGCGGCTGGAGGAGCGGACGGGCCCCGCGGGGCCCGAGGGCAAGGAGCAGCCGCCTGCCTTGGCCTCCCAAAGTGCCGAGATTGCAGCCTCTGCCCGGCTGCCACCCCGTCTGGGAAGTGAGGAGTGTCTCTGCCTGGCCGCCCATTGTCTGGGATGTGAGGAGCCCCTCTGCCTGGCTGCCCAGTCTGGAAAGTGAGGAGCGTCTCCGCCCGGCCGCCATCCCATCTAGGAAGTGAGGAGCGCCTCTTCCCAGCCGCCATCACTTCTAGGAAGTGAGGAGTGTCTCTGCCCGGCCGCCCATCGTCTGAGATGTGGGGAGCGCCTCTGCCCCGCCGCCCCATCTGGGATGTGAGGAGCGCCTCTGCCCGGCCGAGACCCCGTCTGGGAGGTGAGGAGCGTCTCTGTCCAGCCGCCCCGTCTGAGAAGTGAGGAGCCCCTCCGCCCGGCAGCTGCCCCGTCTGAGAAGTGAGGAGCCTCTCCGCCCGGCAGCCACCCCATCTGGGAAGTGAGGAGCGTCTCCGCCCGGCAGCCACCCCGTCCGGGAGGGAGGTTGGGGGGGGTCAGCCCCCCGCCCGGCCAGCCGCCCCATCCGGGAGGGAGGTGGGGGGTCAGCCCCCCCGCCCGGCCAGCCGTGCCATCCGGGAGGGAGGTGGGGGGGTCAGCCCCCCGCCTGGCCAGCCGTGCCATCTGGGAGGGAGGTGGGGGGGTCAGCCCCCCGCCCGGCCAGCCACCCCGTCCGGAGTGAGGGGCGCCTCTGCCGGCCGCCCCTACTGGAAGTGAGGAGCCCCTCAGCCCGGCCAGCCACCCCGTCCGGAGGAGATGGGGGGGTCAGCCCCCCCACCCGGCCAGCCGCCCCGTCCGGGAGGGAGGTAGGGGGGTCAGCCCCCCGCCTGGCCAGCCGCCCCGTCCGGGAGGGAGGTGGGGGGGTCAGCCCTCCGCCCGGCCAGCCGCCCCGTCTGGGAGGTGAGGGGCGCCTCTGCCCAGCCGCCCCTACTGGGAAGTGAGGAGCCCCTCTGCCCGGCCAGCCGCCCCGTCCGGAGGAGGTGGGGGGGTCGGCCCCGCCCGGCCAGCCGCCCCGTCCGGTAGGAGGTGGGGGGGTCGGCCCTGTCCCGGCCAGCCGCCCCGTCCGGGAGGTGAGGGGCGCCTCTGCCCGGCCGCCCCTACTGGGAAGTGAGGAGCCCCTCTGCCCGGCCAGCCGCCCCGTCCGGGAGGGAGGTGGGGGGGGTCGGCCCCCCCGCCCGGCCAGCCGCCCCGTCCAGGAGGGAGGTGGGGGGGTCAGCCCCCCGCCCGGCCAGCCGCCCCGTCCGGGAGGGAGGTGGGGGGGTCGGCCCCCCTGCCCGGCCAGCCGCCCCGTCCGGGAGGTGAGGGGCGCCTCTGCCCGGCCGCCCCTACTGGGAAGTGAGGAGCCCCTCTGCCCGGCCAGCCGCCCCGTCCGGGAGGGAGGTGGGGGGGTCAGCCCCCCGCCCGGCCAGCCGCCCCGTCCGGGAGGGAGGTTGGGGGGTCAGCCCCCCGCCCGGCCAGCCGCCCCGTCCGGGAGGGAGGTGGGGGGGGTCAGCCCCCCTGCCCGGCCAGCCGCCCCGTCCGGGAGGTGAGGGGCGCCTCTGCCCGGCTGCCCCTACTGGGAAGTGAGGAGCCCCTCTGCCCGGCCACCACCCCGTCTGGGAGGTGTGCCCAACAGCTCATTGAGAACGGGCCAGGATGACAATGGCGGCTTTGTGGAATAGAAAGGCGGGAAAGGTGGGGAAAAGATTGAGAAATCGGATGGTTGCCGTGTCTGTGTAGAAAGAAGTAGACATGGGAGACTTTTCATTTTGTTCTGCACTAAGAAAAATTCCTCTGCCTTGGGATCCTGTTGATCTGTGACCTTACCCCCAACCCTGTGCTCTCTGAAACATGTGCTGTGTCCACTCAGGGTTAAATGGATTAAGGGCGGTGCAAGATGTGCTTTGGTAAACAGATGCTTGAAGGCAGCATGCTCGTTAAGAGTCATCACCAATCCCTAATCTCAAGTAATCAGGGACACAAACACTGCGGAAGGCCGCAGGGTCCTCTGCCTAGGAAAACCAGAGACCTTTGTTCACTTGTTTATCTGCTGACCTTCCCTCCACTATTGTCCCATGACCCTGCCAAATCCCCCTCTGTGAGAAACACCCAAGAATTATCAATAAAAAAATAAATTTAAAAAAATAAAAAAAAAAAATAGCTTATGTTCACATTTATCATATAGTTTGAAGATCTGCTTGAGAAGTAGGCTGTGTAAGTCAGTTTTTCTGCTTAACAACAATCCTGAAATTTTAATGGCTTATAGCCACAAACTTGCCATTTTGTTTGTTTCTTTTGTTTTTGTTTTGTTTTGTTTTGTTTTTTTGAGATAGGAGTCTTGCTATGTTGCCCAGGCTGGCCTTGAATGCTTAGTCTCAAGCTATTCTCCCATCTCTGCCACCCTAAGTAAGTGGGATTATAGGCATGAGCCAACATCCCTGGCAACAAACTTTTTCTTCTCTGTTTTTGGATCAGATTACGTGTCAGTAACTGCTCCAATTCTGCTTGCTCATGCTCCACATGTCTTAGCACTTTGGAGTCCTACGTGAAGGAACAGCCCACATCTGGTACATGCCACACTCATGGCAAAAGGCATAAAGATAAAAAAAGCTGCATAGTCACATTTAAAACCAAAACCTGGCGTGTAAAAAGTTGATTAACATTCTAATGGCTAGAACAAGTCAAACAGCCAGGCTCAATATCAGTGGAGTGGGAAATACCTTCATTCTACAAGGAGAGGGGAGTGAATATTTGAAAATGAGAAAATAATTTATCACATAGGGCCAAATGATAATTCTACTTACATGCATGTCTAAATGGCCCATGTAATCCTACAAATCTTCTGAGACCTACAATTTGGCTCCACTACTTGTATTTGACCAAAATATCTTCTCAAAGCCAAGTATGTATCTTCTCAGTTATCGCTCTTCCTTGAGACAGTATAGAACAATAGAGAAAAGATAGAACTTCGAACTTCTGATCAGAGGACATGAGTTAGAGCTTCAGCTCTATGAGAAGCTAGTGTTTGATTGTGTTTAAGTCAGTTCACTTCCTTAGGCCTTGGATTCCTTGTCTATAAAATTGTGCTAAAAATAATAACACCTTCTACAAAAGTTGTTATATGGCTCCTCTGAGTTGTATCACAGGAGAATAAGTACATGTGTCACCTGCAAAGTACATGTATAAGTATTGATAAGTGTATTTTGATAAGAGCTAGGAAAAATGAAATAAGAAAGTCATGATTAGATCTTGGTGATATAAATGGAGTGGGAGAGGAGTAGGGACAAGGAAGAGAACACTTTGAAGAAGAGAAGAAAGTTACAAATATGGCAAGGTGTTGATAATGAATCTCATCACTTCTCCAACTGTATCCACACTGAAAATGAAAAATTGACACCCTCATATTTCTGTTATTAAAAGATGTCAAGAGCTTCCTTGGCTTTCTCTTTTTCCTCTTGGACATACAAATAACATGGAAGACAGGACATAATTATCTGTATGCTCTTTGGTCCATCACATAATTCTTGCAAACCTTAGTTTCCTTATCTGCTAAACAGGGTGATCAATCCACCTAGTGGGTTTTTCTGAAAATGATTGTCATGAAAGTGCCTTGAAAACCATGAAGCATTCTGTACAAGAAGTTATGAAGTCATCTGTAAGATAAGAGACCTGGAAAATCATTAAGAGCCTTTCTATCTCATAAGTTTTGTGAATTTGATATTATTTGTTTAGACTTGAAAAGGGTTTTAGAAACCAAAATGTTTAGGCCTTAACTTCACAGATGAAAATATTCTCAGTTCTATTATTTCAGTGCTTATAATGTAGGTGATATTTAGAATATTGCATTTCAGAAATCTGGAATTTTAGTTATCTTAGTGCAAATAAGAAATCTTTTTGTTGTAATGTGTAGATGGCTTGCTTTATTCTAAATTTCCACTATAATTTACTATAGTTCCCGTTAGTCTTCAATCCAATTCAAATAAATGAATATGCATGAATTCAGTGAATATACATATAGACCAATGCTTCTTAATCCAGCTGCAATTGAAATCACTCTGGGTACTTGAAAGTATTGATTTCTCGGCCCTACCTCTACAAATTCTGGTTTACCTGGTCTCAGGTGGGTTTCAGGCATAGTTTTTTGTTGTTGTGTTTTATTTTTTATTTTTATTTTTTTATGTTTGTCTGTTGATTGGTTGTTTTAAGATCTTTGGGTGATTCTACTGTGAAGCCAGTTTGGGAACAATTGCTCTAGAGATAGCAATTTGAAAAAGGCAAAGCTCCTGTTCTCAAGAAACTCAAAGTTTTTTGGTAAGATAGATGTGAAAAAAGTGACTTACAGATGACCTATAATAGACATATGTTCCAGGTGAGTCTAATCCAAGATCTCAGAGAAGGCTTCATAAAAGAAGCAAAGCTTGAACTTTTTCTCCAAGCAACAGAAAGAATTTTCTAACAGCCTGACCAAAGGAAAGGCTCTTCCAGGACAGGGAGAATATGACCAGACAAAATAGTTTGAAATCTTTACATGCATTTGAAGACTATAAATAACAGGGTATGTTCAAACATAGAGTCTGAGGTAGAGAATGTGGCAAGAGATCAAGAAGCAGGTAAGAATCAGATTCTTTCTTTCTTTTTTTTCTTTTTTTGAGATGGAGTCTCACACTGTCACCCTGGCTGGAGTGCAACGGCACGATCTCTGCTCACTGCAACCTCCGCCTCCTGGGTTCAAGCAATTCTCCTGCCTCAGCCTCCCTAGTAGCTGGATTTACAGGCACCTGCCACCACACCCAGCTAATTTTTTTTTGTATTTTTAGTAGACAGGGTTTCACTATGTTGGCCAGGCTGGTCTTGAACTCCTGACCTCGTGATCTACCCGCCTCGGCCTCCCAAAGTGCTGGAATTACAGGCGTGAGCCACCACGCCCAAAGAATCAGATTCTAAAGATGCTTGCTCCAGTTTGAACTTTGTCCATTGGAAATACACCAAAAGGATTTCTAAAGCAACCAAGTCACTCCTTCTAACAAGTCTGTGCCAATTAAACTTATCCAGCTCTTTTTAAGTCTTCATCCTACCTTTCATTGATCTACTTTAGATCACACTAAACTAAGCTTACATATATACATGCATATATACATGCATATATAATGCTCATCACACACAAATCCTAGAGTATCCCTGAAAGAACAACTCACTTGAACAATCTGCTACCTCAAAAATATTATTCTACGCTTATGCAAACATACTGATCTTGAATTCTGTTGATCTTATCCTTATTTCTATGATTCTATGATGCCAATGATCATAAGAAACTACTTTGATTTAATAAATGCTTTTTTCTGGATAAAAGTAAGTAAAATGATCACTGTTACCATATTAAATGTATTCCTTATTTGTAAGAGGCAGCCTAATTATCAGACAAATTAAAATTTGAAAAAAAAATGCATGTTAGAACCATGTAATAAAGGTAAATGGTAAGTTCCTCAAAAGTTCATATTTTGCTTGAATAATAAGGGCAAAGAAAATTCTGAGTTTCTACTGTAGCAACTTATGATTTTGACTCTTATTTTTCTTTTCATTTTTCTGAGTTTTTATTTATATTCCTTCTAAAAAATGACAAAAGACCTGGAAGTCCCAAATAGTGTCAAAAGGAAAGGGATAAAAAGAATGCTTTCCTTTGGATAACATTTTTAAATCTAGATCAGTGATCAACTGAAAGTCTAATGCTTATTGACTGCCTTCTATGTGCAAGTCAGCATGCAAAATATTAAAAGGTGATTCAAATAATTGACTCACTCATTCATACCACTTATTGTGAGCACTTATGCACCTGGCACCATAGAGTTTTGACATACAAAAACAAATGAAACATTGTCCCTGTCTTTGGAGTGTCAATAGCAGTACCATTCAATATAAGTACCTGGAGAGCCATATATATAATTTTTGAAATTTCTAGTAGTCACATTAAAAAACATAATATAAACAATTAAAAACAATTTTCATAATATATTTTATTTAGCTCAATATCTCCAAAATATTAACATTTGAACATGTCATCAATACAACAAATTAAGATATTTTGCATTATTTTTCTTACTAAGTCTATGAAATCCCTATGTATTTTATACTTACAGTACATTTCAATTCAAATGCTAAATTTGCAACAGTTAAAATGAAACATTTTCTTAGAAAAATAATAAAGTTGTGGCTAATGAAAATACCCTGCTTCAGTTTTTAAATTTAACTTAACATGGAATGTAGGGAGGTAAGCAAAATTCATGATGATAGTCTTTTATATCTGTTCAACCTAATATTCTCACCTCCTGTCTTTAAACTGGGACTGAGATAAGCTTTATGCAATAAATAGAAATTTTCAGTTGGAAGAGCTTTACTACTTGTAGTTTTGCCAAAGTGGACAAAAAAAAGTAAGCAACTTTTCCTTATTCATGCTACTAGTTACTGGCAAAGCTAAAACCTTGGTCTTCTGATTTTTCAGTCACATGATATTATAGTCTATATCTAGTGGTGTACTGGTTAATATTCACATCTAGCTCTCTGAAAAAGAAACACATACACACACAAATTGTACTGATATAAAGAATGTGTAGATGGAATTTACAAACAGTAATAAAATATATAATACTTTTCATTGTAAATGTTATATAGTAGATTGATTCATACAGTATGTTTTGTTGATTTTTTTCTAAATTCTTATATCTGTAGGCAAGTCACAGTTGCAATTTATATGCGACTTACGATTTAACAAAAAAACTTAAGAAATTTTAATAAAATTAAAATCCAGTTGTGTAGTCATACCAGCCATGTTACAATTACTTGAGAGTCATGGCTAGCTACTGTCTATCCTTGAACAACATGGGCTAAAGACTAATTGGAAAAGAAAGAGAGCTGAATAAATGATTATAGTGATGTAATAGGGGAGGTAGAAGGCATGTAGGGAACACAGAGAAAGATGAAATTAATGTTTCTTGGTGAGTTGCAAGGATCTCAGAGAGCTCATCACCTTACTAAATGCTGCAGGAAAGCCAAGCATACAAGAAAAAGGGAGAGAGGGATTCATGGGGAAGGCTCAGTGCTAAGAAAGAAAAGTGGTAGAGACAGCACAGCATCCACTCTCAAGATTGACTGCCAAACTGGGTAGACTGGCAAAAATAAATAAATAAATAAATAAGTTAGATATTAAAATGCAATATAAGATTTAAGTGTGAGCTAGAGAGAACATCAAAGGTATTTAGGTTTGTGCAAAAGTAATTGTGGTTTTTGCCATTAAAAGTAATGACAAAAACAGCAATTACTTTTGCACCAACCTAATATTATACAACACCTGCATTTATAACCCATTTCTGCAGCTTACTACCTGTGTAATATTGAGCAATCATCTGGGCATTTACTCTTCTGTAAAACTGGAAATAATACCGACCTTAAAGGGCTATTGTGAGCAATAGATGAGATAATATGCATTAAAGAGCCCAATGCATGTTTGCGAAATCAGAACCCCAATGGGAAAGGTCACGAATGACTAACTTCAATACCCAGTAAAGGGAAGTCAATCACTCAGCTGAGACTTAGAGGAGAGGTAAGACTTCAGGCTTAGTGGAAAAGAGGAATTCCCTGTCGGAGGCAGGGGCAACAGGGCTTCTGTTACAGGTCAGATCCACAAACACTGGGGAAGTGGAGGAATGCCTTCCAGATATTGTCCTCATTGTAACTGATGAATAACTTACAGTTATTCATTTTGTAGAATAGAGGGGGAAAGAAATTAGTGCAAACCTCTGCCAAGAAAGGAGATATAAAGAAAGGCAGTGAGAGAGAGAAAGAAAATAAAAGGTAAATAAAAGTCAAATACAAAAGTTTCACTTTGAGCAAAACTAAATAATATAAAGAGAAAGAAATGAGATAGAATGCTTCAGTACAAGTTTTCCCAGAGTTGGCCAAGCCTTGTGTACATTGCACTGCTCTATCCCCTCTGTTTCTTACTGGTGCCAGCTCCTCATCCCTCACCACATTCCAATCCACTCACATTTCTGGCTCTTCTTGAGTGACACGTGTATTTATTTCTGCCTCAAAGACCCGTACTTGCCCTTCTCTCCCTAGAGTGCTTTTACCTCTGCTTTGGTTTCCTCTCATCTTTGAGGTCTCAGCTTAAAAGTCTCCACATCTGATCCACCCATCTAGAACACCCCCAACCTAAATCCAGTCAGTCTGTGTCATCTTAACCTCTATTGCCTTCAGAGACCTGATCTCCATATAAATACTTTATTTCATTGTCCCCCATTGGTTGCCATCCCCTTCCCAGAATATCAGCTCTATTGAGACAGGGATATAATACCTCTGCTCACCATCATATCCTTAGGACCTAATAGGTGCTGGCTGAATATGTGTTGAATGAATGAATAAATAGCACATCATCCATAACATTTGAATTATCACCAGTGCTGACCCACTCAAAACTCAAGCATCTAGAGGCCAATAAAATGAATATCAGAAACTCTGTGTCTGTTAGAGTAATTACTAGGGCCTCTATTTACTTCTGTCCCTAATATTCCTCGCCTCTCATTGTCAGTTTTTTTTTTAAATTTTATTTTATTCTCTTCCTCTGAACCTTTGGGATTAATGCCTAAACTTAACTCTTAGTGTCTGTCGTACTCATCCTGTGGCTCCAGACTATTTTAGCTACAGTGCCTTGAAGTCTATTTCTGGATTCTGGAGGACTAACTTGTGACTTCTGACTCAGTGAGAAAGAAAGAAAGAGAAAGAAAGACTGAGAGAAAGAGAGGGAAGTGAGAATTTGAGGGGGGAAACAGCAATCTAGAATGTGAAAGAAAAGAAAATGTAATATAAAACTGTAATGTCTGCTAGGAAATAAAACTTTATGATAACATAGGTTCAGGTGTTTATTAAATAAATCCTGAATAAAGCAAAAAAAAAAAAAAAAGCAGGTATTGCTTCAAAGCCTTGGAAGATGGGCTACTTAGGGTAGGGAAACTTCTTTCAAGAAATGTGTAAACACCTCTTGAAGATGTGAACTAGATGTTTCAGAGACATGCAACTTCTTTAGCTCTGCTCTCATTCTGACAGCTTCTCCTTATTGACCAATTATGCTATTCCCTAGGTTTTCATTTCAATACAAATAAAGAGGACACATATCTGATTTAACAAAATGGGCCCCCATGGCCAAGCGTTTCCTCAGTCCTTACACTTGGCAAAGTCCGTGTAATGGTGTCAGCTGTATCAGGAACAGGGCTGCACCTCGGCTTAAGGAGAGTCAGAGGGAAGCTGAGAAATGCTGGAGTCCAGAGGGTCTATTTCATAGATGCGGAGTCTGAGGACCAGAGATAGGGACACATGTACAGTCCTAAAATCCCTAATTATCTTAATGTCTCAGATGCTTCTTTCAAATTCACAGTGGTTCCTCATAGCCTGCTATGACTACCTGAAATTTGAACAGTCATTCCTTAGGGTCATTGACTTTGACGTTACATACCTACCTATTAGAATGAGGAAATGTTTCCAGGGCACAGGGACGCATCTGTGTTTATTATTCTAGTGCAGAGTAGGAGAATAGAACAATGGACTGGCCAGTGTTGAGACAAGAAAACATCTAGCATAAATGGCACTTAACCAATGATAATTATAGCTCACATTATTCTGCACTTATGATGTGTCATGGGTGGTTCAAAGTGCTCAACATAAAGCTAGTTTAATCTTCACAAAAACCTAATCTGATAGATATTATTATCTGCATTTACAGATGAGGAATCTGAAGTACAGAAAAACAAAACAACTAGTTCAAGGTACACATCTAGAGAGAAAGGAGCTGGGATTTGAACCAAAGCAGTCCTTGAGCCAAGAGAATCTATCCATTATATTCTCCTTTGTCTTCAGAGGAATGCATTCACATCGAAAGTTATATCAGAAGGATACCTAGAGATGTGGAAATATGGAATTGTGGACTATGACTTTAAGACTCACAAAATCAAATGTTCTTAGAATCACAAGGTCTGATGATTGAAGGACACCCTGGCTGCCCTGAAAGTCCACATTCACTGCCCACATTTGCTCCACAGTATTTGTACTAAATGGTGTCCAATCTTACTATGTCTTCAAGACAGTTGATGATAAGGAACTCACTATCTTCTGAAGGTACCCTCTTTACCTTTGTGCACTTTGCCAAATAGAACATATATATTTCACAAAATAAACTATAGCCTGACTTCTTAAATGTTCTATCCACTGGTCCCAATTTTGCTCCTTAGGAACACAGAGACTAAGGCTAAAGTGTCTTGCATTTGGTAACCGTTCATTTGAAAATAATAGCTCTTCTACCGTATTTCTATTTTGTCTTATCCAATATTAGTATTGCTATTTCCTCAAATATTCCTTTTATAAAATTTGTTGAATTTACCTTCCAGGTACTGAAGGCTTTGATGGGAGAAAGCATCTCATTTCCCATTTCTGAGGTAAAAACAAGACAAAACCAAGAGAACAAAACCAAAAAATAGATGTTGGTTGTCAAAATATACAAAAGATAAAAACATCTGATCACTAGCTTTGACTAAAAGATAGAAGCTATGATTTATTTAAATTTACATTGGGCAGTGTATTGATTAGAGTAACATTTTTTTTCTTGTTTATATAACAGTCCAAAGTGAGTATTCCTGGTTGATATGTGTTTTTCCATCACGAAGTGATTCAAGGGCCCAGGTTCCTTTCATATTGTCATCTACTATCCCCTAGTACTCTTTTGCATTGGTATTCAACATATAGACTCAGAAAAAATTCCTGGAGGAGGCATATATCTTCCTTAAAGCCTCGAGGTTAGTGGAACAGCCCATTTCTACTTATAATCCACCCATAAGAAAGCACATATCACTATATGTAGTTGCAAAAAAAAAAAAAATGCTGGGAAATGTAGTTTTGTTATGTGCTTAGGAAGATATAAAAATGGATTTTGGTGAACAAGGAGTGATCTGCCACAAGGACTACATACAATGCTAAGAAATCAGATCTGGAATAGAATCCTGGTCCCTCTTTTTTATGAGATATATAAACATGGGTAGCACTTAGTGGCTGTAATCTTCAGTCTCCCCAGATGTTAATAGGATGTCTCTTCCAGGGTTGTTGTAAGGATCAAATGAGGAAGCACATTCAATGTTCTTGGTCTTGTCCAGCAAGTTGAAAGTGCTAACTCATTATTATCTTTATCTATTCTTATACTATTACTGCCAGATCCCGGCTCAGATCCCAGCAGATAATGGAGCTCAATCCATGTTTGCTGAACTGAACTAAACTAAACCTCACAGTCATTACCAAGGTCAGCCATACCCTTATAAGGAAGTACAAGGGGAGTAAGTCTGGTCCATGTTCCCTCTGATGCTAACACGGTCACAGTCTGCTTTCTTTGTGTTCCCATGCCTCTGTGCTGCATTCATCTGTGGGGCTGATTTATACCTTCTCCAGGGACACACTTTCACTAATTAAGGACTGAAATAAAAAATGAAGAGCTGAATTGAAGACGTCAGACAGTCTAATAAGTGCTGCTGGTCTCATTTCTCCAGCTCCCAGTGACTGGTGCTAGCTGTAATATTGGGATACACACAATCCTGGCCGTTCACCCACTGAGCAGTGTGGCTCACATAAAGGGCTTTCCAGTGGCTCTTCTGTTTCATACACAGAAGCCCTATGCAAAATCTGCCAGTCATCTGACTCAGAGACCTCATAAGCTATTTTGCTTCAAAAGGCAATGCTGAGCCCAATCAGCCCCACTCAAAATGCTCTGTGGAAAATTTGCTTTCTCTTAAGTAAGATCATTGAATAAAAAATCATTATTTCCAGGATTAGCAAGAGCCAGTGTGCACAGTTCTCCCTAGGGCTGCGATGACAAAGGCTGGATTATTCATTACAATCTGTTCCTTCAACTAATATCTTTTCCATGGGTTCCATCACAGTTGCTATTCCTGCTAATTGTTCAAACAGTGAATTAGTGGCCAAGTTGCCAGGTGAAATGAGGATGTGTTAGATAAAGTATGTCTTTCTTCACTTTCAGTGTCTCTGAGGCACTTTGACCTGATGAAGCTGGGTGGCAGAGGGGTCCTATCCAAAGGCCAGCCTGTCTCTGAGTGGCAGACTGAATGTGAAGTTGAAGCTCCTTGAGTTTCAGTTCTTTCAATAACCCTCTATTCAACTTCTGCTCGGATTTTCTCTGTGAACCCATCCCTCGTTTTCTTCAGTGCTGAAAAAAATATTCCCTTGGAAAACTCATTAGAACTAATTATTTAGTACTGGGGAAAATAGCTCAAGCATGAATAATTATCTCATCAGCTAAACTCTTTTTCCCCAAAGGTTACCAGGGCAAGGATATCAGAATTTCCCTTGGTATCTTTAATGGTCCTGAATGCCGAGCAGTTTCTCTTCAATTTGGTCCCTTTCCTACTTCTAGCAGTTTCCTTTCATCCTCTCCCTGGTGAGGATAGAATAGATCTGGAGAGCCAAAGCCTGTAACTATCTCCTTGCGTGACTTACCATTCAGTCTATTGCATACGAGTTTTCTCGTCTTTTCTCTTGCAAGAAACAGAAAAATAAGACCTGAATAAAGCCCATGACAATCAATTTGAAACTACTCTCAAAACCAAGAGGCCAACTGGAGGTATAGTGGCTATAATTGCTCCTTCAAAATATCTTTCTTAGCTTCAAATTTTCTGTAGCTTGAAACTTATACTTTTGTCAGGGAGAGGAAGAGAGAGAGACAAAGGGCTGTGTTGAAAACTCACCTGCTTTCTGGGGCCAGACCAGTCATTTAGATGAGTTTGTGATGCCTGCCGTAGGTGGATTGTAAGGTAGCTATAATCAGAGGGCCATGGTGTGTTAGAAAGAGCAATACTCTCAAGTTCAAGTCCCGCCTGTCCATTTGTGAACCATTGATCTTGGACAAAATTATCAGCTTTCTGGGGCTCCATGTTTTCATCTACCCAATGCAGCTCATAATAACTACTTCACAGGCTGCTTGTGCATATGGAATGTGCTAGGATGTGGAAAGGGCCTTGTGAACTATAAAAGAAGGCTATAAATAACAGCTGTATGTTCAAGGCAAGCAGTAGGGAAAACAGCCTCAGATCAGTGAGACTGAGTGTGAAGGGAGGACAGAGGGCGGGGGAGTGAACAGCCCCAGCACAGAAAAGCCACTCCCTATCCACCCTCCCCACAGGCTACAGGCTACAGATCTTTCACCTGGGGTCTTCAGCTCAAACCATCTCTACTGGCTAGTATGGAAGTGAGTCGGGGTAGAAGAAGTTCATTAATAAGAGAAATGAAAAGTAGGATGAAAGACGGGGGTAAATTTTTTCACCATCGTCACCATCTTTTAAAAATATTTATGTTACTTGTAGAGCCCTGAGTCAAAAGCTGCCCTAGGTGGGTCTCTGCTGCAGTGTATCAAATGGAGGGAATCATTATGACATTTGTAAGCAGCATAGTGCTCCCCCAAACACAGGCACAGTAGGGCCATGATAAATGTTTTTGTTAATAAAGAAGAGACATACAGGTCTGTGCAAAGGTGTGGGAAAAAACAAATTTCCTGTCTTTATTGATGTGAGGAATACAGACTATGATTAATAACTAATTTTTTTCTATTCAAGTGCTTTTACTTTATATTTTTATGTTTTAATTATGAATTCTTCAATTTTATCTTCTAGTGTTTTAGAATGCTGCTAGGTCACTTAACCTGCTTAACATTTAGTTTCCTGAATTTTATAAAATGGGCATCATTTAAATTTCATAGGATTAATTGAAAGATTAAGTGTAAATTAGCAGGCTCATTCCAGAGGAAGTTCCTGATAAATGATGGTTCTCTGTTCCATCTCCCAATTCTTCAAATGGTCCTGGATGGAAAGTATTTTGTAAGCCAGAACCTACAGAATCATAGAACTCTGACTTCATGTATATGTGAAGGAGCACCATGTTCTTCATACACTTTGTGGGGACCAATGAAGTCTGTAAAGTAAACAGTACTTGCAAAATCAGCGATGAAAGGTGTCTGCATATTTCATGATTTAAAGATGCCATACCTTGTTGGTAAATGTTAGATTCCCAAATATTCACATGTTAAGGGTTACTGAAGCATTTTAACTTCAGGGAAAGAAAATTAAAATAAATTTCATGTCATGAGAACTTTACCTGAAGCAAGTAAGTTACTATTTTAAAAATAACTTGGCAGACTCCAATTCAGGAGTGCTCCTCAATCTGGATAAATTAACAAGAGATACGAGCCCTTTAAAATAGCTAGAATGGTTTTGATGGAGAGTTAAAGGAGAATCAGCACTAATTCAGTGCTTACTGTGTACCAGGGACTCTGCTACATGCTTTCTACATGCCACCTCATTTAATCCCCACCATACCTCCAAGAGGTAGGCAAGGATATGCCCATTTTGCTGATGAGGAAACCAAGACTCTGCAAAGTTAAGCAAATTTTTTAAAAATCACAGTTAGCAAAAGACAAGACTAACAGATAAACTTACATCTACTGCTAACTTGCTTAATGAATGTGTATTAAGATGGTTCCAGTGATGAATCTTTTAGGTATTGAGGACTTAGCAATAAATAAAACCAACATACGCCTGTGTTCTTAGACTTTAGACACAACAACAAAAAAAAGATGTAAAAAAATATATATACCTATTAGAAGCTACCTAATTGTATACTTTATACCAAATTTTATACTTTATACCAAGTAGTAGTTATTTATCTCGAAGGGATTCTAAAGCAAGATATCTGGGAGAGGGTTATTAATAACTTTTAAAAATATTCATTTAATTAACAAATACGGCCAGGCAAGGTGGCTCAAGCCTGTAATCCCAGCACTTTCAGAGGCCTAGGTTAGTGAATCATTTGAGGTCAGGAGTTTGAGACCAGCCTGGCCAACATGGCGAAACCCCATCTCTACTAAAAATACAAGAATTAGGTGGGTGTGGTGGCACACACCTGTAATCCCAGCTACTCAGGAGGCTGAGGCAGGAGAATCGCTTGAACCTCAGAGGCGGAGGTTGCAGTGAGCTGATATTACACCACTGCACTCCAGTCTGGGTGACAGAGTGAGACCCTGTCTCAAAGAAAAAAAAAAGTCTAACTTTCAATTTTAAAATAATTTTAGACTTATAAAAATTTTGTGTATTTCCCATCTATTCTTCATTCAGATTCCTTCAATGTTAATCTTCTGTATACATATTTAAAAAATGGTCAAAACCAGGAAGTTAATACAGATACAGTAGTTTCTTCTAACCTACAGACCTTATGTAAATTTCACCAATTGTCCCTTTTCTAGTCCAGGATCCAGTCTAGATTTTGCATTGTACTTGGATTTCATGTCTTCTCAGACTCCTTCAATGTGTGACTTCCTCGCTCTCTCTTTGTTACTCATGACTTGATATTTTTAGAGTATGGGCCTGTTATTTTGTAAAATATCCTTTCAATTTAGATTTATATAGTATTCCCCATTATTAAATTCAGGTGTGCATTTTTGGTTAAAAAAAAAGTCATCACCAAAGCAATATTGTGACCTTCTCGGTGTATCTTATCAGGAGGTACAAAATGCTGATGTTCTATTACTAACAATTTTATGAGAACATTTGTGTAAGAATGTGTCTGACAGGTTCCTCTCCTGTAAAGTTACAATTTACCCTTTGTATTTAATAATTACTTTGTGGGTAGATATTTTGAGATTGTGAAAATAATCCGATTCTCATCATACTTTTATCCATTAATTTTATTATCTGTTAATGGTTCTTCCTTGCAACAATTATTACTGTGGTGTCCCCAAATGTTGATTTTCTATTTATATTATCCCTTCTACATTTATTAATTAGAATTCTACTGTAAGGAAGAGTTTTTCCTTCTCCCCTATTTATTTCTTTATTCATATTATTAAATTTATGTCAGTATGAATTCTCAGATGTTTATTTTCATCTATTAGAGTTATAAAGCATTAAACTGGTTTAAACCAGTTATAAACTTTTGTATTTATAGTATAGATTGGCCTTGATTAGGCTTTTAGGAATTTCTTCACATTGATTTGTGGATTCCTTTGATGTAACACTATAATTTTTAAAGCACATTTATACTCTGCCACCACGTGACAGTGACATGCTGGTAGAGTACTGGTTTCCCCCCAGAAAATTTAGAAACCAAGATCTGAGTGCTAAGTGTGCTAATTGCTATTGGAATGTCATTGCATATAGATTCTTTCAGAGATCATAGTTAGAAAAAAAATATATATGCATCTCATTTGCTCAAATGTTTATATCTCTTTCTGTTTCTATCTATCATCTGTCTATCTATCAATCATCTATCTGTATTAAAAACTATGAAGTCACACTAATACCTTAGATTTGAGTTTCATACCACAGAGTTTATTCTTGCCTTCCTCCTTTCTACATTGTCAATTCTTTCTGACAGTGAGAAACCTGGCTTTAATTATTTATAATGTGTTTACTTATTCACTTTGTCTTAGAGTATATGTAAAGTTTCAGTATTGGTAACTCATGCTATCTTTGTCTGTTCCTGCTGCTATATTAAAATACCTGAGCCTGGGTAATGTACAAAGAACAGACATTTATTTCTAATGGTTCTGGAAGCTGGAAGTCCAAGATGAAGGTGACAGCAGGTTTGGTGTCTGGTGAAGGCCTTGTCTTTGTTTCCAAAGATGTTTGGAAACCTTGTTGCTGTGCCCTCTGGAGGGAACAACCACTATGTCCTTACATGGAGGAAGGGACAGAAGGTCATAAAAAGGAACTGGGTGCTTCCTTCAACCTCCTTTATAAAGTTACTAATCCTATTCCTGAGGGATTAGTCATGACCTCATGACTTAACCATCCCCTAAAGGTGCTATCTCTGAATACTATCATATTGGTGATTAAATAACAACATATAATTTTGGGAGGCACATTCAGACCTTAGCATTTCACCCCTGAACCTCAAAATGTATGTCCTTTTCACATGCAAAATATATTCATCACATTCCAATAGCCCCAAAAGTCTTAACTCATTTCAGCACCAACTCGAAAGTCTAAAGTCCGGAGTCTCATCTGAATCAGACGTATGAGACTCAAGGTATGATTCAACCTGAGGGAAATTTCCCTGCACCTCTGAACCTGTGAAATCAGAAAGGTTATCTACTTCCACAATACAATGGTGAGACAGGCGTAGGATAGACATTCCCATTCCAAAAGAAAGAAATAGGAAAGCCGTTATTATAATTCTTATTTTCCTCTTGCCATTGTTTTGCCATGATTATTATGATTATTATTATTATTTGTATTGAAGCAGAGTCTATTTAACTTGACTTTACTATATTTATTGTCTTTATAACCCAAGGCATAGGGGCAGGGGGAAACTCCCAAAAGACATTCTTTTTTTGTGCCTTTACTCAAGGCAAGTCATTCCAAACATTTCTTAATGCATTTGGAAAGAGAATCAATAAGAACAGTGCCTCAAGTTAACTTTCATTGCCCTCCAGGACAGTTTCCAATCCCCTGGGCAGAAGTAATATCTTCTCTGAAGTCTGAGGCAGCACTTTGTCAGGGGAAGCACAAATGCTACTTGTGGAGGACAGAGTTATTTTGTTCTTTACTCTGAGTTTGCACTCTATGAAAACTCTGTGTTAACATCATTGGCAGAGAAATTCAATTTCCTCCCTCTGAGTGGGAAGGAACTTCTCTTGGAAGGAGTTTTCTTGCTTTATTTCCTACAATTAGAGCCTCTTTTCTACTTGACTTAAGGGTTTTTTGTTTTGTTTTGTTTTTCTAAACATTCAATTTCCTGGAAGTTCTAGGGATACAGTGGTGAACAAGAAGAATAAGACCTCTGCCCTCATTGAGCTTATACACTAGTAATTTTAAGGGTGCTTTCTCTCTTTCTCTGGGGTGCATTTCACTTAAATTTAAGCAAAAACTATGGGAGAAGTTTTATAAACAGTTCCTAGATTGAAATTTTAAATTAAAAAGCCAATGTTTGTTTGAAAGGTGCACTAGGAAAAGAAAGTTCCAAATATATTCCATAGGTAATTTTTGAATATGGCAAATATTACATTTTAAAATTAGTCAGGGTGAGAAATGTAACTGCTTTATATAGAATATATAAAGGTATCTGTTTACCTTTTAGCTGTATTTTCTTGTTAGATAAGCCAGGGAGCAAAGTACATAGAGGATCATGAATGGTTTGCAGTGATTCAATACAGCTTGTTCAACAGAGACATTCACATGACCAATTTTATCAATACATAAATATAATACCTGAGCAAGCTTAAAATATGCTGCTAAGGAAAAGTAGTGACATTGTCAGGGCTAGAGGATGCAAGAAAAATACAAGCACAAAATAATAAAAAACTGTTAAAGTTGGATACCAACTCAGAGTTCTAATCTACCTGTCCTATTGCAGAAGTTACTTCAACAGCTTCTACTTCACTGACAAAGAATATTCTAGATCCTGCTTGGCACAGCTATTGAGAGAATAAAATGTTGTGGCTGGGGGAGGGGTCTTATGTGTGCTGCTGCCCAAGGTCCTGAAAGTTGCTTTTGCTATAATATGTTTTGTTCTAGTAGTCCTGGGATAAAGGTGGCTCCTGTTCAATCTTGTTTCAGTAATCTTGAACCAAGTGGGAAAAGGGGAGTGTTAGGAGAGACAACGGGAAAGGGAGAAGAAAAGAGAGAATAAAGGGAAGGAGGACGGGACATAGCCTTTAAAGAATGTCAGAAAAAAATAGTCCTTGATTTCTCAATCATGTTCAAATAATAGCAGTAACCGACAAAGAAAATGTCTTTTATTTTTGATATAGTGGATGTGTTGGTTTGTTCAGGCTGTATAACAAAATACCATAGACTTGGTGGCTTATTTACAGCAGAGCTTTTTTTTCTCACATTTCTGGAACCTGTGTCTGGAACCTGGGAAGTCCAACTTCAAAGCACTGACACATTTGGTGTCTGATGATGTCCGGCTTTCTCATAGACGGCTACCTTCTTCTCACTGTTACCTCATATGGTGGAAGGTAAGAGATTACTCCGTGGTCTCTTTCATAAGGTTGGTAATCTCATTCTCTTATAACCTAATCACCTGCCAAAGGTCCCACCTCCTCTTACCATCACCTTAGGGATTAGGATTTTAAAATGAGAGTTTTTGGGGAAAATGAACATTCAATCCAGTGCATTTGATGATGCCGCAAATTGGATTTCCTGGGAAGTAGGTTGTCAGAGTTAGAGTAGGCATACAGAGTATTTTAAGTCATGTCCTTGGAATCAATACTTGTTGATGAGAAAGAAAAAAATATAGAATGGCAGAGGAAAAAGTCAAGCTGCAATAGAGTCTCAAAAGCCTAAGCTGACCAGATAAAATATGAAGGCACTAGAATAGACATCCAGAGTTCTTTAAGGTTGAGTGAGGCCTTTATAGTCCCACATTGTTCAGTCATTAAATCTAGGCTATCCTAAGAAGGAGTACGACCTTGAGTGAGGTGAATATAATCATGAACTGAGGCAGTTCATAAAAGGGCTTATTGCTGGGGCTACAGGTACTTCCCTAAAGGCAGATGTGGGTGGCCAATCCAATGTGCAGCACAGGGGTCACATGTCACATTATTTCTCAAGCTGTGTTTATGTGGAAGCATCCTACTTCCCAAGTCAACTTATGACAGCATTGCGCATCTGTTTTTTTATTTTTATTTATTTATTATTATTATTATTTATTTTTATTTTTATTATTATACGTTAAGTTTTTGGGTACATGTGCACAACGTACATGTTTGTTACATATGTATACATGTGCCATGTTGGTGTGCTGCACCCATTAACTCGTCATTTACATTAGGTATATCTCCTAATGCTGTCCCTCCCCCCTCCTCCCACCCCACAACAGTCCCCCGTGTGTGATGTTCCCATTCCTGTGTCCATGTGTTCTCATTGTTCAAATCCCACCTATGAGTGAGAACATGCGGTGTTTGGTTTTTTGTCCTTGCGATAGTTTGCTGAGAATGATGGTTTTCAACTTCATCCATGTCCCTACAAAGGACAAGAACTCATCATTTTTTATGGCTGCATAGTATTCCATGGTGTATATGTGCCATATTTTCTTAAACCAGTCTATCATTGTTGGACATTTGGGTTGGTTCCAAGTCTTTGCTATTGTGAATAGTGCCGCAATAAACATACGTGTGCATGTGTCTCTATAGCAGCATGATTTATAATCCTTTGGGTATATACCCAGTAATGGAATGGCTGGGTCAAATGGTATTTCTAGTTCTAGATCCCTGAGGAATCGCCACACCGACTTCCACAATGGTTGAACTAGTTTACAGTCCCACCAACAGTGTAAAAGTGTTCCTATTTCTCCACATCCTCTACAGCACCTGTCGTTTCCTGACTTTTTAATGATCGCCATTCTAACTGGTGTGAGATGGTATCTCATTGTGGTTTTGATTTGCATTTCTCTGATGGCCAGTGATGATGAGCATTTTTTCATGTGTTTTTTAGCTGCATAAATGTCTTCTTTTGAGAAGTGTCTGTTCATATCCTTCACCCACTTTTTGATGGGGTTGTTTGATTTTTTCTTGTAAATTTGTCTCAGTTCATTGTAGATTCTGGATATTAGCCCTTTGTCAGATGAGTAGCTTGCAAAAATTTTCTCCCATTTTGTAGGTTGCCTGTTCACTCTGATGGTAGTTTCTTTTGCTGTGCAGAAGCTCTTTAGTTTAATTAGATCCCATTTGTCAATTTTGGCTTTTGTTTCCATTGCTTTTGGTGTTTTAGACATGAAGTCCTTGCCCATGCCTATGCCCTGAATGGTAATGCCTAGGTTTTCTTCTAGGGTTTTTATGGTTTTAGGTCTAACATGTAAGTGTTTAATCCATCTTGAATTAATTTTTGTATAACGTGTAAGAAAGGGATCCAGTTTCAGCTTTCTACATATGGCTAGCCAGTTTTCCCAGCACCATTTATTAAATAGGGAATCCTTTCCCCATGGCTTGTTTTTCTCAGGTTTGTCAAAGATCAGATAGTTGTAGATACGTGGCATTATTTCTGAGGTCTCTGTTCTGTTCCATTGATCTATATCTCTGTTTTGGTACCAGTACCATGCTGTTTTGGTTACTGTAGCCTTGTAGTATAGTTTGAAGTCAGGTAGTGTGATGCCTCCAGCTTTGTTCTTTTGGCTTAGGATTGACTTGGTGATGCGGGCTCTTTTTTGGTTCCATATGAACTTTAAAGTAGTTTTTTCCAATTCTGTGAAGAAAGTCATTGGTAGCTTGATGGGGATGGCATTGAATCTGTAAATTACCTTGGGCAGTATGGCCATTTTCACAATATTGATTCTTCCTACCCATGAGCATGGAATGTTACTCCATTTGTTTGTATCCTCTTTTATTTCATTGAGCAGTGGTTTGTAGTTCTTCTTGAAGAGGTCCTTCACATACCTTGTAAGTTGGATTCCTAGGTATTTTATTCCCTTTGAAGCAATTGTGAATGGGAATTCACTCATGATTTGTCTCTCTGTTTGTCTGTTGTTGGTGTATAAGAATGCTTGTGATTTTTGTACATTAATTTTGTATCCTGAGATGTTGCTGAAGTTGCTTATCAGCTTAAGGAGATTTTGGGCTGAGACAATGGGGTTTTCTAGATACAGAGTCATGTCATCTGCAAACAGGGACAATTTGACTTCCTCTTTTCCTAATTGAATACCCTTTATTTCCTTCTCCTGCCTAATTGCCCTGGCCAGAACTTCCAACACTATGTTGAATAGGAGTGGTGAGAGAGGGCATCCCTGTCTTGTGCCAGTTTTCAAAGGGAATGCTTCCAGTTTTTGCCCATTCAGTATGATATTGGCTGTGGGTTTGTCATAGATAGCTCTTACTATTTTGAGATACGTCCCATCAATACCTAATTTATTGAGAGTTTTTAGCATGAAGGGTTGTTGAATTTTGTCAAAGGCCTTTTCTGCATCTATTGAGATAATCATGCGGTTTTTGTCTTTGGTTCTGTTTATATGCTGGATTACATTTATTGATTTTTGTATGTTGAACCAGCTTTGCATCCCAGGGATGAAGCCCACTTGATCATGGTGGATAAGCTTTTTGATGTGTTCCTGGATTCGGTTTGCCAGTATTTTATTGAGGATTTTTGCGTCAATATTCATCAAAGATATTGGTCTAAAATTCTCTTTTTTGGTTGTGTCTCTGCCCGGCTTTGGTATCAGGATGATGCTGGCCTCATAAAATGAGTTAGGGAGGATTCCCTCTTTTTCTATTGATTGGAATAGTTTCAGAATGAATGGTACCTGCTCCTCCTTGTACCTCTGGTAGAATTCGGCTGTGAATCCATCTGGTCCTGGACTTTTTTTTGTTGGTAAGCTATTAATTATTGCCTCAATTTCAGAGCCTGTTATTGGTCTATTCAGAGATTCAACTTCTACGTGGTTTAGTCTTGGAAAGGTGTATGTGTTGAGGAATTTATCCATTTCTTCTAGACTTTCTAGTTTATTTGCATAGAGGTGTTTATAGTATTCTCTGATGGTAGTTTGTATTTCTGTGGGATCAGTAGTGATATCCCCTTTGTCATTTTTTATCACGTCTATTTGATTCTTTTCTCTTTTCTTCTTTATTAGTCTTGCTAGCGGTCTATCAATTTTGTTGATCTTTTCAAAAAAACAGCTCCTGGATTCATTGATTTTTTTGAAGGGTTTTTTGTGTCTCTATTTCCTTTAGTTCCGCTCTGATTTTAGTTATTTCTTGCCTTCTGCTAGCTTTTGAATGTGTTTGTTCTTGCTTCTCTAGTTCTTTTAATTGTGATGTTAGGGTGTCAATTTTAGATCTGTCCTGCTTTCTCTTGTGGCATTTAGTGCTATAAATTTCCCTCTACACACTGCTTTGAATGCGTCCCAGAGATTCTGGTATGTTGTGTCTTTGTTCTCGTTGGTTTCAAAGAACAACTTTATTTCTGCCTTCATTTCATTATGTACCCAGTAGTCATTCAGGAGCAGATTGTTCAGTTTCCATGTAGTTGAGCGGTTTTGAGTGAGTTTCTTAATCCTGAATTCTAGTTTGATTGCACTGTGGTCTGAGAGATAGTTTGTTATAATCTCTGTTCTTTTACATTTGCTGAGGAGAGCTTTACTTCCAAGTATGTGGTCAATTTTGGAATAGGTGTGGTGTGGCGCTGAAAAGAATGTATATTCTGTTGATTTGGGGTAGAGAGTTCTGTAGATGTCTATTAGGTCCACTTGGTGCAGAGCTGAGTTCAGTTCCTGGATATCCTTGTTAACTTTCTGTCTCGTTGATCTATGTAATGTTGACAGTGGGGTGTTAAAGTCTCCCATTATTATTGTGTGGGAGTCTAAGTCTCTTTGTAGGTCACTCAGGAATTGCTTTATGAATCTGGGTGCTCCTGTATTGGGTGCATATATATTTAGGATAGTTAGTTCTTCTTGTTGAATTGATCCCTTTACCATTATGTAATGGCCTTCTTTGTCTCTTTTGATCTTTGTTGGTTTAAAGTCTATTTTATCCGAGACTAGGATTGCAACCCCTGCCTTTTTTTTGTTTTCCATTTGCTTGGTAGATCTTCCTCCATCCCTTTATTTTGAGCCTAGGTGTGTCTCTGCACATGAGATGGGTTTCCTGAATACAGCACACCGATGGGTCTTGAGTCTTTATCCAATTTGCCAGTCTGTGCCTTTTGATTGGAGCATTTAGCCCATTTATATTTAAGGTTAGTATTGTTATGTGTGAATTTGATCTTGTCATTATGATGTTAGCTGGTTATTTTGCTCATTAGTTGATGCAGTTTCTTCTTAGCCTTGATGGTCTTTACAATTTGGCATGATTTTGCAGCAGGTGGTATCGGTTGTTCCTTTCCATGTTTAGCGCTTCCTTCAGGAGCTCTTTTAGGGCAGGCCTGGTGGTGACAAAATCTCTCAGCATTTGCTTGCCCATAAAGGATTTTATTTCTCCTTCACTTATGAAGTTTAGTTAGGCTGGATATGAAATTCTGGGTTGAAAATTCTTTTCTTTAAGAATGTTGAATATTGGCCCCCACTCTCTTCTGGCTTGTAGCGTTTCTGCCGAGAGATCTGCTATTATTCTGTTGAGCTTCCTTTTGAGGGTAACCCGACCTTTCTCTCTGGCTGCCCTTAACATTTCTTCCTTCATTTCAACTTTGGTGACTCTGACAATTATGTGTCTTGGAGTTGCTCTTCTCGAGGAGTATCTTTGTGGTGTTCTCTGTATTTCCTGAATTTGAATGTCGGCCTGCCTTGCTAGATTGGGGAAGTTCTCCTGGATAATATCCTGCAGAGTGTTTTCCAACTTGGTTCCATTCTCCCCGTCACTTTCAGGTACACCAATCAGACATAGATTTGGTCTTTTCACATAGTCCCATATTTCTTGGAGGCTTTGTTCGTTTCTTTTTATTCTTTTTTCTCTAAACTTCTCTTCTCGCTTCATTTCATTCATTTTGTCTTCCATCACTGATACCCTTTCTTCCAGTTGATCGCATCAGTTACTGAGGCTTGTGCATTTGTCACGTAGTTCTCATGCAGTGGTTTTCAGCTCCATCAGGTCCTTTAAGGACTTCTCTGCCTTGATTATTCTAGTTATCCATTCGTCTAATTTTTTTTCAAAATTTTTAACTTCTTTGCCATTGGTTTGAACTTCCTCCTTTAGCTCGGAGTAGTTTGATCTTCTGAAGCCTTCCTCTCTCAACTTGTCAAAGTCATTCTCCATCCAGCTTTGTTCCGTTGCTGAAGAGCTGCATTCCTTTGGAGGAGGAGAGGCGCTCTGATTTTTAGAATTTCCGGTTTTTCTGCTCTCTTTTTTCCCTATCTTTGTGGTTTTATCTACCTTTGGTCTTTGATGATGGTGACGTACAGATGGGTTTTTGGTGTGTATGTCCTTTCTGTTAGTTTTCCTTCTAACAGTCAGGACCCTCAGCTGCAGGTCTGTTGGAGTTTACTGGAGGTCCACTCCAGACCCTGTTTGCCTGGGTATCAGCAGCTGAGGCTGCAGCACAGCAGATATTGGTGAACCACAAATGCTGCTGCCTGATCGTCCCTGTGAAAATTTTGTCTCAGAAGAGTACCTGGCCGTGTGAGGTGTCAGTCTGCCCCTACTTGGGGGTGCCTCCCAGTTAGGCTACTCGGGGGTCAGGGACCCACTTGAGGAGGCAGTCTGCCCATTCTCAGATCTCAAGCTGCGTGCTGGGAGAACCACTACTCTCTTCAAAGCTGTCAGACAGGGACATTTAAGTCTACAGAGGTTATTGCTGTCTTTTGTTTGTCTGTGCCCTGCCCCCAGAGGTGGAGTCTACAGAGGCAGACAGGCCTCCTTGAGCTACGTTGGGCTCCACCCCATTCGAGTTTCCCTTTGGCTTTGTTTACCTACTCAAGCCTGAGCAATGGCGGGCACCCCTCCCCCAGCCTCGCTGCCGCCTTGCAGTTTGATCTCAGACTGCTGTGCTAGCAATAAGCGAGGCTCTGTGGGCATAGGACCCTCTGAGCCATGTGTGGGATATAATCCCCTGGTGTGCCGTTTGTGAAGCCTGTTGGAAAAGCACAGTATTAGGGTGGGAGTGACCCGATTTTCCAGGTGCCGTCTGTCACCCCTTTCTTTGACTAGGAAAGGGAATTCCCTGACCCCTTGCGCTTCCCAGGTGATGCGATGCCTCACCCTGCTTTGTCTCACACACGGTGCGCTGCATCCACTGTCCTGCACCCACTGTCCGGCACTCCCCTGTGAGGTGAACCCTGTACCTCAGTTGGAAATGCAGAAATCACCCATCTTCTGTGTCGCTCACGCTGGGAGTTGCAGACTGGAGCTGTTCTTATTCGACCATCTTGGCTCCACCCCCACCCCCTCCACCCATGCATCTGTTTTTGTATGTACCTTTTATGTCAGGTTGAGTCCATAGTTTCCTCCTTCCGATTCCTCACTCATCATCTTCATATGACTAACCCCTAACTCATTTTCCATCCCATTTTTTATTCAAAAGAAGCTGCCGTGCTTCAGTATCGCCTCCAAATCTCTAAAATTTTCTTTTCCTCATGCACCATCTTTGACACTTTTTCAAAGTTTTTGAGGTGATGACCATTTTCAAGTCATCTTTTGTCTTATTTCCTTTCCTTTGGTTGTATTTTTTTTTTTTTTTTTTTTACCAAAACCCTTTATAAAAATGGTACCTGATGTTAAACTACCCATGAAAATGTCATCACAAAGACACCTGGAGCAGATTTTAGGTACTAAACAAATATTCTGGCATTGATTTGAACTGTATATATGAAGATGAGTACCAAAGAGTAAAGAGAGGAAAGAAGGGGGATCAATATAAAGATATCAAAAGAAGCAATCTAAAAATACACAATTTTAAGATTCAAGAATATTGAAAAATATTCAAGAATACTGTTTGGCAGAACAAAAGACAAAGCAAGTCTTTGTCAGCTGTCCGTTATTCTATCCAACAGAGTCCTTTAAAATAAAGCAATCTTGTTTTTATCACTCAGTCCATTCTGCAAGAAGTGAGCCTCCAACATCCGCACATTATTCTCTGTCTTGGTTCTGAACAGCTTGCTCTGCTATATGGCATTCCATCTCACAACAAGCTGCTCACTTCTAATTTTGTAACTCCTTGTCCACTTCTGGTCTCGCCTCTTACTTTGAATAAGTGAATTGGCACCACTTTGCCAGGTGAAACTACAGTTTTTCTCACCATTTTTATCCCTGGTGTGTAGGATGGTGTCTGGGGTCAAGGAAGGGCTTAATGTGTCTGGCTGATTGGGTGGTGCCATGGGTGGTTGCTGACAAACATCTGCATGGCCTGGTCTATACTTGGGACCCTCTGCCTCAGCCTCTCCCATGAGCATGTTACTTATCAAACCCATGTCACTCTTCCTAAGAAAGCCATGCCAAAACATTGAGCCCCTCTTTCTGTCTTTACAGAGAAAGTATCATCTGCCAGGATTCTCAGTCCTGGACAGCAAGCAGTTAACCCTGGGGAAGGGAGAAAGGAGAAGACAATGGAGGAATGGTCTTCATTTCCAGGGGCATCTGCTTCCCAAAATGAAACATTTGGAAGTTTTTTGAGGGCTCAAGAAGGGAGCTCTAAAATGCAACATGTGAAGTGAGGTTATTTAAATTCTGATCTAACTGTGTGGCCTATCTTCATGCCTGCATTAAAATTGTTCAGACTTTGACCATCCACCCCCGTCATTTTGTTTGGATTAGCTGAGGGCTCCACTTGTGTGGTACGTTTTGATTTTGTCTGACACAGTGTTCCCATCGCATCCTCCCTCAAGTAGGTCTGGAGGAAAAAATGTACTTAGCTGAGAAGTCACAATCTCTGTTTTTTATGCTTCCAAGGAAACTTAACAGGAAATGGCTTTGCTTTGCCATATTTAGGATAGATTAGAGTACAGATTCAAGGAGTTTTCCTCAAGTTACATTTTACACAGAAACTCAAGGACAAATGCAAAGAAAGAAATGGTCTCAGAATCCAACTCCAGGATGCTTATAGGGTCCGATTAAAGCTTTCCATTTGATAGATGAGGGTATTAATTTCTGGTAAGGGAAAAGGTTTTACTTAAAGCTGTGTAATGAACTACTGATGGCTTAACAACCAGGACTAGAACGCAGGTCTCTTGTTGCTCTTATCCATAAAATAGAAATTCAGCTAAAACATACTCTATGGATCTGTAAAGTCATACGTTTTCATTTTAACTCTGATTCCAATGCAGTGACCAAAAATTGTATTTCTCAGGTTTGGTCACCTGTATTCTCATGTGTTTGTGAAGGGTGGGTACAGGGAACAATGCAGAGAATATGGGCTTCTCAGGAATCATCATGGAGGGAGTTCTATGGGGTCTATAAAGAGTGAAAGCAGTAAAGGTAAGATCAACTAGTTCTAGATTTGCAAGGTCTTCATAGGACGTTGTTCCCTGCCACCTGGAGATTGTCTTCTTTTTACTCTTTAACAAAAGTGTGAGGAGAGATGGGGTGACAGAGAAATATTCAACACAAACTAGTGCATTACATTGTTTTCTTCTAGAGGAACAGTAAGACAGTCTCTACAGCAGAATGGTGAGCAGTGGAAGCTTCCACAAGATGAAGCAACTTTATTCAGTACGTTTTTGCAGAACAGGACATGTACCTCAGCATGCTGTAGAGAAACAGCTTTTAAGTTGGTCAGAAGGTAGGCAGGGTTGTACATTATTTTCCCCCAACTTTGTGAGGCAATAGGAGGGAAGGAATAAAGGTAGGAAAAATGAAGGGTGACAGGGTGAATTTAAAAGAGTGTTCTGAAATATTCCGAGTCTGTCTTGATTTCCTAACCATGTTCCATCGATAGGCCATGCATGCAGGCTTTGATCCATTTTAGTCACAGAGGAAATCCTATTATAAAGAGAGATTCAGCCCCACTTTCTGGGAAGAGTGAAAACACTGGGAATTAAGTGGAGTTTCTAAGCAAAAGGAAAATCCAAAGTGCCAGAGATGACTCAGCACAGGTCAGTATAGCTCCTATGTTGTAAAATAGGAGTTTTCTAGTCCCTCTTCATCCTCCCAGGTATGCTGGGATACTCTGATTAAACAGCAATATCCATATTAACCAACACTTCAGTTCATTTGAGTGCATTTCAATACATTAGGAGCTGTGAATGTATTAGGTATTTTGAATGCATTATATTTGATCCCAGCAACAATCTTGAAATGCAGATATTATCAATGAATCTTCTACAGAAAAACACAACAGAGACTCAAAGTAAATTATTTAGTCCCAGGTCACATGGTCCCATGGCACAGTAGCTGTAGAGTTTAATGGTTAAGAGCATGGACTCTGGAAACAGAATACCTGTGTTCAAGTCATAGCTTTGCTGCTTGCTAGTGGGGGAAAATAGACAGCATCTAAGATGGCCCCAGTTGATCCCCATTTCCTGTTATTCATGGACTTCTTCTAATCTTTTCCTCTTGAATAACCTACCTGTAACCAACAGAATATGGCAACATAGTGGGGCTGTCATTTTGTTGAGTAAGTTACAAAAGATTGTGGTTTCTTACTAGTGGACTCTCTCTGCTGCTGGCTTTGATTAAACAAGTTGTCATGTGAGAGAAGTCTTTGTGGCAAAAAACTGAGGGTACCTCACACCAACAGCCAGTGAAGAATGAGGGCCTTCAGTCCAATGCCCATGAGGAATTGAATTCTTCCAGCAGCTATGTGAGTTAACCTGAAAACAGATTCTTTCCCAGTAAAGCCTTCAAATGTAACCTGTTTCAGAGGACGCCTTAATTACACCTTTCTAAGGTTTGAATTTGCGCTCATGAAAACTCATGTTGAAATTTGTTCCCATATGTGGCAGTGTTGGGAGGTGGTCTAGCGGGGAGGTATTTGGGTCATGGGGACAGATGCTTCATGAATAGCTTGCTGCCCTTCTCACGATAGCAAGTTCACACTCTCTTGAGAGTTAGTTGTTATAAAGTCAAGACACTCTTTGGGTTTTGTCTCTTTGCACATATCTGCTTCCTCACTGACCTTCTTTGCCATGTTATGAGACAGCATGAAAGCCCTCACCAGAAGCCAGGGCTATGTCCTTGAACTTTCTGCCTATAGAAACATAAGCTAAATAAACCTCTTTTCTTTATTAATGACCAAGCCTCAGATATTCTGTTACAGCAACACAAAATAGACAAAGACGCAACCTTATGAGAAACGTTGAAGCAGAAGATCCAGGTAAGCCATGTTTTGATTCCTACCTCACAGAAAATGTGAGATAATAAATATTTATTGTTTTAAACTTCTAAATTTTGGGATGATTCTTTATGCAACATCAGGTAACCAATATAGGGAATGTGAGCAATTTCTTTAATTTCTGCCTGCCTCAGTTTTTTTACTCCTACTGTAGAAGTAGATCATCGTGATTATTTCATAGGGTTACTTAGAGGATTCTGTGTGAATATATATACAAATATATATATATATAGCCTGACATTGGGCAAATGCTGCCTAAGTTTGAAAATAGCAAAGCTGATATTCAAACCTGAGTCTGTCTGCTGCCCAAGCCCTTTGCCCTGGCAGCAGGCTCTCATGCACCATGCCAGTCCATACGAATATTGTCTTTAAAATCTACTTTACACCTCAGTTATGATTTTGTTTCTTGTTTCTTGCTGCATCCCTAAATTTATTTTATCCCTGACTCAGTGATGGCTTCAATTCCTAAACTCATTCTTGACCTTTGAACCAAAGAGGGAATTGACTTTTCCACTTGACTGCTTAGCATGTTTTCCTGGACTCCTATTCATTCTAGGCTTCCCGTGTCCTGTGCCCAGTTTAACTCATGCCTAGTATCACTGTGCCTCATTTCTGAGCTTGGAACTAAAGTTACATGCTACATAATGGCATTTTGGTCAATAATAGGACATATATATGTCCTGGTGATCTCATAAGATTATAATACTGTACCTTTTCTGTGTTTAGATATGCAAATACTTACCATTGTGTTATAATTGGCTACAGTATTCAGCATAATAACATGCTGTAGAGGTTTGTAGCCTGGGAGCAATAGACTATACCATATAGCCTAGGTGTGTGGTAGGCCATACCTTCTAGGTTTATGTAAGTACACTCCATGATGTTCACACAATGGCAAAATGGCCTAATGATGCATTTCTCAGAATGTATCCCCATGGTTAAATGGTACATGCCTGTGCCCATGGTTAAGTGACACGTGCCTGTGTATCAGGATCTGTATGTGGTATTCTGGAAAGCCAGAAAGAACAATGACTAAGGGCAAGAAGATTTGTCTTCTTTCTCCAATTCCTCCTTAAAGTAACTCACTTTATCATTTTCTGCATCTCAATTCATCACATGTGACATGGGTATTATAATTTCTATCTTATGGAGACACCATATGCATTAACTACGACGTGGAAGATAGAACAGTTGACATTAATTAGGTGCCCCGATAAATACTAATCCTGCTCTTGCATTCCTTAGCTATAGCACTCCATGGTTCTAGCTGTAAGTGCTTCAAGTAGAGGCCATGGAAAGTACTAGAACATCTCTCTCTCTGTTATGACCCCTTCTCCATTCTTCCGTGACCTCTTTCTCAATGGAATTAATATTTCTATTTGGGAAAATGTTAGGCAGCTTCAGAGATAAGTCCTTCAAGTTTTCTGAATGTGCGTTGGACTTCTGGGGCAAAAAGTCAGCCTGTTTTATACCCTATACTTCCTCCCTCCTGTCCTCATTCCATTGCTAAATCACAGGAACCCTGCCCTTCTCTCCCATCTTCATTCCAAGTACCTGCTTGTTAAGACTTCAAGAATATATAGACATACAGCCACCGTGTGTCCCAGATATTCTAGTTTGATCAATCATATTATCATGTAGTTTTTACCCACTGGCTCCCATAAAGTTCTCTAAGCCTTAGTTACTTCGTGCATAAAATGAGGTTAGAAGTCCTGTTCTGGAGCATAATGATAATGTATATAAAATGCCTTACACACAAGACTCAATTTAGAATTATTATTGTCTTAAAGGTTGTGCAAAGCTAAATTGTTATTTATCTTTGTAAAGATTTCACTATGCATATATTGGTAAATTTAAAAATCCTTTGTCAGATTATTTATTCCTCCTAAACCAGAAAATTTTCAGGATGTCAATAATACTGAGTGTAGTTGTGGTCACTTCAGTGTAGGCCAATGGAACACATGTGCAATGTAGACCAAGCTAGGCTTCAATCTCATCTGGGCCTCATAGTAGCTCAGTTCAGCTATGCAAACTTGGCAAGCTCCTTGGCCTTGCAGACTTAAGTTTCTTCATCTGCACAATTGTTATACTGCAACACACCTTGCAAGGATTTTGTATACATGAGCTATCTATCATATACTGGGGACTCAATATGTTAGCTCTCTTTCCCCAGCAACATAGCCTTTCCAAGATATCCATTTTTACTAATTGAAGATAATGCCTTGCCTTGTTTTATCTGGTGTGGGATTTTATAATGTTAATGTTCCTCCGTGAGTGAAAGCTGCCTTAGATTAGGCTCTTAATACATGACCTAAAACATGGATAACCCATCCCCCTCACCACCCACCTCCTCCTGTAACTCAAAGATTTGTTTCTCATCTAGAAAAATCTTTCTTTAAAATTCAAAAGGCCAAGGCCAAGGGGTCTTCTGAGAGAAATCAAATCCCTTTATACTTTGCCAGATAATTTTCCCACAAAAAGGAAATTCTACAAATACTCAGATGACATCACCGAGAAAAGGCTCTTGTTTCCCCCGGGCGCAGCCTCCCTGGAAGATGACAAGGGTTAGGAATAGAGGAACCCTGGGCCACTTGTCGGATTTGGCAAGCGGCAGCCAACAGCTGGTCTGGCCGGTTAATTAGCTCTGCACTCTGCTCCTGTCCAGCCTCTACTGGCAAAGGCAGAAGGAAGCGGCTCTGGCCTGCTTTTCTCTTTCTATTAACAAAGCCCAGTGCCACTGGATTACCTTGGCCTCCAGCCAGGGCTGTGCGCCCTTTGCCTGCCTGTGGGTTGCCATGGCAATAGTGATGTGCCTTTTGCCAAGGCAGCAGCTGGTGGATGGGCAGCCCATTACCTGCCAAGCAGATCCACTAGCTCCAAAGTACAAATCTTTCTCAGATAAGTAAAATAAATGGGGGGGTTGGGGTGGGGGATTTCTAGACTTAGGAAACAAGGAAGGAGGATTCTCTACACCTTTTGCTCCATTTTCCCTATTTTAATTTACTAACAAAAGGTGACTATCTTCCTTCATTTGTCCAGATGCCCATCTGCTAAACACATAGGCCCATCTCATGAATTTTTCTGAAGAAAGGCAATAAATAATTTATTCTGTGTCTTTGCAGCAAAAAACATGCTGCCTGCCCCTAGCATCCAGAGGCAAAACACAGTGTCTTCCACACTGCAGAGCAGGGCTTCAGCAAAGGAAATGTGTCAGTCTGTTTGTGTTACAATAGCAGAATACCAGAGACTGGGTAATTTATTTTAAAAAAAATTTTTTTCTTATAATTCTGGAGGCTGGGAAGTCCAAGGTCAAGGGGCCCCATCAGGGGACAAACTTCTTGCTGTGTCATGATATGGTGGAGGGCACCACGTGGCAAGAGGGCAAGAGTGTGTATACTTGTTCAGTTCTTTTTTTGTATAAAGCCACCAGTCCCATCACAGGGAGCCACCTTAATGACCTTATCTAATCCTAATTAGCTCCCAAAGACTCCATCTCCAAATATCACCAACATATAAATTTGAAGATTGTTTCCAACACATGAAACATGGGGAACACATTCAAACCATAGAAAAAGGGTCCTAGGCAGAGGAAAGAATTTCTGGAAAGACAGGAAGGTATCGCCTACAGTGAAATTATTGTGAAAATATTGTGGAAAATATAGAGTGGGTGATGGTCCTTAATTAGGAGAAAATAACCCAGAGATTCCGGGTCCTGATTGTTAGAATACCTTATTTCATCTTAAATTTTATCCAGAAAGCATTTGTTAAACGCCAACTGTAGATACACTTAGTTTTTATGGCATTTCAAGCATCAGTTTCCTCCATCCTCCACGTGTAATCAATACTGGGACTATCTAGATCAGGGAAGATTTCAAAAGGCAGACCAAGGGAAGTGAGAAGGACATTTCAGGCAGAGAAAGTAGGTTAACCTAGGGATACAAACAGGATTGAAGTGGGGAATCATGAATGCTTTGCATAGCTTGAGTTTGGGAGCTTGTGTATGGAAGAGAGTAGAGTAGAGGTGTAGTCAGGGAAAGCAGGCTGCAGTTTTTCATGTATTAGAGGAATATGCATTGAGAAATTTGCATTCTGTTCTCTAGGCAGTGTGGAGCTAGTAAAGTTTCTTAAGCCTGGAGTGAAGCAACTGGTTATGCTTTAAGATTTAAACTCACTGTGTTTTCCAGAATGGATTGGACCAAGGCAAAAGACAAAGGGGGTAGGGACATGAAAGGCCTGAAAAAGGGTAACAGTGGTAATAATGAAGAGGAAGCAAGTTCAAGACCTGTGTCAGCAATGACTCAGTATTACCATACTAATAGCTAATATGATGAGAGGCCTTCTATGTCTCCATAATGATTGTTCTCTATGCATGTCCATCTTTAGCTCACACGTCAACCTCGTCACTGTCATCATCATTATTCCCACATGGTCT
Source organism: Homo sapiens (assembly GCF_000001405.40). Classification (NCBI taxonomy): domain Eukaryota; kingdom Metazoa; phylum Chordata; class Mammalia; order Primates; family Hominidae; genus Homo; species Homo sapiens. The sequence continues at coordinate 128,792,915 of NC_000008.11, read as the reverse complement.
CTATCTTTAAGTCCCACTTTACAGATAAGAAAATTGACTCTGAGATGTTACTGTAATTTCATAGCTGGTAGTACCAGCAAAGCGTTGTTTTGTTGTTTCAATTAAAAGAAGTCTGATTCTAGATATTTGAATCTTAACAATTTGACAGCAATGTCTCCCAAATTTCATTCATTTCTGGGCCATTGTTTTGGTTAATATTGATTATCAGCTTGATTGGATTGAAGGATGCAAAGTATTGTTCCTGAGTTGTGTCTGTGAGGGGTGTTGCCAAAGGAGATTAACATTTGAGTCAGTGGATTGGGAGAGGCAGAACCACCCCTAATCTGAGTGGGCACCATTTAATCAGCTGCCAGCATGGCTAAAATAAAGCAGTCAGAAGAACATGGAATGACTAGACTTGCTGAGTCTTCTGGGCTCTTTCTTTCTCCCATGCTGGATGATTCCTGCCCTTGAACATCAAACTCCAAGTTCTTCAGCTTTAGAACTCTTGGACTTACACCAGTGATTTGCCAGGGCCTCTCGGGCCTTTGGCCACAGACTGAAGGCTGCACTATTGGCTTCCCTACTTTTGAGGTTTCGGGTTTTGGACTGGCTTCCTTGCTCCTCAGCTTGCACATGGCCTATTGTGGGACTTTACCTTGTGATTGTGTGAGTCAATCTCCTTAATAAACTCCCCTTCATATATACCTCTATCCTAGTAGTTCTGTCCCTCTGGAGAACCGTGACTAATACAGCCATGCAAAACTCATAATCTAAGGTAAGGGGTGGGTTAGCAAACTTTTTCTGTAAAAGGCTAGTTAGTAAATATTTTAGGTTTTTTGGCCATGCGGTCTATTTCACAAATAATCTGCCATTGTAGCATGAAAACACCAATAGACAATACATAAACAAATGAGAGTGACTGTTTTTCAATATGATAATCCTTTATTTAAAAAAGAAAAAGCAAAAATGTAACAGCAGCAGATCAGATTTAGCCTGTGGGCTGTAGACTGACACCCCTGATCTAAAGTTAAAAATATAGGAAGGAGGTCTTCTTTGGATGTAAACATGGTACAGCTAAGGTGGAGGATTAATGCACTAGACATGGAGGAATCCTATAGTTCGAGAAACAAAAATTTATGGTCTAAAACACCTTTAGATTTCATCTAGTCCAAGGGCTGTAAACCTAAACAGATTGACTAGAGATCAGCAATATTAGGGAAGGACTGGGAATGATGAGCTTTGGGGCTTATCTCTTAAAGAAAGCTGGGCTAACTTTGAAGATATCATCACCAATATGCCTTTTGCTTTCCTAGCAAAATCAGTAGAGTAAAGCTTAACAAAAGTTCTTTGGCTAAAGTTATATAACAGTTGAAATTAAAGCACATTATAGGGGACTCCATGATAGCATAACTGGTACTACAAATGGCCTTTGGAGGACTTGTAAGTCTCCTGAGATTATTGGCAGAATTGTTTGGAGATGTGTGTGCATATGATCACTCCCCCTACACTGTCCCCTACCTGCAGATAAATAGTACAAGTCAGTGGATGAAGATGCTAGTGTTGCACTGAGACAAGCCGAGGTGCAAACATGGTATCTCTCAGTCATTAACTTTGTTACAGAGAGCCAGCTTAACCTGTCTTAGTTTACAGATCTATAAAACAGGACAAAAATACCAACATTTGTGTGTAAGGGGGATGATGTTCTGATGATTGAATAATGTAAGCCATTATGGTGTAAATTAGATATAAATCATTACATACAGAACCCCTTAAGTAGGATTTAAAAAAAAAAAAAAAGACAGAGTCTAGCTCTCCCAGAAAGAGGGTAGTGGAGTGGTTAAATTCATCGTCTCTGGAGATAGAAACCTATATCGCATTTTTTTCATTTGCAAAATAAATAACTAAATAAAAAATAAACATGGGTAAACACAGAATTCACTTCATTGAGGGAGGTTGTGAGAATAAAATGAGATGGTGTTTATGAAGAGTTTAAAGAATACCTGACACATAGCAGGTACTCTTTGAGTTAATAATTTATACAGGTGGGTAAACTGAGCCCTAAGATACCATGTGACTTGCCCCAAATCAGAATACTTCTTAGAAATTTTCCAATTTTGGAAGTAAGAGAATAGTAGAAAGTTTAATTCTAAAATATGGCTTTTGTTTCTACATGAAATTTAAGAGGAAAATGTGTTATGAATAATAAACATTTCTACAGTGCTTGCTTGATGCCATTGATATTCTAAGTGCTTGCATTTACCTTTCATGCATCCTCTCAACAACCTTATAAGGTAGGCACCGTCTTTTATTTTCTTTCTTTATTGTTTTTGAGACAGAGTCTCACTCTACTTCCCAGGCTGGAGTGCAGCGGCATGATCTCGGCTCACTGCAACCTCTGCTGCCCTGATTAAAGAGATTCTTGTGCCTCAGCCTCCTGAGTAGCTGGGATTACAGATGCATGCCACCACGCCTGGCTAATTTTTATATTTTTAGTAGAGACCAGGTTTTACCACATTGGCCAGGCTGGTCTCAAACTCCTTGCCTCACGTGATCCACCCGCCTTGGCCTCCCAAAGTGCTGGGATTACAGGCATGAGCCACTACGCCCGGTTGATTTTTTCATCTGAAGAAATCAAAGCACAAAGAAGTTAAAATACATTTTCAGGGTAACTTGGTAGTAAATGGTAGGGTTAGGATTTGAACACAGGCACTTTGCTGAGCTGCCCTTCCTATAACGTTACTAAGTTCAGGCAGAAGAGTAGTAGAGGGTAATGAGAAAAGGCAGTTGTGAAAACATAGGTATATCGCATCGCCATAGATTTGAGAGCACAAGGACAGAACCCCAAACTCCTAATCAGAAGGCTTCAGAGTATGAGATCTGTCTGATTCAATAAGGTTGTCCAATCATTAGGTGTTTGCCTATAGTCCACCTCCTCGATGAAGGCTGAACTACACCCTTCTTCATCTCTGGGGAATTATTCTTTCCCTGTTGTGTGTTCCCATGGTTCCCTCATCCAGACTTCTGTTGTAGCCTCTGTAGCACAGTAAGTGTGTTGGATTACCTTCTGTCTATCTTATTTGTAAGTCCTTGAAGATGATGGCTCTGTCTTATCCATCTTTGCATTCTCTGGACCAGCACAATGCCTGGCACAGTAAAGCACCTGATTCATTTTTACTGACTACATAAACAAATCCACAAAGAAATGTATGAGAGAAAGGGGTGGGTTCAGAGGTCATGCTAAGACTTGAGGAAAAATCAGGACTTTGTGGTAATGAACTCCTCAGCAGCCTAATGAAGCTATTGCATGACTCCCATCCCAGCTGGATGTTAAAAGGAAAGCTGACACGAACCCGTGTTCTGCTAAGAATAACACCTACAAGATAGCAATGTTTGAAATAAGCCTGTCTCTGGAAAGGGTCCTGAGCCTTGTAATTTTACTTTTATAGTCATGGCCCCAGCATGTTTGACTTTTCAAATCCCCTTACTGAGATCCAAGGGTCTGTTTACAAAAGCCGTATCTTAAACTTGTTCCTCTGTGAAGTACAAGTGGGATTTGTACTCCTCTGTATAAACTGGTCCCCTGGAGCGACACTGCATTCTCTCCTTGCTGGATTTCTCTATTTCATGGAATGGGAAGAGAAAGCAAACAGCATCATACAGAGTTGGTTATAAACGTCTCTCAGGAACCAACCCCTCTAACAATAACAATAACAACAGTAATAATAATAGTCCCAAACCACTATCTCCCAGAGCAAATGGGAACTTAACAGGAAAAATGAGATGAACACCAGAAGAGAAATAGAACAGTTTATGTGCAATGTTCTAGGCAGCAGACAGGAGCCAGGGACATTGGAAACAGGGCTGAAAAACAAAAGAAACCATTTACAACACAAAGTAAAAGTATTCAGGACTTAATTCAGGATTCAGGAAGAGCTACCAGGACATCAAGTTTATGGGATTCCAATGTGGTCTGGTTAAGATATTTAGGACCAAACCACACCCCTGTTATCACAAATACATCATGGTGGCTTTACAATGTGTCAGCTTGGCTCAGCTGAACTACATTTCCCAGAATTCCTTTTCTAGCACGTTTCTGGACAGCGTGGGCCACAGCAGAGATTCTTGAGCAATATTTTAATGGTACCAACACCATTTTGTAGATGACAAAGGATGTCACTTACCTGTTTGCTCACTTTGTCAGCATGGGGCAATAGTTGGACTGGAAGCTGCTCCAGCTTCCTCTGGTTTCTTTTTCAACTTCTCTCTCTCCTGGACCAGAGGTGTATGGTTAGCCCTGTGATGAAAGTGCCAACATCTCCTATAAGACACCCACACCCTCAAGGACAGAGGTAGCAAGAACTGACACAATTTTCGGCCCATCCTTGTGGGTTCCAGCTTGCCCTTGTTTCTCCTACTTTAATCCATCTTCTCTCCCTGATGGGCTTCAGGGTGCAGCATTGGATGAAAAGACAAGAACCTTATAGAAACTCCTTCACCAGCCCCACAATTGTGCCAGGTCAAATCCCTGTAATGAATCCCTTATTATATATGTATTTATATTACTTACAATTTTGCATTTCTGATTGGACACTGGCACATCTTCAAGAAAATGGAAAGTTCACACACTTTGAGCCAGAGAAATGGACCTGGGTTCAAATCCCACTCTTGTCACTCCTTATTTTTAACCTTCTATATAGATTCTTTATCTTGATGGTCCTAGGACTTCTTATGTGTAACATGGAGATAATGCCCACTTTATAGGGATGTTTTAAAGAAAATAAGTATGCAAACTACCTAGCTTATAATAGTGACCCATTATGATGGGAGGATACTTTGTTCACTCTTTACTTAAGGTAGCTTCTCTTTTCTCCAGTCCATCAAAATAAGCTTTATTAGGACAAATGGTACTGGATACATGTTCCTTGGTTAATTTGTGATGAGTTGTTACAGCTGCCCATTTCCGGAAAGTAATGCAGATGAGGCTGGTTTGACTCAAGCCATGCTTGCTTCCTACGAAGTGAGTCACTGTAGACCATTTCCTCTTCACTGCAGGGGTATACATGTCTCACTCAGAATGAGCTGAGAACATGTGGCACAGATTCTAATCCCCAAACGTTTCCATATGGCCCCTGGCTGTGGATTCCCCAGCTCTGACTCGTCCATCTCTCCTTGCCTGTCTTGGTTATCAGAGTGCTGTGGGCCAAAGTTGCTGAAAAAGACAATGAGGGCCTTGCTAGTCAGCTTAGTGAGTCTGACGAGCCCCTAGCTGAGTCCACCAGTGATCTCTCAGTATTCAGACAACCAAGGGTATCAGTGTCCTGACCCTGGGAGCTGTCTTTGGATGCAGACAGCTTTCTTTAGCCTAATGATGGGTATTATCAGAACTAGATTCCCGAGGACAAATCCAAAAATCTCCCTTGTATTTATCTAACGAAGCAGAAGGTACAGAGAATTAGTCCAGAGAACCGCAAATATCTAACCTTACCAGGTTAACTCACTGCAGAAGCAATTGGAATTAATAAAAGAAGCATTGGGTTGAAAGTAAGAAGATGGAGATTCCAGTCCATGTCTATATTTCTTACATGGCTAAGGGAATTGTGGAAAGCCAGTAGGACTCAGTTTTCTCTTCTGTTACCAGCTCGAAGGTCCTTCAACATGGGTTAATAAAGAAGACTATATTATCAAACAATAAATACTTTTGAATATTTATTATTTGTCAAGTACTTTGCAAAGTTATATAGAATAAACAAAAAAGACGTGATTTCTATCTTCAGGAGAAAGCCAAATATTGAACATTTAAAAAGTTATTACATAACAAGTCAATAACTGAAAAAGTGTCAAAGGCAGAATGTGATTTGTTGCTGTGTGACTTGCACAAAAAATGTCTTTCAAAAAATCAAAGAAATTGAAAGAAAAAGCAAGGGAACTGTGAACTAATTGAAGATATGTTTGTTTTTGATAAAGTATAGGATCTGGAGAGGTTAAAAAAAGAGAAAAGAGAGAAACAGGCAAAGAATTAGATTCTCTGCTCAAACTAGACAACTGGTCATGGGACAAGATTCTGGGCATCTCAGTCCTCAGTTTTCTTACCTACCCTGGGGAGTTATCAGGTTAATCTTAGAGGGAGTCAGCCTGAGTAAGTAATTAGGTGATACTCCCTAGTGCTTTGAACATCATACAAATGGCAACCACTGTTTATCGGCCAAATGGCATCATTAAACCCTAGCGATACGTACACAGAGACCTTGGCAAGCAAAGGGAAAGGAACTAAAATAAGCATAAGCTATAGGATTGTCCCTAAGAAGGTTAACAATCCTATTGGGAAGATGTGATTTTTAGTCAAGGAACTATTTCAGCCGCAGTCCTTGAAACTGTTATGTAGACCCATTGTGAATCTACTAAACTGAAGTAAAATGAAAGTAGGTAATCTGGCTTGAACTACTGAGCCAATATAGAATCAGAGCATTTCTACTCAAATCCTCACTCCCTGCCACCCTGGAATAGTGCAACACTGAAAATTTATGCAAGGAGAGGAAAATGTGTGAAAATTTTCACCACAATCTCTTCTCTCACAAAGCCAAGAACTTGGTGTCTTTTTTGCAAATTTGCAAAATGACAAAAAGACTTCTCAGGCTGTTGGGAACAGATTGTCCCTTTGGCCCAAGTGAAAGGGGGGTGAGGGGCTAACTGCTGAGTAAGAAACATGTCTGATGCACTGATATGATATTTTTATTTAAACTTTAGTGGTTTGAATAGGATGACTAAGGCTTTTCATAAAATTATTATTTTGGCCTTGCAAATTTACAGATCTGTTTTCAGTCAAGTTGATCTTTGTTTCTTGCAGGGCAATATTTCAAAAGGGGAAATTGGTATGGTTGACCTAGATGAGGGCATCTCAGCATTCTTCCCTTCATGGGGTCTTAGTGAGGTGCATTATTGGGCCTGACTCCCAAACGCAACTGACTTATATTTTCTAACTTTTCAAGAGACTGTCTTTTGATATTTTAGAGTACAGAAAGATGTTATAGATTATATCCATGTTCCAGCCAGCTGGCACAAATAACAGTATCATGATCACTTATCATGGTTCCTTAATTTGAAAGAGTTTTGGTTTAAAAAGAGCTTTCATATTCATTATCTTAATGACATTCTTTTCATTTCGTACTTTACCTAATGCTACCTGGCAAAGTTGTCCAGGTCCGACTTCTCTAATGGATGTCTGCTGAGGGTAGTGGTAGGTGTTGTTCATCTTGGTTTCTACCACAGTGCCAGGTGCTTGTTTTGCAAACAGTGAGCATGTTTTACCAGTGATTTTCCAAAGCGATTTTGACTCCCGCAAAACAACCTTGTAGGTTAGGTGAGGCCAGAAATGTTGCCATTTAATTAACCAAGGCTAAAAGAGGCAATAGGTCTTGTCTAAGGATCAGCCCATCCACCATCATTTCCTCCTTTTTATCCAGGCCGATAATTCACAGATGCCTTTGTTTCACCCAACATCCCTGTCTTCACCTGGGTAACCCCTGGTTATTCCAAGATTCATTTCAGAGTATTTCTGCTCTAAAATAATACTATGATATGAGACCTTGACATACTCTCTTCTGTCTTCTCTCAAAGTAATTCTGATGATATATAGAGACAAAAACTCATTGAAAAGCCCCTAATACAGGACTCTCAAACTCTTGCCAGAAATTGAAGGAAATTTCACTTGCTGCATGATATGCTTCGGCTCTGTTTCTCCACCCAAATCTCATGTTGAATTGTAATCTCTGATGTTGGAGGTGGGGCCTGGTGGGAGGTGATTGAATCATGAAGATGGTTTCTAATGGTTTAGCACCATCCCCCTAGTGCTGTCTCATGATAGAGTTCTCACAAGATCTGGCTGTTTAAAAGTGTGTAGCACCTCCCACTTCATTCTCTTCCTCCTGCTCCAGCCATGTAGGACATGCTGGCTTCCCTTCAACTTCCACCATGATTGTAAGTTTCTTGAGGCCTCCCCAGCCATTCTTCCTGTACAGCCTGTGGAACCATGATCCAATTAAACCTCTTTTCTTTATAAATTACCCAGTCTCAGGTATTTATGTACAGCAGTGTGGGAACAAACTAATACACTGCAAAACTTCAGCAATTCAACAAAGAATCACCATTTATGGCTGTTGTGTTCACACTGCTCTTTGAAATGAGATAGGTCCACTGGTTAAAAAAAGAGGTGAGAAAATGCTTTGTCACATCCCCCTCATGTATATAGCTATTTTTTTTCATCATAGACTCAGAGTTTTGGTCCACCAGAAAAGAATGTTATTTTTCAACTGAATAGGGCCAACTTATTGAAAGGTAAGATATTCTATCTCATCCAAGAATCTTTTCCAATAATAAAATATGCATAAGTGCACATACACACACATACACTACCCCCCACACTTACACACACTGTACATAAGTATTTTTTCAAATTCTTTTAAAGTGTTCTATCATTTGGAGCTTCAATTTTCAAATCATCTGGAATACATATTTTAATATGGCATGAGTTTGAGATTTATTTTTTTAAAAATCGAGTGTTCACTGTCCCTGTTTTATTTTTGAAAAGCCTGTTACACCTATTAATTTGTAATGTCACCTCAATAACTTCTTTATGTGCAGGGGTATATCTCTGGGCAATGTATTGAGTTCTACTGATGTTATAATTAACAGTTTTAATTAATGTGGCTTTAAAGTAAGTCTTGATACCTGCTAGGAGAAGTATATCTCATAAATTTTCTCTCCATTACTACTGCTGTCATCTTCATTGGTGATTTTCATATTCTTGCACATGGATCTATCCAGTAGCCCATCTTCTTTTCCTGATCTTATTCTCCTTGCCACCTACACTTATCCAAACCTATGGTCATGATTTAGATCTGACTATTACTTATAATTATTCCCTTACAAAAGAAAACAGTCTCAGCTTCTATTATCTCCTTTGTCTGATGGACACCTCCTGTCTTTTCAGCTCTGACTCTCTAGCACTCCCTTTCTAAAATGCCTGCACCTCACTGGGAACTCTAATGCATGGTGCAGGTGGCAATCTGATATTAGACCAATATTCTGGCATTATAATCACATGCTTGCTTTTCTCTTGCCAGGGTACTTGTGTTAGTTTCCTATTGCTGGCATAATAAATTGCTACAAATTTAGTGGCTTAATACAAGTTCATGACCTAATGATTTTGTAGGTCAGAAATTTAAAAATACATGGGTTTCACAAGCTAAAATCAAGGTGTCGGCAGGGCTATGTTCCTTTTTGGAGGTTCTATGGGAGAATCCATTTCCTTGACTTTTCCAGTTTCTAGAGACTGCCTGCACTGATGCATTCCTTCCATCTTCAAAGTTAGCGATGAGTGATCAAGTCTTTCTCACATCACATAACTCTGACACCAACACTGTTCTGCCTCTCTCTTTCACTTATAAGCATCTTTGTTATCTTTGTGATTACGTTGGCCCAAGTCAGATAACAGAGAATAATCTCCTCCATTTCTGGCCAGCTGATTGACAAGTCAGTTTCATCGGCAACCTTAATTCTGCCTTGTTACATAACCTAATAGAATCACAGATTCCTGAAGATAGGACATGGACATCCTAATGGGGCCATTATTCTGCCTACCACAATATTCAAATGGCAAGACCTCACATTGGTGAAATTAAAATCTTGCTCATACTCTGGCCCCATACTCCAGGAGCTGAACATGACAGAACATGACATTCACCTCATGAGAACCTCAGGTGTTCCTCTGCAATTCTAAATTAACTCATTTAAATGCCACCTTTTCATTCACTCGCCATTCTCATCTGCACTCAACTACTTTATTCTCTTTTTGTGGCTGAGAAAATTGAACCAATTAGAAGAGAATTTCCCAGTCCTTTCACTAACATATTTACCACCTTAGTAGCATCTAAGCACTCTGTTTCTCTACTGTTAAAATAGATGAACAGCCCTTGCTCCAATTGAGACCAACTCCTAGACTTGTGAACTAGATTTTATGCTTTTTGCCTACACAGGTCTTTGTAGTTTCACTTTATCTCCTTTCCTTGTATCTTTATTTTTTTCCTTCTTAAATGAATTTTTCCCATTAGGATACAAATATGCTATTATATCTTCCCAAATAAAATAAACAGCAATGACAAAAAGCTCCCTTTAGACAAGTCTTACTCAAGATACTGCTCCTTTTCACAAAATACTTGTGTATACTTTTGGTTTTCACTTCTCCTATTATCTCTTACACTCATTCCTATTAGGTTTTCATTACTCTGACTCCATTTAATTCACTCTTATCAAGGTAGGCAATGACTTCTATATCCCAAGATCTATTGGTTAATTCTTAGTCTGCATCTTCTTCATCCTTTTTGTAACAATTGACAGTGGGGTTCCAGGATTCTACATCCCCCAGTTTTCTTTCTGCTTCATTGCCAGTCTTCTACACTCAATTTCTTCTTCTCACTTTCTCAATTTCTAAACACTGAAAGACTCCAAGATTCAGTTTTCAGACCTCCTCCTCATATAAGTCCATGATTTTTAACACTATCTATCAAATTGATAACTCCAAAATTTACTCTTCCAGCTCTGATCTCTCTAGGAGTTTGCATTCAGATATTTAACTTGTGACTGGGCATCTTTACTTGGATGCCTATCAAGGATTACTTATTACTTTATCCGAAACTAACCTCTTCATGCCCCACACTGAAAGGTGCTCTCCTCCTATATTATTTTCAAATTCATCATCAAATAGCTATACCCATTGGCTCTAACTTTTAACTATAACCCAAGACTAACCTTTTCTCACCATCTCCTTTAATATCTCCCTAGCCTACTCCACAACCAGTCATTGTTTGCTAGACCAAAGCAATAGTTTTTTATCTAGTCTCTCTTTTCTACTCTTATCTGGTAAAGTTCATTCCATTTTTTATTATAAAAAAACCAAGTAATCCATTAAAATTTTATCTGTTCGTGTCACTTTTCTGCTCAAAATCTTTTATTAGCTTTCCTGCGTGCTTAGATAGAATCCATATCTTACCATGACCTATAAGTTCCTTCGTGTTATGGCCAACCTCACTTCCTCCTACTTGTTCCCTTGTTCACTGTATCCAGTCACTCTGGCTTCATTAGTCTTTAAATGTGCCAAACAAATTTTAACTTTAGGGAATTTGTTTTCAGTGTTCTTACTCCAGGAATTATCTTCTCTCATATACTGTCATAGACTTGTCCTTCACTCCATCTAAGACTTTATCTAAATGTCTTCTCCTTAGAGGATATTTCTGATATTCCAGTCTGAAATACATTTGCAGTCACTATCTTTTCCCTCACTCCTGATTTATTTTTCTTCAAGACCTTTTTCTAAAATATCCAATATAGTATATATTTGTTAGTTTATTTGTTTTCTGAATCTCCCACTAAAATCAAAGCTATGAGAGAGGAAAACTTTTGGCTTTTTGGTTTATCCCTGTATTCTGAGAGCCTAGAGGAGTAACTAGAACCACAGAAAGTTCTCTTTAGTTATTGATTGAATTGACTAAATAAATATATTTTGTTGAACTTTTAAATCTATACATAGTATAGCTCTTCACTTCTGTCCTTTTACAAATTTAAATAATGTTCTGAAACCTATAGTGATTTTCAGCAATAGAGTTCTTAGAGCTAAAGTGCTTTCTGATAGTGAGAAAGAGAATAAGAAAAAGAGGGTGGAGGAAGAGGGAGATGGAAAGTGAGAGGGAGAGGGAAAGAGAAAGGAAGAGAGAGAAAGAGAAACTTTTTACTTCTTACATCTCAGACAACTAGTACTCTAAGTACTCCGCCATTTTGGAACATGTCATGTGAATTTATTTTCTGGAATATTCATGCTTTGCTCCAGATCAACTAAAAAAATTGTGGGTAGAGGTATAGGCATCAGTTATATTTTAAAGTTTCACAGATGATTTCAATATTCAGCCAAGGTTGAAAACCATTTTTCTAAATGCTAAGAACCAGGGATGAAGTCATAAACAGCACAGTTAAAACCTAGCTTCCTCTGAGGCAGTCACTCTCCCACTACCACCATTCTTTTCTCTATCTTACTTGTGGCTCTCACAGCACTATGCTTTCATTATACTCTTGACCTTTACTTGTTACTGCCTTTGGGATCTCTGTCTCCCCTTCCTTTTCCAACTCTCATTTGTCCTTCTAGACTCTCCTCAGAATCCTCAAAACTTCCTCAAATTTCTTCTCAGGGCTTGTAAGAGAATGTCTTCCTCTGGACCCCTCAGCATTCCATCCTTTCTTCCACCATCACATTGGCTAAACACTTTTAATTATCTGTTTTTATTTCAGTTTTGATCAGACTGAATGCTCTTTGAGGTCAGAGACCATATTATATCAGTCTATGTCTTCTCAGCTTCTACAAAAATGCTCAGTGAATGTTGGACTAGTAAACTGAAATCATGAGGCTATTTGAGGTAAGAACTGACTGGCACTGCCACAGCTTTGAGACAGAGTTTAGTAGGACTTGTCATAGCCAGCGGAGAGTAACTTGTGATCACCAGTGCATGAATGTTGGGACTCACCTCTCAGGACATGATGGTTACCACTCTGAGCAAAAAAAATATATGAGACTTTCTATTGAGAAGGAGACAGTCCAGTGTATAAAATTGTCAGAAATGTATGTTTGATGTTATGTGGTCTGATTTCCCCAATTTAATTTTTCCTAGATCTTACTATACTTAAGATCTTCATCATGAAAAAGATGTATATAAATTGTGTCCCAAAAGACCATCAGTGGTTGTCTTGGAATTCAGGTTTTTTTTTTATTATTATTTGTTTGTTTTTTAAAGCACATTTAAGAAAAGACCAGAGGCATTCTTCTGAGACTTCTGCTACGGTTTGAATGTGTCTCCCAAATTTTGTATTGAAAACTTAATCCCCAGATTAATATGATGATGGAATCTGGAGACGGGGCTTTTGGGAGGTAATTAAGATAAAATGAGGTCATCAGGGTGTGGCCCCCATGATGGTATTCGTGGCTGTATAAAGAGTAAAAGAGAGACCTGAGCTAGCATGCTTGTCCTGTCTCATCAGGGAATGCCTTCCACAATATCTTGACATAGCACAAGGTCCTCACCAGATGCCACTGCCATGTTTTCAGGCTTCCCAGACTCTAGAACCATGAGCTAAATAAACCTCTATTATTTATAAATTACCCAGTCTGTGGTATTCTGTTATAGCAATGGAAAATGGACTAAGACACCTTTCTCGATCAAATATTTTTCAAGTTGCTTGGTCAGGAAAAGCAAAAATTAACACCAAGTGTCCATTATTTTATATTTTAGATAGTTGCATAAGTAAGGTTGTCTTCATTGACTGTTTAACAAATTATATTTTTTATTTCATAGTGTGACCCTATCATTCTCAGCTAATATTCTGTCTCTCTTTACTAACTTATGAGGTTAAAACAGTTCGTATATTATTATAGATAGCTATCCAGACAAAGGTAGACACAGACTGATAATGGAGCAAAGATTCTGCAGCCAAATGTGGACAGACAAGGAAAGAAGCTTATTCCTGGCACAGTATGACAAATGCACAGCCAAGTGCAGATCTACGGTGATCCCTATTGAACTCAAATCAGATGGGAAGTGATGTTGTTACTGTAAAATTAAGTCATGTCTGGTTATTTTTACATTAAAACAAAAATGACAATAGGAGAGATGATCAATAATGATCTGAACAACAATAATAACAGCAGTAAACTATGGAACATCATCCTTTTTGAACTCACTTTTCCATAATGTGAAGGGCTTCCTAAACTTTCTTGAAGAATTAGTTAAAATAATAAAAAATTATAGAACTAGTGCAGGCTTTTTATATTGCTGAAGGAAATGTTTAGTGAAAAGAAGGAAATTCTTCATGATGAGTATAGACTTTACAAGTGTTTAATGTTGGGTGCAAAGAGCAGAAATGACACCATTGGACTCAGGCAGAGTAGGATACTTTCTGGTAAGGCAGTGGTTCTGAACTGGGACCATTTTACCCCTAAGGGACATTGGGCAATGTCTAGAGTATTTTTGGTTGTCACAAGCTGGGGAAGGGGCACTACTGGCATCTAGTGAGTAAAAGTCAGGGATACTGCTAAATATCCAACAATACACTAGACAGTCGCCACAATAGAGAGTTATCTGAACCGAAACTTTAATAGTGTTGAAGCTGAGAAACTCTTCTTGTAAGGCAAACTCAGTTAAAATTCTGGCTCCAACACATAATAGCTGCGTGGCTTTGGAAAATTGTTCTTGCCTACCTATGCCTTAGTTTTCCCATATGTAAAATGAAAATAATCTACCTTGTGGAGTTTTCAGCAGGTTTAAATAAGGTAATTTGTGGAAAGTTTCTCTCAAGTTGTCTTACATATAGTAAATATGTAAAGAAACTGGTGTATGACTATTGAGATATTGTAGCTGGATTCAGAGGTTAATTCCTTCTTCCACCCCAGAAGGAAGTTTCAGCAATTCTGATAAATGGTTTTTTAACCTTATTGCCTGATTTCTCTGAAAACCCCAAACCATTGTAATATAGCTCTAATTGTTAGATATTGCTCTCTGATATCATACCTAAGCTTCCTACCTGAAATTTGAACTCATTTGTTTTAGGAGTTTCCTCTGGAACAAAACACCACAAGTTTATTACCTTTTCACGTGGCAGCCCTTCAAATTCCGGCAAACTACATGACCTGAGACAAAAAAGTAAAGTTTTCTGGGCATTATCTGCAAAATGGGAATAAAAATACTTACCCTAGGGATTTCTTGTAGTAATATCATGAGCTAATGTAGGTTGCAGGATCAAACGTAATGCTTCACAATTTGAAGTCTTAGAAGTGTTTGCTTCTTTTTTTCTGCTATTGCCCCCTTTGGACATAGCCAAACTGTATCAGGCAGTAAAATGGAAGTCAAAAAGCATCACTGGATTTAGTCACAAATAGTAGTTGACTTGATCCAAGTGGCTAGAATGAAAGCAGGGCTTTATACAATTAGGCTTTAAAAAATTAAACAGTATGATCAGGCCAAGCTTACACCGGTAATCCCAGCAGTTTGGGAGGTTGAGGAGGGGGGATCACTTGAGGTCAGGAGTTTGAGACCAGCCTGGCCAACATGGTGAAACCCTGTCTCTCCTAAAAATACAAAAATTAGCCGAGTGTAGTGGCGGGCACCTGTAATCACATCTACCTGGGCAGCTGAGGCAGGAGAATCACTTGAACCCAGGAGGCGGAGGTTGCAGTGAGCCGAGATCATGCCACTGCACTCCAGCTTGGGCAACAGAGCAAGACTCCAACTCAAAACAAACAAACACCCTATGATCATTTATTATATATATATGGTCCTTTGATCTTATAGAAAGGGAATTGCAGCAAATGTTGGTGACAGGAAAATAAGTACTCAACAAATATGAAGACTCATTGCTGCTTATAGAAATGAAATTTCACAAAAGAATTATTTTTATTTTCCATCAAGTTGTCCTGTGAGATATTTTGAAAATGGACCTTCTCAAGTGCTCACTGGATTCATCAACCCACAATGACTGAGCCAATATAATGCTTCAGTGACTTTATGCGGCTGGAGAGATGGCAAAGAAGGGTTCATCTCTGCCCAGAGTATAAGGGAAGGCAGACACTGGATGAATCATGGCAATGTGACACAATCAGTTCTCCAGTGGAAACAGCATGCAAGACTTCTGAAAGCTTCAGTGCATCAAATCTCCAGGGTGTGGCCTGTTGATGTGTGTTTTCTTTTCTAGGATAGGAGAAAATAGTCATCAGATCCTACTTGCTCATATCTAAACGTTTGATATTGTTAATGTGTTTTGACAAATCCAAAAGCTCATTTTAATTTCTTTAGGACTTGTAGTGGTTGAGTCTGTGCTTAGTCTATGTCTACAGCAGAGTGTACCCTGCTAGTTTTTAAATCTGATATTGTGCTACAGGGAATTCTCAGTGAAGACTGTTTTTGCTTTCAACCTTTCTGCCAAACCTAGGGAGCAACCAGCAACTCAAGCCACTTTGAGGACATAATGAGTGTTCCTGCCAAGTATGCTGTGGTTTTCTGGCTACCCTGAGCTACTTTGCTGAAGAGACCTTTACAGTTAGGGGCCCAGGGCTTTAAGTACTCTATGCAAGCCAGAGACTCCCATGTACATGTCTCCCACACTCATCCCTTTCCAGAAGTCCAGGATCATGTATCCAGAAGCCTACTTCACATAGCTACCTGCTTACCTAACATACATATCAAAGAATATATGTTCAAAAGAAAACTCTTGGTTCCCCATACTGCAAAATTATGCCTCCCATAGACTTTTATAACTTAGGGAATGGTATTACCATCCATTCAGTATTTAAGCCAAAAGTCTTTTAAAAAAACCTTATTTATTTATTTATTTATTTATTTATTTATTTATTTATTTTTGAGATGGACTTTCATTCTTGTTACCCAGGCTGGAGTGCAACGGCGCAACCTTGGCTCACTGCAACCTCCGCCTCCCGGGTTCACGCAATTCTCCTGCCTCAGCCTCCAGAGTAGCTGGGATTACAGGTGTATGCCACCACGCTCTGCTAATTTTTTGTACTTTTAGTAGAGACGGGGTTTCACCATGTTGGCCAGGCTGGTCGCGAACTCCTGACCTCAGGTGATCCACACGCCTCAGCCTTCCAAAGTGCTGGGATTGCAGGTGCAAGCCACTATGCCCGGCTTTTCCTTAATTCTTCTCTTTCTTTCTTGCCCATCAGCAAGTCACCTCAATTCATCTCATAACACATCTCAAACCTGGTTATTTTCCTCCATGTCCAATGTAGTCACTGTAGTCCTATCCATTATTACATACTGCCTAGACAGCTGCTGTAGCCTACCAAATGGAATCTGTTTTCACGCTTGCTGCGTTTTAGTTCTCCAAACAGCTGCTTGGGTTACCTACTTAATACATAACTAAGATTAATGTGGCTCCCTACATTGCATTTCAATTCTACCGAACTTCCCCTAAACTAAAAGATATCTAAATAATTATCTATCTGTTGAATAAAAGCCCATGGCATAGGGAAGATAATATATTGTAGAATCAAAGAGATCATTCATTATTAAATCCTAAGCTTTTCTACACAACAGTTGTGTAAATTTGAGCAAGTTACCTAACGTCTTTAAGCCTAATTTCCCACTTTAAAAAATAAATTAAAAATATTACCTCCTCTTGTTCATTCACTTATCCTGAAAATTATTCTAGAAGTTGTTGTTGAACTTCTAAACTGTGTCAGGTACTGTGATGAGCACTGACATAAAAAGTAAATAAAATAGATGTCACCTATCTTCAGGTTGCTTAAAGTTTATAACTGCATATAACAGGTGTTGAATACATAACAAGCACTTAGTAAACAATGGGTGTTTTGATTTTCTTCCCCTGCTGACACCCTAGGGATCACCTATGTCAACCCTCCTTAAACATCTCCTGATTCTTAATCCATGGGTATTTTTAGTTTACCATGGCGCCTTATGCTATCATCTATTGCAACAATATCCAGCTTTATATTTAAAAAAAAAAACCCGAAGTTCTTAATCCTACAAAAGATCACTTGGATAATCCTCTTAATGAAATTTAGGAAAAGGATGCAATTACTGTCCTCAAGATGTAACACAGCATTTTTGTAACCATATCAAGGCTACCGTTTTCTAAAATCTATGTTATACAAAGCTGGACACTGGCCAGGAAGTAGATCAATTTAGTCTGGGAAATCA
Organism: Homo sapiens; assembly: GCF_000001405.40. Classification (NCBI taxonomy): domain Eukaryota; kingdom Metazoa; phylum Chordata; class Mammalia; order Primates; family Hominidae; genus Homo; species Homo sapiens. The sequence continues at coordinate 128,775,168 of NC_000008.11, read as the reverse complement.
GAGCTGTTTTCAGAAAGGAAATAAATGACAATCCTTATTTTTCTCTCTTAGATTTTGAGTTTACAAAGTGTAAAGGGGAAGGAGGTGTCTATAAGAGAGGTCAAGAGAGGTTCTAATAAAGATACAGGATCTACTAAACAGCCAGGCTTCTGGAATAAAATTAACCTCAAAAAGCTTCACTGATGATCCGTGGTCAACTTAGAGGCAAAAAAACATGAAAGAGAGTTCCAGCAGAACCAGTGGCTGATACAAGAAACTACCCTCCTACCCAGCCTTCTCAGTAGTTGTTTTGTATTTTGGGGAACCACAGCTGAGCTCCCTTAAAATGCTGGCAAGAATCCAGATGACAGCAGTGAAGACCAAGGCATATTAGAGTGTCCATGGACAGTCTACAATGTTGATACCACTTGGCCGCAGGAACCCATACAGTGAAGGATGGAAAAGGATGGAAACTGAACAGGCTTTGTATTCCCTTCCATGTGCCATTGAAGTCGAAATGAGCTGTCTGGTCAACTGAGCAAATACCACAGGATTAAAGACAAGATGAAAGAATGATCAGGAATTTGAGGAGACACACAACTTCCTGCTAATATACATAAGAGAATTTGAGAAATATTTTTAAAAATTATGATATGGACTGTATTTTAACAATTTTAATAATGTTTCTAGAGCAAGTAATCTTAAGTAATTTCATTTAATCCTCTTAATGAAATTTAGGGAAAGGATGCAATTACTGTCCTCAAGATGTAACAAAGCATTTTTGTAACCATACCAAGGCTACCATTTTCTAAAATAAACAGGTGTCTGGCAAGAGCTGAGTAGGGCTTCAGCCATATATAGTACCCATTAGATGTGATAAAGTGCATGAGCAGCTGAGTGTGTACATTGAAGTCTATACATAAATGTGTGATGTTTATAACAAAATACAAGAATTAGGTTTTAATTACAGTGACAAACAGCCAGATGACACCTATGACCACAAAGAACAATGCAGTCTTATATTTGGAGTAGACTGACATTCTAAAAACCACAACTTCAGCTTGTGTCACCTTCAAGTTAGCTCAGGCCAACGGGTCTTGAGCACCAGGATACATGACCTTTGATGGGCAAAATGTCACTGCAACAATTCTGGAAAGGCTGGTTAAAATCCCCTCAGACACGATATCAATAGTTTATTTTCTTATTTAGCACCAGGAGCTCTTGCCCTCATTCTTCAAAGGGAGCCACAATTCAGTTCACAGCAGAGAAAAGTGAAAAGAACAGGTCTCCCATGATAAATTGAGCTTATTTTCAGAGCCTATGCATCTAGTTCTGAAGTGGTTTGATTTTCATTTGTACTAAACAAGCAAACACAGTTGACCTTTGAACAACAGAAGTTTGAACTGTAGGGTTACACTCATGCACAGCTTTTCTTCTGCCTCTGCCACTCCTGAGACAACAAGACCAACACCTTCTCTTCCCCAGCCTCCTTAATGTGAAGATGAGGATAGAGAACTTTATGATCTAATTGCACTTAATGAATAGTAAATATATTGTCTTTTCCTTATGATTTTCTTAATAACATTTTCTTTTTTTCTAGCTTACTTTCTTGTAAGACTACAGTAAATAATGCATATAACACACCAAACATGTTAATCAACTGTATAAGTTATTGATAGGACTACCAATCAACAGTAGGCTATCAGTAGTTAAGTTTCTGGTGAGTTAAATTTATATGTGAATTTTTGACTGTGCAGGGTGTCAGCACCCCTAAACTCTGCATGGTTCAAGGATCAAATTATGTACTCTGGAAACAATTCTGATTCCACATACCTACACACCAATGGGTAAGTCTCTTCCTTTAGGTCTTCATTTTCATACCTGTTAAACAGAAGTTGATCAGGGAGTTTCAGAAAGCCCCTTCTGGCTCTGGCAGCACAGCTCTGCTCATGCAGGGCCATTGACCTGGGAAGACTGAGCTCTACACTGGTCCAGCCAAAGCCTCTTTCCTCTCTGTGCTTCAGATCACTGGCAGCTTTTGGGCCATTTCACTCTGAGCTTACATTCAGGACATTTCTTTGCATTAAGAAGGCTCTTGTTCTTGAGTCCCAATCTATTAATCACATTTCACCTTATTAAGTCCCTGCTTCGAGCCCTGAGGCCCCTCTCCTTGTATAGTAGGTTAATTTGCTGCTTCAGCAACTGCATTAGTTTCCAGTGGGTCCCCCTACCCAGCCTTCGCTTCAGACCAAGAGAAGTGTCTTATTGGAGAAAAGGTAGATTGCAACTTTAAAGAAGCTCTTTATGAATGTCCTTTTCTCAATGTAAGCATCTACACACTCAGGATAAATGAGAATCAGTGGACATTAGGGACTAATAGACACATCTAGGCATTTCTTCTGTACACAATTATTAAGCATCTTCTATATACCATGCACTGTGCTAAGGGCATTTTAGATATTTTTATATTAATATATATCTAGCTCCCACTTACAAGTGAGAACATATGATATTTGGTTTTCCATTCCTGAGTTATTTCACTTAGAATAATGGTCTCCTATTCCATCCAGGTTGCTGCAAATGCCATTATTTTATTCCTTTTTATGGCTGAGTAGTATTCCATGGTGTGTGTATATAACACACACACAAACACACACACACATACATGTGATATATATCATATTTTCTTTGTCCACTCATTGGTGATGGGCATTTAGGCTGGTTCTATATTTTTGCAGTTGCAAATTGTGCCTCTATAAACGTGGAGGTGCATGTGCCAGTGTCTTTTTCACATAATGACTTCTTTTCCTCTGGGTAGATATCCAGCAGTGGGATTGCTAGAACAAATGGTAGTTCTACTTTTAGTGCTTTAAGGAATCTCCACACTGTTTTCCATAGTGATTGTACTAGTTTACATTCCCACCAACAGTGTAAAAGTGTTCCCTCTTCACCATATCTATGCCAACATTTTTTATTTTTTATTTATTAATTATGACCATTCTTGCAAAAGTAAGGTGGTATCTCGTTGAGGTTTTAACTTGCATTTCCCTGATAATTCGTGATATTGAGCTTTTTTTTTTTTAATATGTTTGTTGGACATTTGTATATCTTCTTTTGAGAAATGTCTGTTCATGTCCTTTGCCCACTTTTTGATGGGAATATTTGTTTTTTTCTTGGTGATTTGCTTGAGTTTCTTGAAGATTCTGGATATTAGTCATTTGTTGGATGCATAGTTTGCAAATATTTTATCCCACTCTGTGGGTTGCCTGTTTACCCTACTGATTATTTCTTTTGCTGTGCAGAAGCTTTATAATTTAATTAGGTCCCATCTATTTATTTTTGCTTTCATTGCATTTGCTTTTAGGTTCTTGGTTCATGGGCTTTTTGCCTAAGCCAATGTCTGGAAGAGTTTTTCTGATGTCTTTCAGAATTTTTATGGTTTCAGGTTTTAGATTTAAGTCTTTGACCCATCCTGAATTGATTTTTGTATAAGGTGAGAGATGAAAATCTAGTTTCATTCTTCTACATGTGGCTTGCCAATTATCCCAGCACCATTTATTGTATAGGAGGTACTTTCCTCACTTTATATTTTTGTTTGCTTTGTCTAAGATCAGTTGGTTGTAAGTATTTGGCTTTATTTCAGGGTTTGCTATTCTGTTCCAGTGGTCTATGTGTCTATTTTTATACCAGTATCATGCTGTTTTGGTAACTTCAGCCTTGTAGTACAGTTTGAAGTTGGGTAATGTGATGCCTCCTGATGTGTTCTTTTTGCTTAGACTTGCTTTGGCTATATGGGGTCATTTTTGGTTCCATATGAATTTTAGAATTATTTTTTCTAGTTCTTTGTAGAATGATGATGGCATTTTGATGGAAATTGCATTGAATCTATAGGTAGCTATTGGCAGTATAATCATTTTCACAGTATTGTTTCCACCCATCAATGAGTATGGGAAATTTTAAATTTCCTTGCAGAGCTCTTTCACCTCTTTGGTTAGGTATATTGTTAAGTATTTTATTTTATCTTTGCATCTGTTATAAAAAGGCTTAAGCTCTTGACTTGATTCTCTGCTTGGTTGTTGTTGATGTATAGCAGTGCTACTGATTTGTGCACATTGATTTTGTATCCTGAAACCTTACTGAATGTATTTATCCCATCTAGGAGCTTTTTGGATGAGTCTTTAGGTTTTCTAGGTATATAATCATATCATCAGCAAACAACTACGGGTTGACTTCCTCTTTACTGATCTGGAATACCCTTTATTTCTTCTCTTTTCATGATTGCTCTGGATAGAACTTCCAGTACTATGTTGAATATAAGTGGTAAAAGTTGCAGCCTTGTTTTGTTCCAGTTCTCAGGGAGAATGCTTTCAAGTTTTCCCCATTCAGTATAACGTTGGCTGTGGGTTTGTCATAGATGGCTTTTATTACCTTGAGGTATGTCCCTTCTATGCCAATTTGCTGAGGCTGTTAATAACAATGTGATGCTGGATTTTGTCAAATGCTTTTTCTGCATCTATTGAGATGATCATATGATCTTTGTTTTTAATTCTGCTTATGTCTTGTATTATATTTACTGACTTGCATATATTTAACCATCCCTGCCTCCCTGGTATGAAACTCACTTGATTATGGTGTATTATCTTTTTGATATGCTGAAGAACATAACAAGAAAAGAAAACAACAGACTCATATTCCTGATGTACATAGATGCAAAAATCCTCAACAAACTCTGAACAGTCCAATAAAAAGTAGTGCGATTGAAACAGTAATAAAAAATTCGCCAACAACAAAAAAAGGCCAGGACCAAATGGATTCACAGCTGAATTCTACCAGGTATTCAAAGAAGAATTGCCACAATATTACTGAAAGTATTCCAAAAGATAGAGAAAGAGGGAATCCTCCCTAAATCGTTCTATGAAGCCAGTATTACCCTAATACCAAAACCAGGAAAGGACTTAACACTAAAAGAACACTACAGACTGTCTTCTCTCTTCTTTTCTCTGTTAATCTCACTAATGGTCTATCAATTTTGTTTATCTTTTAAAAAAATGCATCTTTTTGTTTCATATATTGTTTGTATTGTTTTCGTTTCAATTTCATTTAGTTCTGCTCTGATCTTTGTTATTTCTTTTATTCTGCTGTGTTTGGGATTGGTTTGTTCTTGTTTCTCTAGTTCCTTGAGGGGTGACCTTAAATTGTCTATTTGTACTCTTTCAGGCTTTCTGATGTAGGCATTTAATGCTATGAAATTTCCTCTTAGTACCGCTTTTGCTGTATCCCAGAGATTTTGATAAGTTGTGTCACTATTATCACTCAGTTCAAAGAATTTTTAAATTTCCATCTTAATTTTATTGTCAACCCAAAGATTATTCAACAGCAGATTGATTTCCATGTATCTGTATAGTTTTGAGGGTTCCTTTTGGAGTTAATTTCCAGTTTTATTCCATTTGTGGTCTAAGAAGATACTTGATATAATTTTGATTTTCTTAAATTTATCAAGACTTGTTTTATGACCTTTCATATGGTCTATCTTGGAGAATGTTTCATGTGCTGATGAAAAGAATGTATATTCTGCAGCTGTTAGGTAGAATGTTCTGTAAATATCTGCTAAGTCCATTTGTTCCAGGGTATAGTTTATGTCCGTTATTTCTTTGTTAACTTTGTCTTGATGGCCTGTCTAGTGCTGCTAGTGGAGTATTAAAGTACCCTACTGTTATTGCATTGCCCTCTATCTCATTTCTTAGGTCTGGGAATATTCGTCTTACGAATTTGGAAGCTCCAGTGTTAGGTGCATAAATATTTAGGATTGTGATATTTTCCTGTTGGACCAATCCCTGTATCATTACATAATGTCCCTCTGTCTTTTTTTTTAACTGTTTCTTTAAAGTCTGATTTGTCTGATTTACGAATAGCTGCTTCTACTTGCTGTTAGTTTTCATTTGTGTGAAATATCTTTTTCAATCTCTTTACCTTAAGTTTATGTGAATCTTTATGTATTAGGTGAGTCTCTTGAGGAAGGCAAATATTTGCCCAGTGGATTTTTATTCATTCTGCCAGTCTGTATCTTTTAATTCAGGGTGTCTAATCTTTGACTTCCCTGGGTCATGTTGGAAGAAGAAGAATTGTCTTGGGCCACACATAAAATACACTAACAATAGCTGATGAGCTAAAAAAAGAAAAAAATCACAAAAAAAGTCATAATGTTTTAAGAAAGTTTATGGATTTGTGTTGGGCTGTATTCAAAGCTATCCTGAGCTGCATGCAGCCTGCAGGCTGCAAGTTAGACAAGCTTGTTTTGGGTGGAGCCTTTAGGCCATTTACATTCAACATTAGTATTGAAATGTAAAGTACCGTTCTATTCATCATGCTAGTTGTGATTCAATGCCTTGTTTTTTTCACTGTGTTATTGTTTCATAGGTCCTGTAAGGTTTATGCTTTAAGGAGGTTCTATTTCGGTATATTTCAAGGTTTTATTTCAAGATTTAGAAATTCTTCTGGCATTTCTTGTATTGCTGGCTTGGTATTGGTGAATTCTCTCAGCATTTGTTCATCTAAAAAAGACTTTATCTCTCCTTCATTTATGAAACTTAGATTGACGAATACAAAATTCTTGGCTGGCTTGTAAGATTCCTGCTGAGAAACCTGCTGTTAATCTGATAGGTTTTCCTTTATAGGTTACCTGATGCTTTTGTCTCACATCTCTTATGATTCTTTCCTTCATCTTGACTTAAGATAACCTGATGATTTATGTGCCTAAGTGATTATCTTTATGTGATGAATTTCCGCAATGTTCTTTGAGAGTCTTGTACTTGGATGTCTAGATCTCTAGCAAGGCAAGGGAAGTTTTCCTCAATTATTCCCTCAAATAAGCTTTCCAAACTGTTAGATTTCTCCTCAGGAACACCAATTATTCTTATGTTTGACCATTTAACATAATCCCAAGTTTCTTGGAGGGTTTGTTCATTTTTTAAAACCCTTTTTACTTTGTCTTTGTCTGACTGGATTAATGTGAAGGCCTTGTCTTTAAGCTCTGAAGTTCTACTTGTTGTAAGTCTATTGTTGAAACTTTTCAGTGCATTTTGTATTTCTCTAAGTGTGTCTTATATTTCCTGAAGTTCTGATTGTTGTTTTCTTTATATCTATTTCTCTGCAGAATTTTTCAACCATATTCTGCATTTTAAAAAATTTGTTTAAGTTGATTTTCATTTTTCTCTGGTATCTCCTTGAGTAGCTTAATAATCAACCTTCTGAATTCTTTATCTGACAATTCAGAGATTTCTCCTTGGTTTGGATCCATTACTGGGGAGCTAATGTAATCTTTATCTTTTAGGGGGTCTTACAAATCCCTGTTTTGTCATATTACTGGAGTACTTTTCTAGTTCCTTCTCATTTGGGTAGACTATTTAAGTGGAAAGGCCTGGAACTCAAGGCCTGCTCTTTAGATTCTTTTGTCCCATGGGATGATCCCTTGATGTGGTACCCTTCCCCTTCCCCTAGGGATGGGTCTTCCGGAGAGCCAGACTTCAGTGATTATTATTTCTCTTCTGGGTCTAGCCATTCAGCAGGACTACCAGGCTCTGGGCTGGTGCTGGGGAATGTCTGAAAATAGTCCTCTGATATGATCTGTCTTCAGGTGTCCCAGCCATGGATACCAGCACCTGCTCTGGTGGAGGTGGCAGTGGAGTGAAATAGACTCTGTGAGAGTCCTTGGTTGTAGATATGTTTAGTCCACTGGCTTCCTTGAATGTTGGCTATGCTAGCAGTGAAGTTGTCACACAGACAGGCTCAGGACCTCTGGTTAACCAGGATGTTGCAGGCAGTAGAATTAGCTGTTGTTTTCTCCTTCCTGGGAGCAGGGTTATTCTGTCATGAGTTGCTGTAATGGCCTAAGTTGGTTGGCCTCCAGCAAGGAGGTGACTCTTTCAAGAGAGCACCAGCTGCCGTAGTAGTAGGGGGATCTATCTAAGCTTAAGCTTGCCCTAAGTTGGCCAGGTTGAGTATTCTGGTTTCTCAAGTGATGGGTCATAAGACCCTGAAGAGTTTATTTGTTTTGTGTTCAGGTACCAGGGTGGGTAGAGAAATACTATCAGGTGGGAGCAGATTTAGGCAGATCTGGGCTCAGACTCTCCTTGGGTGGGGCTTGCTATTGCCACTGTGGAGGTAGGAGGGGGTGGCTCTCAGACCAATACAGTTAAGTTCCGTAAGGGATTATGGCTGCCTCTGCAGTGTCATAGTTTGCCAGGGAATTGGGGGATAGTTACTAATGAAAGGCCTTACCCAGTTCCTACATGGTTGGCAAGAAGCCTTGCTCCACAGTGCCCTGCTCAGACCTTCCCCCAGACAGTAAGCTTCCCTGCTAAGAAAGCAAGCACAGCTTTTAGGCCTCTCCCTCCCCATCTGCCCACAATATTGGCAGTGGACTCTTGCACTCATGTCTCCAGCAGTTCCTATTTGCTTCTGGATTCTGCTTAAGAAAATTCATGCCCAGTCGAAATTATCCCAAATTTCAATTGGAAGCTTCTTTCACCCTGTGACCCCTCTTTAATTTTGGTGGCTGCCTTCTCCAAGGGCCCCAGTGGAATATAGTCAGGGATGGCTTCCCTGGGCTTGAGCTGGGGACCTAGAATGCCTACAAGGCTTTTCCTGCTGCTGCTTCCACTTTCATATTTTGCGCAGCTCCCTAAATTCATTTCAGCTCTGGGTAAGGTTAAATCCTTCTCCTGTGATCTGGATTTTCAGATTCCCCAGTAAGGATGCATGTTCTGAGGCAGGTTTTCCCCACTCGCACTTTGGGAATTCAGTTTTTCTCCTGTCTCATGGAATTTGCAACAGCATGACACTTCTTTCAAAGGGTCTGTGAATTCCTTCAGTTTTCCTCGTGCATTCTTGTGGTGGTTCTTGGAGCAAATGTTCATAGTGTGAGCCTCCACACACTGTTCTGTCCATCCAGATGGAAATTGAACATTAACCCTGTCTCCTATACACCATCATCTTCCTCAAAAAATGAGCTTGTTTTAATTTTTAGCTCCCACAAATAAGTGAGAATATGTGAAGTTTGTCTTTCTGTTCCTGACTGATTTTACCTAACGAATTCCATTTTCATCCATGTTGTTGCAAATAATGGAATCTCATTTCTTTTATGACTGTAGGTTCCATCTTCATTTTGTTGATTGTTTCCTTTGTTGTGCAGGAGCTTTTTTTTTTTTTTTTGTACTTTAAGTTATAGAGTACATGTGCACAACGTGCAGGTTGGTTACATACGTATACATGTGCCATGTTGTTGTGCTGCACACATTAACTCGTCATTTACATTAGGTATATCCCCTAATGCTATCCCTCCCCCCTCCCCCCAACGCACAACAGGCCCTGGTGTGTGATGTTCCCCTTCCTGTGTCCATGTGTTCTCATTGTTCAATTCCCACCTATGAGTGAGAACATGTGATATTTGGTTGTTTGTCCTTGTGATAGTTTGCTAAGGATGATGGTTTCCAGCTTCATCCAAGTCCATACAAAGGACATGAACTCATCCTTTTTCATGGCTGCATAGTATTCTATGGTGTGTATGTGCCAAATTTTCTTAATCCAGTCTATCATTGTTGGACATTTGGGTTGGTTCCAAGTCTTTGCTATTGTGAATAGTGCCACAATAAACATACGTGTGCATGTGTCTTTATAGCAGCATGTTTTATAATCCTTTGGGTATATACCCAGTAATGGGATGGCTGGGTCAAATGGTATTTCTAATTCTAGATCCTTGAGGAATTGCGACACTGTCTTCCACAATGGTTGAACTAGTTTACAGTCCCACCAACTGTGTAAAAGTGTTCCTATTTCTCCACATCCTCTCCAGCATCTGTTGTTTCCTGACTTTTTAATGATCACCATTCTAACTGGTGTGAGATGGTATCTCATTGTGGTTTTGATTTGCATTTCTTTGATGGCCAGTGATGATGAGCATTTTTTCATGTGTCTGTCAGCTGCATAAATGTCTCTTTTGAGAAGTGTCTGTTCATATCCTTTGCCTACTTTTTGATGGGGTTGTTTGTTTTCTTCTTGTAAATTTGTTTGATTTCTGTCTAGATTCTGGATATTAGCCCTTTGTCAGATGAGTAGATTGCAAAAATTTTCTCCCATTCTTTAGGTTACCTGTTCACTCTGATGGTGGTTTCTTTTGCTGTGCAGAAACTCTTTAGTTTAATTAGATCCCATTTGTCAATTTTGGCTTTTGTTGCCATTGCTTTTGGTGTGTTAGACATGAAGTCCTTGCCCATGCCAATGGTATTGCCTAGGTTTTCTTCTAGGGTTTTTATGGTTTTAGGTCTAACATGTAAGTCTTTAATCCATCTTGAATTAATTTTTGTACAAGGTGTAAGGAAGGGATCCAGTTTCAGCTTTCTACATGTGGCTAGCCAGTTTTCCCAGCACCATTTATTAAATAGGGAAGCTTTTCCCCATTTCTTGTTTTTGTCAGGTTTGTCAAAGATCAGATGGTTGTAGACGTGTGGTATTATTTCTGAGGGCTCTGTTCTGTTCCATTGGTCTATAGCTCTGTTTTGGTGTCAGTACCATGCTGTTTTGGTTACTATAGCCTCGTAGTATAGTTTGAAGTCAGGTAGTGTGATGCCTCCAGCTTTGTTCTTTTGGCTTAGGATTGACTTGGTGGTGCGGGCTCTTTTTCGGTTCCATATGAACTTTAAAGTAGTTTTTTCCAATTCTGTGAAGAAAGTCATTGGTAGCTTGATGGGGATGGCATTGAATCTATAAATTACATTGGGCAGTATGGCCATTTTCACAATATTGATTCTTCCTATCCATGAGCATGGAATGTTCTTCCATTTGTTTGTGTCCTCTTTTATTTCATTGAGCAGTGGTTTGTAGTTCTCCTTGAAGAGGTCCTTCACATCCCTTGTAAGTTCGAATCCTAGGTATTTTATTCACTTTGAAGCAATTGTGAATGGGAATTCACTCATGATTTGGCTGTCTGTCTGTTATTGGTGTATAAGAATGCTTGTGATTTTTGCACATTGATTTTGTATCCTGAGACTTTGCTGAAGTTGCTTATCAGCTTAAGGAGATTTTGGGCTGAGACGATGGGGTTTTCTGATACACAACCATGTCATCTGCATACAGGGACAATTTGACTTCCTCTTTTCCTAATTGAATACCCTTTATTTCCTTCTCCTGCCTAATTGCCCTGGCCAGAACTTCCAACACTATGTTGAATAGGAGTGGTGAGAGAGGGCATCCCTGTCTTTTGCCAGTTCTCAAAGGGAATGCTTCCAGTTTTTGCCCATGGAGTATCATATTGGCTGTAGGTTTGTCATAAATAGCTCTTATTATTTTGAGATATGTCCCATCAATACCTAATTTATTGAGAGTTTTTAGCATGAAGGGCTGTTGAATTTTGTCAAAGGCCTTTTCTGCATCTATTGAGATAATCATGGGGTTTTTGTCTTTGGTTCTGTTTATATGCTGGATTACGTTTATTGATTTGCGTATATTGAACCAGCCTTGCATCCCAGGGATGAAGCCCACTTGATCATGGTGGATAAGCTTTTTGATATGCTGCTGGATTTGGTTTGCCAGTATTTTATTGAGGATTTTTGCATCAATGTTCATCAGGGATATTGGTCTAAAATTCTCTTTTTTTGTTGTGTCTCTGTCAGGCTTTGGTATCAGGATGATGCTGGCCTCATAAAATGAGTTAGGGAGGATCCCTCTTTTTCTATTGATTGGAATAGTTTCAAAAGGAATGGTACTAGCTCCTCCTTGTACCTCCGGTAGAATTTGGCTGTGAATCCATCTTTTCCTGGACTTTTTTTGGTTGGTAGGCTATTAATTATTGCCTCAATTTCAGATCCTGTTATTGGTCTATTCAGGGATTCAACTCCTTCCTGGTTTAGTCTTGGGAGGGTGTTTGTGTCCAGGAATTTATCCATTTCTTCTAGATTTTCTAGTTTATTTGCATAGAGGTGTTTATAGTATTCTCTGATGGTAGTTTGTATGTCTGTGGGATCGGTGGTGATATCCCCTTTATAATTTTTTATTGTGTCTACTTGATTTTTCTCTCTTTTCTTCTTTATTAGTCTTGCTAGCAATCTATCAATTTTGTTGATCTTTTCAAAAAAAACAGCTCCTGGATTCACTGATTTTTTGAAGGGTTTTTTGTGTCTCTATCTCCTTCAGTTCTGCTCTGATTTTAGTTATTTCTTGCCTTCTGCTAGCTTTTGAATGTGTTTGCTCTTGCTTCTCTAGTTCTTTTAGTTGTGATGTTAGGGTGTCAATTTTGGATCTTTCCTGCTTTCTCTTGTGGGCATTTAGTGCTATAAATTTCCCTCTACACACTGCTTTGAATGCGTCCCAGAGATTCTGGTATGTTGTGTCTTTGTTCTTGCTGGTTTCAAAGAACATCTTTATTTCTGCCTTCATTTTGTTATGTACCCAGTAGTCATTCAGGAGCAGGTTGTTCAGTTTCCATGTAGTTGAGCGGTTTTGAGTGAGTTTCTTAATCCTGAGTTCTAGTTTGATTGCACTGTGGTCTGAGAGACAGTTTGTTATAATTTCTGCTCTTTTACATTTGCTGAGGAGTGCTTTACTTCCAAGTATGTGGTCAATTTTGGAATAAGTGTGATGTGGTGCTGAAAAGAATGTATATTCTGTTGATTTGGGGTGGAGGGTTCTGTAGATGTCTATTAGGTCTGCTTGGTGCAGAGCTGAGTTCAATTCCTGGATATCCTTGTTAACTTTCTGTCTCGTTGATCTATATAATGTTGACAGTGGGGTGTTAAAGTCTCCCATTATTATTGTGTGGGAGTCTAAGTCTCTTTGTAAGTCACTCAGGACTTGCTTTATGAATCTGGGTGCTCCTGTATTGGGTGCATATATATTTAGGATAGTTAGCTCTTCTTGTTGAATTGATCCCTTTACCATTATGTAATGGCCTTCTTTGTCTCTTTTGATCTTTGTTGGTTTAAAGTCTGTTTTATCCGAGACTAGGATTGCAACCTCTGCCTTTTTTTGTTTTCCATTTGCTTGGTAGATCTTCCTCCATCCCTTTATTTTGAGCCTATGTGTGTCTCTGCACGTGAGATGGGTTTCCTGAATACAGCACACTGTTGGGTCTTGACTGTTTATCCAATTTGCCAGTCTGTGCCTTTTAATTGGAGCATTTAGCCCATTTACATTTAAGGTTAGTATTGTTATGTGTGAATTTGATCCTGTCATTATGATGTTATCTGGTTATTTTGCTTGTTAGTTGATGCAGTTTCTTCCTAGCCTTGATGGTCTTTACAATTTGGCATGCTTTTGCAGTGACTGGTACCAGTTGTTCCTTTCCATGTTTAGCACTTCCTTCAGGAGGTCTTTTAGGGCAGGCCTGGTGGTGACAAAATCTCTCAGCCTTTGCTTGTCTGTAAAGTATTTTATTTCTCCTTCACTTATGAAGCTTCATTTGGCTGGATATGAAATTCGGGGTTGAAAATTCTTTTCTTTAAGAATGTTGAATATTGGCTCCCACTCTCTTCTGGCTTGTAGAGTTTCTGCCGAGAGATCAGCTGTTAGCCTGGTGGGCTTCCCTTTGTGGGTAACCCGACCTTTCTCTCTGGCTGCCCTTAACATTTTTTCCTTCATTTCAACTTTGGTGCATATAACAATTATGTGTCTTGGAGTTATTCTTCTCGAGGAGTATCTTTGTGGCGTTCTCTGTATTTCCTGAATCTGAACGTTGGCCTGCCTTGCTAGATTGGGGAAGTTCTCCTGGATGATATCCTGCAGAGTGTTTTCCAACTTGGTTCCATTCTCCCCGTCACTTTCAGGTACACCAATCAGACGTAGATTTGGCCTTTTCACATAGTCCCATATTTCTTGGAGGCTTTGTTCATTTCTTTTTATTCTTTTTTCTCTAAACTTTCCTTCTCGCTTCATTTCATTCACTTCATCTTCCATCGCTGATGATACCCTTTTTTCCAGTTGATCGCGTCGGCTCCTGAGGCTTCTGCATTCTTCATGTAGTTCTCGAGCCTTGGCTTTCAGCTCCATCAGCTCCTTTAAGCACTTCTCTGTATTGGTTATTCTAGTTATACATTCGTCTAAATTTTTTCAAAGTTTTTAACTTCTTTTCCTTTGGTTTGAATTTCCTCCTGTAGCTCGGAGTAGTTTGATTGTCTGAAGCCTTCTTCTCTCAACTCGTCACAGTCATTCTCTGTCCAGCTTTGTTTTGTTGCTGGTGAGGAACTGCATTCCTTTGGAGGAGGAGAGGCACTCTGCTTTTTAGAGTTTCCAGTTTTTCTGTTCTGTTTTTTCCCCATCTTTGTGGTTTTATCTGCTTTTGGTCTTTGATGATGGTGATGTACAGATGGGTTTTTGGTGTGGATGTCCTTTCTGTTTGTTAGTTTTCCTTCTAACAGACAGGACCCTCAGCTGCAGGTCTGTTGGAGTTTGCTAGAGGTCCACTCCAGACCCTGTTTGCCTGGGTACCAGCAGCGGTGGCTGCAGAACAGCAGATTTTCGTGAACCACAAATACTGCTGTCTGATCGTTCCTCTGGAAGTTTTTCCTCAGAGGAGTACCCGGCCGTGTGAGGTGTCAGTCTGCCCCCACTGGGGGGTGCCTCCCAGTTAGGCTGCTCGGGAGTCAGGGGTCAGGGACCCACTTGAGGAGGCAGTCTGCCTGTTCTCAGATCTCCAGCTGCTTGCTGGGAGAACCACTTCTCTCTTCAAAGCTGTCAGACAGGGACATTTAAGTCTGCAGAGGTTACTGCTGTCTTTTTGTTTGTCTGTGCCCTGCCCCTAGAGGTGGAGCCTACAGAGGCAGGCGGGCCTCCTTGAGCTGCGGTGGGCTCCACGCAGTTCGAGCTTCCCGGCTGCTTTGTTTACCTAAGCAAGCCTGGGCAATGGCGGACGCCCCTCCCCCAGCCTCACTGCTGCCTTGCAGTTTGATCTCAGACTGCTGTGCTAGCAATCAGCCAGACTCCGTTGGCGTAGGACCCTCCGAGCCAGGTGCGGGATATACTCTCCTGGTGCCCCATTTTTTAAGCCCGTTGGAAAAGTGCAGTATTAGGGTGGGAGTGACCTGACTTTCCAGGTGCTGTCTGTCACCCCTTTCTTTGACTAGGAAAGGAAACTCCCTGACCCCTTGTGCTTCCCGAGTGAGGCAATGCCTCGCCCTGCTTCAGCTCGCGCACGGTGCACTGCACCCACTGTCCTGCGCCCACTGTCTGGCACTCCCTAGTGAGATGAACCCGGTACCTCAGATGGAAATGCAGAAATCACCCGTCTTCTGTGTCGCTCACGCTGGGAGCTGTAGACCGGAGCTGTTCCTATTCGGCCATCTTGGCTGCCCCTCGACCTTTATTTCTCTCTCTTGTCTGAATCCTCTAAGACTTCTAGTACTAGGTTAAATAACAGTGGTAGAGTGGGAATCCTTGTATTGTTTCAAACCTTAAAGGAAAGGCTTTCTATTTTCCCTATTCAGTATGATACTAGCTATGGGTCTGTTGTATATGGCTTTTATTATATTGAGGTATGTTTCTTCTGCACCCAGTTTTTTGAGGGTTTTTTTCATAAAAAATGTTGAATTTTATCAAATGCTTTTTCAGCATCAATTGAAATGATCAGACGGTTTTTGTCTTTCATTCTGCTGAACTATGTACCATATTGATTCATTTGCATATGCTGAACCATCCTTGCATTCCTGAGATAAATCCCACTTGATCATGATAAATTGTATTTTTACTATATTGTTGAATTTGGTTTGCTAATATTTGTTGTTAATTTTTGCATCAGTATGCATCAGGGATATTAGCCTGTAGTTTTCTCTTATTATTATTTTTTATATGTCTTTGTCTGGTTTTGGTATCAGGGTAATATTGGCCTAAAGGAATGAGTTTGAAAGTACTTCCACCTCTATTTTTCAGAAGAGTTTGAGTAGGATTGGTATCAGTTCTTCTTTAAATGTTTGATAGAATTCAGCAGTGAGGCTGTTGGGTCCCAGGGTTTTCTTTACTGGGAGACTTTTTATTCCAGCTTTCAAACCCATTACTTGTTTGGTTTTTTTTTGTTGTTTTTTTTTTTTTTGAGACAGAGTCTTGCTCAGTCGCTCAGGCTGGAGCGCAGTGGCACGGTCTCAGCTCACTGCAAGCTCTGCTTCCCGGGATCATGCCATTCTCCTGCCTCCGTCTCCCGAGTAGCTGGGACTACAGGTGCCCGCAACCACACCTGGCTAATTTTTTTTTTTTTTGTACTTTTAGTAGAGATGGGGTTTCACTATATTAGCCAGTATGGTCTCGATCTCCTGACCTCGTGATCCACCTGCCTCGGCCCCCCAACGTGCTGGCATTACAGGTGTGAGCCACCGTGCCCGGCCCAAACCCATTACTTGTTATTAGTCTGTTCAGGTATTGAATTTCTTCATGGCTCAATCTTGGTAGGTTGTGTCTAGAAATGTATCCATTTCCTCTAGATTTTCCAATTTATTGGTATATAGTTGCCTACAGTAGCCACAAATACTCCTTTAAAATTCTGTGTTATCAGTTGTAATGTCTCCTTTTTCATCTCTTATTTTATTTATTTGGGTTTTCTTTCTTTTCATCTAAGTTATTCTGGCTAATTATATGTCAACTTTGTCTTTTCAAAAAACAAATGGTTGCATCAATCATTTGTTTTGTTTTCTTCAATTCAGTTTTATTTATTTGTTCTCTGATCTTTATTATTTCTTTACTTCTACTAATTGTGGGTTTGGTTTGCTCTTTTTTTTTTAGTTCTTTAAGATGCATCAATAGGTTACTTAAAGTTTGTTTTTCTTTTTTGATGTAGGCACTTACATATTTCCCTCTTATTACTGCTTTTGCTATATCCCATAGGTTTTGTTATGTTGTGTTTCCATTATCATTTGTTTCAATAAATTTTTCAGTTTTCTTCTAAAATTTCTTCATTGACCCACTGGTCATTCAGGGACATATTGTTTATTCACCATGTGATTATATAGTTTCCAAGTTTCCTGTTGTTATTGATCACTAGTTTTATTTCATTGTTGTCAGAGAAGATGTTTGATATTATTCAATTTTTTGGAATCTTTTAAGACTTGCTTTGGGACGTAACATGTGGTTTATTTTTGAGAATAATTTATGTGTTAAGGAAAAGAATGTGTATTCTGCAGGAAATGTTTTGTAAATCTCTATTAGGTCCTTTTGTTCTATAGTGCAGATTAAGTCCAATGTTTTCTTGTTGATTTTCTGTCTGGAAGATCTGTCCAATTCTGAAAGCAGGATGTTGAAGTCTCCAGCTGTTACTGTATTGAGGTCTATTTCTCTCTTCAGCTCTAATAATATTTGCTTTATAAATCTGGGTGCTTCAGTGTTGGGTGCACATATATTTACAATCGTCATATCTGTTGAATAATTAACCCCTTTATTATTATTTAATGACTTTCTTTTTCTCTCCTTTCAGTTTTTTCTTGAAGTCTATTTTGTCTGATATAAGCATACCTTCTCCTACTTTTTTGGGGCTTTCATTTGCATGAAATATCATTTTCCATCCCTTTATTTTCAGTCTATGTGTATCTTTGTAGGTGAAATATGTTTCTTGTAGGCAACAGGTCACTGTGTCTTGTTTATTTTTATTTATTTATCCACTCTATGTCTTTTTATTGGAGAGTTTAGGTAATGAATATTCAATGTAATTATTAATAGATAAGGACTTACTTCTCTTATTTTGTTATTGTTTTCTGGACTTCTCTTTCTTTTTCTTTCCTTCTTGTCTTTCTTTTAGTAAAGATAATTTTCTCTGATAGTATGTTTTAATTTTTTGCTTTCGATTTTTTGTGTATACCTTGTATATTTTTTGATTTCAGATTACCATAAGACTTGCAAATACTATCTTATAACTTATTATTTTTATTTATTTATTTTGAGACAGCTTCACTCTTGTCACCCAGGCTGGAGTGCAATGGCACGATCTCGGCTCACTGCAACCTCTGCTTCCCAGGCTCAAGTGATTTTCCTGCCTCAGCCTCCTGAGTAGTTGGGATTACAGGCATCATGCCTTGCTAGTTTTTGTATTTTTAGGAGAGACTGGGTTTCACCGTGTTGGCCAGGCTTGTCTCGAACTCCTGACCTCAGGTGATCCACCAGCCTTGGCCTCCCAAAGTGCTGGGATTACAGGCATGAGCCACCGTGCCCTGCCATAACTTGTTATTTTAAACTGATGACAAAAATGGATTGCATAAACAAACAAGCAAAAGAAAACTAATAAAAACTCTCAACTTTAATTTTGTCTCCCTGCTTTTTAACTCTCTGTTGTTCCTCTTTACGTTTTATTTGTAGTGTCTATGTTTTGAAAACTTATCGTTGTTATTTTTGATTGGTTCATAATTTAGTCTTTCTACTTAATATAAGAGTAATTTACACACCATAATTACGATATTATAATAATTTTTGTTTTCATGCATACTTACTATTACCAGTGAGTTTCATACCTTCAGATGATTCCTTATTGCACACTCACATCCTTTCCTTTCTGATTGAAGAACTCCCTTTAGCATGTATTGTTGGACAGATCTGATATTGTTGAAATCCCTCAGCTTTTGTTTGTCTGGGAAAGCTTTTATTTATCCTTTACGTTTGAAGAACATTTTCACCAGGTATTCTATTCTAGGGTAAATGTTTGTTTTCTTTAACACTTGAAATATGTCATTCCACTCTCTCTTGCCTGCAAGGTTTCCACTGAAAGCCTGCTGCCAGACGTTTTGTAGTTCCATTGTATGTTATTTGTTTGTTTTCTCTTATTGCTCTTGGGATTCTTTCTTTATCCTTGACCTTTGAGAATTTGATTATTAAATGCCTTGATATAGTCTTCTTTGGGTTTAATCTGCTTGGTCTTCTATAACCTTGTACTTCAATATTGATATCTTTCTCTAAGTTTGGGAAGTTCTCTAATATTATCTATTTGAATAAACTTTCTCCTCTTATCTTTTTCTCTACCTCCTCTTTAAGGCCAATATCTTTGATTTGCTCTTTTGACATAATTTTCTAGATTTTGTAGGTGTGCTTTACTGTTTTGCATTTTTTTCTCTTGTCTCCTCTGCCTATGTATTTTCAAATATTATTTCTTCAAGCTCAGCAATTCTTTCTTCTGTTTGATCAATTCTGCTATTTAGAGACTGATGGCATTCTTCAGTATGTCAATTGCATTTTTCAACTCTAGAATTTCTGCTTGACTCTTTTCAATTATTTTAACTCCTGTTAAATGTGTCTGATAGAATTCTGAATTCTTTCACTGTGTTATCTTGAATTTCTTTGAGTTTCTTCAAAACAACTATTTTAAATTCTTTATCTGAAAGTTCACATAATTCCTGTTTCTCCAAGATTGGCTCCTGGTGCCTTATTTAGTTTGTTTGATGAGGTCATGTTTTCATGGCTGATCTTGATGCTTGTAGATATTTGTCAGTGTCTGGGCATTTAAGAGTTAGTTATTTATTGTAGTCATCACAGTCTGGCTTGTTTGTGCCTGCTCTTCTTGTGAAGACTTTCCAGGTATTCAAAGGGACTTGCACCCTGAACCCAGTAATGTTGTGGTTTTTGCAGGCTCATAGAGGTACCACCTTGTGGTCTCGGATAAGATTGGAAAGAATTCTCTGGATTACCAGAGATTCTTGTTCTCTTCCCTTACCTTCTCCCAAAATAACTGAGTCTCCTCTGTGTCTTTGCTGAGCCATCTGGAGCTGATGGTGGGGTGACACAAGCACCACTGTGGTTACCACCAATGGAACCACCATGGGTCAGGCCTGAAGCCAGCATGGAACTGGGTCCTGCCCAAGGCCTAATGTAACCACTACCTGACTACCATCTGTGTTCACTCAAAGCCCTAGAGCTCTACAGTCAGCAGGTGGTAAAGCAAGCCAAGTTTATATCCTTCCTTTCAGGGCAACAAATTCCCCTATGCTCTAGGTGGGTTCAGGGTTTTTGTCTGGGAGGCAGGAGTTGAAGTCAAAAACCTTAGAAATCTACCTGCTATTCTATTCTACTACAGCTAAGCTGGCACTCAAACCACAAGGCAAAGTTCTTCCACTCTTCTCTCTCCTTTCCACAGGTAGTGCTGCCTCTCCCCATGGCTGTCACAACCACTGGCACACTGAGAGTTCTGGAAGGTTACCACTTGTGTTCACTTAGCCTCCATGGGCTCTTCAGTCAGCTCATGGTTAATGCTGCTAGGCCTCAACTCCCTCTTCCAGGAAGTTGGATCCTCTCTGGCCTGGGGAAGGTCCAGAAATGTTTTCCAACAGCCTAGGTCAGGATCGAGGGACCCCAAGAGGCTGCTTGGTGCTCTACCCTACTTTGGCTGAGCTGGTACCTGAAACCAGCACATCTCTAAGTAAGTCTTACGAAAGGTTCATGGTATACTGTTGGTTATTCAGCGCCCAAGGATTCCTTAGTCAGAAGGTGCTGAATACGGCCAGGACTGGGTCTCTCCCTTCAAGGCTGTGGGTTCCTTTCTGGCCCAAAGTGTGTCTGGAAATGTCCAGGAGCTAGAGCCTGGGATGGGGGCCCCATGACTCTGTCTAGTGCCCTGTCCTCCTGTGGCTGAGCTGGTATCTAAGATACAAGACAAAATCCTCTTTATGCTTTTCTCTTCTAGAGTGGAAAGAAGCAGTCACTGTCATTGCTGTGAGCTGCATTGCACAGGGTTTTGGGTGGGTGGCATAGCACTTCCTCAGTCCCTCTGTCTGATGTCTCAGTAGGTCAGGCACTGCCCCAGTCCACTGGCTCTAAGCCCAGCACAGCATCAGAACTTCTCAAGAATTGGAATCCTTGTGTCTTAGCCTGCCTTTCAAGTTCACTTAGAACCCCAGAGCACTTAACTCCTAGTGGCAAGGCTTGTTGAGAAACTCAGGTACCGACCACTGGGTTGGGCACTTCCCCTCTGTCTAGGTCGGGTCCAAATGCTTCCTCTGTGGAAAGGTGCCAACTGAGTCAGTGTCATTTTGTTTTCTGCTGTGACAGGGCAGCACTGAGTTCAATGCAAAGTTCCCCAGTTCATATGCTCTCCTTCTCTCAAGTGCACAGATTCTTTCCCTATGCCATATAGTCACTGCCTGGGGAGTGGGGAGAAGTGGCATTGATGATATAAGATTTTCTTGCCTAGCCTCTGTAGTTCCTCTTTCAGTGACATGAAATTAAAACCAGGTACTATCAGTGCTCACTTGATTTGCGCTTTTATGAAGGTGCTTTTTAGTGTGCAGATAGTGTTAAAATTTGGTGTTCCTACAGAGGGAATAATTGGTGGAGGCTTCTATTCAGCCATCTTGCTCCACCCTCAGCATGCCAATTCTTATTTAAAGATAGTCTATCAGGGTTTGGATTGGGGTCACATTGAATCTGTATATCAACCTGGAAGAAATTGACATCTTGACAATATAAAGTATTCCAATTCATGAGCAAGATATATTTCTTCATTTATTTATATCTTCCTTTTTGTTCTCCCAATACTGTTTTATAGCTTTCAGTGTGCAGGTATTATTTATATTTTGTCAAACTTGTCCCTAAGTATTTTATGTTTTATTAAACTTTTATAAAATTTAATTTTAAATTTCATTTTTCTAAAATTTGTTACTAGTATGTAAATAGGCAAATGATGTTTGTATAATGACATTGTGTTGTATAACCTTACTTAATTCACAAAACTTTTTATGTATGTGATGTTGTCCATAAGAAGGATAATTTTATTTATTTATTTCCAATCTATATAACTTTTATTTCGTCTTACACGCACTACTACAATGGCCAGGACCTCTAATTTGTTGTTGAATAGAAGTAGTGATAGTGGACATTTTCTTATTTCTCTTCTTCTAGAGAAAACATTAAATCACAAACCGTAATATATAATGATAGCTGTAGGGTTTTTTAGATGCATTTTGCTGGGAATTTTTTCATAGTTTTTTTTTCATTTCTTGAAATAATCATATGATTTTTATCTTTTATTCTGTTAGTATGGTGAATTACACTGCTTGACTTTTAAATGTCGTATTAACTTGGTATTTCTAAAATAAAACCCAGTTGGTCATGATGTATTATATTTTGTTAGATTTAATTTGTTAATACCTTGTGAAGGATTTTCTTTTTTATCTTCATGAAAAGTATTAGTTTATAGTTATCTTTTCTTATATAATATTTATTTTCAGTTTAAGTGTTAGGGTAATGTTGGCCTAAAAATTCCACTAAAATATGTCTCCTCCTTCCCTGTTATCTGAGATTGTGTAAGATGGATATAATTTCTTTTTAAAGTGTTTAATAAAATTGACAAATGAAAATACTCAGGACTGAAATTTTCTTTGTGGAAAGGCTCATGTTCACAAATTGTATTTTAAAAATAGATATATTAATATTTTCTATTCTTCCTATATCCATTTTGATAACTTATATCATTTAGGGAATATGTGCATTTTATCTGTATTGTTAGATTTATTGACATAGAATTGTTCATAATATTCATCAGGTACAATTTAATATTCATAGTATCTGTAGTTACATCTGCATTTCACTCTGAATATTGCTATTTGTCCTCTCCCTCTCTCTCTTTTTAGTTTCCTAAGAAAAATATCAACTGCCAATCTTTTTAAAAAGACAGATTTTTGTTTTATTTCTATTCTCTATTGTTTAACATTTTGTATTTCATTGATTTTTGTAATTATTATTTACCTTCTACTTATTTGGGGTTGAATTTCCTTTTTTATAGCTTCTTAATGTGAAAGCTTAGATTATTGACTTTAAATCTGTCTTTGTTTTCTACCAAAAACATTTAGTGTTATGAACTAATTTAGAATTATTTAGATTTTTTTAGAATTTCCAAATATTTGGGGTCTTCTAAAAATGTTTATGTATTTTTCTCATATTTCTAATTTTATACTGTTGTGGCTAGAAGTAATACTCTGTATATTTTTGACCTCTTTAAATTAATTCATTCCAGTTTTATGACCCAGCACATGACTTATCTTGGTGAATGTTGGTGAATGTTAGTGGACACTTGAAGAGCTCTAAAAATATCAGTTATGTCAGGTTGGTTAATAACATTGCCCACATGTTCTACATCTGTCCTTATTTTCTTTCTACTTTTTTATCCCTATCAAGAAAAGAGTTCAGGTGTGTAACCACCATTTTGGATGTGTCTTTTTTCAGTTTGGTCAGTTTTTGCTTTAAAAATGTTGAACCATTGTTCTAAGTGCACACATACTTAAGAATGTGCCTTGATAAACTATTTTATCGTTATAAAATGCCATTATCTAAATGAATTACAAGCAATATTATTTGATCTAAAGTCTAATTTATAAGATAATAATACAGCCATTTAGTATTCCTTATGACTAGTGCTTGCATTGAATATGTTTTTCATCATTTTTAACTTATCTATGTTTTTGTATTTCAAGAGTGTTTCTTGTTGACAGAATATGATTGGGTTGTGCCTTTGCATTTAGTTGGAGTCTTTCTTTAGATCATTGGCATATAATATATTTATCAATATGGTTGGATCTAAAGCTATTATATTAGTGTTTACTTTATATTTGTTTTATCTGTAGTTTTTCTCGTTTTTCTCTTTTGCTGCCTTATTTGTGTTGACTAATATTTAATATTTCATTCCGTGTCCTCTATTGATTTACTAGCTATATCTCTCTTTAAGTTTTAGTGGCTGCTCTGGGCTTTACAATATGTATCTCTAACTTGTTATAATCAATCTTTACTATCTTCAAAGTCTATTTGCCATTTCAAGAAATACAAGAATGTTACACAATACATTTCCATTTCTCCATCATACAGTTTGTGCTATTGTTATACATTTTTACAACTATAATATAAAACATTATAAAAAACCATTTCAAAAAATCTTTATCCTCATGTTTGCTATTTCTAGTATCCTTCATTTCTTTGAGTAGATCCAGACTTACATGTGGTATTATATCCCTTCAACTTGAATAATTTCTTTAATATTTTTTGGTAGTGCAGTTTTACTGATGATAAATTTTCTGTTTTTTGTTTGCCTGAAAAATGTCATGTTTTAATTTTTACTTATGAAGAATATTTTCACATAAAATGAAATAGTATCTTGATGATATTTTATTGTTTTTTCAAACATTAATGTGATTCTGTTGTCTTCTGGCTTGGATTTATTCTGATGAGAATTCAGCGATTAGTCTTGACTTTATCTCATATACAATGTATGGTTTTTACTCTGGCTACTTTAAGATTTTCATGATTTCTGTCTTTAGCAATTTGATAATGAGAGACTTTGGTTTTGTTTTCTTTCAATTATCCTTCTTGGTGAATGCAGAGTTTCTTTGATCTATGTGTTTATACGCTTCATTGTTTTTTTTTAAGTTTGGGCCAGTATATTTTTAAACACTCTTCCTGCAACTTCTCTTCTTTTTCTCTTTGATACTCCAATTACATGTATGTTAGACAGCATAATATTGTGTTACAGATTCCTGAAGTTGTTTTTTTAAACTATTTTTTTTCTCTATGCTTCATTTTGGATACTATCTAATTGTTTTTTGTTTTGTTTTGTTTTTTTTAATTTTTTTTATTATTATACTTTAAGTTTTAGGGTACATGTGCACATTGTGCAGGTTAGTTACATACGTATACATGTGCCATGCTGGTGCGCTGCACCCACTAACTCTTCATCTAGCATTAGGTATATCTCCCAATGCTATCCCTCCCCCCTCCCCCCACCCCACAACAGTCCCCAGAGTGTGATATTCCCCTTCCTGTGTCCATGTGATCTCATTGTTCAATTCCCACCTATGAGTGAGAATATGCGGTGTTTGGTTTTTTGTTCTTGCGATAGTTTACTGAGAATGATGGTTTCCAATTTCATCCATGTCCCTACAAAGGACGTGAACTCATCATTTTTTATGGCTGCATAGTATTCCATGGTGTATATGTGCCACATTTGCTTAATCCAGTCTATCAATGTTGGACATGTGGGTTGGTTCCAAGTCTTTGCTATTGTGGATAATGCCACAATAAACATACGTGTGCATGTGTCTTTATAGCAGCCTGATTTATAGTCCTTTGGGTATATACCCAGTAATGGGATGGCTGGGTCAAATGGTATTTCTAGTTCTAGATCCCTGAGGAATCGCCACACTCACTTCCACAATGGTTGAACTAGTTTACAGTCCCACCAACAATGTAAAAGTGTTCCTATTTCTCCACATCCTCTTCAGCACCTGTTGTTGCCTGACTTTTTAATGATTGCCATTCTAACTGGTGTGAGATGGTATCTCATTGTGGTTTTGATTTGCATTTCTCTGATGGCCAGTGACGGTGAGCATTTTTTCATATGTTTTTTGGCTGCATAAATGTCTTCTTTTGAGAAGTGTCTGTTCATGTCCTTTGCCCACTTCTTGATGGGGTTGTTTGTTTTTTTCTTGTAAATTTGTTTGAGTTCATTGTAGATTCTGGATATTAGCCCTTTGTCAGATGAGTAGGTTGTGAAAATTTTCTCCCATTTTGTAGGTTGCCTGTTCACTCTGATGGTAGTTTCTTTTGCTGTGAAGAAGCTCTTTAGTTTAATTAGATCCCATTTGTCAATTTTGTCTTTGTTGCCATTGCTTTTGGTGTTTTAGACATGAAGTCCTTGCTCATGCCTATGTCCTGAATGGTAATGCCTAGGTTTTCTTCTAGGGTTTTTATGGTTTTAGGTCTAACGTTTAAGTCTTTAATCCATCTTGAATTGATTTTTGTATAAGGTGTAAGGAAGGGATCCAGTTTCAGCTTTCTACATATGGCTAGCCAGTTTTCCCAGCACCATTTATTAAATAGGGAGTCCTTTCCCCATTGCTTGTTTTTCTCAAGTTTGTCAAAGATCAGATAGTTGTAGATATGCGGCGTTATTTCTGAGGGCTCTGTTCTGTTCCATTGATCTATATCTCTGTTTTGGTACCAGTACCATGATGTTTTGGTTACTGTAGCCTTGTAGTATAGTTTGAAGTCAGGTAGTGTGATGCCTCCAGCTTTGTTCTTTTGGCTTAGGATTGACTTGGCGATGCGGGCTCTTTTTTGGTTCCATATGAACTTTAAAGAGTTTTTTCCAATTCTGTGAAGAAAGTCATTGGTAGCTTGATGAGGATGGCATTGAATCTGTAAATTACCTTGGGCTGTATGGCCATTTTCACGATATTGATTCTTCCTACCCATGAGCATAGAATGTTCTTCCATTTGTTTGTATCCTTTTATTTCCTTCAGCAGTGGTTTGTAGTTCTCCTTGAAGAGGTCCTTCACATCCCTTGTAAGTTGGATTCCTAGGTATTTTATTCTCTTTGAAGCAATTGTGAATGGGAGTTCACTCATGATTTGGCTCTCTGTTTGTCTGTTGTTGGTGTATAGGAATGCTTGTGATTTTTGCACATTGATTTTGTATCCTGAGACTTTGCTGAAGTTGCTTATCAGCTTAAGGAGATTTTGGGCTGAGACAATGGGGTTTTCTAGATATACAATCATGTCATCTGTAAACAGGGACAATTTGACTTCCTCTTTTCCTAATTGAATACCCTTTATTTCCTTCTCCTGCCTAATTGCCCTGGCCAGAACTTCCAACACTATGTTGAATAGGAGTGGTGAGAGAGGGCATCCCTGTCTTTTGCCAGTTTTCAAAGGGAATGCTTTCAGTTTTTGCCCATTCAGTATGATATTGGCTGTGAGTCTGTCATAGATAGCTCTTATTATTTTGAAATATGTCCCATCTATACCTAATTTGTTGAGAGTTTTTATCATGAAAGGTTGTTGAATTTTGTCAAAGGCCTTTCCTCCATCTATTGAGATAATCATGTGGTTTTTGTCTTTGGCTCTGTTTATATGCTGGATTACATTTATTGATTTGCATATATTGAACCAGCCTTGCCTCCCAGGGATGAAGCCCACTTGATCATGGTGGATAAGCTTTTTGATGTGCTGCTGGATTCGGTTTGCCAGTATTTTATTGAGGATTTTTGCATCAATGTTCATCAAGGATATTGGTCTAAAATTCTCTTTTTTGGTTGTGTCTCTGCCCGGCTTTGGTATCAGGATGATTCTGGCCTCATAAAATGAGTTAGGGAGGATTCCCTCTTTTTCTATGGATTGGAATAGTTTCAGAAGGAATGGTACCAGTTCCTCCTTGTACCTCTGGTAGAATTCGGCTGTGAATCCATCTGGTCCTGGACTCTTTTTGGTTGGTAAGCTATTGATTATTGCCACAATTTCAGCTCCTGTTATTGGTCTATTCAGAGATTCAACTTCTTCCTGGTTTAGTCTTGGGAGAGTGTATGTGTCGAGGAATTTATCCATTTCTTCTAGATTTTCTAGTTTATTTGCGTAGAGGTGTTTGTAGTATTCTCTGATGGTAGTTTGTATTTTTGTGGGATCGGTGGTGATATCCCCTTTATCATTTTTTATTGCATCTATTTGATTCTTCTCTTTTTCTTTATTAGTCTTGCTAGCGGTCTATCAATTTTGTTGATCCTTTCAAAAAACCAGCTCCTGGATTCATTAATTGTTTGAAGGGTTTTTTGTGTCTCTATTTCCTTCAGTTCTGCTCTGATCTTAGTTATTTCTTGCCTTCTGCTAGCTTTTGAATGTGTTTGCTCTTGCTTTTCTAGTTCTTTTAATTGTGATGTTAGGGTGTCAATTTTCGATCTTTCCTGCTTTCTCTTGTGGGCATTTAGTGGTATAAATTTCCCTCTGCACACTGCTTTGAATGCGTCCCAGAGATTCTGGTATGTTGTGTCTTTGTTCTCGTTGGTTTCAAAGAACATCTTTATTTCTGCCTTCATTTCGTTATGTACCTAGTAGTCATTCAGGAGCAGGTTGTTCAGTTTCCATGTAGTTGAGCGGTTTTGAGTGAGATTCTTAATCCTGAGATCTAGTTTGATTGCACTGTGGTCTGAGAGACAGTTTGTTATAATTTCTGTTCTTTTACATTTGCTGAGGAGAGCTTTACTTCCAATTATGTGGTCAATTTTGGAATAGGTGTGGTGTGGTGCTGAAAAGAATGTATATTCTGTTGATTTGGGGTGGAGAGTTCTGTAGATGTCTATTAGGTCCGCTTGGTGCAGAGCTGAGTTCAGTTCCTGGGTATCCTTGATGACGTTCTGTCTCGTTGATCTGTCTCTAATGTTGACAGTGGGGTGTTAAAGTCTCCCATTATTAATGTGTGGGAGTCTAAGTCTCTTTGTAGGTCACTCAGGACTTGCTTTATGAATCTGGGTGCTCCTGTATTGGGTGCATATATATTTAGGATAGTTAGTTCTTCTTGTTGAATTGATCCCTTTACCATTATGTAATGGCCTTCTTTGTCTCTTTTGATCTTTGTTGGTTTAAAGTCTGTTTTATCAGAGACTGGGATTGCAACCCCTGCCTTTTTTTGTTTTCCATTTTCTTGGTAGATCTTCCTCCATCCTTTTATTTTGAGCCTATGTGTGTCTCTGCACGTGAGATGGGTTTCCTGAATACAGCACACTGATGGGTCTTGACTCTTTATCCAGTTTGCCTGTCTGTGTCTTTTAATTGGAGCATTTAGTCCATTTACATTTAAAGTTAATAGTGTTATGTGTGAATTTGATCCTGTCATGATGAAGTTAGCTGGTTATTTTGCTCGTTAGTTGATGCAGTTTCTTCCTAGTCTTGATGGTCTTTACATTTGGGCATGATTTTGCAGTGGCTGGTACCGGTTGTTCCTTTCCATGTTTAGCACTTCCTTCAGGAGCTCTTTTAGGGCAGGCCTGATGGTGACAAAATCTCTCAGCATTTGCTTGCCTGTAAAGTATTTTATTTCTCCTTCGCTTATGAAGCTTAGTTTGGCTGGATATGAAATTCTGGGTTGAAAATTCTTTTCTTTAAGAATGTTGAATATTGGCCCCCACTCTCTTCTGGCTTGTAGAGTTTCTGCCGAGAGATCCGCTGTTAGTCTGATGGGCTTCCCTTTGAGGGTAACCCGACCTTTCTCTCTGGCTGCCCTTAACATTTTTTCCTTCATTTCAACTTTGGTGAATCTGACAATTATGTGTCTTGGAGTTGCTCTTCTCGAGGAGGATCTTTGTGGCGTTCTCTGTATTTCCTGAATCTGAACATTGGCCTGCCTTGCTAGATTGGGGAAATTCTCCTGGATAATATCCTGCAGAGTGTTTTCCAACTTGGTTCCATTCTCCCCATCACTTTCAGGTACACCAATCAGACGTAGATTTGGTCTTTTCACATAGTCCCATATTTCTTGGAGGCTTTGCTCATTTCTTTTTATTCTTTTTTCTCTAAACTTCCCTTCTCGCTTCATTTCATTCATTTCATCTTCCATCGCTGATACCCTTTCTTCCAGTTGATCGCATCGGCTCCTGAGTCTTCTGCATTCTTCACGTAGTTCTGGAGCCTTGGCTTTCAGCTCCGTCAGCTCCTTTAAGCACTTCTCTGTATTGGTTATTCTAGTTATACATTCTTCTAGATTTTTTTTCAAAGTTTTCAACTTCTTTGCCTTTGGTTTGAATGTCCTCCCATAGCTCAGAGTAATTTGATCGTCTGAAGCCTTCTTCTCTCAGCTCCTCAAAGACATTTTCGGTCCAGCTTTGTTTTGTTGCTGGTGAGGAATTGCATTCCTTTGGAGGAGGAGAGGCGTTCTGATTTTTAGAGTTTCCAGTTTTTCTGCTCTGTTTTTTCCCCATCTTTGTGGTTTTATCTACTTTTGGTCTTTGATGATGGTGATGTACAGATGGGTTTTTGGTGTGGATGTCCTTTCTGTTTGTTAATTTTCCTTCTAATAGGACCCTCAGCTGCAGGTCTGTTGGAGTACCCTGCAGTGTGAGGTGTCAGTGTGCCCCTGCTGGAGGGTGCCTCCCAGTTAGGCTGCTCAGGAGTCAGGGGTCAGGGACCCACTTGAGGAGGCAGTCTGCCCGTTCTCAGATCTCCAGCTGCGTACTGGGAGAACCACTGCTCTCTTCAAAGCTGTCAGACAGGGACATTTAAGTCTGCAGAGGTTACTGCTGTCTTTTTGTTTGTCTGTGCCC
Source organism: Homo sapiens (assembly GCF_000001405.40). Classification (NCBI taxonomy): domain Eukaryota; kingdom Metazoa; phylum Chordata; class Mammalia; order Primates; family Hominidae; genus Homo; species Homo sapiens. Next base: position 128,745,172 of record NC_000008.11, on the reverse strand, counting down.
TGCCCCCAGAGGTGGAGCCTACAGAGGCCGGCAGGCCTCCTTGAGCTGCGGTGGGCTCCACCCAGTTCGAGCTTCCCGGATGCTTTGTTTACCTAAGCAAGCCTGGGCAATAGTGGGCGCCCCTCCCCCAGCCTCACTGCCGCCTTGCAGTTTGATCTCAGACTGCTGTGCTAGCAATCAGCGAGACTCCGTGGCGTAGGACCCTCCGAGCCAGGTGGGGGATATAATCTCGTGGTGCGCTGTTTTTTAAGCCCGTCGGAAAAGCGCAGTATTCTGGTGGGAGTGACCCGATTTTCCCGATTTTCCAGGTGCCGTCCGTCACCCCTTTCTTTGATTAGGAAAGGGAACTCCCTGACCCCTTGCGCTTCCGGAGTGAGGCAATGCCTCGCCCTGCTTCGGCTCGCGCACGGTGCGCGCACCCACTGACCTGCGCCCACTGTCCGGCACTCCCTAGTGAGATGAACCCGGTACCTCAGATGGAAATGCAGAAATCACCCGTCTTCTGCGTCGCTCAGGCTGGGAGCTGTAGACCGGAGCTGTTCCTATTTGGCCATCTTGGCTCCTCCCTCTCTGGATACTATCTAATTGTTATGCCAATGAGTTCACTTTTACTTCATCCTGTAGTGTTTAATTTGCTAAGTCTATCAAATATATATTCTTTTTAATTTCCAAAATTTCATTTTTATTTTTAGATGTTCTGTTGGGTTCTTTTTTATGGCTTCCATTTCATTCATCATCTTGTCCATGCTTTCCTTGAAATTATTGAACATAAAGTTATAAAGCTCTTATTTGCTTGCTAATTCCAACAGTGCTGTCATTTCTGAGTTTGTTTTTATTAATTGTTCTCCTGATAATGAATTACATTTTACTGCTTCTTTGCATGTCTAGTAATTTTAGACTAGATGCTTAACACATTGAATGTTACATTGTGTAGTGTATGATTTTGTTGACTATTTTTAACAAATGTTGAGTTTCGTTTTGTCAAATATGTTTGTTCTTTGCACATAGTCTTGGCCATTTTGAAGCTTGTTTTTAAATTTTCTCTAGGTGGCTCTAGTGTTTCCTTTACTATAGAATTAGTTTTGTACTACTACTATGATATGGCCTTTTTGAGGTCCCTACTGATGGTCCTGTTTAGAAGTCCAACACTTTATAACCTTTGTCAGCTCTGGTAATTGTTTATTTTACAGCTTTTTAGTAGTTATTTTCTTCTTTGAGTAACTGATTTTTGGCTAGACTTTTAGACTAGACTCTTACTTCACACCTGGGCAGGAAGGGGATACCTAGGCAGATTTAAGGATATCTTTTGCTTTATGTATATCCTCTTTCTGGGTACTCTGTCCCACAAAATCTGCAGGACTCAATGTCTTGAACTTTTATCTTTGCCTCTTTAACTTAGTAAGATTGTTGAGCTTGTATTAGATTTGGTCTTTTTTATGGAATGAATTGTGTTCCCTGTAAATTTATCTATTAAAGCTCTAATCCCCATACCTCAGAATCTAACTGGATTTGAATGTAGGGCCTTTAATAGGTAATTATTAAAAGTCAGGGATGGTGGCTCATGCCTGTAATCTCAGCACTTTGAAAGGCCAAAGTGGGCAGATTATGTGAGGTCAGGAGTTTGAGACCAGCCTGGCCAACATAGTGAAACCCCATCTCTACTAAAACAACAACAACAACAACAACAAAAAAAAAAAACAAAATTAGCCAGGTGTGGTGGCAGGTGACTGTAATCACAGCTACTCAGATGGCTGAGGCAGGAGAATCACTTGAATCTGGGAGGCAGAGGTCGCAATAAGCCAAGATCACGCCACTGTACTCCAGCTTGGGTGACAAGAGTGAAGCTCCTTCTCAAAAAAAAAAAAAAGGTAATTAAGTTAAAATGAGGCCAATAGTCCTCAAAGACCAATTGGACCTTATCCAATTGGACTGGTGTCCTTATAAGAGGAAGTTTGGACCTACAGGAGATTCCAGGAATGCACATGCAAGAAAAAAAGACCAGATGAGAATACAGCGAGAGAGCAGGCATCTACAAGCCAAGCAGAGAAGCCTCAGAAGAAACCAAACCTGATCTTGGACTTCCAAACTCCAGAACTGTGAAAAAATAGCTTTTTGTTATTTAAGCCACCCAGTCTGTGGTATTTTGTTACAATAGCCCTGGCAAACCAACACAGCCTTCTTGTAGGCAGCCTGGAATGCAATGCTAGATGGAAAGCCTGGAGTATCATAGGGTTTATCTTATTTGTTTCTCTTTATTCAAAGATTACAGTCCTGTGTTACCTATTGTACAATCTATAAAAACAGCTCTTATAAATTTTGTTCCATTTTCTAATTGTTAATCGTGTGAAGTCAAGTCTGACAGCAGTGAAGGCAATCATAACTGCCTTGATTTTTCATTTTCTGAAACTCTTAGAATTCAGGCCTTTACCTCTCATATTGATGTTTTAGTTTTTTTAAAAAATCTTACTCTTCAATTTTTCCCTATTTGTCTTTATTCTACTTTCTGGATTATCTTCTAAAATGTCTGTATTATCTTCCATTTCTTTGTACTGTTTTGGGGGGAGTTTTCTTTCAATTTATCTTCCAAATCTCCTATTCATTTTTTCATTTGACCATTATACGTTTAGTTTTCAAGAACTCTTTGCAAAATATTGTTGAAATTGTTTGTTTCTTCTCTTTTTGACTTCATGAATGTATGCCTTTTAGAGAAATCTCTTCACTGTTCTTTTAAGTGGGGTTTCAAGAAACAGCAGAGAGAGATTAATGGGAATGTTCAGTCATTTGGAAAGTCCAGGCATGTCTTTTAATTTGTTTTTATGTTCAGTGGTTTTCTTTCTTTTCATCTGTCTGTCTTTCTTCCTTTCTTCAATGAGAATAAAATCCTGCCAATTTTACCTTCTAAAATTCCCCCAATATACCTTCTTTTCTCTCATCATCCTGGACTATCATCTAATGCCTATAGGGACCTCAGGATACATAGTATATCCCCCACTCTGGTACTAGAATGATTCCTCTAAACCACAGGTCTAACCATATGTCTTTTATAGCAAAAACTTTTCAATAGTGCTTCAAAATTCAGAGAAAACAAAGCTTGAGATCCTTAGTCTGGCATTCATTTTTATTATGTTTTACTGAAGTGTTCATCTGAGATGTATTGAAATTTTTTTAAAGGAAAAGCAAATCTGGTCCTTCATCACAAACAGTTTGGAAAACTCTACTTGAGAAAATATTTTTCATGTTGAAAAAACTAAAACCTTGTGTGATACCACTCTCCTAACCTCATTGGTCTGGCCTTATAAACATAATTCTCTGGGAGATAGCAGATTAAATGTGAGAGAGGAGGAAAAAGAAGGGAACTCTGTACCTGTCAAGTATTTGCTCTCTTTCCAGCAATCTTCTGGGAGTTTTACATAGGTAGAAAAGTAAAGAAAATATTTTAACTATTTACATGAAAGCCTCCTTTAGGAATGAAACTCTTTGTCTAGAAAAATGCCTTGATAGACCACCTTAGCTGGGTGACTCAAAACAGATAAAACTCTGCAAGAGAAGTGAGAGGGAAATTTGTGTTGAAGGGAGCAGAAAGGGAGACAGAAGTCCTAAATAACCTTATGGAAAGTTGGAGTCCACAGACAGAAGTGACCAATGGGAAATCAGATGGCAGAGCACCATAAAGACACACTAATAACCAGTACGAATGACTCTGAGATTATGCCCAGGGAAGGGGGTGTGTTTTATATTTAGTTTGAAACAGACAGAATGTCACAAATCAAAAGGAGCCAAGATGAAAATCAGAGTAGTTTGTTAAAGGCCAGAACTCGGAGCAAATAATAGTAAGTAGCCGAATGTAAATATGTCACCACCAAGAAGTTACAGAAAGCTTAGACAGGGCATGGAACTTCCCAACAGTCAAGGGATATGTAATGTGAACCAAGTTGTTTAAAATCTCTCATTGGACAGCTGCAGTATAACAAATTACCACAAATATAGAGGCAAAATAGCCCATAAATATTGTTTTATTATTTTCGTGGATCAGAAATACAGGCATAACTTAGTGAGATCTTCTGCTTTAAGTTCTTTTATATTTAAAGAGAAAAAGAGATAAATTTATTTTAAGAAATTTTCTCATGTGATTTTTGGGGACTGGCAAATCTGAACTCTGTAGGGCAGGCTCACAGTCTGGAGTTCTGGCAGGGGTTGATGTGGCAATCTTAGTCCACATACCAAAGATGAACAGGCTAGAAACTCAAGCTGGGATTTTATGTGGCTATCTTGAAGGAAAACTCTTTCTTTTGGGGTCAACCTCAGTCTTTCTTTGCTCTTAAGGCCTTTAACTGATTGCATGAAGCCCACCCACATTATGGGTAGAATCTGCTTTACTCAAAGTCTACTTATATGAATGTTGATAATTATTCAGTCTACTGACTTAAATCTTAATCACATTTAAAAAAAAAACCCTTCACAGCAACATCTGGACTGATATTTAGCCAATCCACTGAGAACCACAGTCTAGCCAGGTTGACACAACATTAACCACCACAGGATGTAATCAACGTGTCAGCTAGGACTGGTGTCTCATCAGAAGGCTCAACCAGGGAAGGATTTGCTTTCTAAACTTATCTAGTTATTGGCAGAATTCCATTCCTTGCGTGCTGTTACATCGGGGGTCTAAGTTCCTCATTGGCTGCCGACAGGAGGTTGTTCTTGGTTCTTTGCTACATGGGCCTCTTCATGCAATAGTTAACTTCAACAAACAATTGAGGAAGAATTCCCTAGCAAGAGAGAAGCCACAGTCATATGTAACCTAATCAGGGAAGTGATATCCTGCCACTTCACCACATTCAATTAATTAAAAGCAAATCGTCAAGCCAGCCAGCAACCAAGGGAAGAGGATCACATACAGGCATAAACACTAGCAGGTGGGTATCATATTAGAGCCTGCTTGTCACAGACAGCTTATCTTCATTTCAGGTAAACTATTTTATTGAAATCCTCATAGTCTGTTTATGAAGTAGTCATCTTTATTACCATTTCACATATTAATGAATAAAGGTTCAGACAGCTTTTCTGTCTAGATCAACATAACACATCAAGTCAAAGGGAAAGACAGTAATCAAGGCTACATCTATTTGCTACTGAGAGCTTTGCTTGACCTCCTACTTTACAACCTAATATCGATTTGTTGTTGTTGTTGTTGTTGTTGTTTCACTAGAAATTCCTATTAGAAAAACTGATACTCATTGCCTTCTCTCAAATTTAAGTACTCCAATAGACCTTTGACTTCCCCAAACACAACCTGTGATGTCTCTTTGTATTGCATAAATTAGCCACATTTTCTGATCCCTTGGCTATCTGACTATAAAACTGGAACTATTCTGCTTTGCTAGCAGACTTAACCTCATCTCATTCTTTGTAACCAGTTTTTCCCTGTGAGAAGAAAAATAATCTCATGGCCTGGTCATCTATTACCAGGGAAGTCAAGCTCTGGATTCTATTCCAAATTTTGCCCTAAGTTCTAGACTGTGGATCCAAGGTATGAATTTTGTAAATGTCTGATACCTATCTACCTGCCTGATATTCCAGTTTCTCTAGGACTGGGATGCCTACCTTTATTCCTTTTAGGGTTTCTAAAGACCACAGTCATGATTCTGAACCTACGCCATTGTAGCTAGGCCCTCTTCTCCACCTTTTTCCATACTCCTCATTATTAAAATATTGCTCTTCCCAGGTAGGTAGAGAAGATGTGGAGGTTTATGACATTTCTTCTGGGTTTGTGATGCATGAGAAGACACATTAATAAAACTTCTAGTTTGTATTCTTAGATTACTTATTACAAATTTTAAATACAAAGGAAGAAAATTCCAGGCCATCTAGCTAAGAGACAATATGGGAATTTGAAGGAAAAGATACTTGTATAATTCCCCAAACTCTATAGCACCTATTCAAAGTAAGCTATGGTTATTTTTTAAATAATGATTTTCCCTAGATATCAATACAACAGATCACTTATCTTCCTTCTCCAAATATTAATATCTCCTGTTGACCTCCATCGTGCAAAGTACTGAGTCCAAACTGCCTATGGCTGTATTCAAGAATTTCCATGATCTAACTGCAAGCATTTTTTTCAACTTTATTTCTGTCCATGCATTATAATCCCTTCCCCTTCTTTGTGCATGATGGTTGTCCCTTAATTCTTAACCTATTAAGCTTGATTCAATATCTTTCTTTGCATTCAGGTCCAATAACATCATATCTAGTAAGTACTAGAGAGTACATACTATCCCTTACAGAAATATCAATGAAATGCTCTTTTATCTGTCATCCTCAGTACGTCGTTTATATCTAGCCAAGCCCATATTTTATTCTGTCACGTGATATGGCTCATTGTCTACATGCCTTTCTTCCCTTATTAGTTCAGAACACTTTAAAATGTAAGGCCTACATTGCTTCCTTTGTTATATTCCCATCCTCAGACTCCATCACACTGCTCTGAATGAGGCATAGGGATAAAATAATGTAGGGGGTAGGATATAGATTTTTGGAATCAGATGCACATAAATTTGGAAATAGGTTCTGGCATTTATTAACGGTGTAGATGTGATTGGAGAAGTTACTTGACCCCCAAGTCTTGGCTTTCTTACCTACTAAATGAAGGATAACATTGCCTGTCTCAAAGTTTTGCTGTAAGTCCTCACTAGCATTAAATATATAGAAAAATTGGCACAATGTAAATAATGTTTCTTTCCCCAACCTCCCATTCCCACAGTCAAAATCCACTCCCAATTCCACCTTCCTCTCCCACCCACTTTCTCAAGTTCCACCTCAGCATTAATAAATATTTGTTAGACTGGATTGAATGCTCTGTCACTGGACCCCTTGAATCAGGAAGCAAAGGACTCACTTCTTTCTCTGCAGCCTTTTTGCTTGGTTGGTATATTGAATTCTTGTTTTTTTCTCCTCCCATTCTGTCAGCCTTAAATCCTTATTTTGTGTCCTCTTTCTGTTCCAAAATTTTATTTTTACCTACAAGTTTTTTGTTTACATTGCATCTCTCTTCTGCTGGAAAAGCATGGCCTTGTGAAGCTGGCATTTGTTTAATCTTCTGGCATCTGGAGACCTGCATTTATGAGTTTTCTAAAGTTCCCTGTGCTGGGAGCTTCCTATACGCCAGAGCTTCTGAGTAAGTGCTCCAACCTGAAATGAGAGTTTTTCCAAGGTTAGGTCATCGCCACTGTGCACCTCCCTCATCCACAGCCAGGCAAAATAAAAGTTTCCATGGAGATGAAACAGAAAAGGGTCCATCTGATCAGTTTTAATTGTTATAAATAAGAATTCATTTAATATATGTTTGTGGCATGAGCTGCTTGTCACAGTTAAGAGGAGAGCAGAAATTACCAAGTAAATTTTTAGTATTGAATATTTACTTAGCTCAATGTTAGAGAGAGGCTAGGTCCCTGCCCTAAGAGAGCTTAAAATTTATTTGGGAATAAAAATGAATCCATGAGAAAGAGAGGGCAATTAAAGGCAGAGAGTAAAAAGAGCTAGTTTAATGAGTATTTATTGTCTGACTGCATAAACAAATACATACATACTTAAATGAATGAATGAAAATAATTACACGAAAGAACAAATGAAGACTGGAGCATTAAGGCTGTGCTTTTAAAATTTGACAATGTCACTAATTCAAAGCAAGTTAAATCTTTAAATTATTTGCGTTAGAACTACACATTGATCTCATTAAATAAACACTTTAAGCCATTTCAACAAAAACACATTTAACTATTCACAATGGTCCAGACTTTACTGAGTCCAAAAGGTAAACAAGATGAATAATATATCGTCCTTTCTCTAGGATTGAAACAAATCTCTCCTGTCACTTTCCTGTAGATTATTGCCAAGATATCCCATGTATAGGCTGACATCCTCTAAGCCAGTAGAATATTGGTTTCTGGCACAATAATAGATGGAATGGAAACTGTGTTAGGACTCAGGACCACTTGCTGGTTGATAAGGATCACTCAATGTGTCTCTTTTAACAGTTGGAGAGCTTTATGTTTCTCTTTCTGAAACTTGTTTGACACTTTCAATTTCTGTTCTAGGTATGTGAAACATTCGCTATGTTCCCAACTAAACTGTAAATTTCCTGACAGCAGGATCTATTTTTATTTATCTATGCATCTTCCACAGAGCCTAGCATACTTTTTGATAGATGACAGATACTCAATATATATTGGATGAATGAATGAATGAACTAGTATAAAATAAAGATGTGTACAGTAAGTCCTCACTTAATGGCTTCAATAGGTTCTTAGAAACTGCAACTTTTAGCAAAACAATGTATAATGAAACCAATTTACTGTAGGCTAATTGATATAAACAAGAGCTAAGTTCCAATGATGCATTTCTGGTCACAAAAATATAACCAAGCTTCTAAATAAAGGCCAAAAACACTTTTGATATTAAACATTGAAATAAATGTGAGCTATACATACACATACATTTGTAAAAGATTAACAAAAACAAGAAAGATAATTATTATTTACCTCATTTTTGGTGAATCAGTGAGTAACAGTGGTTTTAGTGGATGTTGGTCAAGTCAAGGAATAAATGTTTGCAAAACAAAAATTTTAAGGATTCCCTCCTACCACCACAAAATTCAAAAACAGTAATTCTGACAGCCCTCTGAGTGCTTTTTGTCCCTCACTGTTTGTTTGTTTACTGTTGTGCATTTGTATGACTATTACATACCTTAGGAATCTTTATCTTATAATAATTTGTATTCATTCACTCATTTTCTAACCCACTATTCCAGTTCAGGGTCATGTGGGCGGCTGGAACCTATCCCTGGCAACTAAGTGTGCAAGGTGGGAGCCATCCCTGGCTAGAATGTTAATCCACCTCAAGGCGTACTCACACACGCACCCATATTCACTCGGACTGGGACCATGTAGACATGCCAATTAACCTAATGGCACAACTTTGGGATGTGAGAAGAAACCAGAATATCCAGGGAAAACCCATGTAGACAATGGGAGAATGTGTAAACTCCACACAGACAGTGGTCCTAGCCAGTCCTCAATTTTTTTTTTCTGATCAACATTATAATAAAACAAGGTTGAACAAAACAGCTCCTGGTGCACCAGGAGCTCTCAGTCTGGTTGAAAACTCAGAATGCAAACCAGCAAGGATAACTCAATGTGCTAAGTATCTTGGCAATAATAAACACTGCAAACATAATGGGCGATTGGCAGGGCTTAAGAGTTTTGAGAAGACCTAGGAAGAGAGATTAACTTGAAGATCTAAAAGATGAGTGAATTTGCTAAGTGAAGAAGTTACAAAGATAGACAGAAGGATGAGATGGCAAACCAGTGGTGAAATAGAGGCATTTCCTTAAATAAGGCAATGAGACATTTCCGTCATTAGAGGCAGAGGGAACAGCATGTGCAAAGGGCACAGAAAAATGAGCAAGTTTGACATTTAAAAATAACTTGCAGTGATTATAATGGGGATGTCAAATGGAGAGTCAGAGCAGAGAGGAGCAGCAAGACAGACTGTAGTCAGTAAAGACCCTGCCATGCCAGTTTGAACTTCATCACTTGAGCAATAACAAGCCGTTGATTTTTTTAAAGTGTAGTGAGATAGTCAAATTTCTGTCTTAGAAAGGCAAGTCTGGCTGACTGAGTTGGGGAAGACGATCCTCAGAAACTAGGAGGGAAGAAAACATTTACTGAGCTAAGTTTATATGCCAGGATATACTTTAGGGGTTTTCACGGATACACTGAAGTTTGCTTTATGTAATCTTTACAGCCACCACCAGAAATAAGGATTAGTATGCTCATTTAACAGATACAAATACGACACTTGAAATTATGAATAGAAGAAGGTTTAGAAATTGAGAAACTATTCACAATTCTAGGGGAGATCAAAAGTGATTGATGTATCTTAGAGGAGGGGTATTGAAGAAAGAAGGGCAGGAAGGGAAAAGTGGGAAGAAACACAGCATATTGGAGAACTCAGAATTCAGGAAGCATAATTAACAGAATCATTGGTTGGAGGTAGGCATGAGGAAGAAAGATAGTGATAGTTAAATAACGAATTCCAAGTCTCTAGAGTGTTGAAAGTTTTGGGACTTATATAACCACCTTCCTCCAGTGATTTTTTTACATCTCTCACATTTTTTTCTAATACAATTACCTTGAAATTTATAGAGGTAGATATGTATTTCCCTTGAGATGAAAAACTTAAGTTTTAGGAACTTGCATCTGTAGTATATTTCCCCAGGAGTTGGCTGCTGTAGCAAGAAAGAACTGATACTCCATTTTCAAGACAATTGCATATCTTTCAGCTCGGGTGTGTTGGGAGGATTTCTGTTCATAAACTGTTCAGAGGAATTTGGAAGCAAACAAATATGTAAGTGCAAAGAACTGTATCAGATGGGAGACACCACCCAGACTCTTGGCAAGCCAAAATTCACTTGGAAGCAATTAGTGGCTCAAGAGACTGATATCATAGAGGATCAAAGTGTTTATTGGGAAGTGATTTCGGGAGTAGAGGCCGCCAGTGACTTCACAGCAAACCACACGGTGATTGTGAAACTCTTACTGCATTTTGCAATGTCATACACAGCAGAGGGATGATTCCAAGTCCAGAGAAACCCTGCTGACATCCAAAAAGCCTCTTTTTCATGTTTCCAAGAACTTCTAGTACCTCATATTCTCCTTCTTCTCCCAGGCCTAATTTTTGTTGGTCTGTTTCCTATTTTGAGAGTTTCTTTAACAACTAACATGATTGGTGAATCTAGCCATGCATATACCCAGGCTTCTGTTTTACAACGGAATTATGAGTACATGAGCTGGATTAGGGTTAAGAAGATAAAGATAGAATGTTAATGCACCTTCTTGACCCCTCTGTCATACTTCTGACCACTTCCTCCAACCAAAATGATGAAGGAGGAAATAAAAACAGAGGATGTGAGTGACTCAGGAAGCTAGAGGCGGAAGAGAGGCAAAGAGACCTTAAAGACACCTTTATCTAGTGAATCTAATGAAGAGCTCCTCATTAATCTCTTTCACAGAAACACACTTTTTTGTTTTATAGCATTTATGAAAGATTGTGGCTTTATTTTTATAACAGATTACCACTTATCATCCCTAAAATGCTCAATAAGCCCTAAAAGAATGGTATTCAGGAGACTATAATGAGGGACGTGTGTGTGTGTTGGAATAATAGTGGATGCCAAAGTGAAAAGACAACCCAAGATTTGTACCTGGAGTTTAATCTAGGTAGAAAGATAAGATTTATAGTTTCCGAATATGAAACTCAGGCAAAACCAGGCCAATGAGCCAATGAAATGGTAGCTTCTATACATGGGATCATATGCTCAGGATCACTTTCTCTAAGGATAAAATTTCAGACTGCTTAATTCCATACATATTATCAAATTCCTTTGCAATAGATTCCAGTCTTTCGTTGCTCTGCCATCATCTCTCACCTTCCTTTCCTCTGTACTCCAACACATAAACACACACATGCACATTCTACACTGCAGCCATCCTCTTATTCCCACTATTTTAGTTTCCTAATGCTGCTATAGCAAATTGCCACACACTTAGTGACTTAAAACAACACACATTAATTATTTCATTAAGCCACAGGTCAGAAGTCCATCATGAGTCTCAGTGGACTAAAAACACCAAGGTGCAGGCAGGGCTGGGTTTCTTTTTGAGACCCTAAGGGAGAATATGTTTAATTTCCTTTTCTAGACTCTGGAGACTGAATTCTTCGGCTCATGGCCCCACTTCCCCCTCTTCAAAGACAGCAGCATGGCATTTTTAAATCTTTCTGCAATTCTGGTCGTATCTTGCTGTTTTTCTCTTATTTTATAAGGATGCTTGTAAATACATGGAGTCCACAAAAAATCCAGGATAATCTTATTGTTCTAAGATTTTTATCATAATTGTATCTGTACAGTCCTTTTGTCATATAAGGTAACATATTCAGAGGCTTTGTGCAATAGGTCATGAGCAGCTTTGAGGAACAGTGGTCTTTATTCTGCCTATTGCACCTAAAGAACACAGCATTTTCCCACTTTTATATCTTCTTGCAGGCTGATTTCTCTGCCCACATTCCCTTTCCTTCCTTGTCTAACTTGAGATCACCCAACTTGACTATGACCTCTTCTTTAAATCTCTCTCTAACTGTCTTTCTCTTGGAAGAATTGCTATTGTATCCTTATCTCCAAGGCAACATGTTAAACATTGAGTTTATTACAGAGTTTATCACATAGTGTTGTTTTTCTCTGTCATTTATCTGTTTCCTGCAATAGAATGAGAGTTTATCAAGGTCAGAGCATATACCTTTCTTATTTATTTTTCATTTACTACTACCTAGAAAAATGCTATTACTAAACATGGCTTATCTTGTATTTAACTGAATTCATTGATAAAGGTAGAATATTTTTGATTATTAATGACAAGACATTGTGGTGTTCCTTCTCATGCCAGTTCAATAACTTTCTTCACCTGTGTCCCTGAAAGGCTATGCTTATACCGTAATACCTAAGTTCAGAATTTAGAAGGAATTTTTTTTTAAAAGGTGATTATTTCATGTGATGCCAGAACCTAAAGCTAGGACTAAAACACCAACTTACTGAGGGCCTACTTTTGAGTCATCATGAGCAAGAATTTTCTGGTGAGAAAAGCTGTAAATTCAGAATTGGCTCGCTTAAAAGCGGGACCATGTTACTGCACTTAGTGTAATTAATAGAGAGCAGAAATACATCCACTTGGAAGGCTGGAAAGGCTATCCTGTGTTATGTAGCTCGACCAGTGAAGAACAACTACTTGCTTAATATAAGGGCAAATTAAAAACAAAAACAAAAACAAAAACTATTGCCACATTTTAAAAAAATCAATGTTAAATATATTAGAGTGATATAATGAGAAATATGGGGGCAAGGTCCGCAAATAATTGGTCTGTTTTCAGCTTTGTCCTAGGCTGGGTTAAAAAAAAAAGAACTGGTCTCTTTACTGAAAAAAAAAATCATAAGTTTGAAAAGAACTGAAAGAGCTGAAGAAAGTAATAGGCAGTTCTATAATACTCCAACTCTAATAATAGATATATCATCCAGGTAAAAAAAAAAATTATCTAGATAGATGATAGATCATCTACATAGATGATAAATCATTTAGACAGAAGCTCAATAAAGAAATAGAAGACTTGAAAAGCCCTATAAGCCAACCAGATGTAACAGACAAATATAATACTGCACACAAGAATAACAGAATACACATTATTCTCAAGTGCATGTGGAACTTTCTCCGGGGTGGACCATACATTAGGTCCAAAAAGTAAGTCTCAAGAAATTTAAAAAGACTCAAATCCTACCAAGTATCTTCTTTAACTACAATATAAGTTAGCTAGAAATCACTAATAGAGGGAAAACTGGAAAATTTACAAATACATGGAAATTAAACAACACACTCTTAAATAGCCACTATTTGACAGTGGTTCATTACATAAATCGTTTGAGTGGGAGCTGAACATTGATCACACGTGGACATAAATATGAGAATAATAAACACTGCAGACTACTAGAAGGATGAGAAAGGGAGGAACATGGGTTGAAAAACTACCTTTTGGGTACTATGCTCATAACACCATACTCCAAACCTCAGCATCATGCAATATTCCAATACAACAAACCTGCATATGTACCAACTGTGTTTAAAATACAATTTGAAAAAAAAAAGAAAAAAAGAAATCAAAAAGAAAATGCAAAATATTTAAAGAAAAATGGACATTAATACACAGCCTACAAGAACTGATGGGATGCAGTGAAGCAGTGCTCAGAAGAAAATGTATAACTTTAAATGCATGTATTAATGGAGAAGGATCTCAAATCAAAAACCTAACTTTACACCTCAAAAACCTAGAAAATAAAAGCAAACTAAACTTAAGCTAGAAGGAGAGGAATAATAATGAGTACAGCAAATATAAGCACAATAAAGTAGAAAAACAACAGAATTCACAAACCTAAAAGTTGGTTATTTGAAATTTTCAACATTGACAAACCTTTAGCTAAACTGAGAACAGAAGAGAGAAGACAGAAATAACTAAAATCAAAAACCAAAATGAGACATTGCTATCATCCTTACAGAAATAGAAGAATTATAAGAAAACACAATGGCAACCATATAGTAATAATTTAGATAACCTAGTGAAATGGGCAAATTCCTAGAAATAAACAAATTATGAAAACTGGTTTAAGAAGAAATAAAAAATCTAAACAGACATATAACAAGTAAAGAAATTGAATAAATGATCAAAAACCTCCCAACAGAGAAAAGTCTAGGACCAGATGGCTTCACTTGTGAATTCTACTAAATATTTAAAAAGGAATTAACACCAATCCTTCTCAAACTCTGGCAAATAAATATATAAGAAGAAGATGAAGGAGCAATTCTCAATTCATTGTATAAAGCCAGCATTATCCTTATACCAAAACCAGACAAAGATATCACAAGGAAATAAAACTAGAGATTAATATATCTTTTGAATATAAATGCAAAAATTCTCAGCAAAATTCTAGCAAGCCAATTATAATAGCATATTAAAATAATTAAATGCCATAAGCAGATGGGATTTGTCCCAGTAATGTAAGAGTTTTTCAATATAAAAAATTAATGTAATATGCCATATTAATAGAAAAAAGAAAAAATGCATGTGATCATCTAACTTGACACAGAAAACACATTTTGTAAAATCCAACATCCTTTCATGATAACAAAAAATCACTTAGAAAATTTTCTTAACATGAAGAAGGGGACTTATGAAAAAGTCAAGTCACAGCTAACATCATACTTAATAGTGAAAACCTGAAAACTTTCTAACAGTAGGTCCAAAACAAAGATGACCACTTTCACCACTGCAATTCAGCATTGTACTGAAAATTCTAGCCAAAACAATTGGGCAAGAAAAATTAATAAAAGCTATCCAAATTTGAAATAAAAAAGTAAAGTTATCTCTATTTGAAGATGACATGATAGAGTAACATACATAAAATCTCAAAGTCTACACACACACACACACACACACACACACACACACACAATTAGAGCTAACAAAAAAATCTAGCAAAGTGGATCAACAGAAAAGTCAGTTCTGTTTCTAAAAACCAACAATGAACAGTCCAAGAAAAATATATGTTTTAAAAATTCTACTTTTAATATCATCCAAAAATAAAATAAATTTAACTAAGGAAGTGAAAGATTTGCACACCAGAAACTCTAAAGTATTACTGAAAGAAATTAAAGAAGTTCTAAGTAAATGAAAAGACATTCCATGTTTATGGATTGAAAGACTTAATATTGTTAAGATGGCAATACCACCAAAAGCTATTTGCAGATTCAGTGCAATCTCTACTGCTATTCTAACAATGTTTTTTGTAAAATGGAAAAGTTGATTCTCAAATTTATTTGTGAAACATCCCAAATAATCAAAACAATCTTGAACAATAAGAACAAAGTTGGAAGACGCATGCTTTCTGATTTCAAAAATACTAAAAACATACAGCAATCAAAACAGTGTGTAACTGGCATAAGAGTAGATATATTGACTAATGGAATAGAGATGAGACTCCAGATATAAACCCATATATCTATGGCCAATTGATTTTTGACAATTATTTCTAGATCATTCAATGGAGAAAGAATAGACTTTTTAACAAATGATGCTATGACAACTGCAAGAGAATGAAATTGGACTCATCTCACATCATATACAGAAATTAAGGTAAAAATGTGTCAACAACCTGAATATATGAACTAAAACTATAAAACTCTTAGAAGAAAACATAGAGTAATTCTGCATCAGCTTAGATTTGACAATGATTCCTTAGATACCATACCAAAAACATGAATAACAAAAGGAAAAATTAATAAATTGGACTTCAAAATTTAAAACCTTTATGCGTCAAAGAACATTATCTGAATGTGAAAATAACCTACAGAATGTAGAAAATTATTTGCAAATCTTGTATCTCATAAGGGTCTACTATACAGAATATATAAAGAACTCTTAAAACACAACAATAAAACAATAGCCAATTAAAAAATAGGCAAAGAACTTAAATATACATTTCTCTAAAAAAGATATACAAATGGCCAAGAACCACATGAAAATATTCTCAACATCATTAGTTACTATGGAAATGCAAACCCAAGCCACAATGCAGTAATACTTCTCACCCACTAAAGTGTCTATAATCAGAAACACAAAAATCAACAAGTGTTAGCAAGGATGTAGAGAGATTAGAACTTTCATACATTGCTGCGGGGAATGTAAAATCATTCAAGCACTCTGTAAAACACTGTACTGGTTTCTCAAAAAGGGAAAGAGAGAATTACCATGTGTTCTAACAATTTCATTTCTAGGTATATAGCCAAAAAATTGAAAACAGATACTCACAAAATACTTGCACATGCATATTTATAGCAGCATGATTTACAATAGCCAAAAGTTGGAATCAACTCAAATGTCCATCAATGAATGGAATGAAGAAACAATACACAGACACACACACACACACACATATGCACACTGAGAAACAATACACACACACACACGCATAATGAAATATTCATTCATGAAAAAGTCATAAAGTATTTATGCATGCTACAAAATGGGTGAATCTTGAAAATATAAAGGTAAATAAAAAAAAGCCAGACACAAGGTCATATATTGTATGATTCTATTTAAATAAAATATCCACAGTAGATAAATCCATAAAAACAGAAAGTAGGAAGAAATGGCAATTAACTTGGTAATGCTTACAGGGTTTTATTTTGGAGTGATGAAAATGTTTTGGAATTAGATAGAGGTTATGGTTACACAACATCTTTGAGTGTACTAGATGTCACTGAACTGTTCACTTTAAAAGGGCTAATTTTTTGTCATACGAATTAAATCTTAATTTAACAATGATTTTTTAATCTGGATTTGAACATTGTTTTGAGGACTCACATTGTAATTAAATTTGGCTGGTAGTAATTTTTTAAGTATATTGAGTCCCAGGGAATAAACATATAATTATACCACCAAATTTAACCATTTTAGTGCACAAAAAAAGTTACATATTTAATGAGTTCCTGTTATTTTGTCAACACAGTAGCAGGGTCCGTGTTTTTCTGGGAATGACCCATTCATTGACAATATTGACATGATGGTCATGGTATCAGCAATGTTACTTGATCCCAGAGTTGATTTGTTTAGGAGTAGGCACTTGTTCCAAATTCAGTCATCAAATTTTTATTCAATTCAGCTTTAAAATTGAAATGTATATCTTGCGGATTGTAAGAGATAAAATATAAAAATGGAAACCACTGGATTAGCTATATTTTTCACCATTTGGACCAGAGAAGGAAAGGAAAGAAATTTGAAAAAAAAAAAAAAAAAGTGAAAGAGAAGACAGAGATACGAAGAGAAGCATGAGGATAAAAAGGAGGTCTTGAGGACAGACTTGTCTCTGGTTCCAGATACTTCTCTGAGCTTTCGCTTAATTGCTCTACATCATTATAAGACACTGTCTCTTTAACTTAAATTACTAGGTTTCCTGTCTCTGGAAATGAAATGAATTATAACCATTACACAGTGCAAAAAATGAATACTGCCCCATAGACACAAAAATGTTAGTACCTTTGCATATTTTAAACACAGAAATATATAGACAAATTCTCTTTATTTAAACCATGTAAACATATACAGGATTTTAGAGGTTTAAAGTATATTTTAATGCATTATCTTATTCCATCCTAATACCATCCTAGAAGTAAATGTTATTTTCAGTTCCATTATAGGGATTGGAAGACTGAGCCCTAGAAAAGTAAAATGACTTGCCCAAGTCAGCAACAGAACAGGGCCTACAATTATGTTATTCCATTAAAAGCAATTGTTACTTAGCAGTCATCTTGTTAGTACCTATTACTGGGAGTCAGAAACAGAAAGAAATCAGGGGTGCTCCTGCCCCAGCTTTCTCTCAATTTGGACCTCCTCTCCCATGGACACAATCTCTTCTCTACTTTGTGTGGCCAAGTAGAATGAGCTGTTCTGTGGAGAAAAAATAAACTGTTGTCTCTCCCACCATACTCTCACAACATGCTTTTGACACCAGATGTGTGGGAATTTCTCCCAACCAACAAACAAGCAATCACTTCTGCAGTGGATACCAGCTGGGTGCCCTCTAATTCAATTCAATTTTGACTTTACTTACCTTGAGATAGTATCAGATCACACAGGCTAAGGACACAGTCTCACAAAACTGAGCCTCACTTTCAATGGCTATCACAAGCCATTTTATTGCTATAATTTTATTGTTTCTAGGGATTTAATATCTGCTTTTTGTTCCACTTTTTTCTTATGATCACTTTGCATAGGATATGATTTCAACATTTTTCTATTGGTTGGTTTTATGTAAAGTTAATTTACATAGATTTTTAGAAGATACTACAGTTCAGGGTAACACTTTCAACTTCATCTCCTTTTTTGCTGTTTTAAGTAGTGTTTGAAAATATGGGAGCCTGCCTTCAAGGATTTCATGGCTCTTTTCTCTTCTTCTGCTTTTAACTTCACCTTCTCTTCTCTCTCTCTGTCCAGTTCTTCAGTTCCATTTTGATTCAATTTCTATATATTTCTCTTTGTGGAGGCTTGCTCTGAAGACGAACTCTGGCTGGTGAGTTTTGAGAGTTCATATAATCTAGAGTAATCCAGCTCCTTAAAACAGGCATTTCACACTCACCGTTTGCTGGAGTGGTAAAGAATACCTAAGTTTTAGCTGGTATTTTCAAATTGTCCCACTTCGCTGAAAGAAATAAAAACATTTTAACCCAAGACATATTTCTCTGACATATTTTGAGATGCCTGTTAGAGGGCCAGCAAACAGAAATGACCCTACAAAGCCATCTTTTGCTGGGAAATACGCATTTGTAAAAAATCTGCATTAATGCAGTCTGGCCTTTCCTTGTCCAGACGTAGGAAAGATTAACTGAGTCTATCACCTTAAGATCTAAAATAATACTTTACTATCTATTCTCTCTGAGGGCAGCTACTAGTGAATTTTCATCTATATAACAAGACCACCTTTACCAGCCACGTCTTCTCTGTCCCTCCCGGCCAAGCCTGCCTGTGACTTCCTAGGTCTGCATGGAGCCTCTCCTGCTTCCATAGTCTGCCTTGCCATTAAAACTTGATTTACCACCATGAACTTTTTGTCATGCACCAACCCCACATTTTTTTCTCTAACTCCAAGGTGGTATGCCAGCTTCTGTATCCCTCTGGAGAGTTGGATCTTCATGGTGAAGACTCCAATGTATAAATGCTAAATAAATTTGAATACTTTTTCTTCAATTAATCAGCCTTTTGCCAGTTGATGTTTTTTTTCAGCAAATCTTCAAGGGTCAAAGGCCTTGGTCCCTACCTTGCTATCCAGTATTCTATTCTCCTCAGTGTCACCCCATTGTTTCCCTCTGATTCTTCTAGTTAGTTGCTGATTCTATTCAGGTTACTGGTGATTTGCCTTCACTTGCTTGTATTTTGGAGTTCATGAGGATACTTGCTTTTTTGGTAAACAATGCCCATGAGTTTTTGGTTCTCAGTTTTATTGTTTAATCTTTTTTGATAGTTTATTTTTATTTCTTGCTGCTTTTAAGATTTTTCTTTCATTTTTGTTTTTTAACAATTTCACTCTTTATTAGGTTTTTGGGGTTTGTGGTTGGCTGTTGAATCTCTGGTTTGATGACTTTCATCAATTTCAAAAAAAAAAAATCAGCCAATATGATCACACATATTGCTTCTGACATGTATTATTTCTTTTCTCTTTCTGGGTCTCCAATTATAAATATAGCAGGTCTTTTCACTATCTCTCATGTCTGTTATGTAATTTTATTTCTTCTTTTCACTTTTAATTTTATTAAAAAAATTTATTTTCATAATTTTTTATTTTCCATTGTTTATTCTCATTTTGTCCTTGTTGTACAATTGGAAAATTTCAACAGACCTAACTGCTACTTAAATTACTTTGTTTTACTTCATCTACACTGTTGCTTAACCAATTTAATGTTTTTGTCATAATAAATTTATTTGAATTTTCAGTTCCAGATTTCCATTTTATTTTATGGCTTCTAATAGTCATGTAAAATTCTTGATCTTATTATCTGTTTTCTTAAACATCCTATTCAGTTATTTAAAATTTTTTAATATTTTCCAATTTTAGAGCTTTAAATAATTTAAAAAACTGGTTCACTTTTGCATCTGCCTCTATTGCCTTTTATTCTCTTGGTTTTCAGCTTTTGATTCTAACTATTTGCATTCCTGGTATTTTCTTTATTGAATGCCAAATATTGTTTATGGAAAATAGTAGCTGCTCTGAAAAATGTTATTTTTTTTTTCAGGGAACATTTAATTTTCTCTCTGATTGGTTGAGAAAGTGAGAGAAGTACCTTGTAACAATCAAGAATTGAACAGTTTAAGGCTGGTTTTCAGTCATAGTAAAGGCTGATCTATTTCCAGTTTGTCCTCATTCATAGGATGCAATCTTTCAGGAAACTTAACTGAAAATCTAGTGTTTACTAAGCTTCTTTCTCTTTACTAAAAACGGAACTGCAGTTTTTGTCTTCCAAGCACCATAATTTAACTTATGTTTTTTTCTGTTTTAGTGTCTTAGTTGCCACTTTCTACTGGATCTTCGCCTTCACGCATCCTAGGAATTGTCAAGTCCCTTCATGTAAAAACACTAGAGAAAGTCCAACTCACTTCTGAGCACAAATTTAATTCTCCCTTGTCTTATAAGACTGCTGAGAGTTCTGGGCTACCCTTACTGTTTGTTTTTTTGTTTTTTTGTTTTTTTATTTTTTCGGAGCAGAGGTTTTTAATAGGTAGGAGAGAAGAGAAAGAGAAACAGCTTCTTCCATAGAGGATGGTGTCTCTGAGTGGAAAGGACCTGACCACCTTTTGTTTGGCTTCTTGGCCCAGCATAATTTAGAAATTGAAAACTGCCTTGAGGGGAGTGTCTTTATGGAATCTTGCCCCTTCCAGTGCTAAATTTCTTGGTTGCTTTGTGAATGACTTCAAACATCCCCATTTGTCAAAACATTTCTTTATAGTCATTTTTTCACAAGAATCACAATCATGTTTTCACAAAGCACCCACCATTCATACTCATATATTGACATGAATGTTTGCTTGAAACAATCTATTCTGTGATAGCAGCAACTCCTCTTTGTTCTGCTATTAAATTATGAACTTCTGAGATTATTTAGTCAGTATTTGCTTCCACGTAAGCTGTATGTAGGTAGAGAACATCTTGTATTTCTAAATTCTAACCAGAATTTGCCATACCCTGCCATTCAATAAATTTCTGTTGATTGTTATTGAATGAAAAAACTCTATTTTATTTTACTTTATTTTGTTCCTCATTAAGAATACTTTGAACAGTTACTATGCACCCAATTATAACTTGAGAACTTTGCAGGTACAAAGAAATATAAGGTATAGTTTTTGCCTTCAAATAATTCATATACTTTAATCAGAGACTCCTGTAATTACAGATATTGTTAAGGTCAACCAGATCTGCCAAACTTATTAAACAACTGAAATCACAAAGCTTAAATTGACATTGTAGTCCTCCAGTCTAGACATAGGTAGATTTTAACTAACAAGACAATAATAGTAGTTTGGTAGTATATTCCTAGACTGCTGTATGGAGAGGCATTCTATGGCTACATATGGTATTCAAAGAGTCCCAAGATTGATTAGTCTTTCCTATTATGTGTATTGGTCATGAGAATGGCAAACAATATTCATATGTTAGCGTTCTCTGATAAAATCCATTTACATCATGAAAAAACCAGACAATTAAGGTTCTAGGAAATAGAATTTGAAAACAAGCACCGGGTTTTGGGCAAGTTGGGAACTTATACAGAGTTGTGTTGTAGGCAAAATAGAACTTGTAGGAAACCTCAGTTCATGTTCCTGAATTTCTACTTGTATACCTAAAATTTATTATTTACCAAATCTCTGGCACAATTTTTAGAGTTTTACGTGTATTGACTTATTTACTATTCACAGCTTTATCAATAAGTTATTATCATTTTATGATCTTGGCAAATTACCTGAATGCTCTGAGCCTTACTTCCTTATGTGTATGGCATGGGTCACCAAAGCTACTTTACAGAGTTAACTCAAAGCTTATATGACATAATGTATGTGAATACAATCTACAATCTAAAAATGTAATATGCTATGATTATTTCTGGCCCATCACACTGTGATTGCTATTGAGTGAAGAAATAAAAAATAAAAAGCAAGATGACACTGGGTTCGAATTGTGTAGTATAGTGTGTAAGTGCTGTACTAAAGGAAGTCTTTGAGGGCTGAGATAATGAGGCAAGAAATGAATTCATGGAGAACAGTGACTTTATTGATGAATTAAAACATGAGAAAGAGGAAAAATTGAAGACTGTGGAGCAAGAATAAGAATATTATTTCCTGAAATACTAAGAAGGGTTACCTGAGTAAAATGAAAAGAGTATACATTGAAGAAAAAAAAACCATGTCATTATAGAATATAATTGAATATTTTTTATACTTGAAATGAGTATGATTTTAATCACTGTATTTTTTTCTAGTTATTACCACTATTTCTGTGCATGTTTTTGTTTATTCCATTTGACTGAGGGATTTTTTAGGACAAAGGCTGCCATTCTTTATTATATCCCTTTACATATAGTGAAAAAATACAGTCATTGGAGCAAGAGATGTGAGTTGAAATCTTTGCTTTACTCAATTCTTGTGTGACTGTAAAAGTTTTCTTTCTGGGTGTAGTGGCACATGCCTATACTCCCAGCTACTTAAAATGTTGAGGCAGTTGGATCATTTGAGCCCAGAAGTTTGAGTCCAGCCTGGACAACATAGCCAGAACCCATCACAGTCAATCAATCAATCAATCAATCAATGTTTTCTCATCTATGTAATGGAGCTAATGAGGCTTGAAGAAACAGAATGAGAGTGGTGAGAATCAAAAATGTATATAGGGTGCACTATTGACTGAGAAGTGGTATCCAAGTAATTTGATTGACACCACCACTATAATCATCATCATAATCACTCCATAATCATGATCTTCATTAGACCTAACACTGTCTTGCAAGGTGGACCAATGAATGTTTGCTGATTGAAAGAATGATGGAATAAGTGGATGAGTAAATGAGTAAGACAAGATAGACTAGTAACAAAGCAAGATGCTGTATTTTTCAGGGCCTTGAAATTTTATTTTTAGTAAGTAGGTCAAGACAAAAGATAAGTTACCACTGCTTAACTTTGAAGTCCTGCTTTTTGTGTAGTTTTCTAACAGTAGTATGTAAAGTTGCCTTTAATGGAGCCCAAGAAAAGGTCAGAGACCATAGGTGGGAGTAGGGGTGGGGGAGGGGGGAAATCATATTCTTCTAAAGGAACTTTTAAATACTTTGGCACCAAGAGAAAACACGTTTTTTTCAGTAAGTGGGAGCCAGCAGCTGACCTTCCAGCAGATGAGAGCAGGGAGTCCAACGTTCTCCTTCAGTAAGTCTATTGTGAATGGACTGTGCAACCAGAGTATCCCTGTTCAGAATCCCAGCATGTGTATCCAAATCTGACATCCATTTCCAGGAGCAAATATTTGCCACTGAAGCTTAAGATGTTATTTCACAGTGGAAATCGTATCAGCCAATTTTAGAAGAGTTTAAAGCTCGTGACATTTCCTGTCTCTTTTGGGAAATTTGTGTATGCTAAAAAAAAAAATATTCTTAAGAATCAGAATCAATTTCGTCCCAAAATAACATCAATTTTTTGCCTTCTCTTCATAACTTCTGATGTTGACAGTCACTTATGCTTGAGGATAAAGACATCAGCCCGAAGGGGGAAAAAGCAGATGTGGAAAAAATTTGTAAGATTTGAAAAAGTGCCCCTGTATTAAATTTCTGATTCTGCTGTGAAGGATCTTCTCATGATGAGTGAAAGGAAGGAAAACCCACAAAGTCAACCTCTTGGGTGGGTGGAAGGAAAGAATGGAAGAAATTTTTAAAAAGACATTTTTTGTTCAAAATGGAATCACTTGCTCAAGACAAAAGCAAAATAAAATGAAACAGGAAGAACCCCAAATTACAAATATTATCAAGAGCTTAGTGTTATTTACAAATTGATTTGAATAAATGCAATTGCTTTTTGTATGCATCTATATATATTTGAATTTATATGTGTATTTTTACTGGTTTTATTAAAAATGTTTTCTAATCACAAAATGTTCTATAATTTATATGATAGTAAAAGTCTCAAACATAGAGAAAGCTGGGTTAGTGATTGATAGAGTAGAAAAAATGAACAACTCTTCAGAGTCTTTGTTCTTTTGATCTTTAAACTTAGTTTTATCACTTTGAAGAATTCTAAATTCTCATAACTTATTTTATCCCATTATTCAGGGTAATGAATGTGAAACTGTCTTCCCATGCTAAATATAGTGTAGGGGAGTATTTATGTCTCTGGTCATCCTGATTTGCATAAATCCTGAATGTGATCATGAGAATGACAGGAAATTGGTGAAAATATTTGGTGATGAAAGTATTGAGTCCTAGTTGAATCTTCCTCCAGGAAAATATTTTTAAAATCTTATTGAGTAGATAGTTCAGCTACCTGTGAAAGTCATGGGACAAGAAAAAATCAGGCGAGGTACTCTCCTATTTCAAAGGCCATCCCTATTTTCTTTTTTTTTTTTTTTATACTTTAAGTTTTAGGGTACATGTGCACATTGTGCAGGTTAGTTACATACGTATACATGTGCTATGCTGGTGCGCTGCACCCACTAACTCTTCATCTAGCATTAGGTATATCTCCCAATGCTATCCCTCCCCCCTCCCCCCACCCCACAACAGTCCCCAGAGTGTGATATTCCCCTTCCTGTGTCCATGTGATCTCATTGTTCAATTCCCACCTATGAGTGAGAATATGCAGTGTTTGGTTTTTTGTTCTTGTGATAGTTTACTGAGAATGATGATTTCCAATTTCATCCATGTCCCTACAAAGGACATGAACTCATCATTTTTTATGGCTGCATAGTATTCCATGGTGTATATGTGCCACATTTTCTTAATCCAGTCTATCAATGTTGGACATTTGGGTTGGTTCCAAGTCTTTGCTATTGTGAATAATGCCACAATAAACATACATGTGCATGTGTCTTTATAGCAGCATGATTTATATTCCTTTGGGTATATACCCAGTAATGGGATGGCTGGGTCAAATGGTATTTCTAGTTCTAGATCCCTGAGGAATCGCCACACTCACTTCCACAATGGTTGAACTAGTTTACAGTCCCACCAACAATGTAAAAGTGTTCCTATTTCTCCACATCCTCTCCAGCACCTGTTGTTTCCTGACTTTTTAATGATTGCCATTCTAACTGGTGTGAGATGGTATCTCATAGTGGTTTTGATTTGCATTTCTCTGATGGCCAGTGATGATGAGCATTTTTTCAAGTGTTTTTTGGCTGCATAAATGTCTTCTTTTGAGAAGTGGCTGTTCATGTCCTTCGCCCACTTTTTCATGGGGTTGTTTGTTTTTTTCTTGTAAATTTGTTTGAGTTCATTGTAGATTCTGGATATTAGCCCTTTGTCAGATGAGTAGGTTGCAAAAATTTTCTCCCATTCTGTAGGTTGCCTGTTCACTCTGATGGTACTTTCTTTTGCTGTGCAGAAGCTCTTTAGTTTAATTAATTAGATCCCATTTGTCAATTTTGTCTTTTGTTGCCATTGCTTTTGGTGTTTTGGACATGAAGTCCTTGCCCATGCCTATGTCCTGAATGGTAATGCCTAGGTTTTCTTCTAGGGTTTTTATGGTTTTAGGTCTAACATGTAAGTCTTTAATCCATCTTGAATTGATTTTTGTATAAGGTGTAAGGAAGGGATCCAGTTTCAGCTTTCTACATATGGCTAGCCAGTTTTCCCGGCACCATTTATTAAATAGGGAATCCTTTTCCCATTGCTTGTTTTTCTCAGGTTTGTCAAAGATCAGATAGTTGTAGATATGCGGCGTTATTTCTGAGGGCTCTGTTCTGTTCCATTGATCTATATCTCTGTTTTGGTACCAGTACCATGCTGTTTTGGTTACTGTGGCCTTGTAGTATAGTTTGAAGTCAGGTAGTGTGATGCCTCCAGCTTTGTTCTTTTGGCTTAGGATTGACTTGGTGATGAGGGCTCTTTTTTGGTTCCATATGAACTTTAAAGTAGATTTTTCCAATTCTGTGAAGAAAGTCATTGGTAGCTTGATGGGGATGGCATTGAATCTGCAAATTACCTTGGGCAGTATGGCCATTTTCATGATATTGATTCTTCCTACCCATGAGCATGGAATGTTTTTCCATTTGTTTGTATCCTCTTTTATTTCCTTGAGCAGTGGTTTGTAGTTCTCCTTGAAGAGGTCCTTCATATCCCTTGTAAGTTGGATTCCTAGGTATTTTATTCTCTTTGAAGCAATTGTGAATGGGATTTCACTCATGATTTGGCTCTCTGTTTGTCTGTTGTTGGTGTATAAGAATGCCTGTGATTTTTGTACATTGATTTTGTATCCTGAGACTTTGCTGAAGTTGCTTATCAGCTTAAGGAGATTTTGGGCTGAGACAATGGGGTTTTCTAGGTATACAATCATGTAGTCTGCAAACAGGGACAATTTGACTTCCTCTTTTCCTAATTGAATACCCTTTATTTCCTTCTCCTGCCTAATTGCCCTGGCCAGAACTTCCAACTATGTTGAATAGGAGTGGTAAGAGAGGGCATCCCTGTCTTGTGCCAGTTTTCAAAGGGAATGCTTCCAGTTTTTGCCCATTCAGTATGATATTGGCTGTGGGTTTGTCATAGATAGCTCTTATTATTTTGAGATACGTCCCATCAATACCTAATTTATTGAGAGTTTTTAGCATGAAGGGTTGTTGAATTTTGTCAAAGGCTTTTTCTGCATCTATTGAGATAATCCTGTGGTTTTTGTCTTTGGCTCTGTTTATATGCTGGATTATATTTATTGATTTGCGTATATTGAACCAGCCTTGCATCCCAGGGATGAAGCCCACTTGATCATGGTGGATAAGCTTTTTGATGTGCTGCTGGATTCGGTTTGCCAGTATTTTATTGAGGATTTTTGCATCAATGTTCATCAAGGATATTGGTCTAAAATTCTCTTTTTTGGTTGTGTCTCTGCCAGGCTTTGGTATCAGGATGATGCTGGCCTCATAAAATGAGTTAGGGAGGATTCCCTCTTTTTCTATGGATTGGAATAGTTTCAGAAGGAATGTTACCAGCTCCTCCTTATACCTCTGGTAGAATTCGGCTGTGAATCCATCTGGTCCTGGACTCTTTTTGGTTGGTAAGCTATTGATTATTGCCACAATTTCAGATCCTGTTATTGGTCTATTCAGAGATTCAACTTCTTCCTGGTTTAGTCTTGGGAGAGTGTATGTGTCGAGGAATTTATCCATTTCTTCTAGATTTTCTAGTTTATTTGCGTAGAGGTGTTTGTAGTATTCTCTGATGGTAGTTTGTATTTCTGTGGGATTGGTGGTGATATCCCCTTTATCATTTTTTATTGCATCTATTTGATTCTTCTCTCTTTTTTTCTTTATTAGTCTTGCTAGCCGTCTATCAATTTTGTTGATCCTTTCAAAAAACCAGCTCCTGGATTCATTAATTTTTTGAAGGGTTTTTTGTGTCTCTATTTCCTTCAGTTCTGCTCTGATTTTAGTTATTTCTTGCCTTCTGCTAGCTTTGAATGTGTTTGCTCTTGCTTTTCTAGTTCTTTTAATTGTGATGTTAGGGTGTCAATTTTGGATCTTTCCTGCTTTCTCTTGTGGGCATTTAGTGCTATAAATTTCCCTCTACACACTGCTTTGAATGCGTCCCAGAGATTCTGGTATGTTGTGTCTTTGTTCTCGTTGGTTTCAAAGAACATCTTTATTTCTGCCTTCATTTCGTTATGTACCCAGTAGTCATTCAGGAGCAGGTTGTTCAGTTTCCATGTAGTTGAGAGGTTTTGAGTGAGATTCTTAATCCTGAGTTCTAGTTTGATTGCACTGTGGTCTGAGAGATAGTTTGTTATAATCTCTGTTCTTCTACATTTGCTGAGGAGAGCTTTACTTCCAAGTATGTGGTCAATTTTGGAATAGGTGTGGTGTGGTGCTGAAAAAAATGTATATTCTGTTGATTTGGGGTGGAGAGTTCCGTAGATGTCTATTAGGTCTGCTTGGTGCAGAGCTGAGTTCAATTCCTGGGTATCCTTGTTGACTTTCTGTCTCGTTGATCTGTCTAATGTTGACAGTGGTGTGTTAAAGTCTCCCATTATTAATGTGTGGGAGTCTAAGTCTCTTTGTAGGTCACTCAGGACTTGCTTTATGAATCTGGGTGCTCCTGTATTGGGTGCATATATATTTAGGATAGTTAGCTCTTCTTGTTGAATTGATCCCTTTACCATTATGTAATGTCCTTCTTTGTGTCTTTTGATCTTTGTTGGTTTAAAGTCTGTTTTATCAGAGACTAGGATTGCAACCCCTGCCTTTTTTTTGATTTCCATTTGCTTGGTAGATCTTCCTCCATCCTTTTATTTTGAGCCTATGTGTGTCTCTGCATGTGAGATGGGTTTCCTGAATACAGCACACTGATGGGTCTTGACTCTTTATCCAATTTGCCAGTCTGTGTCTTTTAATTGGAGCATTTAGTCCATTTACATTTAAAGTTCATATTGTTATGTGTGAATTTGATCCTGTCAGTATGATGTTAGCTGGTTCTTTTGCTGGTTAGTTGATGCAGTTTCTTCCTAGTCTCGATGGTCTTTACATTTTGGCATGATTTTGCAACGGCTGGTACCAGTTGTTCCTTTCCATCTTTAGTGCTTCCTTCAGGAGGTCTTTTAGGGCAGGCCTGGTGGTGACAAAATCTCTCAGCATTTGCTGGTCTGTATTTTATTTCTCCTTCACTTATGAAGCTTAGTTGGGCTGGATATGAAATTCTGGGTTGAAAATGATTTTCTTTAAGAATGTTGAATGTTGGCCCCCACTCTCTTCTGGCTTGTAGGGTTTCTGCTGAGAGATCCGCTGTTAGTCTGATGGGCTTCCCTTTGAGGGTAACCCGACCTTTCTCTCTGGCTGCCCTTAACATTTTTTCCTTCATTTCAACTTTGGTGAATCTGACAATTATGTGTCTTGGAGTTGCTCTTCTCGAGGAGGATCTTTGTGGCGTTCTCTGTATTTCCTGAATCTGAACGTTGGCCTGCCTTGCTAGATTGGGGAAGTTCTCCTGGATAATATCCTGCAGAGTGTTTTCCAACTTGGTTCCATTCTCCCCATCACTTTCAGGTACACCAATCAGACGTAGATTTGGTCTTTTCACATAGTCCCATATTTCTTGGAGGCTTTGCTCATTTCTTTCTTTTCTTTTTTCTCTAAACTTCCCTTCTCGCTTCATTTCATTCATTTCATCTTCCATTGCTGATACCCTTTCTTCCAGTTGATCGCATCGGCTCCTGAGGCTTCTGCATTCTTCACGTAGTTCTCGAGCCTTGGTTTTCAGCTCCATCAGCTCCTTTAAGCACTTCTCTGTATTGGTTACTTTAGTTATACATTCTCCTAAATTTTTTTCAAAGTTTTCAACTTCTTTGCCTTTGGTTTGAATGTCCTCCCGTAGCTCAGAGTAATTTGATCGTCTGAAGCCTTCTTCTCTCAGCTCGTCAAAGTCATTCTCCATCCACCTTTGTTCTGTTGCTGGTGAGGAACTGTGTTCCTTTGGAGGAGGAGAGGCACTCTGCTTTTTAGAGTTTCCAGTTTTTCTGTTCTGTTTTTTTCCCCATCTTTGTGGTTTTATCTACTTTTGGTCTTTGATGATGGCAATGTACAGATGGGTTTTTGGTGTGGATGTCCTTTCTGTTTGTTAGTTTTCCTTCTAACAGACGGGACCCTCAGCTGCAGGTTTGTTGGAGTACCCTGCCGTGTGAGGTGTCAGTGTGCCCCTGCTTGGGGGTGCCTCCCAGTTAGGCTGCTTGGGGGTCAGGGGCCCACTTGAGGAGGCAGTCTGCCCATTCTCAGATCTCCAGCTGCGTGCTGGGAGAACCACTGCTGTCTTCAAAGCTGTCAGACACAAAGCTGTCAGACAGGGACATTTAAGTCTGCAGAGGTTACTGCTGTCTTTTTGTTTGTCTGTGCCCTGCCCCCAGAGGTGGAGCCTACAGAGGCAGGACGGCCTCCTTGAGCTGTGGTGGGCTCCACCCAGTTCCAGCTTCCCGGCTGCTTTGTTTACCTAAGCAAGCCTGGGCAATGGCGGGTGCCCCTCCCCCAGCCTCGCTGCCACTTTGCAGTTTGATCTCAGACTGCTGTGCTAGCAATCAGCGAGACTCCATGGGCATAGGACCCTCCGAGCCAGGTGTGGGATATAATCTCGTGGTGCGCCGTTTTTTAAGCCGGTCGGAAAAGCGCAGTATTCGGGTGGGAGTGACCCGATTTTCCAGGTGCATCTGTCACCCCTTTCTTTGACTCGGAAAGGGAACTCCCTGACCCTTTGCACTTCCCAAGTGAGGCAATGCCTCAACCTGCTTCGGCTCACGCATGGTGCGTGCACCCACTGACCTGTGCCCACTGTCTGGCACTCCCAAGTGAGATGAACCCAGTACCTCAGATGGAAATGCAGAAATCACCCGTCTTCTGTGTCACTCACGCTGGGAGCTGTAGATAGGAGCTGATCCTATTCGGCCATCTTGGCTCCTCCCTCCATTGTTTTTTACATGTTCGGCCATCCCTATTTTCAAGAAGGATGCCAGGTGATATTGATGCAGGCAGTTGGTTAGAAGGCTCTACTTTAGATAAATATTTCTCAATGGGGAAAAGAACAATGAATATCTGCTACTTGCCAAACACTGATAGGTGCTTTACCCACATTATAATCATTCTTCATGATTTTATGAATAAGTATTATTATTCCATACTGCAGATAAGAAATTGAGGCTGGAAATATTTCATAGGTCGTAAGAGGATCAAAGATTTAAAACCATGTTCTTCTGTCTATATCTTGATCTACACCCAAACTTTCTCTTTTTGTTCAAATATGTTTCAATTCTGAGCATCAGGAAATTATTTCTCCATGGGAACAAATATGCAGTGTGTTTTCTTTTTGGTTCATAAATGTATTTTTATATTGAACAGTGTCTGGACATCAGCATGCAGATCAGTCCCCATTCAGTGAAAGTAGAGAGAAAAATGTCTGCTGGGTCCAACTTGGCTCAGAAGCATCTTTCACCAACAGCAGCGAAACCAAACCAACTTAGTTGAAGTTTTTTTTGTTATAATTATTCTTCGTCTTTTTTTGGTTTGAAAATTGAACATTTTTTTCACAAAAGAAAATTAGGGGTGAGGGGTTGTAATGAGGCTTGTGGATAAGGATTTGTTCTTTTATAACCCAATCATCTTATTTCTTATGGCTCCATTATCTTTGGAAAGTGGAAAGTTGTGTTTTGCTCTTCCTTTATATTAGTGTTTCATTTTTTCTTCTGCCCAGATGCTAAAATTAGATTCAGGGCATCGTAATTATGCAATAATTACCATGATCATATTTTTCTGCCATAGAAGATTAGTACCAATTTTGATTTTCTCCAAAACTTCAACAGATGCTCTTTTTCCATAGCATCATAAATTAATGTCAGAGAGTGTATAAATGTACACACCATTTTCCTGAACACGTGAGGGTTCTGACGAAATCACTGTTTAACTGAAGTTAATTGTTTCCAAGAATTATCATTTTTTATTGATAATTTCATTGCAGAGGGCCTAATTATTCTCCAAATACATTTGCAAATTGTCTCATTTTTACTATTCAGGAAACAACTTATCTCTGCCAAAAAACCCTTCATTTTACAAATGAAGCAGAAAAACAGAGAAGGGAAGTGACTTTTTCAAGGTCACTTGGCCAACCAGAAATAGAGTTGAGGCTAGATATTTTTATCCCCAAATTATGTTTATTATATCACACTGATTTAATCATACTTAAGGCTTAAGACCTAAGACTAGGAACTGAAGTCTGGTTAATCATCTTGCCCTTGTTGCTTTTGAGCAATAGAAGATTATAAAAGATAGCAGAAAAAGACTAAAGCACATCAGGCTAGAAAAGAAGAGCAAAGAGTCAGTGCCTCAGTAAAGCCTTGGAAGATAGATAGGACATTGCTGTTTATTAAGAATTGAATGCTTCTACCTTCTTTTCTGGATGGTTCTTGGCTAAGCACTGAGAGGAGTGAGGCTTTAGGAATCAGTCACTCATTTAACAAATATTTACTGCCAATCTTCTGTGTAGAGTCCCTGGGGATACAAGATAGAAGATATTATTTCCCCTCTAACACCACCACCCAAGAGAAAGAGTTCCCATTCCAGAGGCAGGTAGAGATACATCAAAATCAAACACAAGATTCATTTTTAACAATCTCTTTAATTTTATTCCAAGATAATAAGAATTGCTTTCTTTAAAATATTTTAATTGAAATATTTCCATCGGGGGGAGGAGCCAAGACGGCCGAATAGGAAAAGCTCTGGTCTACAGCTCCCAGAGTGAGCGACGCAGAAAATGGGTGATTTCTGCATTTCCATCTGAGCTTTGAAGAGAGCAGTGGTTCTCCCAGCACGCAGCTGGAGATCTGAGAACGGGCAGACTGCCTCCTCAAGTGGGTCCCTGACCCCTGACCCCCGAGCAGCCTAACTGGGAGGCAACCCCCAGCAGGGGCACACTGACACCTCACACGGCAGGGTACTCCAACAGACCTGCAGCTGAGGGTCCTGTCTGTTAGAAGGAAAACTAACAAACAGAAAGGACATCCACACCAAAAACACATCTGTACATCACCATCATCAAAGACCAAAAGTAGATAAAACCACAAAGATGGGGAAAAAACAGAGCAGAAAAACTGGAAACTCTAAAAAGCAGAGCGCCTCTCCTCCTCCAAAGGAACACAGTTCCTCACCAGCAATGGAACAAAGCTAGAGGGAGAATGACTTTGACGAGCTGAGAGAAGAAGGCTTCAGACGATCAAATTACTCCGAGCTACGGGAGGACATTCAAACCAAAGGCAAAGAAGCTGAAAACTTTGAAAAAAATTTAGAAGAATGTATAACTAGAATAACCAATACAGAGAAGTGCTTAAAGGAGCTGATGGAGCTGAAAACCAAGGCTTGAGAACTACATGAAGAATGCAGAAGCCTCAGGAGCCAATGCGATCAACTGGAAGAAAGGGTATCAGCAATGGAAGATGAAATGAATGAAATGAAGCGAGAAGGGAAGTTTAGAGAAAAAAGAATAAAAAGAAATGAGCAAAGCCTCCAAGAAATCAAGAAATATGGGACTATGTGAAAAGACCAAATCTACGTCTGATTGGTGTACCTGAAAGTGATGGGGAGAATGGAACCAAGTTGGAAAACACTCTGCAGGATATTATCCAGGAGAACTTCCCCAATCTAGCAAGGCAGGCCAACGTTCAGATTCAGGAAATACAGAGAACGCCACAAAGATACTCCTCGAGAAGAGCAACTCCAAGACACATAATTGTCAGATTCACCAAAGTTGAAATGAAGGAAAAAATGTTAAGGGCAGCCAGAGAGAAAGGTCGGGTTACCCTCAAAGGGAAGCCCATCAGACTAACAGCGGATCTCTCGGCAGAAACCCTACAAGCCAGAAGAGAGTGGGGGCCAATATTCAACATTCTTAAAGAAAATCATTTTCAACCCAGAATTTCATATCCAGCCAAACTAAGCTTCATAAGTGAAGGAGAAATAAAATACTTTACAGACAAGCAAATGCTGAGAGATTCTGTCACCACCAGGCCTGCCCTAAAAGACCTCCTGAAGGAAGCGCTAAAGATGGAAAGGAACAACCAATACCAGCTGTGGCAAAATCATGCCAAAATTTAAAGACCATCGAGACTAGGGAGAAACTGCAGGAACTAACGATCAAAAGAACCAGCTAACATCATAATGACAGGATCAAATTCACACATAACAATATGAACTTTAAATGTAAATGGACTAAATGCTCCAATTAAAAGACACAGACTGGCAAATTGGATAAAGAGTCAAGACCCATCAGTGTGCTGTATTCAGGAAACGCATCTCACGTGCAGAGACACACACAGGCTCAAAATAAAATGATGGAGGAAGACCTACCAAGCAAATGGAAATCAAAAAAAGGCAGGGGTTGCAATCCTAGTCTCTGATAAAACAGACTTTAAACCAACAAAGATCAAAAGACACAAAGAAGGCCATTATGTAATGGTAAAGGGATCAATTCAACAAGAAGAGCTAACTATCCTAAATATATATGCACTCAATACAGGAGCACCCAGATTCATAAAGCAAGTCCTGAGCGACCTACAGAGAGACTTAGACTCCCACACATTAATAATGGGAGACTTTAACACCCCACTGTCAACATTAGACAGATCAATGAGACAGAAAGTCAACAAGGATACCCAGGAATTGAACTCAGCTCTGCACCAAGCGGACCTAATAGACATCTACAGAACTCTCCACCCCAAATCAACAGAATATACATTTTTTTCAGCACCATACCACACCTATTCCAAAATTGACCACATACTTGGAAGTAAAGCTCTCCTTAGCAAATGTAAAAGAAGAGAAATTATAATAAACTATCTCTCAGACCACAGTGCAATCAAACTAGAACTCAGGATTAAGAATCTCACTCAAAACCTCTCAACTACATGGAAACTGAACAACCTGCTCCTGAATGACTACTGGGTACATAACGAAATGAAGGCAGAAATAAAGATGTTCTTTGAAACCAACGAGAACAAAGACACAACATACCAGAATCTCTGGGACACATTCAAAGCAGTGTGTGGAGGGAAATTTATAGCACTAAATGCCCACAAGAGAAAGCAGGAAAGATCCAAAATTGACACCCTAACATCACAATTAAAAGAAATAGAAAAGCAAGAGCAAACACATTCAAAAGCTAGCAGAAGGCAAGAAATAACTATTTCCTTCAGTTCTGCTCTGATTTTAGAGACACAAAAAACCCTTCAAAAAATTAATCCAGGAGCTGGTTTTTTGAAAGGATCAACAAAATTGATAGACCGCTAGCAAGATTAATAAAGAAAAAAAGAGAGAAGAATCAAATAGATTCAATAAAAAATGATAAAGGGGATATCACCACAAATCCCACAAAAATACAAACTACCATCAGAGAATACTACAAACACCTCTACACAAATAAACTAGAAAATCTAGAAGAAATGGATAAATTCCTCGACACATACACTCTCCCAAGACTAAACCAGGAAGAAGTTGAATCTCTGAATAGACCAATAACAGGATCTGAAATTGTGGCAATAATCAATAGCTTACCAACCAAAAAGAGTCCAGGACCAGATGGATTCACAGCCGAATTCTACCAGAGGTACAAGGAGGAACTGGTACCATTCCTTCTGAAACTATTCCAATCCATAGAAAAAGAGGGAATCCTCCCTAACTCATTTTGTAAGGCCAGCATCATCCTGATACCAAAGCCTGGCAGAGACACAACCAAAAAAGAGAATTTTAGACCAATATCCTTGATGAACATTGATGCAAAAATCCTCAATAAAATACTGGCAAAATGAATCCAGCAGCACATCAAAAAGCTTATCCACCATGATCAAGTGGGCTTCATCCCTGGGATGCAAGGCTGGTTCAATATACACAAATCAATAAATGTAACCCAGCATATAAACAGAACCAAAGACAAAAACCACATGATTATCTCAATAGATGCAGAAAAGGCCTTTGACAAAATTCAACAACCCTTCATGCTAAAAACTCTCAATAAATTAGGTATTGATGGGACGTATCTCAAAATAATAAGAGCTATCTATGACAAACCCACAGCCAATATCATACTGAATGGGCAAAAACTGGAAGCATTCCCTTTGAAAACTGGCACAAGACGGGATGCCCTCTCTCACCACTCCTATTCAACATAGTGTTGGAAGTTCTGGCCAGGGCAATTAGGCAGGAGAAGGAAATAAAGGGTATTCAATTAGGAAAAGAGGAAGTCAAATTGTCCCTGTTTGCAGACGACATGATTGTATACCTAGAAAACCCCATTGTCTCAACTCAAAATCTTCTTAAGCTGATAAGCAACTTCAGCAAAGTCTCAGGATACAAAATCAATGGACAAAAATCACAAGCATTCTTATACACCAACAACAGACAAACAGCCAAATCATGAGTGAAATCCCATTCACAATTGCTTCAAAGAGAATAAAATACCTAGGAATCCAACTTACAAGGGATGTGAAGGACCTCTTCAAGGAGAACTACAAACCACTGCTCAAGGAAATAAAAGAGGATACAAACAAATGGAAAAACAAGCAATGGGGAAAGGATTCCCTATTTAATAAATGGTGCTGGGTAAACTGGCTAGCCATATGTAGGAAGCTGAAACTGGATCCCTTCCTTACACCTTATACAAAAATCAATTCAAGATGGATTAAAGATTTAAACATTAGACCTAAAACCATAAAAACCCTAGAAGAAAACCTAGGCATTACCATTCAGGATATAGGCATGGGCAAGGACTTCATGTCCAAAACACCAAAAGCAATGGCAACAAAAGACAAAATTGACAAATGGGATCTAATTAAACTAAAGAGCTTCTGCACAGCCAAAGAAACTACCATTAGAGTGAACAGTCAACCTACAAAATGGGAGAAAATTTTCGCAACCTACTCATCTGACAAAGGGCTAATATCCAGAATCTACAATGAACTCAAACAAATTTACAAGAAAAAAACAAACAACCCCATGAAAAAGTGGGCGAAGGACATGAACAGCCACTTCTCAAAAGAAGACATTTATGCAGCCAAAAAACACTTGAAAAAATGCTCATCATCACTGGCCATCAGAGAAATGCAAATCAAAACCACTATGAGATACCATCTCACACCAGTTGGAATGGCAATCATTAAAAAGTCAGGAAACAACAGGTGCTGGAGAGGATGTGGAGAAATAGGAACACTTTTACACTGTTGGTGGGACTGTAAACTAGTTCAACCATTGTGGAAGTGAGTGTGGCGATTCCTCAGGGATCTAGAACTAGAAATACCATTTGACCCAGCCATCCCATTACTGGGTATATACCCAAATGACTATAAATCATGCTACTATAAAGACACATGCACACATATGTTTATTGCGGCATTATTCACAATAGCAAAGACTTGGAACCAACCCAAATGTCCAACAATGATAGACTGGATTAAGAAAATGTGGCACATATACACCATGGAATACTATGCAGCCATAAAAAATGATGAGTTCATGTCCTTTGTAGGGACATGGATGAAATTGGAAATCATCATTCTCAGTAAACTATCGCAAGAAC
Organism: Homo sapiens; assembly: GCF_000001405.40. Classification (NCBI taxonomy): domain Eukaryota; kingdom Metazoa; phylum Chordata; class Mammalia; order Primates; family Hominidae; genus Homo; species Homo sapiens. The sequence continues at coordinate 128,707,703 of NC_000008.11, read as the reverse complement.
AAAAAACCAAACACCGCATATTCTCACTTATAGGTGGGAATTGAACTATGAGAACACATGGACACAGGAAGGGGAATATCACACTCTGGGGACTGTGGTGGGGTCGGGGGTGGGGGGAGGGATAGCATTGGGAGATATACCTAATGCTAGATGAAGAGTTAGTGGGTGCAGCACACCAGCATGGCACATGTATACATATGTAACTAACCTGCACAATGTGCACATGTACCCTAAAACTTAAAGTATAATTAAAAAAAAAAAAAAAGAAAGAGTATGAGTTGGGGAAAAAAAAAAAGAAATGTGGCACATATACCCCATGGAATACTATGCAGCCATAAAAAATGATGAGTTCACGTCCTTTGTAGGGACATGGATGAAATTGGAAATCATCTTTCTCAGTAAACTATCGCAAGAACAAAAAACCAAACACCGCATATTCTCACTCATAGGTGGGAACTGAACAATGAGAACACATGGACACAGGAAGGGGAACATCACACTCTGGGGACTGTTGTGGGGTGGGGGGAGGGGGGAGGGATAGCATTGGGAGATATACCTAATGCTAGATGACGAGTTAGTGGGTGCAGCGCACCACCAGGGCACATGTATACATATGTAACTAACCTGCACATTGTGCACATGTACCCTAAAACTTAAAGTATAATAATAATTAAAAAAAGAAAGAAAATATTTCCATCAAAAGGGATTCAAATAAAATCTTGGCACTTCAAAAAAAAATTAAAATAAAATATTTTAATTTATATCTTTAAAAAAACTTTAGTTTCGGTTCAGGGATACATGTGCAGGATTATTATACAGGTAAATTGTGTGTCGCAGAGGATTGGTGTGCATGAATTTTCAGGTCACATATAAAAAAGGTATCTCTTTGTTAGAGGTAAGAGAAGATCCTTTTAACTTCATGACAGCTGATAGGACGACATATAGAGCCATTAGCTACCACCCCGTATTGGGAAACAATAAGTTCAAGATTCAAGTAGAGTGTCCCAAGTTGATCTTCACTTGATCCATAAACACTTATTCTCAAATTTGTGTGTCAAACGATTTGTCAAAGTTAGAGTTGCTGTTTCAGCTCCAATTTCCACCAAGACAATGAAAAATACTTCCGAAACTTTATATTTTTATGGATTTAAAAACTACTAAGTGAGGCAGGAGGGCAATAATGTTCAAATCTTAAACTGATAAATCTCAGAGGAACCTCAGATATTATTTAACTGCCATTACAAACTTGATTAAATTTAATTAAGTGCATTAAAATTATTTGTCCTCCATTATGTGGCAGAAACTTATTAGGTGAATTCAGAAATCTAGCTTAGACATTATTCGCTATGTAATCTTGAGTTAGTCATTTATCTGTTCTAAAACTCTTTCACCATTAATAAACAATGTGAACAATGTCATTTCAAACCCATGATGACATTATAAGGATGAATGAGTTAATGTATGCGTGTAAAGGGCTTTGTGTAGTAGAAGGTGCTCTATATATGCTAGCTCACACTATCACATCATACTATCATTAAAACATTACAAATGCCCTTACCCCAAGAGGTAGAACTTGCTGAAAACAAGTATAGTATAAAACAAGTATACGGGACTGTAAAATCAAACTTTTCTTTATTCAACCACACCCACAAGCAAACAAACAAACAGGCCAGCAATATACAACCTGTTTCCATATGAGAAAAACAGTATGGGCATGTCACATATTGCATATTAGCTTAGGAAACATAACATGATAAGCTAGGACAGGGAGAGACCTGTCTCTCTTCATATAATAAGGCCAGAGTTGTTCATTCGTTTGAAATAGGGTCAAAATTACATTTTAATAATTCTTAGGTTAGACAGAGATTTAGAAAAAGATGATTGATCTTAATGGGATTAAGATTTTTTTTTTACTTAATTTAAGATGCAGAACCAGCACTCATCCTAACTCCTTCCCTGGTGGGGTCAGGAGGCTCTGTCTTTAGAGGGAGGGTTCCTTCTTTCATCATAATCTAATCATGAATTTAGATCACTCTGAGATAAAACAAAACATCTAGAAACAGTTACTTGATTATTTGAAGAGGAGTAGCATTGGTATCCTATAAGGTGGGAAAGGGATTAGATGGAAGATTCAGTAAGAGTAAGAGTTCATAGAGAACAGCAGTGTTAGAGAAAGGGAATTTTTACCCGGGGCAGCTCAAAAATGGTAGAAAGCATCTAATCTCGGGAAGCTACTATTATTTCTCACATGCTTAGTATATCTTTGTCTCTATATGGTTCTCACAAAATATAAATTTCGTGGGTACTATTTTGCCCATTTTTTAGATATAGAAATAAGAAAGATAAAGTGATAATGAAATTCACACAGTTAAAAAGTAGACTTGGGATTAAAACTCAAGTGTGTCTAAATCAAAGCTTGTGTCTCTTCCATTATATATAATGTACCATTAGCCCTTTGGGATTCACCTAAGAAAACAAGCTTGCCTTCCTATCATTGTGACCTTTTGGGGTTTCTGTCAGACCAGAATAACATGATTCATTTATGTTCCTTCTGATTCCTTAGTAGTTACATAGTTCCTTTTGCTATTGTTCCCATAGGTCTTACACATTGCATTGATACCGTCTACTTCCATATGTGTCTCCCCAACCAGAATATATGCTGGAGTTTATCTTGTTGGGAACGACCCCAAGTCATTGTCCATTTCCAGAGTCGAGTAGGTTGCCATGCACAGAGCAAGAACTCTGGATATTTTTTGATGCCTATTCTAATAAAAAGATCTTCCATAGGCAAGTCCTGAAATGGAGTTAAGGTGATGTTAAAGTTCCTCAGCTACCTCTGAGGTTTTGGAACTCCACAAGGCAACTATAAATGGACCAGAAACCAGAGTATCCGACACAAACTGCAACTCTCAGACATTTGCTAACTGTTTGGATACCACAGCATTTTTCTATTTCCTTCAGAAGACATTTAAAATGGGTTTCCAGGAGAAATCACAAAGAAATGACCACTCCAGTTTTTTTGCAATAGACTTGCTCATCTCTGGTAATGAACAGCCTGGCCAGAAACTGATGATCAGGACAGTCTGGCCTAAAGGCCAAGCATAGATGGCGCTTACTTTGATAGGCACTTTTTGGCCTTTCTTTTCCAATGGTGGTCAAGGATCGCAACCACCAAATAATAGTGCCAGTTATTATTATTTTTTCTGTAGTCACAGACAAAATGGGGAGAAAGCAAACTAAATGGCTAGCTCTACATTCTTTGAAATAATGCTTGGTATCAGACATTATGCCTGGCGTATTGCATAGGTTGACACATTTAATTCCACAACACCCTACACGGTAGATTACAGAGGTGGTACTTTGTGTCTATAACTAGTGACTGCTTAAAACATGCTTGTTGCATAAATAAACAAGATGCATTTCAGCCTGCCTCAGCCAGATTTATGTAGAAAACAATCCAAAACAAAAGCTTTCTGGGGGCTGTGATCATGCAGAAGTAGGAGGAAAGCAAAAAGGAGAAAGGAAAATTTGGGTGAGGAAGGAAAAAGAACACAGTCAAGGAGAGTGACACCAAGCTACTGACTGCTTTGTGACAAGTGCAGCTGATTCCTTGGTCTTGTGAGATGTTTTCAAAGAAGCTACAGAAATTACTGTTTCAGAATAACTGTGCATACAGCGAGGAAGAAAGAATAATATATCTTCTGATTGCTTTCTGTCTCTCATCTCCCATCAGTCAAAGACTACTTCATGGGGCCTTAACCACACTTCTCAATCACTCCTGGCAGGCACTATGAAAACCAGAGTCCCATGGGATTTTTTTGTTCAATGTGTAGGCACAGCAATCTTTACAAGTCAGAGCTGTGCATGAGGACACTCACTGCAGCAGCAGCAGCAACTTGGATTCACTACCTTTGTTAGGTTTTGCTCAGTCTGAAAGCAAGATAAGTGGCCTTGGCTACAGTCAGGGTGGGTGGGGAGGAAAGGCATAATTGCATGGATTTAGGTTGGGGCATAAACTGAGTACAATATACAGTCCTAAATGACTTTCTCCTGCCCATGTCTTCTACCCATGTTCAGACCCAGATGCTCAGCTCCTTATGATAATCTTTCTCACTTTCTTTGTCATAGACTCCAGACACTCAGCCTGATTTCCTTTCCTTCTAGCAGCTGCTATCATGAATTCTACACCTTAGGAATTTTCTCTCCATGTTTATGTCTTGCTGAGTAATAGCATACTGCCACTACAAATTCCTTCCCCAACCTCATCAATGCCTCCTGCTATGGTTTGAATGGTTGTCCCCTCTGAAACTTATGTTGAGATTTAACTGACATTGGACCTTTAAGAGGTGGGTAGGTAATGAGGGTACTGCCCTCATAAATTGATTAATGATGTTATCATGGAAGTGGATAACTATTATGAGACTGGGTTTGTTATAAAAGTGGGTTCAGCCCAATTTCCTTTCTCTGTCTTGCATGCTTGCTTCTGTCTCTCACTTTCTGCCATGGAATAACACTTACCAGATGCCATTGCCATGCTCTTGGACTTTCCAGCCCCCAGAACCATAAGAAATAAATTATCCCATCTGTGGTATTCTGTTATAGCAGCAAAAAAACAGACTAAGACACCTCTTTATTGCTGCTCTCAATGGCGAGCCTTTAAGTCAGGGGTAGACAGCAGGTATCTTCACCTACATTGGCTCAAACTATTATTTACAGTCTGATGTGCTGTGTAAGAATGGTATTCTTAGGCCAAGTTCAGTGAAAAAACCTTTTGTGATTGATCTGGAGTTTCTTCCCTTGGCTTGGAAGCAGAGTAATATCATATGGAACAGACATTTTAAACAATCATTAATTACATATTTATTATACTTTGAGTTTTCTCTCTCTGATATTGTGTGGGAAACCAGTTGGAAAAGACAACTGTTTACAAGTTAAAAATGTTAGGACATATAACATTTATAAAATTTTTAGTGTCATGATTCCTGGTATACGGTCTTTACTCTCTTTAAAATAGTGAATAGAAGTTCCAGTGGGTTTATACTCCTGTATTTTTGGAAGGATTTACTGACAGTCCTTTTACACATAATGTCATTATACTATTTTTAATGAAAGCTTTAGCAAATAACATTGCCATATTTTTCTCTGAGTACTCACCTGTCAACCAAGAAGATAAAATCAAATTGAAACAGTAAGAATCCTTAGTCTCAACTGGGTAATTTGTAACTTGGAAAACCTCAATCCTGAGGTATTCTTAGATATTAAAGTTTTGAGGCATGTCCTCATTGTCACTGGCTGAAATAGATTGGGAGAAGGTGATACTGGCCGAACACCAGGGGTACAAATTAATAACAATGAATGTAGGTAGATTCTGGATATATTGTGAAGGTAGAGCCCATAGAATTTACTACTTGATCAAATATATATTGGGAGAAAAAAGTTAAGGCTTTGGAACCAGCAGTTGAAGAATGAATAAAATTTTTAAAAAACAGAGCAGAAATAATCTCAACCCAAAGCACCTAAGATGAGAACTAGCTTTGCTTTTGTATTTTTTCCACCAGTGACCAGATGTGACCAGTAAAAAGAATGTGGAGGAAGGTCAGACAGTTACCAGAGTGTGACAGTTAATATTGAGTGTCAACTTGATTGGATTGAGGGATACAAAGTATTGATCCTGGGTGTGTCTGTGAGGGTGTTGCCAAAAGAGATTAACATTTGAGTTAGTGGGCTGGGGAAGGCAGGTCAACCCTTAATCTGGTGGGCACAATCTAATCAGCTGCCAGTGAATGTAAATAAAGCAGGCAGAAAAACATGACAAGGGGAGACTGGCCTATCCTCCCAGCCTACATCTTTCTCCTGTGCTGGATGCTTCTTGCCCTCAAATATTGGACTTCAAGTTCTTCAGTTTTGGGACTCCGACTGGCTCTCCTTGCTCCTCAGCTTGCAGACAGCCTATTGTGAGACCTTCTGATCATGAAGGTTAATTCTTAATAAACTCCCCTATCTATCTATCTATCTATCTGTCTCTGTCTATCTATCCATCCATCCATCTATCCATCCATCCTATTAGTTCTGTCCCTATAGAGAACCATGACTAATACACAGAGTAAGTAGTGAGGGAATTTCTTCTTAGAGCACTTGAGCATGTTGTTTTCCTAATGCTATTTAAAGTATTCAGTATAAGAAGAAAGTTGGTTTTCCACGATAACGCTTCCAAAGAAATTGCTCTCCATAGAAAATGAACAATTTGAATGGCGAAGACTTCCAGAATGGGTATGGAGGTCTAGAACAGAAGCAGGAAAGAGTGTAAAAAGTTTAACTCTTAACAAATGACAAAGATATGGAGAAAAAATATGAAGGTAGATCTCATCCAAAGAGAATTTCATTAAAATGCTCCATTCCCAGAGAAAAGCCTATTATTTTACCAAATTATTCCTTTACCTGCTTGCCTACCTGATTTCCCTAAAATTAAATATGTCTATGGACAAATTCCATCCACTTAGAGTTTCAAATTGGATCTTTCGATCAAAGAAGGAATCTGTAAGGGAAAGAGACCTTTGCAACTGTAAAAGAAATTCCAGCATATTATACTTAAAAAAAGTTGTGTTGCGGGATGGTGCAGCGGGGGTGGGGGGGTTAGCTAGCCATTTTTACCAGAAACGTTAAAAAAAACCCCAATAGCATGAAAGTAAAGGACCAACATAAAACTGACCCTGGGAAAGATATGGATAACTCAGGGAGTAACAAAAATGAAAATAATAATAATGATAAGATGATTAGAGTAAAAAGACTTAAGTCGATAGTGTAGTCACATAATAGTAGGGATAACTATTTCTTGAAAATTAGATATTTGATTGCCAAAAGTTTAATTTAGCTTAAAATTTTATCCATAAAATATGCATGACAAGAAACATATTAGCAAAAAGGTAGCAAAAATCAAGAAAATGTTGCAGAAACTAGGGCAAAAACCCAAAGAGATATAAAATAAGAGCAAAAAATGTAAAGTCATAGGGGGTATACCTGAGAGAATCAAAATCTACCTAAACGAAACTTTAAAAATAAAATACCAAGGTCATAGGATCTTTTGGGGCCAGCTGGCAACATAGCAAGGCCCCATCTCTACAAAAAATTTTTTAAAATGTAGTCAGGTGTGATGGTATGTGCTTGTAGTCCCAGCTACTCCAGAGGCTGAGACAGGAAGATTGCTTAAGCCCAGGAGTTCGAGGCTGCAGTGAGCAATAATCACACCACTGTACTCCAGCCTGGGCAATAGAGTGAGACTCTATCCCAAAAACCAAAAATCAAAGTAAATAAGTAGATACAATGGAGGGAGAAGATAATCAGCAAATTATTAGAACATTTTCCTGAACTGAATAAAGACTTACTTCTTCTGATTGGCAAGAAAACTAAAAATAGGAAAAAGAAAGAAAGAAAAGAAATGCCTAAACACATGCTACTCATTTTTCAGAACACTGCAGAAAAATAGAAAAATCTGTTTTTCCTGAAAGGAGAAAATAAAAAACTTCCACTAAATCAGACTGATATCATATCTCAGCAATAATGCCGGCTATTAGAAGCAAACCCCTTACTGCATTAAAGACATATTCAGAAATGCATGAACTCAGAAACAATAACATCCATGTACTGAATCTGAAAAAATTATTTAAGGATGTATTTGAACAAAACAACAACGAAAAAGATGACATGAGATAAGAAATTGTGGCTGGGCACGATAGCTCATGCCTGTAATACCAGCGCTCTGGGAGGCCTAGGCGGGCGGATCACTTGAGGTCATGAGTTTGAGACCAGCCTGACCAACATGGTGAAACCCCGTGTCTACTAAAAATACAAAAATTAGTTGGGCATGGGTGTGGGTGGCTGTAATCCCAGTTACTTGGGAGGCTGAAGCAGGAGAATCGCTTGAACCCAGGTGGCCAAGGTTGCAGTGAGCCGAGATAGCACCACTGCACTCCAGCCTCCGTGACAGAGCAAGACTCCATCTCAAAAAAAGAAATTGTGGCAGCTGGTTGTGGCAGCTGATATTAGGAGAACAATAAAGGAAGCTAAAATGCAATTATAGAAATTTAACAAATTCTTAAGAGTTGTAACACTCAATTGAGAAACACATGGTTTATTTAGCAGCATATGGTAACATTTATTTCTCTTTAGGTCAATCACCCCCTTTGGCTCTGCACGATATTTGCATAACTATATTATTATAATTAATTTTATTGACTTAAACATTTTAGACCCAACTTATAGACAAAGAAAAAAAGCACGTTAATATCTTGATGTCTGTATTTATTGCTGGTAGACTTTGGGAACTTCACAGTAAAACAGATGATAATGTTTTATTGCATTTGCTATTTGATGCAAATTGGGCTTTAAACATTGTGGCAGAAAATATTACATAAGGAAGCCAAAATTAGTACAGGAAAGATAAAAGCTATTGTGTATATTTTGTAAAGTAGGTATGAAAGAATAATTAACATGAATTCCGAGTGTTGCCTACAAGTTAATGATAATTATGAAATTTACAAAAACATTTTTTAAAGACTCTCACCAGTTAAATTCTATTTAAATTCCAAGTACTTGAAGATATTCAGTATCACTGATGGTATGGAAGAAGGGGAATCTCACACAGGCTTTGGGTACGTACTAATTAGAACAAAAATTCTGGAAGGTGAAAGTATGTATAAGTTTACATAGATTAATATAATATTTCCAATTTATGTATCTATATTTCCAAAATATGTATATGTGCATATGTGTATTAAGTGTACATTTAATAGCAGAAACTTGAAGACAACTAAAAGAACTTACTTGGGAAAATGCTGAAATAAGTTATAGTTTCCCTATATCATATACTATAAAGTAAATATTAAAAAGAAGGTTGTAGACCTCTACGAAATTACATGGAATAAAATCTATAATATGCTTCTAATTTTTATTCGGAGTAAGTTATAGAACAACATGCATGGTTTCATGCCATTTTTTTTTTGAGATGGAGTCTCGCTCTTTCGCCCAGGCTGGAGTGCAGTGGCGTGATCTCGGCTCACTGCAAGCTCTGCCCCCCGGGTTCCCACCATTCTCCTGCCTCAGCCTCCCAAGCAGCTGGGACTACAGGCGCCCACCACCACGCCTGGCTAATTTTTTGTATTTTTAGTAGAGACGGGATTTCACCGTGTTAGCCAGGATGGTCTCGATCTCCTGACCTCATGATCCGCCTGCCTTGGCCTCCCAAAGTGCTGGGATTACAGGCATGAGCCACCGTGCCTGGCCCCAGTTTGATACCATTTTTATGAGAAGTTCATAACTACAATTTTGTTTTGTAAAATGAAAACATACATGTATCATTGATTAGTTAAAAAGTGTGTGTACATAGAGAAAAGCTTGAATTAATATATAAAAAGGTTTCTGAATAATGAATCAGAGGGAACACGTTTCTGCAATCATATGGTTTCAGAAAATAACATTTTCTCCAGAGATATTTCTGGCTTTTCCCCATTCTTGTATTTACTCTGTCCTGGGTAGTTGGAGTGACTGATCTGATTGTGAAATTGAGAATCACTTGGGCTTGCTTTGGTGCCTAATATCTTACATTGCCCATGCTGAGGACTACCAAAGGCCAGGTAGATAAATCTACCCAATTCTGGAGTCCATTAAACAGGCCCATTTGGTTTTCATACCAAGCAAAAAGGTGGCCTCCATTTGCCAAAATTATTCAGATACCAGATGAAAAAGAGAGGTGCTTAATATGCCTCCTCCAAGAGGCATATCTTGCACATAGAGAACATTGAGGAATGAATAAGTAAAACAGTAGAAATTGAATGAACACAATTTCACAAAGAGAAGCTTTTGGAGTGTCTAGGCAGTGTTGGCTGCAAACCTTGGGCTTTGTGATGGCAGAGCATTTGGGGCCTGACTGTTTAATTGGGGAGCTTTTATCAGTCCAAGCTTTTAAATGCTGCAGCTGGGCAAGAAGCTTTAAGCCAGCATGCTTTATTTATAGTTTGGAGGGTGACTGTAATTTGTGGTGATTTTTCTTCCTGAGGCAAGAGGATTCTTATAGAGAGACAATAATCTAAGCAAAAGTCAAGACTTAAGCAAAGGTTCTCAAAATCTGGGAAAGTCTATGAGTGACCCTGGCAAATTCATGTGTGGAAAAGTAGAGATGCAGCTGTGGCAAATATTAGACTATAGGCAGCAAGCATTCATTTTCCCAACCCATGCTGACCTTGTAAAAGGTCCATATCTGCAGGCCTCTGCCAAGGTGACAGCCTCAGGGTGCAGGCCATTGTAGCTGAATATGCAGGCATATCTCTTCTTAAAAAGGAAAGGTAAGGCAAAGATTCAAAAATATGAGAAAGACTTTTTTAAAGCTTCATGGGCAATGGTGGTCAAAAACATATTTAAAACTGTTCAAGTGCAAGGAAGCTAAGCTCAATGTGCACTCCAGAGCACTAGTGAAATCCTGGCCTTCAATTGTCAGTGTCAGGCCAAAGTGCATAGCCCTGTGTGCACTGCCTCTAGTGCCATGTTGGACTCATGGCCAAGGAAAGCTCCTTAGAGGTGAAACCCTTGAATCCCTGAGTAGTGTCTACATACTCAGCAAATGTTCCCTATCCATTATGAGGCTTCTAGTTAACTCTAGTTTATTAAGGACATATGAGGGAGAAAACTTCCTGGGGATCAGATATCTGAAGCCAAAGCAATTCCATTTCAAACGATTATAGAAAGAGTTAATAAGGCACAAGACCAAAATTTTCTGTCCATAGGTTAATTTTGATGCTGTTTTGCACTCATTTTGGGATAAAGTGAGAAATACAAGGTTCAAGTAAGAAATGGACATTAAGAGCTTAAATTTTTTTCCAAGAAAAAGTAATTTAATATGAATAATGCATGCAGGAAATTTATCAGAAGATACAATTATAAGGAAGTGTGGAAGACAGAAGACAGCATTGGTTGAAAACGAGTCATGATATGGTGGCAACTGAGTTCTTAGCAGGTTCTACAAAAATCTGTGAAACTAGAATGGCCTTTCAAAGTTGTCTCAAATTGCAGCAAGAAAACAGCACTTTGTATCCCTACATGAGTCTGTCATTGTCTGAGCCACAGCCTCCTGGGAGGGCTGTGGGCTTTAGTGAAGTAGATCCCATTAGCCAAGAAATAGTCCCAGTGAGGACTTAGCTGTCAGTCATCAGCAATTGAAGACATGGCTTTGTTGGCACTACAAGGGATCTAGGTTAAACACCAGGGTATCAACTAGAAATAAATTATGTACAGGTTGATTTTCTTCTAAAATAGGTGAATGCATAATGCCAAAATATTGCTGGAAGATTTCTCTCAATTAAGTTTAAACTCATAAGTCATTAATTCAAGAAATATGGCACAAACTACCTAGCAATATGGTAAGACCATACCAGGTTTTTCCCTTTCACTCACATATCACTGAGTTTCTGCTATGCTTTTTGGCAATGGTAAATATTGTGTTCTGGGAACATAATTTTGCCAGTGATAATTACTTTAGGGGGCTGAAGATTAGATTGTTTTTCAAATTTGTGTGTGGCCTAGGGAACATCTGTACATATGAAGCAGAAGGTTATCTCCAATATTTTGCTAACTAAAAAAACTTGTATGTTCTATTAACTCTTCAGGCTCTTAGAAATCTACAGTGTCAGTGGACTTTCATTTTCAGGAAAATTGAATGGAAATACTTTTTCTCTATTACCTGTGCTAAGTAAAATTAAAACTCTGGATATTGTACATAAAGCAAGCATAAGAAGACTCTGAGCAGACCAGCTAGAAACCTCGGATCCTGAGGAATGACAAGGTGGTAAGTTAGCTAGGTTTTGTTTTTGCCTAATATATACCACACTTAGGACTAGAGAAGCCATCAAACTAGAAATACCAATGGGCACAGATTTTTTTTTTACAAGAGCTTCAATAAAAGCCTGATCTCTCTAGCCAAGGATGAGGAAAGGGGCCAGTTAGTGAGACAGAAAACTTTTAGACAATAACAACCCTACTCAAGCACAATACTGCAGATGACCTAGCCTTATTCCAAGTCATGCAAGCAAAGGCTGAGTGGTGAGCCTAGACTTAGCAAAGGCTGAGGGGTGAGCCTCATAAAGATGTAACAAAATGCCTCAATACCCCTGCTGGGGTGGTGTCAAGAAAGTCAAGTAGAGAAATTGGACTTTTATTCAAGCAAGACAATAACAAGGCCACCCTTTACCTGTAGACCATGTGGAAAGCTTGACTTTTACCTCTGGCTGGCAGCAATAAGGTACCCCTTATTTCCTTACTGAGATGGTGTCAGAAAAGGCTTTGTGAAGAGTCAAGATGTTCATAATCTTTCAGCAGTAATGGGACCATCCTCATTACAGTGTCAGTGGAGACTCTTTTCAGAGCCAAAACTCTCACCACAGCTCAACAGTTACAAGAAGCCTCCCTCCTAGGTGTCAACAGAGGCCAAGTGGGAAATTTGGTTTTCTGCCTTTACCTGACAGTAATGAGGAATTGTCTCCTTCTTGTAATGCCAGAGTGAAATCAGAAAAAAGCCAGTTAAGACAGAAGATTTAAATAAGAGATCCATAATCTTATAGCACAATTAAAATATGCTAAGCTTTCCATTGAAAATCAGTCATTTTACCAAGAACCAGAAAGATCTAAATTAAAAAGGCAGTAAATAGATTCCAATACAGAGATATCAGATATATTAGAAATATCTGACAAATATTTTAAAGCAGCCATAATAAAATTGTTTCAACAAGCAACTACAAACACACTAGAAACAAATTTTATAAAATAGAAAACCTCAGAAAAGAATTAGAAAGTCTTAGCAAAGAAAGAAGATGCAAATAAGAACCAGATTAAAAATTTAGTACTCAAAAATACAATAACACATACAAAGTTCAGTGGATGGCCACAACAGCAGAATACAGGTGGCATAAATCAATAGGATTTAATTAACATTTATATAGCAGTCTACACAGCAAGAGTGGAATACAATTTTTTTCAAGGAACCCCAAAATATACAACAAGATAAGACTATAGCCTTGGCCATAAGCAAACCTTGACAATTTTTAAAATGAATATTATATTATATATAGCATACATTGTCTACTACAATGGAAATTAGAAATCAATAAGCAAACTGGAAAACTGAACAATGGAAACTAAACAATCTGATGGGAGATAAAGTAGATTAAAAAATAGAAAAAAAAAAAGAACCTCAGGAGACCTGTGGAAAGAAAGCAGAAGATATAACATTTGCGTCAGCAGAGTTGTAGAAGAAAAAGAGTAGAAGCTGAAAAAGCTCTTAAATAAATAATGGCTGAGAACATTTTAAATTTGGTAGAAAACATGAACCAAGAGATTCCATGAAAACTAAAAGAATTTGTCACCTGGAGACCTACACTGTAAGCATGACTAAAGGAAATTTTCTAAACAGAAAGGGAATAATAAAATAAGAAATCTTGAAACAGCAGGAAGGAAGAACACAGTAAGGAAACACATGGGCGAGTTCAACAGGTTCTCCTTCTCTTCTTGAGTCTTCTAAATTATGTTTGATAGTTGAAGTAGAGAGTATAACACTGTCTAAATTGATTCTCAATTTGTGTAGGTAAATATTTAAGATGACTGTAATATAAATGTGAGAAGGTAAAGGGACATAAAGGGAGATAAGCTTTCTATATTTCACTAAAACCCCTAAAATGATGATACCAGTAGACTATGATAAGTTATGTCATATAAACTTAATACTCAGAACAACCACTATAAAAGCCATATAAAGAATTATACTGAAAAATACTGTAAATAAATCAAAATGAGATCCTATAAAGTGTTCAGGTAAGAAAAAGAAGAGCAGGAGAAAAGAAACAAAAAGGAAAACTAGAAAACAAAAATATAAAATGCAGACTTGAGTCCTAACATACCAATAAGTACATTAAATGTAAACTGCTTAAACATATCAACAAAAAGGGAGTGTTTGGCTGAGGGGATTAAAAATTATGACCAAACTATATGCTGTCTACAAGACACTCACTTCACATATAACAACATAGACAAAAGTAAAATAGTGAAAAATAATATATCATGCAAACATTAAGGGAAGCAGAAGGGGCTATATTAATATTATAAAAAGTATACTGTAGAGCAAAAATAATGATCGCAGACAGAGAAGAACACTATAGATTGAGAAAAAAATATATAAGTCAAGAAGACATAGCAATCTGAAATACGCATGTACCAAACAACAGAGCTGCAAAATACATGAAACAAAACTGATAGAACTCAAAAGAGAAACAGACAAATTTAGAGTTTTAGATATAGACTTCAATATTCTCTTTCTACTGATAGAACAACTAGACAGAAAATCAGCAGGGATATAGAACAACTCAATGCCACCAGCAATCAATAGGATTTAATGAATATTTATATAGCTGTCCACCTAGCAAGAGCTGAATATTATTTTTTTAAGGCTCCACAAATTATATAACAAAATAGACCATACCCTTGGTCATAAAACAGCCCTCAACAAATTTTTATAAAATGGAAATCATATAGAGTATATTCTCTACTACAATGGAAACCAGAAATCAATAACCAAAAGGTAACAGTAAAATTGCCAAACACTTAAAAACTAAAGAACAGACTTCTAAATAATCCATGGGTCAAAGAGAAATTTTCAAAGGAAATAAAAAAATACATTGACCTGAAATGAAAATGGCAATACAATATATCAAAATTTGTAGGACAGATAAAGCAGTGATAACAGAGATGTTTATAGCTCTAAATGCGTAAGTTATGAAAAAAGAAAAGTCTCAAATAAAAACTCTAAGCCTCCACTTTAAGAACTTAGAAAACGAGCAAATTAAAATAAGTCCAAATCAAGCAGAATAATAAAAACAATGAATATAAGGGCAGAAATTAATGAAACTGAAACAATAAAAAGATAGAAAAACATAATGAATTAAAGCTAATTCTTTGAAAAAATAAGATAGATTAACAAACCTCTATCAAGACTAACAAAACAGGAGATGCAAATTACCAACACCAAAAAGAAAATCAGGTGATAGCAGTACATTCTCTGCAAATCTAAAAAGAAAATAAGGAAATATTAGTGATTTTACATTTATAAGTTTAAAAACTTAGATGAAAAAGACTAATTTCTTGAAAAATGACAGCTACAACTCAATAATTATAAAAGATATTCAGAATAGTTCTATAACTACTAAATAATTTAAATTCATAATTAAACTTCCTCCTTTAATATCTCTGGACATAAATGGTTTACTAGAAAGTTCTACCAAATACTCAGAAAAGATTAACACCAATTCTACATGATTTTCCTGAAAATGGTAGTGAACACCTCTCAATTAATTTTATGTAGCTAGTATTGCTCTGGTATCAAAACCAGACAAAGATGAAACAAAAAAAAAACTACTGACAAATCAATATTCCTCATGAATTTAGATGTAAAAAATCCTTAGCAAAGTATTAGCAAATAGAATTTAGCAATATGTAAAAATTATTATACACCACAACCAAGTGGGTTTTATTTCAGGAATGTAATGCTGGTTTGATATTTGAAAATTTATCAATGTAATCCACCTTATTAAAGCTAAAAAAGAAAGAACACATGATTATATTAATGTATAAAAACATTTAACCATATTCAATACCCACTCACAATAAAAACTTTAGGAAAAATAAAATAATAGAGGAAAACTTCTTCAACTGTTAAAGAGCTTATACAAAAAAACACTATAGCTAACATTATAATGACAAAAGCCTTAAGATAAGGAACAAAGTAAGGATGCCCACTGTCGCCACTCTGATTCAAAATAGTGCCGGACATTCTACCCAGTGCAAAACGCAAGTGAAGGAGATAAAATAAAAACAGAACAAGTGGAAAAATAGAACTGTTATTTCTTGCAGAAGACAAGATTATCAACATAGAAAAATTTTTAAAAACTATTTAAAAAACTCAGACAAATATAATGAGCAGAACTTATAAATGACTAAATGAGTTCAGCAAGATCTCATAAGATAAAAATATGAAAATTAATTGTGTTTCTATATACTACCTCTGAACATGTAGACACAAATTAAAAATACTAAAAAAAAGATGAAATACTTTGGTATAAATCTAACAAAACACATAAAGAACTTGTATGCTGAAAAATTACAAAATATTGACAAAAGAAGTAAAAGATCTAAACACATGGAGAAATATACTAGCTCCTGGATTGGAAGACTCAACATAGCAAGATGCCAGTCTTCCCCAAATTGATATTCATGTGTCAGGCAATTTTTATCAAAATCTCAGTGAGAGTTTTTTTAGATATAGAGTATTCAATAATTTATATGAAAAGGGAAAGGAACCAGAATAGCTAAAACAGTCTTTAAAAATGACTAATAATGTAGAAGAAATCAGTCTGATCTCAACTTCTTATATAATTACAGTAGTCAAGGATGCATGGTATTGGCAGAGGAGAGACATATAGACTAAGAAATGAGAACAGAGAACCCAGAGATAGAGCAAGACAAATATACCCAACAGTTTTGACCAAAGTACTGAAGCAATTTAGTGGAAAAAAAGATTGCCGTTTCAACAAATGGTGCAGGAGCAATTGGATATCCACAGGCAAAAATCAAACTTCAACCAGATTCTCACAACTTATAAAAAATTTAACTCAAAACAGACCACATATTTAAATATAAAACATTACTATAAGACTTCTAGAAGAAAACAGGAGAAAATCTTCAGTCTTCAGGATCTAGTGCTAGGCAAGGGGATCCTAGATAAAAACCCCAAACAATATTTATTTGAAAAATGAATAAATTAGACTTCATCAAAATTTAATGCTTCTCTTTTGCAAAAGATTACGTTAAGAGGATGAAGAGAGGAGCTATAATAGAATGGGAGAAAAAATGTTTGAAAACCACATATAGTATTTGACAAAATCTAGGTCTTAATATATATTACATATATATTCTCAAAATTAAACAGTAAAAAACCAGCATTATTAGAAAATGAAGAAGATTACGTCAGGAAACATTTCACTGCGGTGAAGATACAGATGGCAAATAAGCATATGAAAAGATGTTCAACATAATTAGTCTTAGGGGAGTGGAAATTAACATCACAATTATATCTCTCTACACCTATCAAAATGGTAAAAATACAAATAGTGACAACATCAGATGCTGGCAAGGATGCGAGAAACTAGATTACTCATACATTGTAGGAATGTAAAATGGCGCAGCCAACTGGAAAACACTTTACTATTTTAATTTAAAAAAAATTGAAAACATTCTAATCTTATATGACCTAGAAACTGTGTTTCTGAATGATCATCTTAGAGACATACTTTTATGTTCACACAAAAACCTATACATAAATGCTTATGTATTTATGTACTTATGTAAAATCCTTATTACCTTTATTCATAATAACCCAAAAGGACTTTGATATCCTTTAATGTATGATGAATGATTAAACAAACTGTGGTACATCCATAGTATTCAATATTACACAGCAATAGAAAGGAACTGTTGATACACACAACAATGTGAATAAATCTCTAATTATGCTGAGTAAAAAAAGAAAAAAAAGCCAATTCTGAAAGGTAGCAGGTAACATACAGTATGATTCCATTTCTATAACATTCTTGAAATGACAGAATTATAGAAATGAAGGACAGTAGTAATTGCCAGGGAATAAGGAGGGCTGTGAGTGGGAAGTGAGTGTGGCTATAAAAAGACAACATGAGAAATATTTGTAGAATGTTCTGTCTCTTGAGTCTAGCTATGTAAATATTTTTGTGTGATATTGTATTGCAATTTGCAAGATGCTATGTTGGGGAAAACTGAGCAAAAGATCCACAGTTTCTCTGATTTCTTGCAATTGCATGCGAATCTATTTTTTATCTTAAAATTAAAAATGTAATTTAAAAAACCAAGTACATTAGAAACGTGGTGTGGAACTATTTCTACTTCGGAGGCCTTGAAAAAACTACTTACCTTCCTGTAGCTGTAGCTGCTTCAAATTCTACTGAGTGCCAAGAATGTCTCTAGTTCACAATGAGTGGAATTAGAAATTGGGTAAGAATAACTTTTGGGTTTCAAGTTCTTTGAAATTTAAATCACAGATGATATGGGAGGCGGGCAGGGAAATGCTGGGTAGAGAAGGAAGGGGTCCCTGGTGAGAGATGCACCCTCGGGCCTGTGTCCACAGACCTAAGTGAGAACAGGCACTCCTGTTTTTGCACCCAAATGTTGCATTTTCCAAGACCACTCTGACCTGCCACGCCCTTCATCTTGCCCCCATATAAACTTGAGACCATAGCAGGCAGAGGAGCAGAAGAACAGAGCAGCAGACACCAGCAGACCTGCAGACCAGCAATGGCGGAATGTTGCGGAAGAGAAAGCGAGAAGAGGAGGGACATCTGGACACTGACGGGAATTCCGCCAGGGGCCGTCAGAGAAGAGTCTGGCCACTAGGTGGCCCAACTCCAGGGGAAGACCAGCTTCCTACTCCATTTCCTCCTTCTGGCTCCCTGTCCATCTTGCTGAGAGCCACCTCCACCACTCAATCAAACCTTGCACTCATCCTTTGAGCCCACGTGTGATCCGATTTTTCTGGTACACTGGGCAAGAGCTCAGGATACAGAAAGCTGTCACACTGGCCCTCTGCCCTTGTCTTAAGGCAGAGGGTCTATTGAGCTGATTAACACAAGCCATCCGCAGACAGCAAAGCTGAAAGAGCACACTGTAACACACGCCCATTTGGGCTTTGGGAGTCGCAGACACTCACCCCTTGATGCTGCTGTGGGGATGGAGCCCAAAAGCACTCCCTGCAGCCTCTGCACCTGTTTGTCTGCATGCTCTTGCTAGGGTTTTAAGCAGCAGGGTGACAGGTCAGTACAGGAAAAGGATGATAAAGCATGAAAAAAGGAACTTTACAGGTGAGGAAACCTGAATGACTGTATTAGCTCATTCTCATACTGCTATAAAGAACTGCCCTAGACTGGGTAATTTATAAAGAAAGGAGATTTAATTGACTCACAGTTCTGCATGGCTGGGGAGGTCTCAGGAAACTTACAATCATGGCGGAAGGGGAAGAGGCATGTCTTAATGACGGCCGGCAAGAGAGAGTATGGAGGAGGAGGAACGGTCAGACACTTATAAAACCATCAGATCTCATGAGAACTCACTCACTATCATAAGAACAGCATGGGGGATAACGCCCCATGATCCAATCACCTCCTACCAGGTCTCTCCCTCAACACGTGGGGATTATGGGATTACAATTCAAGGTGAGATTTGGGTGGAGACACAAAGCCTAACCATATTAAAGACTAAGAAATGTGAAAATAAATTTGATATTTCTAGGAACTGGATAAATGAAGGTTACAACAATGAGATATTCACGATCAGTTAGGAAAGGATTAAAACAAGTACTGAGACAAACAGAGGCTAAGTTTTTATACCAATAATGGGAGTCTAAATTGATATAACAACTTTGGAGAGTAATTTCCCAATATTTGAAAAACAGTGTTGATGCACACGTCTGATATCCTTAGTCATTCTATGTTTAGATACCTGTCCCCATCAAATTCTTATATATGGACCAGTTAATTACTGGGAGGCAACTATTCATGGGTCTCTCAAGTTTCTACATATTTGCAAGCAAAGTTACAAATTGTTGTTCTGTTCCAAATTATCTTTTCAAGGATGTTAGTAAGGTAAACAGACTTGGAAGAAAGAGATCATGTCTGTAGAGGGCAGGTTTACTTGCTATTTAGTACAATTAAAGTAATGTCTCCCTTTGGAACAAACTTCAGGTATATTTGTTTATGGTGTGTTACAAAAAAATTAGGCTCCATAAACTCAGAGTTCTTCAGTTCTAATGCAAATCCACTGTGTATATAGAATCCACCTGGGTCTCTACAAGTTGCTCCCATGGAAACTGGGCACAAAAGAGAAATGGGTGAAAATATGCTAATTCTCATGCTGCTTGTTGTGCTATGAGTAATAAAATCCTTTGCCTCTGACCCAGGAGCCTTGTATCTTTTCTCAGAATTTATAAAACTGTGGCAGGCTAATTTAGCTTACAAACAGGGTAAAATTCCAGACTTTTAATTGTTCTTAATATAGACTTGTGCAAATGAATTGGAGCACAGTTTATAATCATAAAATATTACAAATATAGAAGAATAGAACAGAATAGAAAACTCATGAACGAAGGTACACGCTTACAACCTTGTGATCTTTGACAAGACCAACAGAAACAAGTAATGAGGAAAACACTCTCTATTCAATAAAAGGTGCTGGGATAACTGGCTAGCCATAGGCAGAATAATGAAACTGGATCCTTACCTTTTACCATATACAAAAATTAACTCAAAGTGGATTAAAGATTTCATATCTTTGAGGCTTAAGACCTCAAACTATGAAAATACTAAAAGAAAATCTAGGAAATCCCCTTCTCAACATTGGCCTTGGTGAAGAATGTTTAGCTAAGTCCCTAAAAGCAATTGCAATAACAAAAGTTGACAAATGGGACCAAATTAAACTACAGAGCTACTGCACAGCAAAATAAACTATAGACAGAGTAAACAGACAACCTATAGAATGGGAGAAAATATTCACAAACTATGCATAAAACAAAGATCTAATATATAGCATCTATAAAGAACTTAATTCACCAAACAAAAATCAAATAACCTCATTTAAAAATGAATAAAGAACATAAACAGACACTTCTCAAAAGAAGACATAAAAGTGGCCAACAAACATTTGAACACTCATAATCACTAATCAGAGAAACACAAATCAAAACCACAATGAGACACCATCTCATACTAGTCAGGATGGCAATCATTAAAAAGTCAAAAAACAACAGACGCTGGAGAGGCTGAGGAAGAAAGAGAATGCATATACACTTCCAGAGTTCAGCCATTCTGGAAAGCAATTTGGAGATTTCTTAAAGCACTTAAAAAGGAGCTACCATTCTAACCAGCATACCCAGTATATACCCAAAGGAAAATAGATCATTATTCCAAAATGACACATGCACTTGTATGGTAATTACAATGCTATTCACAATAGCAAAGACTTGGATTCAACCTATGTGCCAATCAGTGGTGGATTAGATAAAGAAAATGTTGTGCTTAAACACCATGGGACACTGCACAGCCATAAAAAGAATGAAATTGTGTTCTTTGCAGCAACATAGATGGAGCTGGAAGCCATAATCCTAAGAAAATGCAGAAACAGAAAACCAAAAACTGTATGTTCTCACTTATAAGTAAGAAAAGCTAAACGCTGAGCATACATGGTCATAAACATGGGAACAATAGACACTGGACTACAAGAAGGGGCAGGCAGGGGTTATGGATTGAAAAACTACCTACTGGATATTATGCTCACTATGTGGGTGGAATATATGAATGTTACAAATCCTACACATATACATAACCTTGTATCTGAAATAAAAGCTGAAATTAAAAATATATATATATATTAGAATCAGCAAGGAGGTATATTTTAAAAGTTGCAGAGCATAATACAGCAATTAAACTGAAAAAAAAGATGTACTGCTGTTTGTATAAGTCAGAACTAGTGGATTGTTGGCAATTTTATAAGGTTAAACCTAACATTTGTATCAACATAAATAGATCTCAGGAACATAACATTGAAATTTAAACTTTTGTTGATGAAAAACCAATGTATGCAAATGTTTAAAATGAAACCATACTCTTTCTATTTTGACTGACCAAGGAGTTATGTTTGCTGCTGTATTGTAGAAGGAGAGACACTGAGTTTAGCATAATAATTGTCCCAGACTGAATGGAAAGATGATGAAAATAAGATAAACGCCACTGCGATTTCAACTGTATCTCTAAAATTCTAGTTCCAAAAGCAAGAAAGCAGAGAAGTAAATATATGCTAAGTAGTAGTTTTTCTAGATTGTTTTTTAGAGACAGGGTTTCACTCTGTCACCCAAGCTGCTGGAGCGCAGTAGTGTGACAATGAATCATTGCAGCCTTGAACCCCTGGGCTCAAGCAATCTTCTGTCTCAGTCTCCCAAGTGGCTGGGACTACAAGCATGCACCATTACACCCAACATTTTTTTTTCCCCTTTTTAATTTTTGTAGAGACAGGGTCTCGCAACATTGCTTAGGCTGGTCTTTGAACTCCTGGCCTCAGGAATCCTCCCACCTCAGCCTCCCTGGAGCTGGGGTTACAGGCGCGAGTCACCACATCCAAGCATAAGTAGTTTTGATTGTAAGTGGGTATACTTAACGTGGTTACCATAAAACTTCCTGAACTCCACTTTATGTATGACATAATTGTTTCCTGATTAACATGATGTTAAACTACAGTGACTATACAGAGGCCAAAAATGGTGACCACAACTTGGAAAACAGTCATCAAACTGGCTTTCCAAATCTCCAGAAGCAGTACCAACTCTTAGTCCCCTCATTTTCTCAGAAGGCCTACCTTGGTTTATAGGGCACCGTTTTTTCTTCTAGAAAATACACTATGAGTCACTCATAGGTGTATGGCCTACTATAAAATTTTCACCATGTGTCATTAAATGTCATGTAGTTCAATATCGGGAAATTCTTTTCTCAGAATGAGAAATGCAAACTTTGGGCTGGTTTCAGGTTTTTATTTCTTTTAATCCTGAGAAAACCTTGAGTTGCACTTAAAAAAAAAATCTTTATACTATGACCATGTCCCCATTAAGCTATCTTTCTATCTACCAGCTTAATATATTTTTGGATGCTTTCATGTTTTGGTTTGTTCTGTTTTTCAGTTTGCAATGCAGTCGGCCCTCTGTATTCATGGGTTCGGCATCTGTGGATGATTCAACTAGCCATGGATGGAAAATACTTGGAAAAAAGCGAATGTTTGTGTCTGTACCAAATATGTACAGAATTTTTTTTTTTTTTTTGGTCAGCATTCCCTTAACAGTACAGTGTAACAGCTATTCACATAGCATTTACATCGCATTAGGTATTTTAAGTAATCAGGAGATGATTTAAAGTCTACGGAGAGTGTGGAGAGCTCATATGCAAATACTAGGCAATTAAGAATAAGGGACTTGAGCATCCACGAATTTGGGTATCCATGGGAGGTCCTGAAACCAATCCCCCATTGATACCTAGAAATGACTGTATATATTTCTAGAAAGGAATTAAAGTGTCTAAATACAGCAAAAGCAGAGAATTATAACTGATTAAAGCTTAAAGGATTTTTTGCACCTATATTTTACAAATGAAAAAAATGTAGATGTCTCTGGGTAATGGCTCTATGCTCACGTTTGAACTCTCATCTTCTGACCCACAAAACAATGCTAATTTCAACATGCTAGTCTAGACTAAGATTCTAACTAACATTTACTGAGTGCTTAGTGTATTGCCAGAGGCTGTTCTAAGCCTTTTTCCTGTATTACCTCATTTAATTCTCTCTTACATCTATGAGTTAAGAATAGTTACTTTTTTCTAATTTACGTATGAGAGAACTGGATGCCAGAGAGATGAGGTACGCTTTCCACCACCACAATTTAAGTAAATTGCTCCAGTATTGTTTTTGCATAGCCAGTATCAGAACAGAAACAGTTGAAGCCCATTTGACCATTATGCTTTTACTTAGCACACTTTATGCTATTTTCTTGCTCTCTCTGTCTCTCTCTGAATATTTTATTTTTATAATGGAAGACACTGAGCACATAATAGAGTTTACCTTATTTTCTGCAACTGAAAGTCATATCTCCAGCCTTATCCTTTTACAATCTGGCTGGAATGTTAACCTCCCACTTTAACTAGTTGCAGATTTGTGCTTCCCATTGCCTATTTTTTTTTACTATCAGTTACTAATAAATACTCATGCATTTACATCACTCTCTAAAAGCAGCTTATAACATCATGTGTATCTTGGTCACAGAGTAGACTGTTCTATCTCTCAAGAGAAAGAGAAATCACCACCAGGGGTCTGGGCTGAAGAGGAAACTGTCACTCCATGTCATGCCAACAGTTCCTGCTGACTCTTTCAAAGTGTCATTCACTGACAGTTGGCATAGAGTCCAGCTTTGATGTTGGAGATTTTTGTAAAAAGTAATATGATTTTGAGATTTCCCTAGACCTAAATTCTGGTTCTGGCACTGCATTATAACCACCAGCTTAGCGACTTTCACAAACTGTTTACTCTCCATTTTCTCATCTCTAAAATAGAAGATGGGGTGAGCAGGTGATGCATATTTTATAGCTGTCTTGTAAGAATTAGAGATGACTTGTTTAAGTGTCTGGTATATAGTAGGACTATGTCTCAGTTAAGTGCTTGATATCAAGTAGGTATTAAAAAATGGTAGTTATTTTATGTTTTTGTGTGCAGCAGAACCAAAATTGCTAACCTATAGGGCAAGAGCTCAGTAGATTTTTAATGTGACATTTAGTCCACTGTCAATGTGCTTGAGTCATTGACATGCTGGGCATTAATTCTTTACCAACTTGAGAAAATTTATTTTTCTTTTTTAAATTTTTAGTTGACAAATAATACTTGTACATATTTACGGAGTATAATGTGATGTTTTAGAAAAAATATTTAATAATGAAATATTTCTGTTTGACAAGTGCTCTTTGAGGTGAGCTTTTGGAAAGATACCATTAGGGACCTTTATTCATAAAACAATAATAATCAATTAATTCACAAGGCATTTCCACAATGTACACAAAACAGATGTATCTACTTATGGATTCCAATTGGCTGTAGATCACAAATTATGATAGCTTCCCTAAAAGGAAGTCATACATAGGAAGAAACCAAAAGGTCAAAGATTATATAATTTTCTCTAGGGATTGTTCCTACTGTTTGTTGCTAGGTCTCTTTTGCCTATTCCTGAATTGTTAGCTTCCTGCCAGGGATTCTGAGTGTGATGCTAGGGAATGTTCAGAGTATTTAGAGTCCTGATATTTCATCAGGCATATTGTGACCCACTAGACCTTTCCAAGTGCGCCTGCTCTAAATGTTCTGCTTATTTCTGACTCTCTTCTTTCCTTCTCTTGCCCACAGTTGAGTATACAGTTCTGTTTTACCAAGACGAAATGAGTCTCTCCTAAACAAGCTTGTCGGTATTTCTTTGTGTGAGGCATCAGGCTAGACTCCAGAGATAGTAATTTATTTTCTTTTAACTTCGCTTAATATTTTAGTTAAAGGAAACTAGCAGAACTTTTTTAATCTCCTCTTTTTGTTACCAATGAATTTTGGAAACTGGAACCTATCCAAGCCAATATGAGTTTGAGGAAGTATTCAACTCTGGGAAAGGAAGGATGTGATCTGTAAGTGAAACTAGAAGCATGAAACGTGTGAACCTTTTGTGGCTTCATTATTTGGTTATTAAGGGGTAGTTTCAACATCAAAAGGTTACTTTTAACTCACATTTGGCAAAGTGCCTATGCCACCAATGTTAGTGGTAATAGAAGTGCTCAGTGGTTAGAACTTATTACAAATTCTTCCCTATGTGAGATCTTCCAGGAAAGGAAAAGACACTTTATTACAGTACACTTAACATTTATTTAACATCCTCACCCTACACTGAGTACTAGGGTTACAAATATGAATATTGCAGCGAGTCCCTGAAAATATGAGTAAAGTGAGTAGCACAATTAAAAGCAGGCAATTAATAAAAGAAAAACATCATGATACTATCATTGTTCCTTGTATAGATTCAATAATAAATATATAGAGAGACAAAATAATGGAGATCGTGGGAAGTATTTAACTCTACTTGGGAAGATTTGTAAATATCTTCAAATAAGAGGAGGCAAAAGTATTTGTCAGGAAGAAAAATTGGCAGAGTGATTTCAAGCACATGACAAATACTCAGTAAATGTTGCCTATTATTATTATTGAAGGAGGTGGACCTATGGTAAGTTTTGAATGGTATAATGATACTAGCAAGGAAAAGACAGAAAATTCCAGCCAGGCGGAGGAGTTTGTGCAAGGGACAGGGGCACCACACTCCATTGTGACATCCTAAAATGGCACTGAATCAATATTGCTGGGGGATACAGCATGAATGAGACACACTTGGAGGAGCAGGCAGGCTGTGTCATGAAGGGTCATGAATGTCAGGCTTAAAAGCTTATACCAAATCTTACTGATTATAGGAAGTCACTAATAGATTTTAATATTTCAGGATAGGACCAATTTGCATTTTAGAATTGTTACTTGGGTGGCAGTAGAGAAGCGCTGGTGAATGGTAAGAGGCAGGGAAAGTGCAGGAGTATCTGGGAAAAGTTAAAATAACAAAGAACCGTCGGGCGCGGTGGCTCACGCCTGTAATCCCAGCACTTTGGGAGGCCGAGGCAGGCGGATCACGAGGTCAGGAGATCGAGACCATCCTGGCTAACACAGTGAAACCCCGTCTCTACTAAAAATACAAAAAAATTAACCGGGCGTAGTGGCGGTCGCCTGTAGTCCCAGCTACTCGGGAGGCTGAGGCAGGAGAATGGCGTGAACCCGGGAGGCGGAGCCTGCAGTCAGCCGAGATTGCCCCAGTGCACTCCAGCCTGGGTGACAGAGCCAGACTCCGTCTCAAAAAAAAAAAAAAAAAAGAAAAAAAAAAAAGAAAACACAAAATAACAAAGAACCTGACAAGTCTGTTTGTAGGTTTATATCCTAGAGAAATCCATACCCAATACAGCATTTGTTCCTTTGTTGTAGTGTTATTGATAATAGCAAAAAATGTTGGGCACAATCTAAATGTCTAGTGGCAGGGGAACAATGATATGAATAGTACAATCTAAGAAAGTAAGTAATAGATTATGATGAACTAAAATGAATCAGTTAAGTGTAAGTGCATTAGCATGAGTTGTTCTTTAATATGCGTGAGTAAAAAGAAAAAAAACAAATTGAATAATGTTAAATATAATCCTATGCTATTTATAAACATTTAATAAATAATACTATTTATGGACACATATACATGAAACATGTATAAAGCCAGGCCTGGAAGAAAAGTTACCAAATTTATTATAGTTGTTATATTATTGGAGGGAGGAGGAGCCATGAGATTGGAGGGAACAACAAAGGAGGCTTCGAGTTTATCTTGCAAGTTCTGTTCCTTAATAAGTCAAATTTTACAGCAAATTTGACAACATATTAATTGTGATTTACATTAGTTAGGGGCATGGGTTTTATTTGTTTATCTATTTTTATTTTTAATTTTTTTTTTAAGATAGTCTCACTTTGTCACCCAGGCTGGAGTGCAGTGGCATGATCTCAGCTCACTGCAGCCTCCGCCTCCTGGGTCCAAGTGATTCTCCTGCCTCAGCCTCCCAAGTAGCTGGGATTACAGGCACGCACGACCACGCCTGGCTAATTTTTGTGTTTTTTGTAGAGATGGGGTTTTGCTATGTTGGCCAGGCTGCTCTCAAACTCCTGACCTCAAGTGATCTGTCCGCCTCAGCCTCCCAAAGTTCTGGAATTACAGATAATGGGTTTTATTTTTTAATAGTTTCTGTGCTTTCAGAAAATTTTTAAAAATGAAATATGTGTCTGATTTTGTTTACTGTATGTGTTGTGTGTGTGTGTGTGTGTGTGTGTGTGTGTGTGTGTGTGTCTAAGATTCAAGGGCTCTAACTTCTCTCTCCAACTGTTAAAGATAGTGTCTGAGTATGCTAAGACTCATCCTCTATCAACCCCCAAAGTTAGGAAATGGCTGAGAGGGAGAGTAGTAACTTCATCTTGAACCCAAGAAGGGTGTCCAGGGAGAGGGAGGGTTGCATACTGCCAGTTGTCAAATCTTTCAAATAACATGAGGCTCTTCATAGTTTTCAAATAAGAGAGTCAATGAAGACCAAGTTCTTAGTTCATGAGGAGGAGTTGACTTTTCAAGGGGGCTTAATGATTGGGAGGTGGACATCGAGTGGGTATGATGGTCCAAAGATCTGTAGCAGGAATGAGTCAGTCCCATAGGTTCAGAGACAGCACCTTTTGCCACTGTCAGCAAACAATGGCCTCTTTTGCAAATGGCCTTCAAATTCTGATTTTGAGGGAGAGATGGAAAATGCTATCTTCACAGCCATACTCTCTTATTGTTGTTATTGAAAATACAGTCAGAGGCCCTTACAGAGAGACACATAGGAAACAAGCTCAGTTTAAAAAACATGAAGAAAATACTCTCTTGGGTAATTTGAGTTTTCAATTCAATTTAAGTCAGCAAATATTTTTACATTTCCTTTTGCTGAGTATGTTTTGAAAATTATTCTAGATACTTTGCATTCAAGACAGTTTATAGTCTGTTTTATACAGGAAGTAAATAGAAAGAGCTATAATATTGTTTGGCTCTGCGTCCTCACGCAAATCTCATGTCAAGTTGTAATCTCCATGTGTCAGGGGAGAGTTCTTATGATATGCAGTTCTTATGATAGTGAGTGAGTTCTCACAAGATCTGATGGTTTGAAAGTGGCACTTCCCCACTCATTCTCTCTCTCTCTCCTGCTGCCATGTGAAGAAGCTTCTTACTTCCCCTTTTCCTTACCCCATGATTGTAAGTTTCCTAACATTTCCCACATGTAGATACCAATGTTGGAAATTTTATAAGAAAGGATAGCTTTTCAACTGCCCTCAAATTGCATCAGTTATAGACTAGGACACGAACAGGAAAAGCTGGCACATTTGAAGAGAATGTGACATATTGAAACATAATTATATAAGGGGCTGATTAATATTGGTCAGAAAAGCAAAGGAAAAAAGGCAAAAACTTAATTCTAAATTCTATTTTAGAGTAGTTTCTAATATCAACTTTTTATATAGTTACAATATTAACTTTAAAACAAAAAAAGATCTTTCTTTCATAGAAGAAGTATAACCTGGTTATTAAAGATAATTATGGATGACAAAATAAGCAGAAATTCAATGAAAGGAGAAAATTATCCATTGTTCCAAATCATCCCAGTGTATCCATTTTTGTAATCCTGGACTAATAATTAATTTAAATATGTAACAGATACATAATATTCAGGCACAACTAAAGCTTATTTCTAGTGTTAATGACCAATATCCACCTGACTAGGGTATAGTTGTGGCCATAAGAACTAATAAATGTTTGTTGAATTAAGCCAAAGACCTTACTTGGAAGGAGCTAGGTATATCAGTTCTTTATTACTGTATTAAAAAACTTTAAAACTGTCACTTTTAATATAACAATCAATTGCTTATGATCCTGTGGCCCAACAAATTGAGTTGGTCTTAGTTGGGTAGTTCATTTGTTGGTCTTGGTTGAAATCACTTAGGTACCTGGTAGCTCATCAAAGACTAGATAATCCAAGATTGCCTCACTCACGTTTTTGGTGAATGAGGCTGGCTATGGATTAATTGGTCCAGGGGCCCTCAGCTGGGATGATTTATCACTGCTCCTCATAGCCTCTCCTCAGGGCAGCTAGATCAGGTTTCTTTGCAGGATGATGGAAGCATTCCCAATGGACAAGAGCAAAAGCTACAAACCTCTTGGAATTTAGGTTTGCAAGTTATACAGTGTCTCATCTGAAACATTCACTTAGTCAAAGCGAAGTGTAAGGCCAGCCCAGATTCCAGGGAACGAGAAATATGTGCCACAACTTGATGGAAGGAATGGTCACACTGCAAAGGAACATGTGTTCTGGGATGTGAAAAACTGTTGAGGTCATCTTTGCAAACTATGTACCAAACTTTATTCATTGCCCTTTGACAACTCAACACTATATGCTTTATGCATGTTTATATTAGACTAATCAATGCTGAACAAATATAAAAGATTCTTAGTTTTGTTCACATTGTGCAAAATTCAGTCATTAAAGTATAAGAGATTTTCCACTGTGACTATATAAAGGTATGTCCAATAATTGTTTCTTATTTTGAATATTTCTTTGTCTGATTTTTTCCCCCAAATTTGTGCAATGCATAAACTTCAGATGGCAATGACCTCTTTAAATGAAATGGATGCATTCTAAATTGTCCTCCCAAAAGCCTATGTCACCAAAGTGGGAGGGTCTGTTTCTATGTTCCTGATTTTTATAAGAAAATTGAAATTTCTAGTCAAATGTTGCATTATGACATTTATCAGTGTTATCAAATTTATAGAATTGAGGTGAGGATTAAATCTGGCAATGTAGAGCAGCAAGAACTGTGGCTAACTCTAGGAAGCTTTCAACCTAAAAGGAAAGATTGATACAAACATGGTATCACAAGAATGAATCTTATCCTTTGAAATATCCAGCTGCTGTATGACTCCCCATAAGCAATGCTAGTCAATGCTGACTCTAGGGTTTTAATGGGAAAATCTTTAAACATGAAGATTTTCTATTGCGTCTGTGTAGAGGATCATCCATCTATACATAGAGAGATGAGCACTAAAAAAGAGAAATGAACAAGTTCCATTAAGAAATTAAAAGATGAAGAAACCACAGCTAGTTGTAGAGAGCAAGAAAGGGCCAAGATGCTTCATAAATGTTTGTTCTCTTTTTCCATTTTGCCTCTCTGAATATGAGTTTTTTTCCTCCCTGTAATGAGAGTTTTAGATTATATAATTTTGGCAGTTCCATTGAACTCTAACATTTTATGCTCACTGCATAGGCACTCAATTGGCATCATAATTTCCAATGCTAGTGAGTCAAAACTGTTCCCCACAATCTCTCATAAATAATCTACTGTTCCATGAAAAATAATTTTTAAATAACAATATATTTGCATCATTTGTATTCCTTAGAAATGACACCACCCTCATCCAAGAAAAGTTGATAAGAAGGGCTTAACCTTTCAGTTGATATCTGCGTGTAGAATAGAAAAAAAACCAACCAGTCAAAATGAAAAAATATATGTAAATTATTGGGTAGGATGGTCATTTTAATGGTATTGATTTTTCCAATTCATGATTATTTGTGTCATCTCTGATTTCTTTTAACAGTGTTTTGTAGTTGTCATTGCAGAGATCTTTCACCTCCTCAGTTAGATGAATTCTTAGGTATTTTATTCTCCTTGTGGCTATTGTAAATGGGGCTGTCTTCTTGATTTGACTTTCAGCCTGGACATTATTGGTATATAGAAATGCTACTAATTTTTGCACATTGATTTTGTAGCCCGAAACCATCTTAAAATTGTTTATCAGTTCTAGTAGTCTTTGGAAGAGTCTTCAGGATTTTCTAGATATAGAATCATAACATCAGTGAAGTAAGATAGTTTGATTCCTTTTTTTTTTCTATTTGGATGCCTTTTATTTCATTCACTTGCCTGATTGCTCTGGCTAGGACCTCCAGTACTACATTGAATAGGAGTGGTGAGAGTGGGCGTCCTTGTCCTCTTCCAGTTCTCAAGGGGGACCAACGTCATTCTTCACAGAATTACAGAAAATTATTCTAAAATTCACATGCAAGCAAAAAAGAGCCTGAATAGCCAAGGCAATCCTAAGCAAAAAGAATGAAGCTGGAAGCATCACACTACCTGAATTCAAACTAGAATATAAGAGTACATTAACCAAAACAGTATGGTACTGGCACAAAAACAGACACATAGACCAACAGAACAGAATAGACAACTCAGAAATAATGCTGCACACCTACAGCCACCTCATCCTAAAGAAGACCAACAAAAGCAAGCAATGGGGTAAGGACTTCGTGTTCAATAAAGGATGCTGAAGTAACTGACTAGCATATGCAGAAGAATGAAATTGGACCTTTACCTTTCACCATATACAAAAATTAACCCCAGACAGATTAAAGATTTAAATGTAAGACCTCAAACTCTAAAAATTCTAGAATAAAATGTATGAAATACCGTCCTTGACATCAATCTTGGCAAATAATTTTTGACTAAGTCCCCAAAAGCAATTGCAACAAAAGCAAAAATTGACAAATTGGGCCTAATTAAACTGAAAACTTTCTACACAACAAAAGAAACCACCAACAGAGTAAACCAACAACCTACAGAATGGGAGAAAATATTTACAAACTGTGTATCCAACAAGGGTCTAATATTCAGCACCTATGTGTACATAAATCAACAAGCAAAAAACAAATAACATTATTAAAAAATAGGCAAAGGACATAAGCAGAAGAAGACATACAAGTAGTCAAAAAACATATGAAAAATGCCCATATTCATTAGTCATCAGAGAAATGCAAAACCACAATGAGACATCATCTCGCGCCAGTCAAAATGGCAGTTATTAAAAAGTCAAAAAACAACAAATGCTGGAGAGGCTGCAGAGAAAAGGGAACGCTCATATATTATCAGTGGGAATGTAAATTAGTTCAGCCACTGTGGAAAGCAATTTGGTGATGTCTCAAATAACTTAAACCAGAGCTACTCTTTTTTTTTTCAGATGGAGTCTCGCTCTTGTCACCCAGGCTGGAATGCAGGGGCTGCAATCTTGGCTCTGCTATTCCGCCTCCTGGGTCCAAGCAATTCTCCTACTTCAACCTCCCAAGTAGCTGGATTACAGGCATGTGCCACCATGCCAAGCTAATTTTGGTATTTTTAGTAGAGACAGGGTTTCACCAAGTTGGCCAGGCTGGTCTTGAACTCCTGACTTCAGGTGATCTGCCTGCCTCAGCCACCCAAAGTGCTGGGATTACAGGTGTGAGCCACTGTGCCCAGCCCAGAGCTACTATTCAATCCGGCAATCCCATTACTGGGTATATACCCAAAGGAAAATAGATCATTATACTGAAAGGACATGTGCAGTCATATGTTCATTGCCATGCTATTTCTAATAGAAAAGACATGGCATCAATCTAGGTGCCCATCAATGGTAGATTGATTGGACAAAAAAACTGTGGTACTTATATATACCATGTAATACCACACAGCCATAAAAAAGAATGGAATTATATCTTTTGCAGCAAGATGAATGAAGCTGGAGCCCATAATCATAAGTGAACTAATGCAGGAACAGAAAACCAAATACTGCTTATTATCAAGTATAAGTGGGAGCTAAACATTGAGCACACATGGACATAAATATGAGGTCAATAGACACTGCAGACTATTAGCGAGGGGGGGGTGTTGGGGGCAGGGAGGAAGGGAGGAGGCTGTGGGTTGAAAAACTACCTACTGGGTACTATGCTCGCTACCTGTGTGCAATATACTCATGTAACAAGCCTGCACATGTACTTCCTATATCTAAAATAAAAGTTGGAATTAAAAAAAAATCTGTGCCAATTTGAAAATACTAGCAGAACAAACAAGTTGATTTCACAGAAGTGCAACACTTTGCTATTTAATGTAATAGTATGATTTGCAAATGTTTGTATAAGAAAACGTATCCTCTAATCTGCTGAGTTTTGTTCTCTTCCTGCAATTTTACCCAAATCCTCCACATTTACTTACAGCACTCAGATAATTGTTTTTGCATGTCAAGTACCTAAAATCCCAGTATGTTTATATTCTATTGTACTTTATACATTTCAAATAACTTTCAAATACACCCTCACATTTGGTCATCAAACAAAACTGTGAAGGGTTTTTATGAATAACGAAATTGAACCCTTAAAATCCAAGTGACTAGTCTCAGTTTGCATAGCAGGTTAACAACAGATTGAGGGTAAAACCAGACACCTCACCTAGAAACCAGTTTTTTCCTACTACATAATAAAGGGGGAGTTTTTGATAGTTGCGTAGGAGTGCCCCTATTTTAAAGACAATGTTACTTAACAGTTTTATTGATCTGATATTCAGGCAGCATAAAAAAGCAGCAGAAATATTTGGTGCCAGCTTGGCCACTTTGCTCTTCATCCCCCTATCTTTCGGACAGCTGGACAAGGCAACAGCTGCCAATCAAGACTGTTTTACCTACACTTTCAGATCTACTGGCACCCAAAGGTGTATGCCAGCTAGTGCTTGCTCTTGTTGAATAGACATCGTTTGAGTAGAGTATGGCACCAGTTTTTATGTAACACTGTCATAAACCTTTTCATAATGCAAAAGTTAACATCAGAGCTAGAGGGTAAATCAGACTCACTCTTGAAAAAAGTTTAATTTTGATTTGTGGAGCCAGAAGCTGCTGGGTTATTGTCAGACAGGTCGATGTGTAAATCCCACCTTTGGCCCCTCTCAATTGTGTCACCTCAGAAAAATGACTTTGCCTGCTCCAACTTCCGGTTCCTTTCCTTACATGGCGAGAGTGCCTATCTTACAGATGTACCCTGAAAATGCATTTGTGTTTAGGAAAGGGCCCTGCATGTTTTCGAATTTCATTATGAACTGATCCTGAAGCCACCTCAGTCCAGAGCTTGGTGCAATCCTGAGAAAAGAAGTGTCTGGGGTCAAATGATATCAATCTTCCATTATCTGAAGGACTGGGAGGTGTTATTCTGTATTATTCTAGAGACAAGAACTAAGGCCAAAATTTCCAAAGTTGTGAAAAAATAAATTTATTCGAAATCAGAAGCAACTTTTCAACAACCATAGCATTTAAGAGGTGGGAATATTGAGAGTGATGTGCCATACCAGAGACTCCTGGAAGGGAATAGGCTGAATCACCATTCTTATAAAATTATAAAAAGAAGCCCCTTTTTCCTCCACATTAAAAAAAGATTCAGAAAATGTGTTGTGGAAGTTAGAAAGCATGAACAGAAATGAAATCCACAACTAGCCATCCAGAAATAAAGAAGTGTTAAGCACTGGGGAAGTGTAATGTGTATATCTCTCACTAGGCTTAACTCCTTTGAAGTAGAAAAAGTAACTTCAGCACATTTATTTTACATGCAGTAATTTTGACATGGAATACATTTGGCCTGTATTATTTGCTAGGACTGCCGTAACAAAGTACCATAACCTAAAATAGCTTAAGCAACAGAAAAGTATTATTGCACAGTTCTACAGGCTGGAAGTCCAAGCTCAAGGTGTTCGCGGGGTTAGCTTCTCCCAAAATTGTGAGGGAAAATCTGTTCCATGCTTCTCTCTCAGCTTCTTGTAGTTTACTGGAAATTTGTCTTTTCTTGGCCTGTGGAAACATCCTTCTGATCTCTGCCTTCATCTTTACATGGTGTTCCCCTGGTGTGCATGTCTGTGTCTAAATTTCCCCTCTTCATAAGAACACTAGTCATACTGGGTTACCTCTGGTCTTAGTTCTTCTGTCTAGAGTAATACAGAATAACACCTCCCAGTCCTTCAGATAACTGTAGCTTGATATCAATTGACCCCATACAGTAATGACCTCATCTTAACTAATTATGTGTGCAATGGCCCTGTTTCCAAATAAGGTCACATGCTGACACACTAGGAGCTAGGTCTTTAACATATGAATTTTGGGAGGATACATTAAACCCATGATAAGACCTTATATATGGTAGGTGTTCAATAATGCTTTTCTGCCAGAATACAGCTAAAAGCAGAGTGCTCAAACCTCAGAGTTAGAAAAATGTTGATGAAACAAGCCCCATCTCTGCTAGGCCTGGCTCCCCTTTGTAATTCGGGCTTTTCCTGGATGCTTCTATGGACACCTGTTAGACGTAGAGTTTGTTTTGTCTGTTTCCATTTCTGAGGCTCTGTGACTTTTTGGACAGAGAGGGAAAATACTGAGGAGACAGAATTCTAGAATAAATGACTGCTTAAAGAATTTAAATTTCTTTGCCTGCTAGGAAATTATCAATTACTGCTGTTGCACTATTAAAAGCAGAATACACAGAAAATAAATAGTTAATATTTACTCAGCACTTATTGTGTGTCAAATATTATACTAAGTGCTTTATGTGATGAAATGGAACATATCTTACAACAGAGATGTTGTTATTTATATTCATTGTATTGAGGAAGAACTGGGTCCTGAATTGTTCAAGCAATTTGTCCAAGATCACATTATTTTAAAATGTCTTGAGGTTCAAAAGAGGTCTCTCTGAGTCAAAGGCCTCACCTCACAAGTCCTGTGCTATACTGACTATTACTTTTCTTTACCATAAAACTCAAATAGAATGATCCGCTTAGTGGATCAGGGTGAAACTGGAGAGTGGTGAGTAGGATGTGTGTTTATGCATTCATGTATAAAGTCAATACATTGTAAAGAGGAAGGAAGGGAGGGAAGGAGACACAGAATTGGTAGGAGGAAGGGATAATTCTTATCAATTTATTTTTAGGTAGGTAGTAGGTAAATGAGTGGTTATTTATAACCTTCCTTCTTCAAATTATGTGTGGCTATTGGCACCATTTAGTAATACATGACAAAAGAACAATTCAGAAAATTGTATTTCCTAGAAAGGCACCTGGCCCTCTTTTCTGTGGGGGTGCGAGGAAGAAGCCACATGTGCTGACTTTTGCCTAATCTAGCGGTCTTCTTTGGGTCCTCGTCACGGCCCCTGAGAAGAAAAATTATTTTAGATCAATTAATTAAATAAAGGTGAAATTGAAGACATATTTCACCTTTCTAGGTTAATGCTGTGACAGTGAACAAAAGTGCTAAGACCCTGGGGACGTTACCTCATAGGCTCAATATTCCATTCTATTTCTGGACCGCGGAACTCTTTTGTGAACCTGACGCATTCATCCTGGGAAGAAGGTTTGGAAACCAGCCGTGCTCTTCCCTAGGGCACATCACTAGTAAGTGGTACTGCTCTCCAAGTAGAAACATGTTAAAGTTAATCCATAAAAGCTCTCCCAGTTTCTTCCAGGCTGGATGCTGAGGT
This sequence comes from Homo sapiens, assembly GCF_000001405.40. Lineage (NCBI taxonomy): Eukaryota > Metazoa > Chordata > Mammalia > Primates > Hominidae > Homo > Homo sapiens. Next base: position 128,671,029 of record NC_000008.11, on the reverse strand, counting down.
TGCTTACTTTGTTACCATGGTTCTCCTTTTAGAAAATGACATGTAGAGTATTCCAAAATGACAAATCCAAGTTTTCCCCATGTCCATTTTAATACTTCTGTTCATTCATCTAACATACTTTGTGTATGTGTTCCTGAAGAATTTCACATATTAATAGATGCAAAATATATTTACTCTTCACAACAAAACCATTTGATGGGCCTTATTTACCCCACATTACAGAGTTACACGGAGGTGAAGTGACTGAGGAAAAATGCCAAGTTTCCTGGTAGAAGCTTAAAGCATTTAAGCAGAAGCTATATGGCTGACTTGTTTTTTAATTCAACAGATACCTTTAGATGGCACTGGTGATGAAGACAGAAAACTTAGTAATGCAGTAGGGCCTCTGTTTTATGGTTTTTACAGTCTACTAGAGAAAGAGAATATAAATAGAGCAACAAATCACCATATGATTGTAATTGCAATAAATATATCTGAAATGAGAGGGCATGAAAGAGACCTAACTTGATCGGAGTGTTTGGAGAAGGCTCACTGAGGAAATAATAATTAGAACAAGACATGAGGGACGAGTAAGAGTTAGCTGGAAAGGAAGAATGGCAGATGGAATAGCGAAATGAGAATCAGTTTTGGGTACTATGAGAATGAGGATCCGGGTGACCGAGAGGACATGAGGAAGGAGAGAGGTGGCATGAGGTTAGGCTGGGGTAATACAAAAAGACAAGATCATGTAACAACTCCTAAGCCATAGTAAAGCTGGTCAATGTCCTAAGAATAATAGGAAGTTGTTTAAGGGCAAGGTAGGCACAGGGTCAAAAGAATATTTAATAAATCACTCTTGATAGAATAGGAAGAAGAAGGGCAAAAGAAGATGGGTGAAGACTGGATGAAAAGATTCTGGAGACTCCATGGAAAAGATGTGGTAGCCTGCATTAGGGTCACAGCAATGAAGATGTAAATATGTGATTGAATTTTAGAAAATATTTAGAAGAAGCACTCTGAAGATTTAAGTATGAATTGGATATGCATCTGAGGACAAAGGAGATGTCCAGGATGACTAAGGTAATAGCCATAAACCAATGGGATGTTGGAGATGTCACTTATTAAGATAAGCACTAGAGATGTAGCATATTTGGGGGGGAAATTATGAGGTCAGTTTGGGATGTACTAGGTTGCATTTACCTGTGAAACATCCAGATAAAAATGTCAAGTCAGTGATTGGATAAGCAGGCACATATCTAGAGCCTGGAAAGCCATAGCCTTTGAGGTATTAATGAAACCTTAGGCAGAGAAAATATGATCTAGGGAGAAGCTCTAGACTAAGGTGACAAAATAGTGGTGAGGAACTCAGAGTTCCTGGAGGTCTGTTTATAAAGTAGAAAAACGACAACTGGGAACGGCTCTGACAAGCAGCGACCAAAGGTTTAGGTTCAAACAGGAGAACAGTGTCTCAGGCAATTTAAAAGAGTTCCATCTCAAAAATATAGTGGTCAGCATTGCTCATAGGTCCAGTAAAGAGGATGAGTGCAAAGTCTGCATGGAATTGGTGGCCTGAACATCACTGGATTCTTCTGGACAGTCATTGCCAAGAAGTGATGGGAGTAGAAGCCAGGATGGAGTGGGAGATGAGAAAATGGAAAAACATACACAGAAACCCCTTTAAAGGTGGTGAGAAATGCAGAAAACTAGTACAACAGATAAAAGGGAATAATCCAGCTGCTATATGGGTACATTTTCCCACCACCTTTGGAACCAAATGACCTCCAAGACCCCTTTCAACTTCTAAACTCCACCATAGTATCATAATTGTCTATGCCCCCCATCATCAATGTGAGTCTCAATAGTTTTGTTTCCTAGGGTATGTATTCTCAACTCATGACACAAAGCCTGTCTATGCTGTAGATGCTACTAAATGTTTGTTGAAAGATTAAAGTTATTATTAGTGTAGTGACTGCTGGGTGCATGAAATACTCACAGGAAATTGAAGAACTGTGTGAGTGGAGGTCTAATCAGAGTAAAGGCCAAAATCTTTCGAAACTAAATATGTGATATCTTTGTGAGCAGAATGACTAAGTGAGCTGAAGGTCTGCAGAGCCCTGGTAAGGGAATACACACTTATTGGCCAATGAAACCACCAATGCAGATAGATACACATTAAATATGATTGATTTAGAAAGTACAATGGCCCAACAGCCAGAAGCCTTTTTAGGGTTTCTTTTAACAGTCACTATTTGAATGATCTTTTCTCATACTTGAATGCTGTGAAATTAGTGGCAGGCCTCAATATCTATAAGGAAATGATTGAAAGCCAGACAGAGTAAAGATGAAAGTGCCTTCCTTCTTGAGTTTCTAAAAAATATATTGACTTGATTGCTTATCAATAACTGTCTGTTACTGGTTTTAAAGCCTGAGGTTAGAAAAGCTTGAGAAGCATACTAGGCAGATGATCTTCTCATATGCTTAGTATTTGGAGATACTCAAAATTTATAACAGGTCATGCAGCCTATTGTGTTTGACATCAATCTTGAGACTAGCAAACTTAGACCCTAAACGAGAATTAATAATGGTGCCAACAAACAGTTCTATCCCACTGTGCTTCTAAATTTGCCATTTTCTATGCCTAGTACACAATTTTAATAATAATAATAATAGTAGCAGTTAACATTTATTTAGTGCTTAATACATGTCAAACACTGAATATGTATTATCTCATTGAACTCTGGAAACAATATCCATTTTACAGAAGAAAAAAGCTGAAGACAGGACAAATGACTTCATCAAGACGGCATAACTAGCAAATGTTTCAGCTGGGATTTAAATTCAGCTGAGATTCTGACCAAGAATAATAAAATATACCGGAATATTTGTTCTGAAGTGAATGTAATCCAGGCAAATATTTACTAGCTGGGAAAGAAGCGCTATCTCTGTCAAACCTAGCAAGGACTAGAGGGTGAAACAAGTACCCATACACACATCTAAAGCCCCCGCCTTTCCTGAGAAGAACAGAGAAAGCTTTCGGATACTCCTAGATGCCACCCTGGGGAGAAGGAAGGGGAGTGGATGAAAATGTGAAATATTGATAGTTTACCTCTTAAATATTCTTTTAAACTGTTTGGATTTTATTAGTATTATAAAAACTGAGGTACTGAGATCCGCAAGTTTTTTCTTTCTACCCAGTACATTTGAGGCTCAGAATCAATCTTAGATGAGCTATACACAAATAAAAAAATACATTTCTTTCCCCACATGGAGTATGGTGTAAAATTAATGATACTATTACATTAGGAACAGCAGGCTTCATTGCCTGTCTCCAAACAACATTGATTGCTCTCACCTATTTAGCATACTTCCTTTGATACAATTCCAGAAGTTTCTATAGTTCTCCAGCTCTGCGATTCCTCTTTCACATTATGCCAGGCATACAGCCTCCAGTGGCATGAAATCACAGTTGTCATCGTTAACATTTTGTGGGGTCCAGAACAGAAAATTCAGGTACACATATCAAGATGGAAGCCCTGTTGGGTGGTGCAGAGGAAGGAGTTGATGCTTCTCCATGGCCCTTGAGTTGCTGAGCTTGGGAAAGCCACAGAGTTTGTAGATGGAGGGACCCAGGAACTAGAGATTTACAGCAATCACCTAAATAATTCATGAGAAAAACTTTAATGGGATCATTTTCTGAGTCAATTTAATCTTAGCCTCATGGAATCTCACCATTGGGATAAAATTCAGAGATTGCATGGTTAGTCTCTCTGGGACTGAGATTTATAGATGGGCACCCAAGGTGACAAGTGAAGTTAATGCAAGAATGAGATTTCTGGCCCAGGGATCTTTCAGCTTGTGACACTGCTGGATGATTTTAACCCTCAATTATCCAGTGGATAAGTTTTATTTCCATATTTCCTAGATAACGCCTCCCATTTCATGTATTCGTGTGACAATCTATACAAGTTTAGAACCACTCATTCGTATATTGATTTACTGAACAATTTCAGGACATTTTCTATTGCTAAGCATGGGACTAGGCACTGATTAGAGAAGATGATTGAGATACAAATCCTTCTCATAGAATTCAAGTTTAATAAAGACAAGTATAAAAATACAAAGCCACACAACCCAAATACATTATATTTGCTTGGGAATCACTGCTCTATGGTGATTCCCATTGTCAGTGCATAAGGTTGAGATGACTCAACCTGTATCTCTGTCCACAAGATTTGCCTAGTATATAAGTAAGAAAAATATTACTGGAATAGAAATGCTAGATCATTTAAGAGAATACATTATTTTTCAGCAAATCCAATGCTTTAATGCATATACAAACAATGCCTGGGGCAACTTATTCACAGAGTCGCAGGTTATTTTTAGCAGAAAAGGGCTACTTTGTAAACAATCCTGCAGTTATTAGGCTGTTCTGCCAAGCGCTCAGCTTAAAGAAGAGCTTCTAGAGCTACTGCCAGGGGTTACATGAAGGTCCAGTGGTCTCTGACTGCAATTATGTCAACTCTACTCCCATTGGTTTCATTTTTTGGTTTGCACTAGAGATTATATTTCATCAAAGAATTTGCTGCTTTAAAATGTATAAAAGTGAAAGAATGAACTAATACCTTAATTTTCAAAGCAGGGACATTTAAGACTAAGAAGTTAAGTAATTTTGACAAGATCCTAATGCTGGTTAGTAGTCAAACAGGAGTGAAGCAAACATCCTTCTTGCCTGGTACTCTTTCCACCACACTTCCCTGCCTCCTTCCTTTCTTACTCATAAGAACACGTCCCTGTGATGGAATGTGCAAATCATTGATTCTTATTCCCACACATATTGAGGTAGTAGATCTGTATTTCTTTACAAAACAAGTCAGCCTCTGAGTCATTTCACAGAACTAAATGGGCTTTCCACTGGAGGCTTACTGAAATATGAAACTTGCCCTATCCTTGGAAGGATTATCTGACATTTGACAAAGCTGTTATCTTAATAAAGAGGACCACACAAGTATAAATAAATGTATGATTCAAATGACCTGTTAAAGTTAACACAGAACTGAAATTATTTTTACTTCTCGGAGTGTAAAAAAACCTAGCATTATAAGAATAAAAGTAACATATGAGGTAATGCTCAGGAGGACAACAGGCCATACACAAGCTTATTTACTTAAGAAATTATCTTAAAAAATGAACATGCAACCGCAAGTACCACAAAAAAAGAGCATCTAATTATCTATTACAAGATAAGATGTTTTTAATAGTTTAATCTTTCATGTTATAGTTAAAGATTTTATTCAAGCTTGATCATCAATAATATAACCATACATGTACATCTAAAATGAAAGCATTTTCCATTTAATTTAATTAATCAGTATAAATCTACATAGGCAGAGTTCTTGTTATGGCATAAACACACATACATGGACAAACAGTACACTTTATAATTATGGATACACACTTACATACAGCCATAAATTCTCTTTAAAGAGACATGCAGAAAGATTGAAGAACCATAAGTCAAAAAATTACAATATGAGGATTTTTGCAGATTATGTAGTATCTTGAAAGCTAGACTCAAAAGTGGTAATTTTCAATTTTGCATTCTCCACCACAGTGGTCTATAAATATTTTTCTGTAAAGGGCCAGTAGCAGGTCATATGGTCCCTATTGCAACTATTGAACTCTGCCATTGTAGAGAAAGCAGCCATAGGTGGTGTGTGAACAAATGGATGTGTCTGTGTTCCAATAAAAATTCATAATTCATTACCTCATTAAGTTTCGTTATAATTTTCAAGTGTCATAGAATATTATTTTTGTTTTGATTTTGTTTTCAACAATTAAAAAAATATAAAAACCAATAAGTGGTGGGCAGAATTTGTTCTTCAGATGGTAGTATGCCAACTCTTCTCTGTAGCATCAGTAACTCTTATCTTATCAATAATAATGGTGTAATTTTTCTCGGAGTTATAATGTAGTTTGCTCTCTTATCCAGAGATGAAATGGGCTGTCTTGGGAAGTATTACATGCCCTAAAATTGAACCATTTAAGGAGAGCCGAGCTATGTGTCTATAGACTTTCAGAAGGTTTTTCAAACTCAACAGGGAAGGACAACCTCTAGAATATGTATCCTCAAGCGTGGAGATTTCATGTTTGACTTTAGGCATTCAGTGGAGTGGTTAAAGACAATACATTTGTGTATGAGAAGCATCTTTCACGTACTTATTCACATGGACTTTGTCTTTGCAAAACCCATCTGTAAATTTAAATTTTCAGAATACTTTAAATCTATTTCTTCCATTAAATTAAGTGCAGCAGCATCATTTCAGCTAGAACTTGAATGTCATGAGCACCGAGTCTTGAAAAACGTGGGGAATAGTCATTCCTGCCTGAGGTAACAGCTGCTGCAAAGGCCGTACAGTGGGAAATAAATGGAAATGTTAGAATCAGGGATGAAATTTCTGCAAGGCTGAGACAAAGCAACAGAGAGAAAGGCACAAGATGCAGCAAGCAAGGCAAATAGAGTCCAGAGCACATCCGGGTTATGGGTTGTGGCCTTACAGTCTACACATAGAATGAAATCAGTACGTGTGTTTTATGCATATATTGAGAAGTCATTGGAAGGTTCTGGATACAAGAACGACAAGGCCAAAGTAGCTTTGACTCCTATGGAGAAAATTAGGTTGTAGAGAATAAAAGGAAAAGCAGGGAGCCTTGTTAGAAGTTTTATTGCAGAAACCCAAGTGAAAGGTGACTTTGACTATGGGGATAGCAGTGGAGGTTGAAAGCAGTGGATGAATTCAGATGTATTTGGGAAGTGAAGTTTCTGATGCATCCATGTTGCAGCATGAGGAAAATAGAGAAATCCAGAAGACCTAGTGTTCTAGCTTAAGAAACTGGGTAGCTAGCATCATTTACTAAGAAGGATACTTTCCATAATGATCAATTACTATTAGACTGGTCAGATGATTTCATATTTGTGTTTTTGTTTCCTATTATCTTAACTACTCTATGGCTCAGGTTCTTCAGCTATGAAATAAGGACATAATAGCTATCCTATGTTATTACCCAGAAAATAAAATAATGTACATTATTATACATTATTATAATACTGACACAGTGTCTGATACATCATTAGCACTTTTACAAGTTGCTATATTTATGTCCCTTGAAACTAATTAGACTTAATAGTAAGTACAATTTATCAAATACCCATTCTGTACTAAGCAGGTATTTTAAAATTCATGATCTCCCATATTTACAACAATCATAGGTATTTCTGCTTCCATTTTACAGATGACAAAACTGGGCCCCTGAGCTGGTGAATATTTTGCACAAGGTCCAACAACTCATTAGAGAGAGTCAGGGTAAAAATTCAAATTTATCTGACTCCAATGCCCATGTACTTCCCCTCATAAAAGCCCTTCTCTCCAGAAGTGAAAATGTAATGAAAATAAAAATAATTACTCTTTTTAATAAACAACTAATGATAACCACATTTGCCTTCCATAGGGTAAAATAATGTACATCAGTGGGAGGATGTCTTTACATGGCTGCCTTCCTTACAAACATATGTGAAGCTATACCCACATAGTGAGTAGTTTTAAAAGAAGATTGTAGTTTCAAAGCTTCTATCAATTCTTTGGTTGCTCAAAGTTGAGAACCCAACAAAGGCCCAAATAGATGGCCCTTTGTTTAAGAGAAAACCATAATAACCTTTTACATATTGGCAGACCTGTAAGTTTTAGTGAAAAATAAATTGCTCTGTATATTAACATATAAAATATTTAAGTTTTTGTTTTGTTTTGTTTTTTAGATGAGGCCCAAAATAGAGGTAGAGAGAGATTCAAAAAATCTGGGAGAACACGAGGAATGTAAAAAGACAGTGAGTGCCTGGTCAGTATGGCAGACGAGACAGCCACGGAGAAGACCCCAGCCAGTGAAAAGTTAACTTTCAAGAGTGAGTCTGTAGTTGTCTGGAAAACTGAGACTTCATTAGCAATTTTCAGTGGCTTACTGCATAGTACCTCCAAAAAGAAACAAACAAACAAAAAACAAACAACTTCCTTTTCTCTCTGAAGCCTGAAGCTTGAATCAAAGTAGTTAAAAGACTAGCTTCCAGATTTGGGTTGACCCAAGGTAGAAAAACAAAAGCCACAAAGAGTGAGAGCTAGAATCCAGAAGAGAAACATGGAATAAGGGAAGACTGGGGGAAACGTGCGCCCTTCCTCAACAGAAATCCAAGCACAGTTTAAAAAAAAAAAATTATTTTTTGAGACGGAGTCCTGCTCTGCCGCCCAGGCTGGAGTGCGTGGCGCGATCTCGGCTCACTGCAAGCTCTGCCTCCCGGGTACACGCCATTCTCCTGCCTCAGCCTCTGGAGTAGCTGGGACTACAGGCGCCCGCCACCAAGCCTGGCTAATTTTTGTGTGTGTGTGTGTGTATATATATATATATATATATATATATATATATATATATATATATATATATTTTTTTTTTTTTTTTTTAAAGTAGAGACGGGGTTTCACCGTGTTAGCCAGGATGGTCTACGATCTCCTGACCTCATGATCTGCCCGCCTCGGCCTCCCAAAGTGCTGGGATTACAGGCGTGAGCCACCGCGCCCGGCCGGGATTTTCAATGTATGCAGGTGGCTGCTTGAATCTCTCTTCATTTGAACATTAAAGGAAAATGGTGAATGACGACCATCAGCTGGAGGGCTTGGGAGATACTCAGATCGGGTACTGGTCATAAAGAGGAATACTGAAATCAGCATAGACTCTCTAGCATGGAAGAAACAACTCTTTAAAAATAAGAGTTTTTCTGCATTTCTTTTCACTTCACTGCATAGTGTAGATTCCATCAACATCAAGTAGTTTACTTCATGCAAGTATACTGTGATTGTTTAGGCTACCATGTTTTTCTCTGTCTGAAAGGCCCCTTTCCATCTGCAACAATTCTAGTCATACATTAACGTTATCTCCTTATGAAGACTATTTTCCTGTTTTCTTCTTCCTTAATAGCATATTAGGTCTATCTCTACTACAGTCCCTGCCCTCTGGACTATCACTGTTTATAACATGACTGCCTCCCCATCTAATCTGTAAACTCCTTGAGTGATGAGGCAAGACGTTATCCAAGCCTGTGTTTCAGAACCTAGGCAGAACTGAAACATATTAGGTGCTCAATAAATTTTTATCAGCTTGACGGTGTCTTGTTAGGTAACTTTTTTCAAAACTTTTTGGAAAAGAGCTCAAATAAGTGCTTAGATTTTCTCTGGATTCCTACCCCACCTCAGTCACCATCTGTGATGGAGAAGCTATAATTATATATTCCCTGGGGGAATTATCATGACGATAAAATCACAATCTCAGCCAACAAAATTCAGGAACGCCATGCTCAATTCCTTTGAGTTCTTGAGAAATGTAGCAATTTGAGCTTGCAGTTAAGCTGCTTTTCTCTTCTGAAGTATTGATTTCTAATTTGATTGTTTCATTTTGTTAAATTTTGAAATAATCTCAAAGAATTACACACACACGCACACACACACAAAATTCTGTATACCCTTCATCCAAATTCACCAGTTATTAAAAGTTTTCCACATTTGTTTTTATCCTTCTCCTGCTTTCTCTCATATATATACTTATATTTCTTTTTTCTTTTCCTGAAACAGGTGATAGTATAAGGCAGATGTCTTGCCCCTTTATCCCTAAATACGTCAGTGGGTAATTTTTAATTAAGAGAATATTTTTTATTTGATTAAACTTGGTGATTGCTTTTTTTATATATATACTTTAAGTTCAGGGATACATGTGCAGAACATGCAGGTTTGTTACATAGGTATACACCTGCCATGGTGGTTTGCTGCACCCATCAACCCGTCATCTACATTAGGTATTTCTCCTAATGCTATCCCTCCCCTAGCCCCCCACCCCCTGACAGGCCCTGGTGTGTGATGTTCCCCTCCCTGTGTCCATGTGTTCCCATTGTTCAACTCTCATTGGGTATTTTTAAGAACAAGAGCATTCACTTCCATTTTATAGTACAATTATGACAATCAGTAAAACATTGGGACATTTTTAATTAACCCAAATTTCAACAATTTTCCTAATAAAATATTTTATGGCAATTTTTCCTGGTCCAGGACCTAATTCAGGATCATATGTTATATTCTGATGTTGTATCTCTTAGTCTTCTTATTGGGGGATGGTTCCTCAGGCTTACTGTCTTTCATGACATGAACACTTTTGAAGAATACTAATCACAAATTTTGTAGACAGCTCCTCAGTTTGGGTTTTGTCTGATATTTACTAATGATTAGATTTATTTTAAGCATTTTGGGTGGGAACACCACTAAAGTGATATCAGTGCATCTTAGAAGTCACATCATGACAGTTCATCTCATTTTGGGTGATGCGTTCTCCACAAATTATTTAATAATTGCAAATGGAAAAATGGTAACTTTACAGTGGAGAAACCTGGTGAACATACCTTAACCAAGTGATCAAAGTTAACATCACCAATAGTATATATACACATATACCTCAATAAAAGTTTCAGGTATTTTTACGAGCTTATTTGCCACTCATGAAAATTACACTTCTAACAAAAAAATACATTAAAAGTGTGACTTTGGTGTTTGCAACAATATTTGCTCAGCACCCAGTGCATAAGATCTAGAATAAATTTTGTGGACGTTCAACTAACTCCAAGTCCTTACTAACCAGTTACTTACTGTTAACACTTCTATATATCTTTTTAAATTTTCCCATGACATGTACAGATGTGGAAACAAAAGTAACTTGACCAACATCCCCAAACTCCAGTATGATGCTGGAATGTGAATGTTCTCTCTTCTTTCTTCAAGTCCAGTGTGCTTCACTCTGTAAGTGTTTATTTAAAACCAGTGAAAATATGGGTGCTCAACATTAGAAAACCACTTAACAAGAGCTAAAGGCCAGATACGAATTCTCTTTTCATCCTAATAGGTAACACTCCGGAACACCTTTATATGACTGCAGGGATGGAGGGGATTGAGGGTTAAGCAGGAGAAGTAACAGAGGGGAAAGGATTACATTTTCCCCACATAAGATTAGTTTTGCCTATGGTTTAAAAAAATGCAACCAATTCTAATCTGGATGTAGGTATTTCTCAGTGACTGGGCCTGTTTGCAAGCTCGAGCCCCTTTTTCAGAGAAAGCCGGAAGCTGTGTTTCACTGTAGATGGGAACTTAAAAGCAGCAGCTATATATAGCTCTATAGCCTTAACACACACACACACACACACACACACACACACACACACACACACACACACACACACACACGGCCTCTAAAGAGCCCTAAACTTTCTGTTTCAATCACCTTTAAGTTCTACATAACCCTCATTTTCTGGCGGGAAACTTATTAAGCAAATTTTCAGGGGAGATATCATAAAATGGAGGCCATGATGATGTTTCTTGTGCAATGTACTGAGAGAAGATGTAGCACAGGACCAGACAGCGGGAAGGAGATTACAAGGCTACTTTTTTACTTGAGCTGAGCTAAAAGGAGTCTCCTTCCACATTGAGTCTACAATGCAAACTCACCTACAGCTGCAAAATCAGTGAGACGGGAAAGATGTTTTGCAATTTTCAACATTGGCAGCTACTAAAAGTGATTAGCTGTTTTTTTTTGTTTGTTTGTTTGTTTTTAAATAGCCACCTGAATAGGTGGCTACACCTCTATAGAGGGTAGATGTGGTTAGAAGATGCCTCCAAAGGAGAAGTGGAGGCACAAAACACTGAATATATATTGGAGTCCTTGAAAAGTATGTTGCAGTCACTAGCAGGAATTGTTCCAAAGCAGGAATTGTTCCAAATTCCAAAGCAGGAATTTACTTTTCCCTCTTTGCCCTTCTGGGAGGATGAGCCAGCCCAGTGCATGAGAAGTACTTATCTAGATCACTTTCATTTTATTAGCAACTCTTGCACGCTCTGTCCAACAGCAGCCAGATGAATTCTCCTTCCCTGGGCCACTTAGTCACAGCTCCCCTCTCAAGAAATGCATTACTTTCCCCTTGCTGATCCCAGAGGTTTGGCTTGTTTGCTCTCTTTTTCATAGCTGCCACTCTCAACTTCTCCGTAAGGGGCCTCTTTGTTAGAGTGGAGCTCTGCCTCTCCAGCTACCTCTTTTCTGCATCTCTTGAAGGCCAGGACACCAAACCAAAAGTGTAAGACCATGAAATTGCACAGGGCAGGCAGAGCGGTGAAGATCTCAGACTCTGAAATCAAACATATCTGGGTTCAAATAGGGTTCCTCCTGTTGTAAAACTGTGCGATTTTAGCCAATTCTTTGTCTCAATTTTTTCATTTGTAAAATTAGAACAAAAATAGGACTAATGTGTCACAAAATGCATGCAAGGTTCATGGCACATAGTAAGGACTTAATACATTTTAGTTATTAGTATTAGTGTCACCATCATTATAATTACTGTCATTACCATCATCATCATTGTCTTCTTTAATCATTATAAAGAAGTAGACAAAAAATGAAAATCGGAAATTAGGAAATTTTTAGGAATTTTAAAATCTTACTAAATTCTCACAGATTTTTTTCCTTAGAATATGTCTTAATCCCTTTATTTAAATGGCATCACTAGAAACTTATTTCTCAAGAGAAGATGTAAATTTACATGGAGGAATCAGTAAGAAGAAGGAAAAGGTCCATGCCTTCCCCACCTCCACCACCTGGTCCAGCTGGGCCCAGGTGAAGGCCTAAAGGAAGCAGAGCAGGGGTGTGGCCACCTAGGGTCTCCTGGCAGGCAGCCTCTCACTTCCCTTTTGCCCTGTACTGAGCTCAGCACTTGGACTTCCCTTTGCTTTCTAATTCCCACTCTATATTCACAGTAGGCTCTAGTGCTGTGGTTTATTTTCTTAATTGCTTCCCTGTCTAGACTACAGGTGCTTCTGGAACAGGGAGTGTGTTTTGTTCAGCTTTGTGTTCTTCCTGCCAAGCACAATGTTGACTAACTGATTGTTTACTGTTTTTTGTCTACTTCCTTGTAATGATTAAAGAAGACAATCATGATGATAGGGACAGCAACTACAATGGTGATCAAGATACCAATAACTAAGATTTATTAAGTCTTTGCTAGACGCCTTACTGCTACCTCTCTCAGTCTCACTTTAAGTTCCTCTTCTATCAGTGCAGAATCACATTAGGAAAGAATCATAGATGTAAATAACTCCTTCCCAAACACACATACTCATTCTAATGGACAAATGGGCGAATGGGCTCCAAGAGGGACTATCTGGCATGAGATCTCACAGCAAATGAGCAAGTGGCAGCAGCAAGGCCAAGATACAGGTCTCAGGGCTCCTAGTTGCATACAGTCTCTGTGTTCAAGGGCTCACGGGCTCCATTTATGATTTGGGGGAACCCCAGATAGGTGACTCACCACAGAGAACTACCTTGTTTCCACAGGAAGGATCACCTGCACTCCTCTGTCATGCTCTTCTTGGTGAAAACTGCCCCTGAAATTCAGTGACCACATCCTCTCTTTGTCATTTACACCTTACTGGGGTCTTCCCCTTTCTCCTTCCCCACCTCCACTTTCAGCAAAATCAGCTCATCCTGGATATCAGCCAAATTCTTTTGTTCTAATGTAAGGGTGAGTACTAAAAATGTCAAGTCTATGTGATTTCAGAGGGGCCTTACAGAGGCCAGCGTCTCTAATCAAAGAAATGATTGCATATCTTGGTGTCAGGAGGGCAGATATGAATGGTGGCATTTCCAGATCATTATGGAGTCTGGGGAGTATTGTGCTGCCAGACAGGATACAAACACTGTGCATCTTGTACCCTTGAATGTGTTGATGGTCCAGACAATTGGTGAGTGCAACATGTATAGTCTAACCCAGAGGCTACATAATGTTCCCCATTAGTATCCAAAGTCTCAATCACACTACCTGTTCCTTCCACTGAAGTAGAAATAATAGAATTGGAAGTAACTGTTATGAGAGCTATTATTTGTTTATTGACTTCTTACTATGTGCAAGTGAGATATCTTGTCTATCATATCATGTATATTTTAGTAAACCTCAGCAACTCTTCAAAGTGGGAGTTAATATGAAGAAAACCAAACTCAGAGACATTGAATAATGTTATATGGTTTATAAGTGCTCTGAATCCAGGCCTGCCATACTCCAAAGCCTATTCCCTTGCATTTCCCTATGTGGCAGTCATGATCACATAGATTTGTTTGGCAGAGATATAGGAAGGCATGGCTTTAGAGACGGGACTATAGGGAGAGAGAATGCCTTGCAAGAGATCACCGATGGGAGGCCTATGGGTCCCTTTTGTGTTTTTCTGTTTTCTTTGGGAACCAAGGTATTTGAAAGAGAATGTAGCTAAGTAAGGCCAACTGCTATCAATCTGAGCAACTTGCTCCCTTTGTCTTACACCTGTCATGGCTCACAAATTTGTGACACCTGTCAGTAACTGGAGGCATTTGAGGATTTAAGCCTGGAGAAGAACTCAGAGTATAGTGCTGGCCAATTGCATCCTGGGATGTCATGGCCAGAGAGATGCTTAGAACACTGAGACAGAAACTCCCTGTCTTGGCCCATTCCTGTGCCACAGCTCACAGTCCACAAAGCCTTTCCTAGCCCAGCCATCCTCTTATTCTTACCTCTTAGGGTCATCACAACCGTGTTCTGAAGATGGTCTGGCAGGGCTTACCACTCCCACTTTCCTTCCTTGCGGTACTTTGGGAGCTTTCATGACAGAGTCTGACCACATCACTGAGTGTATCGGGCAAAAATACCTTCCTTCTCTTGGCAAGCATGGTGTGCTTTTAACGTCATGCACCTACCATAGACCAAGTCCAAGTATGTTTCTCTCTTTGTTGGGATGCTTACTCACTCATTTGTTTGCTAGGAGAATTTGTCTTTCTGCAAAGTCCAGTCACTCCCATATCTCTGACATACTCAGGTTTAATCCAGAGCTCCTCAGCTGAACTTTCCATTTATCCTGACCATACCGTCTAATGCTACATTTATTTATTCTCTTCCCATAAGCTATGTAAGGACAAGGATTCTGTCTTACTTCTTAGTTTCTGCACCTTGCCTGGCATATAGAAGACAATTGATAAATGATTGTGAAATAAATAATGTGATTCTCTGTAATTTTAACAAAATAATTGAATACCTCATAAGCCTTTAACAGAGCAGACCCAAGGGATATGACAATTAAGTTGTATAGCTCCACTCTTCCTTCTGGCAAATAATGTTCTTTCAAGGAAGAAAGAACAGGGTGGACAAAAACACACAATAGGTAAAACAGTTTGGTGTCCACGTGCAGGATTGCAAGGGAATAAAATAAGAGATGGGAGGGGCTTGGGGATGGGGATAGGCAGCAGCCATGTAATGCTGTGTATATTTCCCCTCATTGGGAGTTTAAACTGCTTTCTGCAGGAGAGGGGGCACCAGTAAAGTTTGAAATAAGAGAACAATCATGCTTCACTTACTTGTTCATTGCAAAGGATCATGTGGGTCTCAAGGTTTACTAGTTTGAGTATCAGATCTCAATTTTTTTTTTTTTTTTTTTTTGAGACCGAGTCTCCCTCTGTCACCCAGGCTGGAGTGCAGTGGCACGATCTCGGCTCACTGCAAGCTCCGCCTCCCGGGTTCACGCCGTTCCTCCTGCCTCAGCTTCCCGAGTACCTGGGACTACAGGCACCCGCCACCACGCCCGGCTGATTTTTTTTTTTGTATTTTTAGTAGAGACAGGGTTTCACTGTATTAGCCAGGATGGTCTCGATCTCCTGACCTCGTGATCTGCCTGCCTCGGCCTCCCAAAGTGCTGGGATTACAGGCGGGAGCCACCGCGCCCGGCCTCAGATCTCAAATTTCAACACAGGAGACCATAGTGAATCATCACTCCAGTATATAACCAAGATATCTTTATTTTTTCCACAAATGAAACTTCTGAGCCAATAATAATACCTGTGATCATCACTGCCATTGAACATTTACTCCGTACCAATTAACATTCTAAGCACCTTTCATGTATCAACTCACTTAATACTCCTCTTGCCCTTTTGGAGCTACTCACAGATAAGGCTCAATCACTGGTTACAAATCACTCATCCGATATGTTCAGGAGCCCATTTCCACCCCCCACTGCATATAATTCTGTTCTTCTTATTCAGTTCCCTGACTATTTGCCTTGTTCTCTGGAAGGCTGATTGTACCACAGTGGACATTCCTGGAGAATGGAGGTTTTTCTGTGCATGGTACGAGATAGGTACTCTAAGTGATGGCTGTTCTATGTATCAGATACTCCAAGGAAAAAAACAGCAGAAACTTAGCCAGCCAAAAAGATATGTACAAAAGTCTATTTATCCAGAAATTGGAGTTGCTGTGGATGACTCACTTACACCACTCCGCACAAGCTGCAGGAACTACCCAGTGGCCTGAAGACAAATCCCCTCTCTTAGGCCCCTTTTGGGAAGGACAGAACTAGCCTGGGAGAAAAATGACCATACATCAACATACATAACTCATTCTAATTTCTATAAAGGGGTACCAAAGCCTTTTGTCATTTTGTAGCATGATGGACCTAATCTAGGAAGCTTCTCTCTACAAAATTTTCAAAAGCAATTTCCCTTGAAAACTAAGTAGGGGGCAAGTTTCCTGACTCCAACCATTTATATTATTGAAGTAGAGTTTTTCCTCATACAATATGTCTGAAATCCTCCTTGTTCTTGAGGGATATTGCTGGATTTTTGAATCCTAAAAAAATGTTTGGGTTTCCAGCCCTACCAGATACCAGTCTTGTATCAGTAACTTCAACTGTAAGATGAGGACTCAGTAATTACCTTGCTTGCAACAACGCACTTAAAGTGAAACACAAAATATCCAACAGATATTAGTATTCTCCTGCCCTCTTTGCACAAATGCGTGTCATTACTTGCTCATTTGACAGTGATTATCTTTCTTTCTTCCCAAAAGTCAGTTTTCAAGTTCTATCACCAAGGATTACTTAGGACTTCCTTGACCAGTCCTGCAGGCCAGTAAAATCTGCATTGACAACCTGGATCAACTTAAGAAGAAAGTGATCAGAGTTAGGAACACATTCAGAACCATAAGACAGCAAGAATTCTTCAAAGAAACGAATTGTTTGTCCTGGAGACAAGACTATTTGTGTCATTGTTTTCAAATATGTAAATAATTTTTATGTAAAAAAAAGAATTATTATTTTCAAAGAAACGAATTATTTGTCCTGGAGACAAGACTATTTGTGTCATTGTTTTCAAATATGTAAATAATTTTTATGTAAAAAAAAAGAATTATTATTTTTAATGAAGTAATAAGTGGCAGAATTCAGACCTACTAATGAAAAATGCATGCAGCAGAATTTGGAACAACTGGAGAAAAGAACTTTGTAATAGCCACAGAAAAATACTGGTTGACTTGGGAGGTAGTGGGGTCTGGTAGAGGTGTTCACCTGTGGACTCATTGGCCACATGGTGGAGATGTTGTAGAAGGTATTCAGGTATCACCACAGGGGATGAGCTCTACGACCTTGACAGTCCCTTTGAACTCTGAGATTTTGTAAGCCTACAAATTCATACTTATTTGTATCGAGTTTGTGCTGGCTGAGGACTGTTGCAGAGCATATTGCAGCTTTCATAGAAATTTATAAGAAATGATCCTTGATTTCAAACAATAGAATCACCAATGTTACAGCTGAAATAAAACTTAAGAGAGCACCTCACCTGACTCTCATTGTAAAAATGAGTGTGCTAAGGCCAAGAGAGTTCAAATGGCCTTCACAAAATCACTCAAAAGTTGTCACCAAGTCAGAGCTCAAATTTTCAAATGAGAGATAAAAGATATAGGTTATATCTCCAAGGAACATTTAGAGGAACACCTCCTTTTAAAAAGAAAGCTGCAATGAATAATCTCTTCTCCTATACTTTACTTAGTAGATACAAAGTACACAGCTTTAAAAAAAAAACAAAAAACAACTAACCAAGTGATCCATATTTAGCAAAAAGCAAGTAAGCAAGAAACAGAGTATTCAACTATGCAGCCTGCTCCTAAATTTTGGAGACAAATGGGCCTGAAATAGTAAATTAGTAAGATTTTAGAAAAGCTGCAGGAAGATAGTTCTTAACTTGAACTACTGCCCTGGGAGACATCTGATTGGAGATTTGGGGCTTCTAAGGGAGTTGAGGAAGCCTATTTCAGGTAAAAGTTGTCATTCCTGGGCAAAAAGCAAAGGAAAAAAACAAAATACTTCCCACTGTTGTAATGCAGAGAAAGATACCTGTGTTAGGGTTTCAGATTGTGTATGGAGTCAAGGAAACTTCTTACCCTTCAGCATGTTTATGGATTTGTGAACAGCAAAAAAGGAATTAAAGCAATTATAACAGAGTAATTGATGGTGGCAACTTTAAAGACCAGAATACATTGAGAAATTATACATATAGAGACATATAAATCTGTGATGTAGGAAATGAGCAGTCTAACATAGGTCCCTGGATCTAGTGAGATGTTCACATCTCCTAACACTAAGCTCCAGACCTCCAGTGCTGTACACAGGAATTCACACAGCAGAGGTTATCACGTAATTAACACTTGACATGAATGGAACCCTGCCACACAGAAATGGCCAAGGCTTATATCCTGGGAATCATGATGAAGGTCAGGGCCAGCTCTAGGCAAAACTCGACCACTCTCATTGCATTTCCTGCATTACAACTAAATTATACATTTTCACATCTATCTTTCAGGTGATAATGTGAATAGCTCAAAGTCAGGATCTATTGAAATCTATCTCTTGTTTGCTGTGCAAAGCCCAGAACTTGCTATAGGGTAGATGTGCAATGAATTTTAGTTAAGCTGAAGCTATACTGCATTTCTCTGATATTCCCTAGTGCTAAGAAACTGTACGTTAATCTGAAACTTTCTCTCACAAATGAATCTTGGCACTAGGAATGTGTATGTAAATGTAGCATGTTTAAGCTCAGGCATAACTTTGGTAATTTGTCTTTAGCATCAATAAGTCAAATGGCTTAACTTCTCCAAAATTCAATTTCTTCGTCTATAAGATGGAGGTAATTATACTTACTTCTAGATTTCTAAAATTGTGGTGATGGTAAAAAAAATTCTATATGCAAGTTATCTAGAACAATGTTTGTCACAAATAAGCATTTAATAAATGATGTCGGTGGCCATTATCAACAAATTATTCATTTTTGTCTCTTTATTAGGATCTGAGATAAGAAATCACTTGTGTTAACTTTTAAGATATGAGATCTGGGCCAGTTGGATCCGCTGAGGATTCAGGCAGGATTCTCATTCTCAGAGAGGACATAGCTGTTAACTCTAGACCAGCACTTTAATAATACATATTCCTGTTAGAACCTGCTCACTGTAAAACATCATAGAAGATAATTATGTTGTTTAATTGAATATACCACCCGTTAACTTGGTGGGTAATTTTCGCCAAGTGTATAATATTTTCTGTCACTCCCTATTTTTTTTACTTTAACTTAATTTAGCCCATGGCTTTATACTGCTCCTACTTCAGAGCAGACTTTTCCCCAGTCTCTCTGTTCTGCTGAATTGCATCTTCACATGTGTTCAAAAAGAAAGAACAAGAAATGAGAAGACAATGATCAAGATCCTTTCCATCTTGTTGCCTCCAAGAGATTTTTTAAATTGAACACATGAAAGGTTATATGACTAGTAAGGTGCTGTACAGAGGAGGAAATAACTAGACATAAGAAAAATATAAAGGCCCCTGGACTAAAAGAATTCTAGACTGTAAACAGCCAGTTGTACTCTCTCCAAGTCTCCAGGCCTTTATCTACTAAAGGAGGAGGTTGGGCTATAAGGCCCTCTCAGGGGTTCCGGAGAACACCAGTATTTTTCATCTCTATGAGCTTCCTCTTCCCTCCTCTACCACTTTGGGGCTTTGAGATTTTAAGGTATTAATGGAGAAAAAGAAAACACTAAACAACAAAAGATGAATAGTAAAGCGCAACTTGAATTTAGAATCCATCTTATACCTAATCTTTTGCTGCAAATGCCTTCAGGACACTGAATTTAAAAGCACTAAAACTTAGTTTATATGTTTTGCATACTCAATGGCCAATGATGGGAAATTACTCAAGATATGAATGGAACAAAATTTTTAAACTTTTCTGGAAATTTCTGTACTTTTTTGAGATTGGGTAGTTTTGAAAATCTTAAATTCCGATTAGATAAAAATATGTAATATAATTAAATACTATTAAAAATAGTACATTTTCAAAGTAGAAAATTAAAAAGCAAAAAAGCTCATGAACAAAGAATATAGTTTATTCATGGTTTCTTACTCAAATCAGCTTGATATGAATGATATACCATTATCATTCCACAGTTTGCAAAGAATTACAAGTTGATGCTCTGAGAAGTGATGGGATGTGCATTTGGTATAACACAGGTACTTTGGAATAGAGCTAGGATAAATCTCCGGGGTTAGAGTTTTTGAACATAGGTTATAAAATCAAGTTAAGGTTTTTGCAAATCTTGGAAATGACCAAATCAAATCTTAAGTGATTGATTTGAGTTCACATTTTTGTGCTATTGAATAACAACTACAGACAACACAGTGTTTGGAGAAAGAAATGGTGTCATGACATCTTTGAAAAAAGGTAAAAGCAAAGATAAAAACCTGTGTGAATACTTGCAGTTGAGAATGTGAAATAATATGATTTAGGGATGATTTACGGAAGTGAAAGTTTTTTTGACCAAAAAAAAAAAAATTGGCCAAGAATCATGGAAATGAAACCTCATGTAAGAGTCGTGTTTGATGAGTTGCCTTAAGAAAGTTCTCAGTGAACATCTCTTTGAGTCAGCTTCTGGATAAGTGAGTTGCACAAAAGCCTCTCTGACATAGTGTGCTGCCAACCCTTGAGGAATCTACATTTGGGCATTATTTCTCTATGATATAAATTTTTAGTCAATCATGTTTGAGAAATCATCACTTAAATTTTTTCCTTTCCTTAACAGAAAGCTCTGTCAGTGCTTTGAAAACAAATATGCTCTATAAATGTAAAAATCAACACTAGCATTACCATTATCACTAACATTTTTTATTTTCCATCTAAATGCAATACTTCATATTTATGGATAACTTTCTTTCAAAAATCTCCTGAGTTTGTCACTGTGCAAATGGTACACATTTGTTTAGAAATTGGTATAGGAAAAGTAAAATACAAAAAAAAAAAAAAAAAAACCCAAAACTTCAAAAGAATTTCAGAAATAGCTCTTTCTGTAATTTATTTCAGAGATGATTGCTTTTATTAAAATTATTTTTGAAGTTTGTAACTAAACTTTAAGAGGAGAAAGATTTTTCAGTCTGTTTGTATTAATATCATGTCTCATAGTGATCATTAACTTTTCTTCAAACTTATATGCCTTCACCAAATAGTTACTGATAGTTTGCCAAAAAAACAGAAGAGAAGAGACATGAACTAATATGTATTAAACATGAACTACTTGAAAGGTATTGTGATGAATATTTTATATTCATTGTTCGATTAACTCCACCCATTATGAGCAAACTGATGGTCCTCTAAGAGCTCATGAATGACTCAGAAATAGTCACACAGCTTGTACAAGGTAGAGATTGGGCTTCAACAATTTCTGGAAATGTTTCAGGATTTCCCTTGGCCCTGACCCCTTCCTCTACCAAGTAATAATTTTTGAAAGCTGCGTATGAGAGAGGTGGAGTTTTTGAAAACTCAGTGGTTCCAGGCAAAATAACTGAGTGAAGTTCACGAGCTGAGAAGAAGCTTGCAACACTGTAGGAGCTATCAGAAGGTTAGCACAGTCACAGGGACAGATGTAATTGAAACTTCAGGTGAGTTTAGAGCACATGCGACCCTATGGACCATGGTAAAGGTTTTGGTCTTCATATTAAGAGAATGGGAAACTTTTAATGTTTCCTATGATTATGACATTATCATATCAGTGACTTAAGAAGATGGCTCTAGCCTGGCCAACATAGTGAAACCCCGTCTCTACCAAAATACAAAAATTAGCCAGGTGTGGTGGTGCAGTCCTGTAGTCCCAACTACTCAGGAGGCTGAGGTATGAGAATAGCTCGAACCCAGTAAGCTGAGGTTGCAGTGAGGCAAGATCATGCCACAGCTCTCCAGCCTGGGCATCAGAGCAAGACCCTGTTAAAAAAAAAAAAAAAAAAAAAAAAAAAAAAAAAAAAGATAGCTCTGACTACTAAGTGGAGAATAGGTGAAAGAAGGAAAGCCATTCAAATAGACGGCAGTGAGAGAAATTTAAGGGAAAGATGCTGGTGATTTGGATTTCACTATTGGCTGCAGAGAAAGTAAGAAGCCGAGAGATTCAAGATGTAAGAAAAATCAACGTGGTTCTGTGATTGACTGGATAGGGTAAAATCAGGAGAATGATTTCAGCCATGATATCAGGTTTCTATCGTAAAAATACAGACAGAAGTTGGAATTAATTATGTATTATTGATTAAAGTTATTAATCATGCATTTTTGATTAAAACAATTATTTTAGCATCTCAGTAAATTAAAGAGGATACACTGAAAAACTTTCTAATCTAGAAATGTTCAACTAGTCAATCTAGACTGAAGAATTTCCCAACATATATGTGATGTGCATGTTCTCTGGAGAGAGCATGCATGTTCATTCCTTCTAAATCAATGTCTACATTGGTAAACTTAAAATATCAAAGAACAAAAAATAAATAATTCAATTCAGAAGCAGTTTTAGTTAAATGTGGCTGAATAAATGCATGCCCTTACCTGTGCCCTTTTTTGAAATAAAGTCATAAACTCCAAAGACAAAGAAAATGGAAGAGAAACTAACAGAGAAAGCAAGGATGAGGAGAAGAAAGTGGAAGAGGAGGAGAAGAAAGTGGAAGAGGAGGAGAAGGAAAGGAAGTAATGAAGAATGGAAGGGAGGAAAAAGGGAGGGAGGAAGAAAGAAAAGAGAAAGAGAAAGAAATAAAGAGGAAAGAAAGAAGAAAAAGAAAGAAAGAGAAAGAAGAAAGAGAAAGAAAGAAGGACAGAAAGAAAGAAAAAAGAAAGAAAGAAAGAAAGAAAGAAAGAAAGAAAGAAAGAAAGAAAAGAAAGAAAGAAAAGGAAGGAAGGGTAAGGAAGGAAGGGAAATAGAGAGGAAGGAAAGGAGGAAGGAAGGAAGAAGAAAGAAAGAGAAAGAAAAAAGAAAGAAAAAGAAAGAGAAAGAAATGTAGGTGGGCAGGGAGGGAGGCAGGGAAGGAGGAAGGAAGGAAGGAAGGAACAAAGGAAAAGAATTCATGATTGGGGGAAGATTAAAAATGAACGGAGAAAATAGCAAAGCAGAGAAATACCATTCACATGTACAGAGGAAAGCCATAGACAAGCAAGATAACATGTAACAGTACCCGCAAAGTTCCAAAAATTAGCAATACCATGTGCCAGCAAATGTGAGAGTAAGTAATGATACTCCAAATAAGGGGATGTGTTAGACAACCAGTACAACTGTGGTCTTACTTCCAACATCACGCAGTTCTTCTATCCCATTCTAGCAGAAATTTCATTCGGTAGATTAATTGAGACAGAGAGACCTCAGGGTCGAGTATACTTGGCACAGCACAGGAAATCAGGAGGATTAACGACAATAAAGAAATTGAATGAGGCCACTTTTAGCTCCCTTTCTTTGTTAGGCTCCAAAAACCTGGGTAATCAATAACTACTGTCACCACCACTGCAACCACCATCACTTCCCATCCTACATCATTCTCCAAGGTCCCCACCATGTCTTCCTTAAGCAGGAGATTGGTAGAGTGTTCACTAGAGAAAAGAAATAACCCCTGAAAATACACTTGTAATTATTTTTATTTGAAGGCATCTCAATAAATACAATAAACTGGTCCCTACAATGTCATCTTAACCAAAAGTTTATCAGTTAACAAATCCAACCCGTCCACATAGAGCTCATAAGTTTTATAGCACGTCATTCTCAAATATAAATGAACAGCCAAATAGTATCAATAAATTTAAAATATCTTCCAATTTGAAAGTCAAAGGACAAAATAAATAGGAAGAAAGCAGCTTGGAGTAAATAAAGACAATACAGATAACAGAAAATGAATATCTTTAAAAATACTATAGCTAATATCCTCAGATAGAAAACAGAAGATAGTCTATCAATAAAACAAGAACAGGGTATTATACAACAGGAGCAATTAGACAATAAGAACTATTTTAAATTAAAAACATGATGCTTAAAAAGTCTCAACATTATATTAAAAATTAAAGTTGAAACAATCTCCCAAAAAGTAATACAAAAAGATAAAATAGAAAATAAAAAAGATACAGTTGCTTAACAAATTTAAGATATTCAAATTATTAGAGTTTTAGAAGAAGAAAACAGAGAACAGAAAATTATACAAAAGAAAATGAATTAAGAAAATATCTCAGAATTGAAGGACGAGTGTCTCTGAAGTGCCAAGGAAAATAAGTCAAAAAAGATGCACATCAAAGTATATCACCATATAAGCTCAAAATACGAGTGTAAAGAGAAAAATTCTAAAATTTTGAGGATAATGTAGAAAGTTCCACATTGAAAAAATAAAGTAATGGCATTGGACTTCTCAAAAGCAACACTAGAAGCTAGAATGCAATAGATGAATGCTTTTAAAATTCTGTAGAAAATAATTTTCAACCTGTAATTATTTACTTGGTAAAATGAAAGTTAAATATAGGCCCTGAATAAAAATGCAAGGTTACAAACCATGGACACCATATGCAAGCTCACAAAATTATCCAAAAATAGATGATGCAACCTCTGATTAAGATAAGGGTAAGTCTCAGGATGGCAGCTGTGTGGCAGACCTATGAAATAGCCTTTCTAGAGTGGCATGGTAAAAAGAGGGATACTCTGGAAAAAGATCTCAAAGAAAATGGAAGGCATGGGATAATTGATATGCTTGAATGTAAGAAACATTTTACATAGAAAGGCTTTATATTACTTTGAAGGGCTTGGGAAAAATATTGATAAAAGAAACATAAAAGCCAAACAATAAACAAAAAAATAACTGCAGAGAGAAAATTTACCCAAAAGTAAACATTGTGTATAATTTTGAATTACTATTAAAAATACGTATTTTTAAAATCCAAACACCAAATAGCAATTTAACTAAAATTATTATAATGATAATAGAAGTAGATAAGGGAATTAGATAAAAATTACAAATCATTTTCACCAATCCACAAAATCGATAAAAAATATACAAAATTGATAAATCAAGAAATTGTTTTGAAAGCAAAATATTTAGTATGAATTAAACTGTCAGGAAGACACAAATGTAAGTGAGTAGAGGAATTTGACAGTGAAGCATATGGCATAGAATATGTTTTTTAAATTATAGTCTTATACTTTGATTTTATTTATTAAAATGTAAAATGTTGGGCCAGGCGCGGTGGCTCACGCCTGTAATCTCCGCACTTTGAGAGGCCGAGGCGGGTAGATCATGAGGTCAGGAGTTTGAGACCAGCCTGGCCAACATAGTGAAGCCTCATCTCTACTAAAAATACAAAAATTAGCTGGGCATGGTGGCAGGTGCTTTTAATCCCAGCTACTCAGGAGGCTGAGGCAGGAGAATAATTTGAACCCAGGAGGTGGGGGTTGCAGTGAGCCAAGATTGTGCCACTGCACTCCAGCCTGGGTGACAGGGCAAGACTCTGTCTCAAAAAAATAAAAGAAAAAAAAAGTGTTTTAGATATATACAAATATAAAAAGTAATTTATTAAAAATGTCGGGGAAAATAGTTGGGAAATCCTCTTGTAGTTAAAACGAATTTAGTTTTACTAACTATGCTTAGAATTTGATTAATAAATGTATTTGCAATATCAAAATGATCTTTATATTTCTTCTTGCATTTTACTCATCAAATGCAGAATATACTGACATAATGGATAACTGTAGGAAGCTAACTTTCTGAAATGAGGCCTAATTGAGCTGTTTTTCATGTAAAATAAGGGTCGTGATTTTGTCTCAAATCAAGCATTATCAACAATTATCTAGACTTTTCTTGAGCAGTCTTTCTGCCATAAGCAAATAGCAAAGCATCAATAACAAAATACTGTATTTGACACTGGATCAGATAATAGTCACAGCATTATAAATAAGAAGTTTAAATATGTGCTTATAAAGTATCCTTTTATTAATTGAGGAAATATTTGTTTGATTATTTGTCTGTGATAAAATTGAAGCTTGAGTTGGATGAACATAATCTTAATGGTTGTAATAATAGTCAATAAATTATTTCAACTATTTTATAAACCTTTTTATTCAATGTACAGACAACCCTAACTAATAATAACAAAATAACAATGACAACAAAGTAATAATAACAGATAACCTTACAGAAACAAAGCTGACAGCCAAACTGGATGAAGTGATAAAGATCACTGGGAATTAATAATTTTGATTTAACTAGTATTTATTGAGCACACAATATGTACCAACAGCCATATTTGGTACTTTGCAAACATTATCTCATTAAGTCTTCAATTTATTGATGAGAAATCCAAGATCACAGAAGCTAGGTAATTTTCCCAAAAATTATACAACTAAAAGAAATTATAGAACCAGGGTTCAAACTTGGCTCAGTCTAAATCTAAAACTCATTCCTTTCTACTGTCAGAAAAAGTTTTTTAATTGAAGGCTTCAGAAGGATTGCTTTTGAGAAGAAACATGAGATGTTGTGACTATTTCTAAAAGAAAGGAATGAATGTTAACAGAGGTTTATAAAAGCAAAATTATTTTGGTTGTGGCTCCCCAAGCAATGAGTCAATTATGCACATACTGAGTTAAAGAAGAAGGAGAAGAAAATAGAAGACGACCATGATCTCTGATTAGATATTTGGTTAGCTTGATAGAAAATGAGTACTGAAATAAAGTAGAGATGGAGATGAAGATCAAATATACAAAACAAAGTTGGAGCAGGGAAAAAATAGAATGAGAGAAGATAAAAAATAGGAGAGAAAGAATAAAATGAGAAGATAAGAGAAGAGAGGAAGGAAGGAAGAGACAAGGAAAGAAAAGTAAATAGAAAAAGGAAAGGAAAGAGAAGAAAGGAGGAGGGAAAGGAAGTGAGAAAGGAGGAAAAAAAAATCAATATCCCTCTTTGTAATAAATACGCTGTGAAATCACTTACGGAAAAATTGAGTAGATGTAATTTTCCCTATTCTCCCTGCTAAGTAAAACAAAAAACTCTGTGTATTATACATAAAACCATAATAAGAATACTCTGACAGGTAGAGTCAAGGCAGACAAGCTAGGGAGCAAGGAATGATATGGTGATGAGTTTCCTGAATTTTGTTTTTGCTTTACATTTCCCAGATTAGAACTGAAGACGTCAGCAACCCAAAAATGTCAATGGGCACAGATTAAATAATTATTATTAATAATAAATAAATAATTAAATCTGTTCTCTTGAGTGAAAAAAGCAGGAAAGGAGCCATCTAGCAAGTCAGAAATATTGTACATAGTAAATTTACTATTCTAGCCAAACACCAAACACCACAGTATATGTTGTGGCTTTATCCTTACACATGACAACAAAGGCTGAATGGGGAACTCAACTTTCACCCTTATCTGGCATTAACAAGGTATTCTAACCTCCCCACTGTGATGGTTTCAGAGAAGGCTGTGTAGGGAGTCTATGCTTCCATTCCCACCTGACAATAATGCAGCACCACTACACTCCTTCCTGGATTTATGCCAGAGGAATCCCAGTAGAGAGTCAGAACTTTTACTACTGCCCAAGAATAACAAAGCTAAAACCCTTGTGGTGTTGATGGTAGAAGACGGGTTGATGTTGAACACATCTTCTTTAGAACTTTTACTACTGTCCAACAGTAACAAGGCTAAAACCCTAAATGGTGTTGATGGGAAGAAAAGATCCTGAATCATTATTGCCAGATGAAAGTAGATGTTCAGATTCCCTTGTTAGCCTTTGTTGACACTCAAGGGAGGAGGCTCTTTGTTAATGCTGCAGATAGTGGAAGTTTTGGCTTCTCACTAGGTCTACACTGATATCTCCCAGACCAAGAGGGGTAGGAGTACATCAGTGGAGACCCCGTGAGGAGCCAAGACTTCCACTATACCCAGTGTTAACAAACAGCCTCCTCCCTTGGGTGTCA
The DNA here is from genome assembly GCF_000001405.40 of Homo sapiens. NCBI lineage: Eukaryota > Metazoa > Chordata > Mammalia > Primates > Hominidae > Homo > Homo sapiens. The sequence goes on along the minus strand of NC_000008.11, from coordinate 128,642,841 downwards.
ACAGAGGCGAAGAAGGAATCTTGACATCTACTTTCATCTGACAATAATGATGCAGCATCTCTTCTTCCCCTGCTAAAGTACTATCAAAATAATTTAGCTAAAATATAAGATTTACATAATATCCAGAATCTTATAACATAATACTGAAGATGTCCTAGGTTTGAAAAATAAGTAATTTGTCACAGCAAAAACCAGGAAGATCTCAAACTAAATAAAAAAGTCTCTAATTAATGTGAAGACTAAGGTGAAAAAGATATTAGCTTATCTAAAAAAATTTAAAGCTGACATCAGAAAAATGTTCTAACCAGCAATTACAAAGGTGCTTAAAACAAACAGAAAAACAGAAAGTCCCAACAATAAAATAAAAAATCTCTGACAGGAAATCGAAGACATTAAGGAGAAACAAACAAAAAGGGTAAGCTTAAAAATATAATAACCAAGTTAAAAATCTCAATGAATGGCTCAACATCAGAATGGAGGGAAAGGAAAGAATCATTGAACTGGAAGATAGGATAACAAAATTGCCCATTCCAAACATACACTGTTCCAGAAAATAGACTGGAGAAAATAACAGAGCCTCAGAAACACATTGAACTATTTTTTGAAATGCTAAAAAAGGGGCTAAAAATTTCCCAAATTTGAGAAAATACATAAATAGAGAGATTCAAGAAACTGAATGGATTTCAAACAGAATAAATCTAAAGAAATCCACATCAAAATACATAATAGTCAAAATTCTAAAAACTAAAATTAGAAATCTTGAAAGAAGTGAAATAAAACACCTTACCTATAGGGAAAAACACTTCTAATAATAACAGATTACTCATTAGAAACTATAGTGGTCAGGAGAAAGTGACAATAATTTTCAAGTATAAATATTCCTTGACTTATGACGGGTTTACATACTGATGAACCCATAATATTTTGAAAATATGCCAAAAATGCATTTAATACACCTAACCTGCTGAACATCAGGAAGCTTAGCCCAGTCTTCCTAAAATATATTCAAAAACTTACATTAGCTTATAGTTGGGCAAAATTATCTAACAAAAAGCCTATTTTATTGTGTTGAATAACTATTGTAATTTATGGAGTATAGTACTAAAAGTGAAAAACAGAATGGTTCTATGGGTACTGAAAGTGCAGTTTTTACTGAATGAGTATTTCTTTTGTACCATAGCAAAGTTAAAAAGTTATAAGTTGAACTACCATAAGTTCAGGACCATCTCTTTAAAAAAGAAACAAAACAACAATAACAAAACAAAAAACAAACAAACGAAAAAACCCTGCCAACTTATAATCCTATATGCAGTAATAATATACTTCCATAATGAAGAAAAAATCAACATATCCTCATATGAACAAAAACTATCAGAATTTGTCACTAGGAGACCTACCCTAAGAAATTAGGTAAATGAACTTCCCTGAACAGAAATGAAACAATAAAAGGAACCTAAGAACATCAGTAAAGAAAAACAAACAGACAAACAGAGTAAGCAAAAATATGGGTAATTTTCTCTTCCCTTGAGATTTTGAAATTATGTTTGATGATGGAAGCAAAAGTTGTAATACTGTTTGATGTGGTTCTAAATGCATGTAGCAAAAATATTTAAGACAATTATAAACAGGAAGGTAAAGATTGTAAAAAGAGGTAAATTTTCTATACTTCACTCAAACTGGTAAAATGATGACACCAGTAATGTGTATGTGTGTGTGTGTGTGTGTGTGTACATGTATTCAAAATGTATTTAACATGCCTAACCTATTGAACATCTACAGTTATAACTACCTAGAGTTATGACATATAACAACTAGATCAACAATTAAAAATAGCTATACAAGTAGATACACTCAAAATGCAATAGATAAATTAAAATTGAATTTTAAAATACGTTCAAGTAACCCACAAAAAGGGAAAAAGCCAGTGCAGTGAAAAACAATAACAAAGAGTAAATAAAAAATGAAATGAAATATTATAAGTGTTATAAAATGAAATAAAAAATTACTCTTTTAAGTCCTAACATATTAATAATTACATTAAATTCAACCAATTAAAAGACAGAAATACCAAGAGGATTAAAAACATGGGTTAACTATATGCTATCTACAACTCTTTTCAAATATGACATTGTTGGAAAATTGAAAGTTAATAAAAAATATATAATGAAAACACTAAGCAAAAGAAAACAGGAGTGACTAAGTTAATATCAGATAGATTATATTTTAGAGCAAAGGAAATTATAAGAGATAAGGAGAGATATTATATAATGACAAAAAGATTACTCCACAGAAAAGATACAGCATTTCTTAAGGTGTATGCATCAAAATATATAACTGCAAAATAAAGAAAGAAAAATTTTATAGAACTCCAAAGAGAAATAGACAAATCCATAATTATATTTTGTAACTTCAACATCCATTTCTCAAAAATTGATGGAACAACTATACTAATAATCAGCAAGGATATACAGGAACTCAAATCACCATCTACCACCAGGATCTAGTTAACATTTATAGAACACTCCACCCAGTATCAGCAAAATACACATTATTTTCAAATGGCCATAGAGCATATTCCTTGAGACATGATATCCAGAAACATTTAAAAACATAAAATTAAAACTAACGCATTTTAAAAATTGAAAATAGTTGTTCTCAGACAAAAATGGAAGGGAACTAAAAATTCATAATAAAATGATACCAGAAAAATTTCCAAACATTTGTAAAATTTCCAAACTGTATACTTCTAAATAGCAGGTAATAAGGAAATCTCATGGGAAATTAAATAAAAATATATTGAACATGAAAATGAACCTTATGAACATAAAAATTCCACTCTGTTTCCAATACCACTTTCATGTTTGATGATTAACTAGAATAACTCACAGAATACAGAAAAGCTATTGTACTCACCCTTATAGTTTATATCAGAAAAAAATAGATGAAAAATAGCAAAAGGAAAAACACACATGGGTAAAATCCAAGAGAAATTAGATGTAAGTTTCCGGGTGTCTCCTCCTACTGGCATTACACAGGGTTGTACTTAATTCTCCTACTAATGATGTGCATAACACAGATGGAGTATTGCCTACCAGGTAAGCTTTCCTGAGTCTTGGCATCAGGGGGCTTGCAGAGAGGTGGTCAGTTACATAGGCATGTAGCACCTAAGCAACTGACCTCAGTTATTAAGTCTCCTGCCCTCTAGACGTCAAACTGACATAGCCTGACTGAGAGTCTCAGACATATAAAAACTGACATTTACCATAAATCACATTGCTAGCATACACTATCAGGATTCAACAGAGATCTATAACATGGGCCAAGATCTCAGAGACCCATAGTATAAGCCAAGATCTCAGGCATACACAAACACTCTTATTAGATAGAATATTCTAAGGGATAAAAAGTTATCTCCCAGGAGCCATTCAAGACCAGATCCTTCTTTGGAATGTGTAGCGTTTGACAACACAGGTCTGCTAAGCTAATCTTTTACTGCACAACAACATATTACAATTTGTGGGACACAGCTAAAGTGTTGCTGAGAGAGAAAATTACATCACAAAATGCATTTGAAGTGTTGCAAAGAAAAGAACAAAAGTTTCAAATCAAAAGCCTAAAGTATTATTTCAAGAACCTAGAGAAAGGATAGCAAAATAAATCCAAAATAAGGGAATCAGAGTCATGACTGGGTGTGAAGCAGGCAAAAAAATCACTGCAGGAGGTAGTTCTGATTGGTCCATTCTTGCTGCAGTTTCTGATTCTCTGCAGAGCAACAGCCATGGCCCCTGTCTGCACCATCACCTCTGCCTTCATTGTTATTGGAGGTTGAGCTGTCTGGACTCTGGCATCACTGCTGAGGAATGAGGAAAGGAGAATAGACTCTGTGATCCACCTTGGCCTAGGGCCTTGCCTTGGAGCTGTGAGGAAAAATATTCTCCCCTACAAAAGCAACTTCAAAAAATTGGAACAAGTGACTGCTACAACAGATATGCAGATATCAATGGAGGACACAGAAAACATGAAAGAGCAGAGAAATATGACACTACCAATGGGCAACAATTGTCTGGCAACAGATCCCAGTAAAAAATAATTTCACAAAATTCCAGATAAAGAATTCAAAATATTGGCTTTGAATGAAATGAGAAGCTGAATAAGATGAAACAAAAATCTGAAAATCGATACAAAGAAAGCAGAAAATCAATTAAGAAAATGAATGTAAAATTTACCAAGGTGATAAATATCTTTTAAAAAAAGCAGAAATGCTGGAGCTAAAAATTCAATGAAGGAAATACTAAATACATTAAACACCTCAATAATAGACTAGACCAAGCAGAAGAAAGTCTTTCAGAACTTGACATGGCTTTTGAAATAATTCAGTGTGACAAAGATAAGAAAACATAAATAAAAAAGAATAAACAAAGCCTTTGAGATACCTCAGATAACATAAAGTGACCACACTTACCAATTATTGGTATTCCCAAGAGGAAAGACAGATCAAAAAGTTTAGAAAGCCTATTTAAGGAACTAATCAATGAAAACATTTCAAGTCTAGCAAGACAATTAAACATCCAGGTACAGGAGGCTCAGAGAGCCTCAGGCAAATGTATTACAAAAAGGACTTCATCACAGCATGTTATATTTAGAATGTCTAATGTCAAAATGAAATAATTTTAAAATTAGCGAGATAAAAATACCTAGTCGCCTATAAGGGAGACTACCTTAGATTAATAGTAGACTTTTCATCAGAAACCTAAGAAGCCAGAAGCAAACAGGATGACATTTTCAAAGCATTGAAAGGAAAACAGTGTCAGCCAAGAATTTTATATCCTGCCAGAGCAAGCTTCATAAGTAAAGAAGAAATAAGATATTTCCTCAATAAGCAAACACTGAGGGAATTTGTCACCACTAGACTAGCCCTACAAGAAATACTCAAAGAGGTCTTAAACATTAAAAACAAAGATCTGTAGTTACCATCACAAAAATACATGGAAATATAAAACTTACACTTCTTACAAAACAATCACATGAAGAAGGAAGAGACAGGAATCAAATGTCAACACAACAGAATTTCATTAAACCACAAAGACAAAAAGAAAAAGAAAAAAATTATACAACTTATAAACAATTAACAATATGACAGGAACAAAGCTTCACATCTCAGTATTAATCTTGAGTGTAAATGAGTTAAAATGTACCACTTAAAATATAGAAATTGGCAGAATGGATTTTTAAAAAGCATGATGCATCTATATACTGCCTACAAGAAACTCACCTTACTCAAAAAGACACATATAGACTGAAAGTAAAGACATTAAAAAAGATATTCCATGCAATTTGAAGCAAAAGGCCATGAGGATTAGCTACACTTATTTTAGATAAAGCAGACTTTAAATCAAAATCAATAAAAAGTGACAAGAAAGATTATTACATAATGATAAAGGGATCAATTCAGTGAGAAGATATAACATTCTAAATATATGCACCCAACATCAGAGCACCCAAATTTACAAAACAAATATTACCAGACATAAAGAAAGAATTAGAGAGCAATATATTTATAGTGGGAGACTTCAACACCCCACTCAGAGTAGTAGACAGATTGAGACAGAAAATTAATAAAGAAACTTAGAACTTAAATTAGACTTTAGGCCATGTACACTTAATGGTCATTTACAGAACATTCTACTCAATGAATGCAGAATATACTTTTTTTAATCAGCAGATGAAACATTTTCCATTTTCATACCACATATTAGGGCATAAAGCAAGTCAACATATTTTTTCAATTTATATTATGTCAAGTATCTTCTCAGACTACAGTGGAATAAAACTAGAAATCAATACCAAGAACTTCAGAAACTACACAAATACATGGAAATTAAACAGCATGTTCCTGAACAATCATTGAGTTAATGAAGAAATTAAGATATAAATTTTAAAAATTTTTAAATAAATGAAAATCATGCACAACATACAAAAACCTATGTGATACAGCAAAAGCAGTGTTCAGAGGGAATTTTATAGCATTAAATGCTTACATCAAAAAAGTGGAAATATCACAAGTTAGCTATCTAATGTTATACCTCAACGAACTAGAAAAACCAGAAAAGTCAAAGCCAAAGTTATTAGGAAAAAAGAACTAACAAAGATCAGAGCAGAATAAAATAGAGACCAAAAAAATTACTAAAGATCAACAAAACAAAAGGTTGGTTCTTTGAAAAGGTAAACAAATTGATAAACCACTAACTAAACTAAAGAGAAGACTCAACTATGATCAGAAATGAAAAACAGAAACATTACAAATGATACCACAGAAATATAAAAGATCATCAGAAACTATTATGAACAACTATATGCTCACAAATCAGAAAACCTAGAGAAAAATAGATAAATTCCTGGAAACATGCAATCTGCTGAGATTGAACCAGGAAGAAAGACAACTCCTGAACAGGCTAATGATGAGTAGCAAGAATTAATCAGAAAAAAAAAGCCCAGGACAAGATGGATTCTACCACAAATACAAAGAAGGGCTAATACCCATCATCCTGAAACTATTCCAACAAGTTGAGGAGGAGAGAAATTTTCCTAACTCATTCTACAAGGCCAAATATCCATGATGAAAATAGACACAAATATCCTCAACAGAATATTAGCAAATCAATGGCTGGGTGTGGTGGCTCAGACCTATAACCCCAGTACTTTGGGAGGCTTAGGCTAGAGGAACATTTAAAGCTAGAAGTTTGAGACCAGCCTGGGCAGTATAGCAGGACCCCATCTCTACAAAAAATTAAAATAAAGAAAATAAATTAGTCAGGCATGCTGGAACATGCATATAGTCCTAGCTACTTGGAAGGCTGAAATGGGAAGATAAATTGAGCCCAGGAGTTCAGGGATGCAGTGAGACATGACCATGCCACCGCACTTCAGCCTGGGTGACAGAGACAGACCCTGTCTCAAAGAAAAAAAAAAAAAAAAACTAGCAAATTAAATGTAACAGTGCATTGAAATTGAAAAATAATAAATACATTATGGTGAGGCTGAATTTATCCCAGGGAGGTGAGGATGAGTCAACATATATAAATCAATAAATGTGATATATCACATAAACAGAATTAAGGACAAAAACTATATTATCACCTCAATAGATGCAGAAAAAGTAACTGACAGAATTCAGCATATTTTATGATGGAAAATTCTCAACTATGAATAGAAGGAACATACCTCAACATAATAAAGGCCATATATGACAAATATGACAAACCCACAGCCAACATTATAGTTAACAGAGAAAAGTTGAAAGCGTTCCCTCTAAGAACTGGAACAAGGCAAGGATGACCACTTTCACCACTCTTATTCAACATAGTACTAGAAGTCCTTATCAGAGCAATCAGGCAAGTGAAAATAAAAATTAAAGGCATCCAGATTGGAGAAGAGAAAGTCAAATTATGCCTGTTGGCCAATGATATAATCTTACGTCTAGAAAGCTCTAATGATGCCACCACAAACCTCTTATATTTGATAAATGAATTCAATAACATTTCAGGATACAAAATTAATGTACTGAAATCAGTAGTGATTCTATACACAAATAATTCTCTAGCTGAGCACCAAATCAAGAAGGCAATCACATTTACAATAGCTATAAAAATGTCTAGGAATATATTAAACCAGGGAGATGAAAGATCTTTATAAGAATTACAAAACACTGATGAAAGAAATTGTAGATGATGGAAAAACATCCTATGCTGATATGGTTTGTTTGCGTGCCTACCCAAATCTTACCTTGAATTGTAGCTCCCATAATCCCCACATGTCAAGGGAGGGACCTGGGGCAAGGTAATTGAATCATGGGGGCAGGTTTTTGCTGTGCTGTTCTCGTTATAGTAAGTCTCATGAGATCTGATGGTTTTATAAAGGGCAGTTCCCCTGCACATGTGCTCCTGCCTGATGCCATGTAAGACGTGCCTTTACTCCTCCTTTACCTTCCGCCATGTTTATGAGGTCTCCCCAGCCATGTGGAACTGTGAGTCCATTAAAGCTCTTTTTCTCTATAAATTACCCAGTCTCAAGTGTGTCTTTATTAGCAGCATGAGAACTGACTGATATACATGATCATGGATTGGAAGAATCATTATTAAAATGACCATACTGTGATATGGTACACATGTGTAATATTTGGAATAGATATGGTATAGTATTACAGGTATAATGTAGGAAAGCACATTATCTTGTATAATCAGACTCTTCTAGCTAATCCATATGCTTATATTTAATTGTGATGTTTCACTTGACATAGCACTTTACTGATTACACCAGTTTTTACATATCATTAAATGAGCCAGATTATATGAATTCATTTGGAAAGCCTCAAGTGCCACCGAAAGGCAAAACACTTGATGGGTTATTAACAGTTATTGAGCACTAGTTTTTTGCCAGGTATTCTGTGTGACATGTGTAGGTAAAGGACATGATCACTGCCTTGGAGGACCTCAGAGAAAACAATTTAAATAGTGCAGTAAATGCTGCAAAGAGGGAAGCACAAGATGATATGGAACCACAAACAACAACCACCTAGCCTAGACTTTGTGAGAATATGTAGAGCTGCCTACCAGTGGTGACATCCAAACTCAGATCTTAAAGAAAAGAGTCATACAAATAGAGGTAAATGAGGATTTTAGGCAGAGTACACTACAGAGACAAAGGAACCACATGCATGAAGTACCATTTAAGATATTGTATTAGTTTGTTCTCATACTGCTATGAAGAAATACCAGAAACTAGGTAATTTATAAAGGAAATAATTTTAATTGACTCACAGTTCTGCATTGCTGGGGAGGCCTCAGGAAAACTACAATCATGGCAGAGGCAGAGGAGAAACAGGTACCTTCTTCACAAAGTGGCAAGATGGAGTGAGTGCAAGCAACGGAAATGCCAGACACTTCTAAAACCATCAGACCTCATGAGACTCACTCACTATCATGAGAACAGCATGGGGGAAACCACCCCCATGATCCAATTACTTTCACCTGTTCCCACCCTTGACATGTCGGGATTGTGGCAATTACAATTCAAAGTATGATTTTGGGTGAGGGCACAGCCAAATCATATCAGATATTGACTAAGAAGATATACTGGGAAACTCAGAGCTCTTGCTTCTGCACCAGCTCTGACATTTACACTGTTGTAAATGTATGAAAGCAAATCAATTCCTATGAGCCTTAATTCCCCTATCTCTAAAATGAGAGTTATTATATCTTCTGTAAGAGGTGTTTGAGAGCTATATAAACCAAAGAAGAGAAAATATGTAATGTGCCTAGAACCGCAGACAGACAAACGTGCAGTGCATAGTAGCTCTCACTAGTACAATGTGTTTTGATATATCAGTGCTGTGACCAGCCTGCACTCTGGTCAGGACGTTTTGGTCTCATGGAATTGCTGCTTTGCTCTTTCATCAATGGCTGTTTTCTTTTTGGCTCAGTTCCAGTGCCTGAAGAACCATTGATCAGCAGTGAGAGGAGGCCTTTGATAGGTGGCCAAGGCAAAGCAGAGGGTTGTCATGAATAATGTGGTTCAGAAGTACAGTTTATGAATGAAGAAGGAGAAAAAAGCTTTCACCTGATCTGCCTTTTGGTCTATGAGTAGAAAGTTAAGCAAAAAGAGAGCAATTAAAAAAATTTAATGAAAAATACGTATTTGGAAAGAATGTGATATTTCTAACAGACCTGCTTATTGTACACATTGGCTCCTTCCTTTCTCTCTTACCTTATTCATGCCATGCTCAATCTGGAAACTTCATCCAGCAGTAGACAACTATTTATAGTTTCCTGGAGACACTGTGCTATTTAATACCTCCATGTCTTTATATAAACTCTTTCCTCTGAATGGATTATCTTTCCTGACCTCCACTCAGGTCTGATTTCAGCTATGAAAATTTCTCTTATTTCTTATCTAAAAACAAGATTAATAGCACTTTGGGAGGCCAAGGTGGGCGGATCACGAGGTCAGGAGATCGAGACCATCCTGGTTAACATGGTGAAACCCCATTTCTACTAAAAATACATAAAAGTAGCCAGGCATGGTGCTGTGTGCCCGTAGTCCCAGCTACTCGGGAGGCTGAGGCAGGAAAATGGCGTGAACCCGGGAGGCAGAGCTTGCAGTGAGCGGAGATCATGCCACTGCACTCCAGCCTGAGCAACAGAGCAAGACTCCATCTCAAAATAAATAAATAAATAAATAAATAAATAAATAAATAAATAAATAAATAAATAAGCTACTTGTTTCTTGACCATTTTATGACGCTTCTCTATTGGAGTCATCACTGCTTCTTGAGCTGAATCTATATATGGCCATGTAAAGGTCCCAGAAACCCACATGGGAAGCCTAGCACATTTTTTAAAATTTACCAATTTTCCTGGAAGATTTTAAGATTAAAAAGCCCAATGAATTAGAAGAAACATATTATATAGCATTTACAAATTTTTCTTAAAATATAGAACAAGAATCCCAAGATGTTTACTCTTAAATATTTAAATATTTACTCTGTGGCTACTTATTGTGATTTTTGGCTTCAGATTTCTTGGGGGCAATCTATCTCTTCGATTTTCATAGAAAAGTTTAAGAATGAGAGGTGGAAACTACACCTCACCTTACATTTTACTCATTGTTCTTTTGTCTATATTACTGAGAACATCAGGAAACACATTTAATAAAGGCACCCATTGTTATTCATCAGTGTGTCCTTAGTATCATGCATACAGAACAGAATCAGGTGTCTTTCAAGTTAAACCAGAATGAAGCATATAGGATTTCATCAAGCATAGTAAAAAATAATGACATTAGACAACTCAGTTAATAAATCTGTTCTGTGAAGTGCTGAAAGTGGATGTCACATAAGAAAAGGACAAAGCTGGTTTATACAACAGTCTGTCACATAGAAATCTCACTTAATCAATATTTCATTGACACTGATCTTCATAATGTAGACCTCAGAATAATTTGTGAGGCATTAAAGGGAGGTCAAATTTGATTAAATCTTATTTATAAACTCTTAGGGCTGGGAGTGGACTTAGAAATCATTTGGTTCAGAGATGGCAAATGTGCATATGTGTGTGACCACTTTCACTTTCTAAGACCCTGTCAGACATCATTAATCAATCGTGAGACTTCTCCTTTCACTGAGCCTAGTTACAGATGCAGAACATTTCTTAACTCACTACTCTAGACAGACACAACCAGTCAAAATGATCTTGCAAAAAAACTAATCTATCTTTGATTGACTCCAACCCTAAATTCAAAAAATGGATGTCCTCTGTAATATTCTGCACAAACAGGCATCAAGTTCCTGATTGAGCACTTCTAAAGTGAGGCATTCCCTGAGTAGGTCTTTTATCATATTATGATTATGTAATCAATAGTGAATACATGTGTCCTTAAGAAGAGTTACATGCATCCAGCAAATCCTAGCCCCCCACATACTGTAATCCAAAGGACACTGCCAAACAGGAATTATTAATCCCATTTTATAAATAGGAAAAATTAGAATCTAAGACAGAGACAGGGAAAAGGCAACACATAGTTTGTCCTGCTTAGTGTTTTAAAGAGAAAACTAAGCCTACCTTTAAAAATCAGAAGATTTTGCATAAAAATGTGGTTTCACCACTTTTTTTATCTATATATGTATTTATTATACTTTAAGTTCTAGGGTACATGTGCACAACCTTCAGTTTTGTTACATATGTATACATGTGCCTTGTTGGTTTCCAGCTTCATCCATGTCCCTACAAAGGACATGAACTCATCATTTTTTATGGCTGCATAGTATTCCATGGTGTATATGTGCCACATTTTCTTAATCCAGTCTATCATTAAGACTTAATCCAGTTTATCATAATTGGACATTTGGCTTGGTTCCAAGTCTTTGCTTTTGTGAAGAGTGCCACAATAAACATACAAGTGCATGTGTCTATAGCAGCATGATTTATAATCCTTTGGGTATATACCCAGTAATGGGATGGCTGGGTCAAATGGTATTTCTAGTTCTAGATCCCTGAGGAATCGCCACACTCACTTCCACAATGGTTGAACTAGTTTACAGTCCCACCAACAATGTAAAAGTGTTCCTATTTCTCCACATCCTCTCCAGCACCTGTTGTTTCCTGACTTTTGAATGATCGCCATTCTAACTGGTGTGAGATGGTATCTCATTGTGGTTTTGATTTGCATTTCTCTGATGGCCAGTGATGATGAACACTTTTTCATGTGTCTGTTGGCTGCATAAATGTCTTCTTTTGAGAAGTGTCTGTTCATAACCTTTGCCCACTTGTTGATGGGGTTGTTTGATTTTTTCTTGTAAATTTGTTTAAGTTCTTTGTAGATTCTGGATATTAGCCCTTTGTCAGATGAGTAGATTGCAAAAATTTTCTCCCATTCTGTAGGTTGCCTGTTCACTCTGATGGTAGTTTCTTTCACCACTTTTTTTTTAAAGTAAGAATAAACTTATTTTTTTCACATGGCAGCAATTGGCCCATGCTTTATAGAAGTTGGACCCTTTGATGGCTTTTTACTTGCAGTTTTCCACAATTCCCACTATGTTCACAATTCACAAGGGCTAACTTTCCTTCCTGCCTGCTTCAGTCATGCTACCTGTGAGTCTTTTGTAAGAAGCTAAGTTGACATTGACTCCAAGTTTCCCAAAGCTCACGTGGCTATTGTTTTTCTGCCATTGCATTTGCTCTTCCCTCTGACTTGAATGGCTTTCTCTTCCATTTCCATATTACTGAAACTAAAAATTGGCAGGGGTGGGGAAGACTAGGACTCTGGAGATGTGAAAACTTTGGAGAGTTTATCTTACTTTTGCAGCCTTTTATACCCTGGATAATTTGTAGATTATATTTACCAAGGCAGGACGCTGAGAATCCAGGTTTATACTAGTAAAGGACGGCTGGTGGGGGTCCAAGAAAACAGTAGAACATTTAGCAGACTTCGGTGGTCTCATTAAGCTTAGTATGTGTTTTCTAATTTCACCTGGATTTTTATTCATATCATACAACCTAACAGCTCACATGTCAGCTTACCATATGGAGACTCTCAGTTCTGCATGCGTAAGTCATAAAGGATCTCAGTAAAGTCTCATTGCCTTTACAGTGGTATTTTGATAAGTGCACTTACTTTGTTGTCATGTCTTTGTCTTTCTACTCCAGTGCCTATCTAATTACCTGTCACATAGTCAGAGCTCAATAATGCTTCCCAAAGCATTCATCTGCATCATTGCTCGGTACCTTAATCTCTTCCTTCACGGTCTCTTGCAAATATTATGTCATAATCTACCCACAAGCCACCAAGAAGTAGGTGGAAAATGTTATTCTCATTTCACTGATGGCAAATATCAGATAAAATAGGAACCACATGATTTACCTGTTATCTTACATAGCGTTAAGGGCACAAATATAGTTTGCAAAATAGTATTTGTTAAGTCAAATGTCGCTGAGAGACAGTGAAGTGAAACAGAATGAGTGTGGAATCTGCAACAAATTCTAGAGCTCATTTTTACTAGCTTCTGTCAACTGTGTCAGTTACTTCCCTTGGTTTTCTTGGGTACCAAGCTTCAATGCCTTTCAGGTGCATTGTAATTTTTGGCTAAAAAGAATGACTGTCTACAATTTCATGATGCTCAAACAGTTCTGTGCATATTCAAAAAGTTTTATTTCAGTTTTATGCCCAACTAACTTTCCTTCTGTAACTCAGTCTCAAGTACAGGTGTGACAGTGATATAGGACAAAGCTGGGGGAGTCCTAGTGTTAAATAGATAGCACACTGGTTTTCTTATTTCCAAAGGCTAACAGAAGATTCTTTCCCTGGCTTTCTTATTAAAATGCATTGTCTCCCATGATGTGTCTCAACCTTTCTGATAAAGTGTCTTGTGATAGTTCCGCTTTATTGATGAGCCAGACATGATTATATTTGAAATATCAAGTGTAGGCATAGAATAGGGTGAAGCTGGAATCATTAACCATAGAGATATGTACAGGGTACAATTGGGACAAAGAGATAAATGAGAGAAGCAATCAAGTAAACTTAGAGAAGGAGGAATAAAAGGGGGCATAGGAAAAATTTCAATGTAAAAGTGATTCTTCTGTTAGATCTTGAAGGATCCTGGTGACTAAAAATCTCACCAAGGCAACACAAAATTAAAACCACTTTAGCTAAAGGAAACCAAGGAGGCAAAGAAGTGGGAACCATGGCCGGGTGTGATGGCTCATGCCTCTAATCCCAGCACTTTGGGAAGCTGAGGTGAGCAGATCACTTGAGGTCAGGAATTCTAGACCAGCCTGGCCAACATGGTGAAACCCCCTCTCTACTAAAAATACAAAAAGTCCAGGCATGGTGGTGCATGCTTGTAATCCCAGCTACTCAGGAGGCTGAGGCATGAGAATTGCTTGAACCCGGGAGGCAGAAGTTGCAGTGAGTCAAGATTGCACCACCACACTCCAGCCCGGGCAACAGAGTGAGGCTCTGTCTCAATTAAAAAAAAAAAAAAAGTGAGAACCACTATCATGGTAGGAGGCAATCAATTCTGTTTTAGCAGAAAACACCAGGGGGTATATGGCTAGAGATGGAGCAGAAAAAGGGCTTTTAATACTCATGAATGAAAGAAAGGAAAGAATAAAGGACAGAAAAGAGGGAAGGAGGATGGGGAAGGAAGAGGGAGAAAGAGAGACAGAAAGACAGAGAGAGACAGAAGAAAATTGTTAGAGGCATTATTACAAAATATATTTATTAGTTTGGCATTTAAAACTTTCTCTAGACTTAGATTTATTTGTTTTGAGATGAAGTCTCACTCTGTAGCTCAAGCTGGAGTGCAGTGGTACAGTCTCGGCTCACTGCAACTTCTGCCTCTGGGGCTCAAGCGATTCTTGTGCCTCAGTCTCCCAAGTAGCTGGGACTACAGGTACACGCCACCATGCCCAGCTAATTTTTGTATTTTCGCAGAGATGGGGTTTCACCATGTTGCCCAGGGTGGTCTCGAACTCCTGAGCTGAGTTGTGTTTTTTTTTTTGAAACGCAGTCTTGCTCTGTCACCCAGGCTGGAGTGCAGTGGGCCAATCTAGGCTCACTGCAACCTCTGCCTCCTGGGTTCAAGCGATTCTCCTGCTTCAGTCTCCCGAGCAGCTGGGACTAAGGGCGTGTGCCACCACGCTCGGTTAATTTTTTTTATTTTTAGTAGAGGTGGGGTTTCACCGTGTTAACCAGGATGGTCTCAATCTCCTGACCTCGTGATCCACCCGCCTTGGCCTCCCAAATTGCTGGGATTGCAGGCGTGAGCCACCGGGCCTAGCCTGAGTTTTAATACAGGCCCTTTGATTTCAAAGCCCATGCTTATTCTCTGGTGCCACCCAGCACCTCCAAGATAACTTCTGGTGAGGACTTTGCTGTCACTGAAACTGGTAAATTCTGATGTTTGCTTACAAATTAGCAGTGCTCCTTTGTGCTTAAACTTTAACAGTTTGAATGAGATAGTTGCCACCTCACTTTGGATCTCTTTCCCATAGTCCCAAAGCACTTTGAAGGGCCTATGTAAGAAGAGACAACTGAACAGATATTTACTAAAGCCCAACTCTGACTTTAATTAGACCTATAATTTTGGCAAGACACACAAAACTTTTCTTTCAAGGTTTTTCATTTAGTAAAATATTTTAAAGGAGATCAGTTTTGAATATTTAAGTAAGAAGCTCATGTGGGGATATTAGAAAGATCTGGGTTTGAACCTTCACTCTGCCACTTTCTACATGCATAATCTTTATTATTAGTTAACTGCTTTGACACTCAGATTTCTTATTTTTAAAATGGGGAAAATGAAAATCATACGTTTTCAAAGCTTTCATATGAAGATGAAATATGACCACATCTGTAATGTTCCTACTGCAGTACCTACTACAGATCTTTAGAAGTAGAAGGTAAATTTACTTTTCACATGCACAGAGCTTCATATGAAAGAAAAATTGTCCTTATACTTTCTGACCTCGGTTATGGAGCAAATACCAAGTGATTGGGCTGCTTTGGAGAATTTCCCAGGAGGTTTGGGGCAGAGGTGGGAAACCCCCTCTGTTGCATGTCTAAGTACAAGATTTCAATTCAGAGACAGTCTGCAGGGCTTTTGCCTAATACATTATTTCCATTACTTCCCCTGCACCCATCTTTACTTTCTCCATCCATCCTACCAACCATGTCGGAACCCTCTGCCAGAATTCTCTGCTCCAACTTCACAGCCAGGCTGAGCTAGGCTGATTCACAAAGGCTGTTCCCAAGTTGAAGACTGGCCAGGATCAGCAGTGAAAGTTGATTGGTTTGGCATGGGCAGTGATTAATGATTAATCAGAATCAGTGTTAGCTGAACACCACAACTATGGCCATGCCATTCTGAACAGGCAACAAATCAGTGATAGCTGGAATAGAGATGCATATTTTGAAATTTTACCTTTATTTTAGTTTAATACCGAACTAGCAAATAACCAGCGAGAGGAATACACAGGAAATCAAAGATACCAGTGGGTGAAAACGCAGCTGCCAATGCCACCCGGGCTCCTCAGAGGTGTGACTTGAGTCCATAATAGAGCATAATAGTCAATGCTGAGTCAGTGTGTCTCAGAACCTTCCACTCTTTATCTTTGGGTGCAAGCAGCCCCAACTCTCAAGGATCCATACTGTTTGCAAAATAGGAAAATTTGACCTGCCCAAGGGTTATATACTTCTGAGTATATTTCTTGCATCACTAGGAGTACTTAGCTTCCTGGTGACCTGACCAGGGCCTTCTACAGGGCCAGCCTAGCTGACTTGGCTTGTCCCCACTATGCTGGGTACTGTCTAGTGGCCTCCACAGACAGGTAGCTTGAGTTCAAGATTCCAATTCAACCACTTAAAGCTGAATGTACATGAGTAATTTAAGTTCTAGAAATAGACTCTATGGAAAAACAAACAAACAAACAAACAAACAAAAAAGCTGTTCATCAAATTAACCTTGACTTTCTACCTTTAACTTTTTAGTTGGAAAACTCTTTTGGAAAAAAAATGAAAAATCTTAACTTTGTCTGTCAGGTATACACAATATAGGCCTTCCTGGGCCCTCCTGCTGGATTTCCACTTATGCAGTGTCTCTGCCTGCATAAGCCTTTCATGGTTCCTTAATTACCCCTCTGTTCAGAATGTTATTCTTTTATTCTTCCCTTATTAACTCCAGGTTACTTTCAGATATCAGGCTTAGAGTTCTCCAGTGTATCTTTCCTTGAGCCCTTCAGTTTAGGCTATATTTCATTTGTTTGGTTTTGTTTATACTTTCAATGTCTTTTATACTGCTAAGCAAAACCATAATATATTAATTGGATGGATGAAAATGACATTACACTATATCAATTATTGTTTCTACTGCAGAAGAAGTTATCTAGGGAAAATGTAGCTTCTATTCTATCATGATTACCATAATTTGCCCCAAGAAAAAGACAAGATATAAAAATAAAGAGTTACTGGGTTGTCATGAATTTTCTTTTTAAATACTATCTTTTAACATTTTCTGATATATTTTTTAAAAGCCTAGGGAAACTGAAAACCTAATAGTAAAGTATAGTAATTATTTTAAATATTGATTTTCTGCAGTACTTACAGTCTATATGACTAATTTGGCATGGGTAAATTGTCTTGTATTTTCCCTGCATGTATTTCTTTCTTTTTAACAGCTTCATTGAGATATAATGTACATACTATAAAATTCAGCCATATAAAATCTGCAACTAATGGTTTGTTTTTAGTATGTTTACAGAGTTGTACAATCATCATATGGTAATTTTTAAATATAATCATCACTCCAAAAAGAAACTGCATAGGCTAAATTTTAAATACATTTTTGGACAATTACGTATCTTTCTTACAGAGCACTGATCTCCTTTGTTAATACACATTTATTAATGTTTTGTTCAGTTAATACCTATTTCTTACTTTAAAGCATAAGCATGGGAACAGAGTCTGTATCTATTTTGGGGCCACCTTTCTGTCACTAGTGCCTAGCAGGCTACTTGTCATACAGTAGAAGATTTATTCCTTTGTTAAGGAATTTGACTCACAAGCCTCAATGTTATCATCTGTAAAGGAAGATGAAAATATTAATACATATCACACAGGATGTTTTGAGAGTCAAAAAATATAATTCGTGCAAGATCACCTTTAAACTGAAATACATATACATCTTAAATATTATTTAATAAATATTTTCAACTCAGGGAAAAATCTAGATTACAGAGACATGAAATTGGGAATATGACAGCAAGTGACTAGATGCTCTCAATTTCTCTTCCTTTTCCCAAGAACAGAGGAAGAATAAATTTCCTAGAGTTCTTTATGATTCCTATGGGCCATAAAATATACCCTCATGACTACTTCTGGACAACGGGATGGGAGCAGGAGTGATATGCACCATTTGAAAGACCAGACCTTAAAATCATCTTGAGGTTCTCATGACAAAAAAAAGAGTACAGAGTTGTAGTGACACTATGGAAGAATCATGGATGTGTTTCTTCAAGGAAAACTTCTTAGGAAAGCAATCAAATCTGCAACAAACTATGACACGAGGAAGAATTCCACTATTTTGTTTACTAAGTCACTGAGATTACCAGGTGGTTGGTTATATAACCTTATACAGAAATTGATACTTTGAAGAGGGGACTACCATAACACAAAGATAAAGACATGGCATTGGTTAAGCATTCAGAGATGAGCATCATGGAAGCTGACACAGGCTCTAAGCATAGGTCTCCAGATTATGCAGTTGCAAGACACTTCATTTGAATCCCTTCTGTAGTTGTTCTCAATACAGAGAGCACGCTTAGTCAACCAATAGCTCCAGCAGAAAAGCTTGGAAAGCAGAATCTTGGTAGGATATGTTGGCTACCAATGGGTGGTCTGGTAAGATATTTTAAGTTATGACCTCAAGGAATAATTAGATACTTTGCAGGCAGAAATGAAAAAGAATAAAGAAAGTTGAGAAATTCAAGGCCTTTTAGGGGTGTAAAAAGTGAGAAGATTCTAGATTCTAGACCTTCAAAAGTAAGATATGAGATGTTTAATGACTTTGAAATACTAAGTCTAGGAAAAACTCTTCAGTTGGATGAAGTGACTAGAGCAATGACAAATTCAGACTCAATCAATCCCATTCAATCCCTCTAACCTCAAGGTAGCTTTAGTTAAGACAGAGAGGCAGGGTTCTGAAAAAGCAAAGAAATAAAGCAGGTCAGAGAACTGTGTCTAGGAAAGGTTCTAGGGTGTGGTTACTGGACATGAAACTGACTGGAATGTACAGAGATTAGAAGCTATGAAGGTGTTGAAAGAATTACATTGACAAAGAAGTCACAAATTAATTCAAAACGTCTTTGGCTTTTTGAGACTTGAGGTAACCTTTAGGATCCTGACCTATCACAAGCAGGCAGAAAGTCTCAAAACCCCTAACAATGGTATGCTTTCCAGCATTCACTTTAGAGTCCCCAAAGAAACTGAACAAAGAGAAGACCCTCAAGAGTAGAGCCACAGGCCATAAACTATAAAAGACAAGGGATTTCCTCCAACAGAGAGCAAAATCAGAGCCTGAAAGGCACTATTTTTACCCACCCAAACTAGGGGGACTTCATAAAATTGGCCCCATGGAATTTCAGAGCAATTATGACCAGTGCTGTAGCTCAGGTCCCTCAGGAAACAGATTCAGAGACCCTGAGATATGTGTGCCACAGGTTATTTGGGAAATGTCATTGAAAACAACACCTCTAAGGAGTAAGAAAAATAAGATTAGGCAAAGGGAAACA
Source organism: Homo sapiens (assembly GCF_000001405.40). Lineage (NCBI taxonomy): Eukaryota > Metazoa > Chordata > Mammalia > Primates > Hominidae > Homo > Homo sapiens. Next base: position 128,623,003 of record NC_000008.11, on the reverse strand, counting down.
TTGAACTAGTGAAGTAATTGCAACAAAGAACTCAGCCAATCCCACCAGAGATCAGAGGCTAGGAGATCCCTTCAAGTTGTCCCCATTGAGACAAAGAGTTGATGTCTCATACTCTGCACTAGTCATTGGATGCAAGCTTCCACAAGGCAGGTCATACTCTTGGTCAAGGCAGTGATTTTTGGATAGCAGTTCCTGGAGTGGGGCTCAACTGTGAGCCATCAGCAGCTAGGAGGCTAAGGGCCTTGGTCATAAAGGAAGATCTGGGGAGGGCACCACAGCATCCACTATAAATATAGATTTATGTGTCTTGTATTTTTTCCCTTCATAAATGAGAGTACACATTGCAATTATCCCATCCCTATTCTGCTATTGTATATTTGACGGTGGTAACCAAGGAGGGAAATTGGGGATGGATACCGATCTTCATGAACTATCAAACCATAAAAATAAAATTGGCCCAACTTTTCAATAAGCCAGAAGCCCATAGAACTGAAGCTTGAGAAACTTACATTTGTACAATGAGATGCACCTGCTGCCTGTTGACCAACTCCTCTTCCTTACCCTTCCCTAATTCTCAGTTTCCCACACGTGGTTATAATGAGATGCTAGACCTCTATTCAATCACCTGCTGCCTGTTGACCAGCTCCTTTTCTTTGCCCCTCCTGTTTTCCTTTGCAGTTGTATAAATTATTAACTTCACTTGGGGGGAGACATGGATTTGAGATTTGTCTCCAGTCTCTTTGGTTGACATCACCTGTAATAAAGCCTACTTCCCTAGCAATACACATTGTCTCAGTAATTGTCTTTCTGTGTGGAAAGCAATAGGACCTAGACTGAACCCCTGGCATTCAGTAACAAGGGCACACATGTGGATCTAGTGTAGAGGCCTGAACATTATCTGGAGAGCTGGTGTTTTGAAAGGACATCAAATTGTTCTCCATGGGGAGGATGAGGACATATTTCATGTTTAGAAGAAAGAATAAAATTGATCCATGATGATCAGACAGGATAAATCAGAGACTAACTTGATGCTCACCAATACAATTTCTCTTTCAATTGAACACAGGAGAACCTTATTTCCACCTTCCCTTGCACTTAGCTTGTATCTAGTTATAGCCAATAGAATGTGGAGATAAGAGAAGGAAGCTACTTCTAGGCAGCGGTCCTGAAAATCTTCAACAAGTATCTCAGTCTATACTCTCATCCCATCCATGAAGTTGGAAGTAAAAGACCCCCAAGTTGGTAGAGCTGTTTTATAGACCATAATATGATTGAGCCAAACTATAGAAGGAACTGAATTCCTAAATTATTTTTCAAAGAAGAGCCACCTAACCCACAGTGGATTGTACCTGAGAAAGAAACTTTTGTGGTATTAAATCACTGAGATTAGGGATTGTTTGTTAGCCGTGAGTAGGAATGGCAAACCTGAATTATGCAAAAAACACAGTTTTATATATGTTCCTGAAGTCAGAAGAGTAGATAAGATTACCCATAAGAGTCACAGGAAGACACAACTTTTCCAAATTTCAAGGAAAATATTCAATTGCATGTGAGAACAACACAATGCCTGAAGATGCTTCTTATATGCGAGTAGGTGATAAAGAAACGTAAGTTTTAGCATTTTCTTAGGCCTTAAATATCAACATAACAGTTAAGATCTTGAACCTGCAGGATAGTTTTCCAAATGTGGAAAGCCAGTGTTCTGTAGGCTCCTTAGGGCCTTTAATATGCTCATACACATTGTTACCCCAGCCTACCACTCCCGATCCTACCACCAGCCGGTACCCACTGCTCCCACTCCCACAGGCCTCCAAGCCCCCAGGAAATCAACTGAAGGCAAGGAATATATGCTTTTCCAAGCCTATAGAGATGGCTCTTTACATTCATGTGTTCCATATCCACACATTCAACCAACAGGGAATAGAAAATATTTGGGAAAAAAGATTGTGTCTGTACTGAACATGTGTCAATTTGTTCTTCTTGTCATTATTCCCTAAAATACAGTGTAACAACTATTTTCATAGCATTTACATTGTATTAGGTACCATAAATAGAGATAAAGTATACAGGATGATATACATTGGTTATATGTAAATACTACACTGTATTATATTAGAAACTTGAACATCTGTAGATGTTTATATCTAAGGTAGGTCCTGGAACTAATTCCCCACAGATACAGAGGGACAATGGTACAGTATACATTTCCAAAATCTCCTCTATACCAGCATTTAAAAAAAAAAAAGGAACAGCATGGAAAGCATTTTTATAGGCCATAAACTTGTTTTGATTGTTTCCATCACCAGAGAAGGAAGATAAAGCCAAATGGGTAAGGGAAGTGTTAAAAAGATAAAAAGCCTGGTATGCATTCTGCCTTCTTCTTTCAGTACTGAACCTCATTAGTGGTGGAGAGCATTGAGGCATCTCTAAGGGGAACGCGATGCTTTCTCCCTGAGCTGCAGCAATCTCAGTTACAGATGCTGATCAAGAGTAGCAAATGAAAGGTCCCCAGTCTCCATCACGTAAGTGGCAGTATCGTCGAGACAGTAGTGTAGTAAGTATTGCACAGCTAGATGTCATGCATCACCATACATATGCTGGAATTTTATACGTTTTAAGATCAAAACAGGTGTTTAAAATGATAGCTTTTGCTCCAAGGCCTAGAAACAGGAGAAAGGCACTGTTTCTCTGCTTTCAAGAAACAATTGCTCAGAAGGGAAAAAAAGCTGTTTAAAACTTCATGCCATAATTCTACAATAGATTATTAGTGCCACAGAGAGCATAGTACAAATTTATTTTCAACCACTGGGAATAATAATAAAAAAAAAGACATGTCTTAAAAGAAGGTATTTTTAGCATAATAAGTGATTGCATGGTTATATATAGATTTTGTTTCACTTTCTTCCAACTGTGAATGTGATTGTTTTCATATGCTTGGGAAATTTGCATATAATGTGTGCTATTTGTATCATGGCCAAATCACTTGGATTCAAGCTCAAACTGCTCACTGAAACAGGATGGAAGCCCACTGAGATAAATATAGTCATCTTTCATTTCCTAAGGCTCAAATCCAGGAAAATATCTTCCCCTCTTCCTAAATTTGCCTGTCTGTCAAATTTGTGAATAATTATCAAATTCTCACTGCTAGGAAAACGAGCAATTGGATAAAGCATCAATAATTGTGGTCTATAGCTTGGGAGCGAAGAGAAGAAAAAAATAGCAAATGAAAATGCGTTTGATTTCTTACTATGTTACAGGTTGAATTCATTTAAAAAAAAACCTTACTTGTGAAACTTTTCAGCAGTAGAAAAAGCCTTCATATGTTTTTTATTAATTGAAATCTTATTTGCATACCATAAAATTTACCATTTTAATTACACAAAATCTAATTGCTTTTAGTATATTCACAAAGTTGTGGAATCATCTCTATTGTCTAACTATACAACATTTTTAATCACCCTAAAAAGTAGGCTTGCACCCATTAACAATCACTTCTCATTTGTCTCTCCAGCCCCTTGAAACCCCTAATCTACATACTGTATATATGGATTTGTCTTTCTAAATACTTTATAGAAATGGTGTCATATGATCTGTGTGTGTTCTTTTATGTCTGGCTTCTTTCAGTAGCCTCACTTTACGGATAAGGTAGATAGGCCCATGGTACGGAAACAAATTGTTCAAGTTACATAAATTTTTCTAGGCACATCCAGAGCTAGAATCTGCTCTTATGAGATCTGCATTTAGCAGAATACTGGCTGAGCACTTGCTGGGAGCTCTGTTCTCAAGGGGGCTTTCAATCTCATTGGAAATGACACCGAATAAAGAAAATTGTGTTTATTATTAAGTCTCCTTTGAGAAAGCTATGCAAGATTGGAAAAAGACTTTGGTAAGCTACATGGAATGTGAGAGGAAATATGAGCTCACTATATAACATGACCAAGTCACAAGAGATAGTACCTAAATTGCCTTATAATGAGTATGGATTTGGTAAAGAATATGGCATTTGTGTTGCTGAGTGGGTATATGAGATCGGGGCTGAGTCTCCCAAAATAAACTTTGAACACATATATAACAAATATATTTGTGAAGGAATGCTAAGGAATTAGCTTGTCCAAGCCTTCTGCATTTCCACTCAGCTCTCACATATAGGCCCCTGGCTCCAACACCAAGGCCTCCTCCGTTGAAATTTTTACAATACTGACTTGATTTTGGTAAAACCCATTCTGCCTGAAATATTCCCTCTTGAACTCAAACCCCGTAGCAACATCACCATCTTCCTTCATGAAATCAGCCTATTTCTATCATTGTAGACCTGTAAACTTTCTTACTTCTCTCAATTATATTTCTCTATCTCAGATAACTCACCATATCTTTTTTTATTGTAACCCATACTGGATTTCAAGTGAACCAACACAAGTAACTTGTCTTCCTAAAGTCCTAATGAGCTAACTATATCTTCTGTCCCCAGTTCTGTACCCACCCAGGGCCCAGGTTACCAACTTAGACTTCTGTGGGGCTACTCTGGTGTGGAGTCCACTTTCTACCCATGATGACTTTCCGTTTATTAGATCATGCAAAAGTAATTGCAGTTTTTGCCATTACTTTTAATGCAAGATTGGAAAAAGACTCTGCTTGGCTACATGGAATATAAGAGAAAATATGAGGAATTTGATAATTCCTTCAGGAACTCCAGGACTCCAGTCTGCCTCCTCTCATCCAAAGACTAGAGGCCTTGTGACTGAAATTCTTCTGCACCCCATAGACAAGCCAAGGTATTGCCTAATAGCAGATCATTAGTTGGGGATTATTCTCCAAATTTCCAAATTTTAAACTTACTTGCTAGAAGAGCATTAAAATGGCAGTATAGTGCAATGTGTTGAAGGTAAATGGCCAGGATTTGTAACTCAGGCTTGACTACTTCTTAGTAGCCATATGACTTTAACCAAGAATCTTAACTTCTCTCGGCCTCAGTTTCTTCATTTTTAAAATAAGGGTAATAGTACTTCCTACATTATGAAATCATTCTGAAGACTAAATAACCTTCTATAATATGTGAAACACTTAGATAAATACTTGTAATATAGAAATTGTATAAAGTTAATAACTATTATTTTCTCTACACACAAGTAGCTGCTATGCAAGATTTATATGGAAATGTTCAAGTTTTTTGCTTGTTTTTCATAACACTTTAAAATATCAACCAGGAGAAAAAGTGCTAGACTGGGAAATAGGAGGTCTAGAATCTAGTTCTGATTCTATCACTAAGCAATATTTTAATATGCACACTGAATTTTTTTAGGATGGCTGAATATTTTCCCACACTTATGCCTATGTGTATGTATTTGTGAATGCTATCTTTATAGAAAGTGAAGATGTCAGGCCTCTGAGCCCAAGCCAAGCCATCCCATCCCCTGTGACTTGCACGTAAACGCCCAGATGGCCTGAAGTAACTGAATAATCACAAAAGAAGTGAATATGCCCTGCCCCACCTTAACTGATTACATTCCATCAGAAAGGAAGTGTAAATGGCCGGTCCTTGCCTTAAGTGATGACATTACCTTGTGAAAGTCCTTTTCCTGGCTCATCCTGGCTCAAAAAGCACCCCCACTAAGCACCTTGCGACCCCCACTCCTGCCCGCCAGAGAACAAACCCCCTTTGACTGTAATTTTCCTTTACCTACCCAAATCCTATAAAACGGCCCCACCCCTATTTCCCTTCACTGACTCTCTTTTCGGACTCAGCCCGCCTGCACCCAGGTGAAATAAACAACCATGTTGCTCATACAGAGCCTGTTTGGTGGTCTCTTCACATGGACGCGTATGAAATTTGGTGCCGTGGCTCGGATCGGAGGACATCCCTTGGGAGATCAATCCCCCTTCCTCCTGCTCTTTGCTCCCTGAGAAGGATCCACCTACGACCTCAGGTCCTCAGATCGACCAGCCCAAGAAACATCTCACCGATTTCAAATCCGGTAAGCGGCCTCTTTTTACTCTCTTCTCCAACTTCCCTCACTATTCCCTCAACATCTTTCTCCTTTCAATCTTGGCGCTACACTTCAATCTCTCCTTTCTCTTAATTTCAATTCCTTTCATTTTCTGGTAGAGACAAAAGAGACACGTTTTATCCATGGACCCAAAACTCCGGCACCGGTCACGGACTGGGAAGGCAGCCTTCCCTTGGTGTTTAATCCTTGCAGGGACACCTCTCTGATTATACACCCACGTTTCAAGGGTGTCAGACCATGCAGGGACGCCTGCCTTGGTCCTTCACCCTTAGCGGCAAGTCTCGCTTTTCTGGGGAAGGGGCAAGTACCTCAACCCCTTCTCTCCTTGTCTCTACCCCTTCCCCGCTTTTCTGGGAGAGGGGCAAGTACCCCTCAACCCCTTCTCCTTCACCCTTAGCGGCAAGTCCTGCTTTCCTAGGCGGCAAGAACCCCCCAATCGCTTATTTCTGCACCCCAACCTCTTATCTCTGTGCCCCAATCCCTTATTTCTGCACCCTGATCTCTTATCTCTGTGCCTCAATCCCTTATTTCTGTCTCCCAACCCCTTCTCTGCTTTTCTGGAGGGCAAGAACCCCCCACCCCTTCTCCGTGTCTCTACTCTTTTCTTTGGGCTTGCCTCCTTCACTATGGGTAAGCTTCCACCTTCCATTCCTCCTTCTCCCTTAGCCTGTGTTCTCAAAAACTTAAAACCTCTTCAACTCACACCTGACCTAAAACCTAAATGCCTTATTTTCTTCTGCAATGCCATTTGACCCCAATACAAACTCAACAGTAGTTCCAAATAGCCGGAAAATGGCACTTTCAATTTTTCCATCCTACAAGATCTAAATAATTCTTGTCATAAAATGGGCAAATGGTCTGAGGTGCCTGACGTCCAGGCATTCTTTTATACATCAGTCCCTTCCTAGTCTCTGTGCCCAGTGCAACTCGTCCCAAATCTTCCTTCTTTCCCTCCTGCCTGTCCTCTGAGTCCCAACCCCAAGAGTCACTGAGTCTTTCTAATCTTCCTTTTCTACAGACCCATCTGACCTCTCCCCTCCTTGCCAGCCCAAGCTAGGTCCCAATTCTTCCTCAGCCTCTGCTCCTCCACCCTGTAATCTTTTTATCGCCTCCCCTCCTCACACCTGGTCTGGCTTACAGTTTCGTTCTGTGACTAGCCCTCCCCCACCTACCCAGCAATTTACTCTTAAAAAGGTGGCTGGAGCCCGAGGCATAGTCAAGGTTAATGCTCCTTTTTCTTTATCCCAAATCAGATAGCGTTTAGGCTCTTTTTCATCAAATATAAAAACCCAGCCCAGTTCATGGCTCGTTTGGCAGCAATACTGAGACGCTTTACAGCCCTAGACCCTAAAATGTCAAAAGGCCATCTTATTCTCAATATACATTTTATTACCCAATCTGCTCCCGACATTAAATAAAACTCCAAAAATTGGAATCTGGCCCTCAAACCTCACAACAGGACTTAACTAACCTCACCTTCAAGGTGTACAATAATAAAAAAAAGTTGCAATTCCTTGCCTCCACTGTGAGACAAACCCCAGCCACATCTCCAGCACACAAGAACTTCCAAACGCGTGAACTGCAGCGGCCAGGCATTCCTCCAGAACCTCCTCCCCTAGAAGCTTGCTACAAGTACCAGAAATCTGGCCACCAGGCCAAGGAATGCCTGCAGCCCAGGATTCCTCCTAAGCCGTGTCCCATCTGTGCGGGACCCCACTGAAAATCGGACTGTTCAACTTACCTGGCAGCCACTCCCAGAGCCCCTGGAACTCTGGCCCAAGGATCTCTGATTGACTCCTTCTTGGCTTACCGGCTGAAGACTGACGCTGCCTGATCGCCTCGGAAGCCCCGTAGACCATCACGGACGCCGAGCTTTAGGTAACTCTCATGGTGGAGGGTAAGTCCATCCCCTTCTTAATCAATACGGAGGCTACCCACTCCACATTACCTTCTTTTCAAGGGCCTGTTTCCCTTGCCTCCATAACTGCTATGGGTATTGACGGCCAGGCTTCTAAACCTCTTAAAACTCCCCAACTCTAGTGCCAACTTAGACAACACTCTTTTATGCACTCTTTTTTAGTTATCTCCACCTGCCCAGTTCCCTTATTAGGCTGAGATATTTTAACCAAATTATCTGCTTCCCTGACTATTCCTAGACTATAGCCACGTCTCATTGATGCCCTTCTTCCCAATCCAAAGCCTCCTTTGCGTCCTCCTCTTGTATTCCCCCACCTTAACCCACAAGTATAAGATACCTCTACTCCCTCCTTGGCGACCAATCACACACCCCTTACCATCTCATTAAAACCTAATCACCCTTACCCAGCTCAACGCCAATATCCCATCCCACAGCAAGCTTTGAAAGGATTAATGCCTGCTATCACTCGCCTGCTACAGCATGGCCTTTTAAAGCCTATAAACTCTCCTTACCATTCCCCCATTTTACCTGTCCTAAAACCAGACAAGCCTTACAAGTTAGTTCAGGATCTGCGCCTTATCAACCAAATTGTTTTGCCTATCCACCCCATGGTGCCAAACCCATATACTCTTCTATCCTCAATACCTGCCTCTACAACCCATTATTCTGTTCTAGATCTCAAACAAGCTTTCTTTACTATTCCTTTGCACCCTTCATCCCAGCCTCTCTTCGCATTCACTTGGACTGACCCTGACACCCATCAAGCTCAGCAAATTACCTAGGCTGTACTGCCGCAAAGCTTCACAGACAGCCCCCATTCCTTCAATCAAGCCCAAATTTCTTCCTCATCTGTTACCTATCTCGGCATAATTCTCATAAAAACACACGTGCTCTCCCTGCCAAGCCTGTCTGACTGATCTCTCAAACCCCAGCACCTTCTACAAAACAACAACTCCTTTCCTTCCTAGGCATGGTTAGCGCGGTCAGAATTCTTACACAAGAGCCAGGACCACACCCTGTAGCCTTTCTGTCCAAACAACTTGACCTTACTGTTTTAGCCTAGCCCTCATGTCTGCGTGCAGCGGCTACCGCTGCTTTAATACTTTTAGAGGCCCTCAAAATCAGAAACTATGTTCAACTCACTCTGTACGGTTCTCATAACTTCCAAAATCTATTTTCTTCCTCATAGCTGACCCATATACTTTTTGCTTCCCGGCTCCTTCAGCTGTACTCACTCTTTGTTGAGTCTCCCACAATTACCGTTGTTCCCGGGCCAGACTTCAATCCGGCCTCCCATATTATTCCTGATACCACACCTGACCCCCATAACTGTATCTTTCTGATCCACCTGACATTCACCCCATTTCCCCAAATTTCCTTCTTTCCTGTTCCTCACCCTGATCACGCTTGATTTATTGATGGCGGTTCCACCAGGCCTAATCGCCACACACCAGCAAAGGCAGGCTATGCTATAGTACAAGCCACTATCCTGCCTCTTAGAACTTCTCATTTCCTTTCCATCGTGGAAATCTATCCTCAAGGAAATAACTTCTCAGTGTTCCATCTGCTATTCTACTACTCCTCAGGGATTATTCAGGCCCCCTCCCTTCCCTACACATCAAGCTTGAGGATTTGCCCCACCCAGGACTGGCAAATTAGCTTTACTCAACATGCCCTGAGTCAGATAACTAAAATACCTCTTAGTCTAGGTAGATACTTTCACTGGATAGGTAGAGGCCTTTCCTACAGGGTCTGAGAAGGCCACCACAGTCATTTCTTCCCTTCTGTCAGACATAATTCCTCAGTTTAGCCTTCCCACCTCAATACAGTGTGATAACAGATGAGCCTTTATTAGTCAAATCAGCCAAGCAGTTTTTCAGGCTCTCACTCTTCAGTGAAACCTTTATAGCCCTTACGGTCCTCCGTCTTCAAGAAAAGTAGAATGGACTAAAGGTCTTAAAATACACCTCACCAAGCTCAGCCACCAACTTAAAAAGGACTGGACAATACTTTTACCACTTCCCCTTCTCAGAATTCAGGCCTGTCCTCAGAATGCTACAGGGTACAGCCCATTTAAGCTCCTGTATAGACGCTCCTTTTTATTAGGCCCCAGTCTCATTCCAGACACCAGACCAACTTAGACTGTGCTCCAAAAAACTTGTCATCCCTACTATCTTCTGTCTAGTCATACTCCTATTCACCATTCCTAACTCCTCATACATGCCCTGCTCTTGTTTACACTGCCGGTTTACACTGTTTTTCCAAGCCATCACAGCTGATATCTCCTGGTGCTATCCCCAAACTGCCACTCTTAACTCTTGAAGTAAATAAATAATCTTTGCTGGTAGGACTATGCTGAATCTCCTTAGGCACTCTCTAATCAGATATCCTGAGTCGTCCCAATTCTTAGACCTTTTACACCTGTTTTTCTCCTTCTGTTATTCCATTTAGTTTTTCAATTCATACAAAACTATATCCAGGCCATCACCAATCATTCTATACGACAAATATTTCTTCTAACATCCCCACAATATCACCCCTTACCACAAGACCTCCCTTCAGCTTAATGTCTCCCACTCTAGGTTCCCACGCCGCCCCTAATCCCACTTGAAGCAGGCCTGAGAAACATGGCCCATTCTCTCTCCATACCACCCCCCAAAAATTTTCGCCGCCCCAACACTTCAACACTATTTTGTTTTATTTTTCTTATTAATATAAGAAGTCAGGAATGTCAGGCCTCTGAGCCCAAACCAAGCCATCCCATCCCCTGTGACTTGCACGTAAACGCCCAGATGGCCTGAAGTAACTGAATAATCACAAAAGAAGTGAATATGCCCTGTCCCACCTTAACTGATGACATTCCACCACAAAAGAAGTGTAAATGGCCGGTCCTTGCCTTAAGTGATGACATTACCTTGTGAAAGTCCTTTTCCTGGCTCATCCTGGCCCAGAAAACACCCCCACTAAGCACCTTGCGACCCCCACTCCTGCCCGCCAGAGAACAAACCCCCTTTGACCGTAATTTTCCTTTACCTACCCAAATCCTATAAAATGGCCCCATCCCTATTTCCCTTCACTGACTCTCTTTTCGGACTCAGCCCTCCTGCACCCAGGTGAAATAAATAGCCATGTTGCTCACACAAAGCCTGTTTGGTGGTCTCTTCACACGGATGCGCATGAAAGAAGATATAAAAATCTAAGTGATCACAGAAGCCAAATTAGTGGCTTCCTAATAAATGAGAGGTCCATAAATGATTCTTCTCCCTCAGGTTGATTAATTCTGTGTGTTGATTAGCTCAGCAACACACATTCATCTTTCTGAGTTGTCTTTGCTCTTAAAGAAAAATTTCATCCAGCACATCCCTAAATGATAAGGAGAAATGATTGCTTATACAAATCAGGATATCAGAAAAGCTGGCCAGATGGGGGCTGTGTCAACTCCCTCCCCACTCCAATTGTGCTACTAAATCTTTTTAAGTGTCTCTGTCTAAAATCTTCTCTCTTAAGTACCACTCCCTCCTAATAAGGTCATTTTATCCCAAACAGCCTTCTAAGTAGTATGACCAGCCATCCAGAAAAGGTGTGAACATTCTTGCAGTCTATCTAGAAAGTGCAGTGCAGTACACAACCCAGACTCTCTTCCTTTATGTCCCATACACCCTCTGGTTACCTTAATTTTAATTATTAACTTAGTGTGTCTCCCTTTTCTTATGCCCAGACTGGGTGTTCTCAAAGAAGACTGGGTTTTGTGCCCTTTAGATTGTCAGCACACAATATTTAATCAGTGCATTAAAAATGTTTGGCTTCTGTGAGTACATATAGTGAGTGAAGTCAAATGTCTCTTTATCCAAGGTATGCATTGGTCCTTTTTCACGTATAATCCCTCTGCCTGGAATGGCTCCCCATTTAATGAGTCATCCTTTATAATCCAACTAAGACATCACCTCATTTCATGAGTTATCCTCAAGTCCCTTAGATTTTCCATTCTCTGAATCACAATAGTATATTTTCTTACAGATTGTCAAAGATTTCTCTTATGGCTATTCCCATAGTCTTTGAAATAATTACATTGATTTTTAAATTTACTTTAATTTATTTACTTATAAGCCTGGTTTTTTCATGGGATATGCACTCCTCAAAGACGATAAAGGTACCTCCTTAATCAGTATTCCTACAACTTAGCACAGTGCCTGGCACATTAACAGGTACTCAGTAATATCTGTTGATTGCAACTATATTGAACTGATTTGAATTGCATTCAGTTCAAATTTATAGAGAAAATTCATCACGGTAAAGGCTTTGTGGTATAATTGATATGGCCAAATGAAATGGATAAATTACAAAATGTATACCGTTCACTCTTCCTTTGGGGAGCTTATAAAGGATTTTTACCATTGTAACATAATATTTTAAAATATTGTTGGAAGTTTTCTCCTCCTGATGTTTCCTTCCTCTCTGTACAAGTGAAAGCATCCATTTGTTTCCAGAAAGATTAGGATTAGAGAAAAGAAAGGAAAAATAATCAATATTCAACTTTTATCTTCCAAAATAGGAGGCAAAGCCCAAAGGAAGTCACAAGTCTTACAAGAAGAATTTCATGTGTGTGTGTGAGAGAGAAAAGGGGATTTCTAAATTCAAAAATCTCTCCTTGTATAGTAAGAGAAAATCTTGAAGGTTTGAATATGGAGTATTATTATGAGCTATGGATACAGAGAACTCCACATATGGCCAAGAATGCTTCTCCCTATTTCAAAAGGAGATAGAGAACTTTTCTACTTCAAGGATGAAATAGTGGTTGGAAAGATTTTGAAGGAATTAAAGGTAGAGAAGGAACCCTACTTTGGTTTTGCAGGGATTTGCAGTTTCTACCACCTTTTACAGATCTCAACCATGGGGTGAATTTGGGGGGTACCCTGGAGATAGAAACCACAGATGGGTCATATGGGGAGCCAAAGGCAATTGGAGCACTTGTTTCATTTCCGGTTGAGGTGAAACTGTCTTCTAACATGGAGTGAGTAAAGCCAACTATGACAGTAGCATGAAAACTTTGGTCAGAGCAAGGATGCTAAGAGTACACTTCTACTTTCCTACCTTTTGTGAGCAGGAAATTCCTGAGTACCTCAGGAGATTTAGAAGACTGTGGGCAGGGAGTGCTGGAGACTGAATTTGTGAATGGGAGGGGCAAAGCCTTTGAGGATGCATAATAGTGTTCCCAATTTCGGGAGTAAATGAGATGTGCAGCTAGAGCCAGGGTGAATTCCTGTGGAAACTAGCTATCCAGAAGAGGTAACAGAGCATCACCTGTGCCAAAGTAACTTTACCTCAGTAATAAATAATTCCTCAGAGGAATCCCTGTCCAAATACTAAGGAGAAAAGGCATCCCAAACAAAGGGCAGCACCAAAGTATAGAAGCTTCTTCCTCTGCTCAGATACCAGTCTGGATAGAAAGCAAAGAGGAGAGATTTCTTAACAGAAGAAACAAATATCCTTAATAGGAAATTTGAACTTTAAATCTACAGATTATTTGTACAAGTAAAAGTAAGGCAAGATAAAAGAAAAGAGACTGCCTTAAACTGGAAGAGAATGGAAAGTTAAGGACCAATTCCCAGCTTCTTTTGTCATCAGCAGGAATGGGGGCCTAGAACAAGAGAGAATGTTTTTCAAAATCAAGTGGCTTTTTAAAAATTTTTATTTTTTACATTTTGTTTATGTGTAAATTTTGACTCCACTTCACATTGTTTGGGTTAACACAATGGTTTTTGAGAAGAAAGAATTGCCTAGGCCAGATGGGAGTTCTCCCTAGACCAGCTGTCTGGCCTTTGTTTGCAAAACATAGTTAAACCATCAAAAGGGCTTCATGCATAGCCCAGGAGTACATTAGCAGAGCAGATGATAAAAGGTCAAGAATATGGGCTATTTAGATATAGATGAAATCTGACAGATGAAACACTAAAGTAATCTAATAAGACCAAGAGGGAACTGACATTAAAGTTTGGGTAAGAAACTGATTAGATGCTACATAAACAATGAGGACAACTATGGCTATTGAACTGTTTTTGGAAAGCTGTCACCTCCAACAAAAGTGCTCAATAAATGTTGATATCCTGACTGTTCATGGATTCCCTTATTATCTTTGCTCCCCAATGTATTAAGAAAATCAAGGAAATTAAATGAGGATTTTATCAAGAATCTGGAACATAGAATTATTCCAGTAAATTGAGTGTTCCAGTTAACATAGTTAACATCTGTCACCTATAAGGCTTACTAACTATTCAAGAACTTAAAATGCTATGTATTAGTCAATGTTCTCCAGAAAAACAGAACTAATAGGAGATAGATAGATAGATAGATAGATAAATGGATAGAGAGAGAGAGAGATAAATATGTTCAGCACGCTGAACCCATGGGGAACTGGTTGCAGGACATCCCACAAAAAACAAAATTACAGGATGCTCAAGTCCCTTATCTAAATTAGCATAGCACAATTGGCCCTTCATAGGATTCTGTGATTCAACCAATCATGGATTATAAATAAGTACTATTGGCCCACCATAATCACTGATTTTGATCGTAGTTGGTTAAATCCACAGATGCAAAACCTGCATATGTGGAGGGCTGACTGTATTGAAAGAGAGAATGAGATTATAAGGAATTGGCTTGCATGATTATGGAGGATGAGAAGCCCCCACAATGCGCCCTTTGCAAGCTGGTGATCTCAGAAAGCTGGTGGTATGTTTCTTTTCAAAGAAGGAAGGAGAAATGATTGATTAATTTATTAAGGGTTGACACAAGAAACCCTTATGTCTCGTGTTAGGCAAGAGAAAAATTTATCTTTTTCTGGAGTCCACAACTCACTCTTGAGAACCAGGAAAACTGATGGGGTAAGTTCTAGTTCAAGTCTGAAAGCCTGAGAACAAAGAGTGCAGCTGACGCAAGTCTTGATCAGAGGGCAGGAGAAGTCCAATGTCTCACTTTGCTCAGTTGGGCAAAGAGAAAGAAGTTTCCCTTTCTCTGCCTTTTGTTCTATTCGACCTGCAATAGATTGGATGATGCCCATGCACATCGGGAAGAGCAATTTTCTTTACTCAGGCTATGGATTCAAATGGTGATTTCTTCCAGGAACATCCTCACAGACACATCGAGAAACAATGTCTAGCTAGCTATCTGGGCACTCTGTAGCCTAGTCAACTAAACACAAAATTAACCATCATGCTAATTATTTGAAAATTGTTAATCCTATGGATGTAAGGATGCAAAAAGAGTGGCTGTTGTGTGCCTCCAAGTTGCTCTCAGGTCTAATTCTTTATTGTGACTGAAAGTAAAGCAGTCTTCAGAAGGGAATGTTTTTCTCCAGCATCACCTAACAGGTGAATTTAGTGACAATTTACAGCTCTTTGTTGCTAATCATGAACTCAGAGAATACAGAATTTCTTTGCTGTCCTATGGGCATATGCCTGTGCAATCTTTGGATAAAACATCATCTTCCTGCCAGCTCAGCATTTATTTTTAATTTATTGTTTGCTGCCTTGTCCCAAGAGAGCAAAGTTTCCATTAAGCAGCATGATTCCCAAGAGTGGTGGTTTTTTTTTTTCCTCTCAGATAAAGATGTGACTTTGAACAACGAAGAAGTACTCAAGTCATGGAATCGTAGACCCAAGTCACAGTTTTATCTTTGTCATTTATTTTGAACACAATGCTTCCCATCATTTTTCAAATCTGAAAAGTTAGAAGATAGCTAACATAATCTCTAAAGCTTTATACATGCTCTGAAAAACAATTAAGTTTATGCCTAGGTTGTTGTCTTAGAAAAAAATTAGTATGCCTATTGTGATACTAAATGAAGACTGGAAACAAAAATAAACAAGATGCAGTGCTTTCCACTGAATATCTCAGAGTCTGGTAAGGAAGGTATATAAATCATTAACCACAGTACCCTGTGATGAGTGCTAATTAGGGGATATACTTGATCTAACCTATTCACACCATCTTATTATCAAATTCAAGAGAATACAAAATGACTACCGAAGGTTAGAGACTCTTTTAAGGACATAGTTAACTTTTTTTTTTAATCCAAATGAAACCGATGATCTTTCTTCTAGGGCATTATCATGAGGTTCTAACTCCATGTACTAATCAATATTTTTCTTAAGTGTGAGAACAGAAGAAAGAAAGGCTAGACTTACAAGGAAGGAAAAAGGGACTCAAAGGCAAAGGCCATGATTTAATTTTTCAAAAAATCGGTGGAGCACAGTGTCTCAAACCTGTAATCCCAGCACTTTGGGAAGCCAAGATGGGAGGATCACTTGAGGCCAAGAATTTAAGGCCTGACTGGGCAACATAGTGAGACCCCAGTCTCTATCAAAAAAGAAGTAATAATTTTAAAAAATTAAATTTAAATAAATATATATATATATTTGAACATGGTTTTGAAAAAAAAAAATTTCCATTACCTAACACAGAGCTTGGCATGATACATGTGTTCAAGTACGTGTTCATTTATTCATTCACTCACTTACTCATTTGGTACATACTGAACATCTGCTATGTGCCAAATGCTGTGCTGAGTACTAGGATACAATGATGTACAAAGCATCCAAGGTTTCAGTCCTCAATGAATTTATGTTAAAGTAAAAGGTGAACTATAAACTAGAAAACAAAATATTTTGATAAGTCTTGTGAAGGAAATAAGTGGTGACATGACAGAAAGCGCAGAGAGGGTTGCTGCATGAAGCAGACTGATCTGGAATAGTCCCTTTTAGAGGTTAACAAAGTAAAGGCCTTTGGTGCATAGGAAGGGAAGAAAGAACACAAGACCACCAGGATCATATTTAATGAAGAGAGAGGATGGTAACAACATGACTTTGTGAAGGTGAGTAGATGAAGCATGTGTTGTCAAGTCAGAGCCTAATAACATGGCTGCAAGGGATGAGGAGAAGGGAAGCAGCAAATATTATACCTAAGTTTAGTTAAATGAATTAGAAATTTAGTTAAATGAACTAAAGGAGAAGAAGGAAGAAAGGAGGGAAGGAAAGAAGGAAGGAAGGAAGGGAAGGGAAGGGGAAATAATTGATTAATGTACTGACTGCTGACGTATATTTTTGTGTTAGATATAAGAAAGGTGTGCTTTTTCTGGAGTCTACAACCTAAAAAGTTATGCTAAATTCTATGATAAGTCAAAGAAGAGCATTAAAAAGGAATACTCAATTAGAATATAGGCTCTAAAAGAAGCAGCAAAGCCCTTTGATGGTGATAGAAATTTGGATAATTTGGGCAGTTAATCATTTTCTCTCTGTGATTCTACAGGAATGAAAGGGAAGATTTATCTTCAAAAGTGAGTGGGATTCACTAGGTTACAAAATAGAAAAGCACATTTCAGGCAGGGATAACAGTGTGTACTGATAAGTGGAGACATGAACAGCCTGGTACATACATGAGAAGTCTCCGAATAGTTCAGCAAAACTAGAGAGAGTGAAAGAGAAAGAGTGTGGAGTGGTGAAATTGGAAAGTCACGTGGTATCAGATCAAGTAGTGTTTTTTATGCTGAAAAAGAGCTTACTAGTAGCTAATGTTTCTGAAGATACAGCTTTGCTGATATTCTGTCTGCTGCCCAAATAAGCCAAGTTCCTTCCTGTCTCAAGGACTTTGCAGTAATTTATGTCTCTGATTCCCCCATCCCAGAGGCTCTTGTGCTGACTCCTTCCCACCAATTGCCAATCATGTCTTGGCATAAATATTCCCTTCTTAGAAGGAATGCTTCCTGCAGCTCCATCTTAAATTGACTAACCAATTTCTCCATCACTCTGTTTTGTTTTCTCCTTAATGTTTTCTATTACCTGGGATCATCTTGCTTAGTATGTGTTTATTTGTTTACCTTCTGCTTTTCTCTGCTGGGATAAAAGCTCACCAGAAGAAATATTTTCTGTTTTGTGTAACACTGTATTTCCAATACCTGTAACAAAATAGTAGGTGCCTATTAAATATTTGTGGAATGATTGAATGTGAAAGCATTGTTTAGGGTGATACATGGTCTGTCATGTTTTGGAATATCAGTTTGATTGCAGTATGGTAGGATTGTATCTTCCTGAAGGACAAAGTTCTAAAGTCAGTGTGGGATATTTCTTTTAATGTACAATTAAAATTATCTTGAAAATGGATTACAAAAGTGTGCAAGGCCACTTTGTAGACTGACATATATCCTTCCAGGAGAGTAGGTTCAACATCCCTGGAGGTTTTTACTTTTTTATAATTCCAGAAAATGATATGTCCCTCTTTCTGCACTTGACACCCTATTCAGCACATTGCTGAAGTAGAAATTAGTAGAGTGATGGGAGAAATAACCTGAACAATTTATTGTTTTGTCCTGGTTGAGATTGAGTGTTGCTGAATTGGTGTGAGCTTAATGCTCATATGATACCACTTTGTGAAAGGTAAAAGTAGAATGTCTAAGTTTTGAGGCTGGGAGATCACTTAACAATGGTGTTTAATCACCTCTTGATATGAAAAAAAAAAGACATCTCTTTGTCGCTTTCAATCTTGTGATACCCAATTTTATATATTTGAGAGGTTTCTGCAATGAACTGAATGTTACTTTGGTTGTTTTAGAATCCACTTTCTTTACCCTAGGCATAGTTTGAATATCGTTGCAGAAGATGCATTGGAATTAAAAGACCAACAGGATCCTTAGTGTATCTACGACTTCTAATGATCTGGATGGTTAGTTCCCACTTTGTCAGTCCTCTTGTCCTGTTCCTACCCACCACAGTCCTTTGAGACATTAGCAAATACTAGATGAGTCAACATTTTTTTCCCTTTTCTCTCCTATCCCCAAAAGATTAAATATCAAAGTTTGGCAAAAATCAAGTTGTTCATTTAAATATCAGTCCTCAAATACTGGCCTCTCTCTCTGCCTCATAAACATGCAGTCAAATTTTGTCTTTTCTTCCAAGCAACTAGGAATGGAAGAAATATTAGCTCTCCATTCCACCTAATTCACAACATTGCTGTCTAATTTGGGGTGAGATCCAATTCTCATCTGAATGAAGCTTAGTGTATAAAAGACGTTTGAAGGCTGCTAAAAATGTTCTATCAGGAGCCAAATGTTTTGTACTTCTATTTGCTTTTTGCCAGCCCTCCCTCTCTCACACCCCCATCCCAAATATCTATCCCTTATAAGTATGCGATTATACTAGGGAATAAATTGCAGATTCTAATAGTTACAATTTGGTTTAACACTGTAGGAAAACAGGTTGAAAAGAGACTAAATACACCTTTGGGAAATTGAAGTATTGACTCAGTACAGCCATGCACCAGCCCTCACTCTTCTCATCTTAGCTAGAATGAATTTATTTTTGCATCCATCCAGTGCTAGACAGGCAGATGCAACAAATACCTCAGTGCTTGCTGTCCTGCAGGAAGGTTTGATGGACACATTTGTCCTGTGGATATGTGACTATTAATCTGAATAGGATCATTTTAATAATGCTTTACAAATCAAAAAGCATTTCTGCTCCACAGATGGATAACACTGGGGAGTACTGACCACTCCATGCCAGTTCTAGTGTATATAAAGGCAAATGGAACTCAGAGAGGTAGGGCTTCATTTTTCAGTCAGCTCAGCAGATTTGTGGGGAAAGGAATCTCATGCTCCCTGCTTTTGAGAGCTGTTAATGGGGGTAATTTATTCAACCTTTCACTGCCTCATTTTTTTGTGTGAAAATTAAGGATAATAATAAGCCACATCTCATAAAGTTTTGTGGGGATTTAAGGAGATAGTATAATAGAGTGATTAACATGGTAAGAGTTAACAGTCCATATATTTTAGCTATTTAATTATGTTAAAGAGACATCATAACCAAAAAGTAATTATGATGTTGGTGATGATGATTCTCATTTTACACGTCCAGAGATAGAGAACCGGTGATTCTAAGAAACTAGACTACAGTCACAAAAGTCCTCACATCTTGTCTCTGGGTTCCAAGCTCCAATCCTTACCTTATTTCCAGGCTCCAAGGCTCAGTGAAGGGACTGGGGCTAAATGCACCTATGAAAGAGAACCTGTCTGTGCCTATAAGGATTTCTACTGCAAAACTTTCTAAAAATGAGCCCAATGAGAGTTTCCAACTCTTTTATTTCCATTTTTATCCTCATGAGCAAAGCAAGTGTGCACTACAAGCCTAACTAGGATTTGACAGGTGGAGCCCCTTGTACTATTTGAGTTACTAATGGGATAGCAAACAGTTCTTGTAATTTACTTTGTACTTTGATAATGTCTTGGCTTCAAGGGTCACACAGGCCTTTCCAAACATTAACTTATTTCCCTCTCTTTATGTTTTGAAGGGGTCAGAAAAGGTTAGCTTTCTTCTTGTTTTGCGGCTGAGAAGACAGGTTTAAAAAGGGTATGCATCTTACCAAAGTTGCCCCACAAACTGAGCGCTATCCAATCTGCTACGACTAGCTACAGACACTGTAACCCACACAAGGAAATTTGTCCAGGGTGTTTTGCATTCTGACCTAGAACTGCCACTGAATGTTATTTGTCTTACCTTTCTATAGGCCTCAAGCAATGCATAGAAAAAACAAGAGTATATTGCAAGTCTGGCTTCTGCAGCACTGCAGAGGTAAAAGAGTTGAATGAACAGGAGCAAGCCTAGGTACAAAAGTAGTAGTTCCAAGCAAATACAACTTATCACATTAAGAATGAGTTGGGGAGGCTGATTTATTTGTTTTAGAAGTTGGGTGGAACAAGGAAGAGAATATGTAGGCATATGAGGACCACATTTCAGCACCTCTTCTGAATCCAGGGAATAGATTCATTCAGTTGGGAACTGACTCCAGGTCCTAGTTTAGATGGTTTCTCTTATGTTATCTCATTTGATCATCGCAACAACCCTGGTTTCTTAAAGTGTTATGCATTGAGATGCAGGAGAGAGAAAGCCTAAATAGATGGCTTTTTTCACCTACTTAAAGTTACCTTCCCACTGAATTCTTCCTTTCCAGGCTACTTTGTCTAAAATCATGACCTCCTTTGCACTCCTATCCCTTTTCCTATTTACCAAAAGCTAATATATCACCTTTGCATGAGCTAACATATATATATATGTGTGTGTGTGTGTGTGTGTGTGTGTGTGTGAGTGTGTGTGTGTGTATTAGATTGGTGCAAAAGTAATTGCGATTTTGGCCATTATTTTATATTGCAAACACTGCAGTTATTTTTGCACTAACCTTATATATATATCGCTAGTGCCTATTACACATTAGGGTTCAACCAATAACTATTGAATTAGTAAATGAATGTATTCATGTTCTCCTAACAACTCATAGCTGCCTTAGTAGCATGCAATTACATTTGCTATTTAAAAATTATTTGTGTGGTTGTTTTATTATACTTTATCTCATCCTCTAGAAGGATCTGTGAAAACTGACAATGTTTTTGTTTGATTATAAAGCATGTTGCCTGGCAGAAAGTAGTTCACAATGAATACTTTTAATGAAACAAATAAAACAATTTGATCAAGTAAAAAACTGACATAGCAAGATTTAGAATATTTTCATTTATTAAATAGCTATTTATTGAACAACAGATATTATTGCAGTCTTCATGGGGTTTACCACTTAATGGAGCCTTCTCATGCCAAATTTCAGGCTAAGCCTTTATTAGAAATCTAAAATTTAAATAAAAAGTAATTTTATTTATGTTCTAATATTTAATTCATAGTTCAGACACGCCTTATAAATAAGAAAGTTTTATATTTGGCAATTTCGTTTGTCTGCAGCTTCAAGGGTAAGAAGCAGAAAATAAGCCAGAAAAGCCTCTTTCCAGCTAAAATAGTTCACGAAGTTTGACAACACAAGTCTCTTAAATTGTAATTCACATTCCACATACTCTTAAATATCAGCAAACTACTTTATCATCTTAGGATCATTCCTCCTTTCACGTATTTGCCCTAATCCATCATCTATCACTAAGCCCTACAGATACTACAGTCAAATGCTTTTTATCTCCAACTCTATCTTCCCATTCCAACTTCTACTAACTTATTTTAGGCTTTATAGGTTCCAACCTGGGTAACTTCCTCTCTTAACTGGCATCTCTGCCTTCACATTACTTTTCTCTAGCACAGAATGGAAAGTTAATGTTTTTAAAAAAAAAGAGCAGGTGAAGTTCATGTCCCAAACAAGCCTCAGTGTAAGAGAATGATACTAACCCCATTCTGGTGGTGGAGCCTTCTATGGCCATCTGTGGTGCAGCTGAATGGATAATCCATCACCATGTGGCATACTTTCTATGGAGTCTGACTCTTGCAGATTTAGTTTCTAACTCAACAATAACACAATTCCCTGAACACTCATCCTCAAGTCATCTCTTGATTTCTAAACTTAATTTTTTTAATGAAAGATGAGCTGATTTATTATGGTCTTCAAGGCTCTTCACAATCTATGCTGTAGCTAGAATCTGTTTCTCATCGTTGCCACGTATATTGTACTTGTTTGTATGGCTGTCTTCCTACTGAATATGTATTTCTTTAAACACGGGATGTGCATCGCTAAAGAGATGAGAGTTGCTTTTACGTTGTACTATATGGTGCACTTCATAACAGTTAAGGATAAGTGGAAAACATTCTCCTTTGCCTTCCCTTGAGTCCTTCTAATGACTGGAGAAGGGCTAAGTTTTGTGCTAGTATGTCCTTAACAACTCTTTCGTATTTAATAATCTCCTTTTTTATCAAACAGACAGCAAATCTAGGCTTGGAGCCTTCAGCAAATAAAGTAGCTGGGTTGAATTTAGTTATATATACTGTTTTAATTGTATTGGGTTTAACAATTACCTTCTATTTGTGGCAAATGAGACTGGCTTTTCATTGAGACCAAAAATAATGTCTTTTCAAATAAGTTTATTAAGACTTAAAAGTGTACATAATTTTAAAAAACACTATATGATAATACAGGGAGCACAAAGATATAACAAAAATATGATGGGACATTTGAATGACTACAGTTTGGGAAATAATGGACTATAATATAATTTCTTTTCTCAGAGCAAGAACCATGTCTGTTCATTTCTCTAGCCCCAAAATTCTCATGATGTTTCACAGGCTATCATTAAACATTTGCAGGAGGAAGGAGGAAAGCTTATATTCCACAGCCCATTATTGAGATCATGCTCATTAAACTCTCAAATCCTTTGCCCCTTTCTCCTTATACAGACATATCTTGGAGGTATTGTAGGTTCAGTTCCAGACCACTGCAATAAATCAAATATCTCAATAAAGTGAGTCACACACATTTTCTTTTCCTAGTGTATATAAAAGTTATGTTCACACTACACTGTAGTCTACTAAGTTTGCAATAGCATTATGTCTAATATATATCTTAATTTTAAAAATGTTATTGCTAAAAACTGTTAATGATCATCTGAGCCTTCAGTAAGTTGCTGGGGGGAATATCTTGCCTCGATGTTGATGGCTGATGACTGATAAAACTTGTGGTTGCTAAAGGTTAAGGTGGCTGTGGCAACTTTTTAAAGTAAGACAACAATGAAATTTGTCACATCAATTGACTTTTCCTTTAACAAAGATTTCTCTATAGCATGTGATGCTATTTGATAGCATTTTACTCATAGTAGAACTTCTTTGAAAATTGGAGTCGGTTCTCTCAAATCTTGCCACTGCTCAACTGGCTAAGCAGAAACCATATTCTAAATCTTTGGTTGTCATTTCAACAGTGTTCACAGCATCTTTACCAGGGGTAGATTCTATCTCAAGAAACCACTTTCTTGGCTCATCCATAAGAAACAATTTTTTATAAGTTCGAGGTTTATTATGAGATGAAGCAGTTCAGTCCCATCTTCAGGCTCCACTTCTCATTCTAATTCTTGCGCTGTTTTTACCACATCTGCAGTGACTTGCTCCACTGATGTCTTGAACCTCTAAAAGTCATCCAGGAGAGCTGGAATCAACTTGTCAAAACTTCTGTTAAGGTTGACACTTTGACCTTCTTCCCTAAATCACAATTGTTACTAATGGCATCTAGAATGGTGAATCCTTTTCCAAAGGTTTTCAATTTACTTTGCCCAGATCCATCAGAAGAATTGCAATTTATGACAGCTATAACCTTATGAAATATATGTCTTAAATAATAAGATATGAAAGCCAAAAACTACTGCTTGATTTATGGGCATGAAAACAACATTAATTTCCCTGTACATCTCCCTTACAGCTCTTGGGTGACTAGGTGCATTGTCAATGAGCAATAATATTTTGAAAAAAATCTTTCCAAACAGTAGGTCACAACAATGAGTCTGTTATGAGTATTATGAGTCAATAATGTACATTTATTCAGGAAACCATGCTGTGAACATATGAGCTGTCATCCAGGCTTTGTTGCTCCATGTATGGAGAACAGGCAAAGTAGATTCTTAAGAACTCTAGGATTTTCAGAATGGAAAATGAGCACTGGCTACAACTTAAAGTCATCAGCTCCATTAGGCCCTAGCAAGAGACTCAGCCTGTGCTTTGAAACTTTGAAGCCAAGCATCAACTTCTCCTTTGAAGCTGTCAAAGTCCCTGACGGCATCTTCTTCCAACAGAAAGCTGTTTTGTCTACATAGAAAATCTGTTGTGTACTGTAGTGGCCTTCATCAGTGATCTTATTTAGATCATCTGAATAATTTGCCGCAGATTCTATATCAATACTTACTGCTTTATCTTGCACTTTTCTGTTATGGAGACAACTTTTTTCCTTAAACCTTATGAGCCAACTTCTGCTAGTTTTCAACTATCTCACCTCTCTCAGCATTCAGAGTATTGAAGAGAGTTAGGGCCTTGCTCTGGATTAGGTTTTGGCTTAAGGAAACGGTATGTCTGATTTGTTCTTCTATCCAGACTACTAAAACATTCTCTGTATCCGCAGTAAAAATGTTTCACTTCTTTTTTCTATCATCTCTGTGTTTACTGGAGTCGCACTTTTAACTTTCTTCAAGAAGTTTTCCTTTGCATTCACAACTTGGCTAATTGTATGGCACAAGAGACCTAGTGATATGGTTTGGCTGTCTCCCCACCCAAACCTCATGTTGAATTGTAGGTTCCATAATCTCCATGTGTCATGGGAGGGACCCAGTGGGAGGTAATTTAATTATGGAGGTGGTTCCTTTCATGCTGTTCTTGTGATAGTGAGTGAGTTTTCACGAGATCTGATGGTTTTATAAGGGGCTTTCCCCCTTTTGCTCAGCGCTTCTCCTTGCTGTTGCCACGTGGAGAAGGATGTATTTGCTTCCCTTTCCACCATGACTAAGTTTTGTGAGGCCTCCCAAGCCCTGTGGAACTATGAGTCAGTTAAATCTCTTTCCTTTATAAATTACCCAGTCTCAAGTATGTCTTTATTAGCAGCGTGAGAATGGACAAATATATACAGCTTTTATCAAATCTAGGCTTTTGACATGCCTTCCTCACAAAGCATAATCATTTCTAGCTTTTGATTTAAAGTGTGAGGTATACGACTCTTCCTTTTACTTGAACATTTATAGGCCATTGCAGGGTTATTAATTATTCTTGTTCCAATATTGTTGGATCTCAGGGAATAGGAAGGCCTGAGGAGAGAGAAGGAGGGGAATGGCCAGTGGTTGAAGTGGTCATAAAACATACAACATTTATCAATTAAGTTCACCGTCTTATATGGGTGCAGTTTATTGTTCCCCAAAATAATTACAATAGTAACATCAAAGATCACTGATCACAGATCACCATAACAGATATAATAATAACTTAAAAATTGAAAACTTGCAATAATTATCAAAATGTGACAAAGATACAAAGTGGGGATATGCTGTTGAAAAAAAAAATGGTGTCAGTAGACTTGCTTGATGCAGGCACAAACCTTCAATGTGTAAAAAATGCAATATCTGTGAAGCATAATAAAAGAAAGTGCAGTAAAATGTATGGCTGTCCTCACTTAGCAAAATCTCAATTTGTTGTTAAATCTAACATTTTTTTCTATTTTATTCCTGTACTTTGAATAGTTGAAATGGCTTGTGAAAAATATACAAGCATATTAACTTGTTTCACATAACATGACCTAATCTCAAATGGGCAATTAAGCCACCTGACAATCCAGCAATATTTCCATAATCCATCCACTTTCCCAATATCTTAAATAACTGTCTAATTCTTCTCTTCCTTTACCTCCAATATTCCCCCTTCCTCACTCTCAGCTAATAACTATTCTGACTTTAATGAAGATAGAACCAATTACAAGAGAACTTCCTCACGTACACCATCATCTATACCAATCTACTGGTTTCTGAACTTACATATTTCATCATCCTTTAGCAAATCCAAGATCCAAGATCATTTCCTCTACTTGTTTCCTAAATGCCTTCTCTCCTTATTCAAGGATGTCATTTCAGGGTATTTCCTTTCTCTTGTATCCCGTCTCTACTGACTCATTCCTGTCATCCAGGAGTATGCTGAAAAATAAAATATCTTCCACCTCCTGAACTCACATTTATATCATTTCTGTTGTCTCCTTTACAGGAAGCTCTGTTTTTAATTTATCTCACTTTCTCTTTGGAACTCTTCCCAATCTGGTCTTCACCAAAACAACTTTGATCAAGGTCACTACATACCTTCATTTACTAAATCTGAGAACCATTCTCAGCTTCCTTCTTGACCTACTTAATGGTATTTGACACAGTTGATCCCCTCATTTTCTTGAAAATGCTTTCTTCACTTGTCTTTCAGAAAGTCACTGTCTCCTGGTTGTCCTCCTATTTCAACCTCACTTTCCTGGTTTATTACTGTCTTCAATACGTGTAACAGAGTGACCCAAGACTCAGTCCCTGTATCTTTTCTCTTTATTAAACTTACTCTTCAATTGATCTTACTAGATAAAAATGTTGAAATACCATCCACACACTGATA
This sequence comes from Homo sapiens, assembly GCF_000001405.40. Taxonomy (NCBI): domain Eukaryota; kingdom Metazoa; phylum Chordata; class Mammalia; order Primates; family Hominidae; genus Homo; species Homo sapiens. Next base: position 128,596,166 of record NC_000008.11, on the reverse strand, counting down.
ACTACTATATTTATACCTCCAGCTCAGACCCCTCCTCCAAACACCAGATGTGCGTATACACCTGCCTACTTGACACCTCCATTTGGATGTTTGGTAGGCATCTCAAATTCATCATGGCCAAAATCACCTCCTAATCTCATCTCTTCCAAATCTGCTTTTGCCATAATCTTTGACACCACAGTACATGGCAATTCCACCCTTCCATTTCTCAGGAAAAAATCTTGATATTATCCTTTGCATTTCTCTTTCTTCTCAACCCATATCCAATCTGTCAGCAAATCTTAACTATTTTACCTTCAGAATATCTCCAGAACCTGAGCAGTTGTTAATATTTACCACTGTCACGACTCTCATGGCTCTCCTGGCTAACTGCAGTACCTCCTAACAGTTTTTTGTTTTTCCTGATTTCATCCTTGCTCTTTATATTCTATTCTTTACACAACATACTGAGTGATCCTTTCAAAATTTAAGTCAGATTATGTCACTCCTCCACTCAAAGCTCCCAGGGGCTTCTCATTTTACAGGGGCCAGGAGGACCTGGGGGATCTGGCCCCTGCTGACTCCCTGAGCTTGTCTCCTACTGCTCTCCATTTGGCCCATCTTCTCCAGCTGCATTGTCCTCTGTGCTCTTCCAAGAATTTTCTCAACTCATTTGCAGGCCCCTCGATCTGGACCATCCTTCACTTGGAAATACATGCAACTTTTACAGTTCTGTTAAAAGTCATCTTCTAATTGAAATAGTAAGATCCTCCTTGACCTCCTATATTTAGGAATAATATTTTTCACACCTAGCCTAGCACAACCTGTAACTTTTTCTCTGCTTTATTTTATACCATAGCAATTATTTCATATATGTATGTATATACATATATACACACACATACATATACACACATATATATCAATATGTGTGTATATATTTATATGTGGTATCTATATATGCTTACATATATACAGTATGCTTACATTTTAGCTGGAAAGATATAGACAATAAGCAGATCAATATATATACAATGAGTAGATATACATTGAATAAACCCAAATCACTCATATGTATGCTCATTGTGAGTCTACTTAATTGTTTATTGCCTGTGTTTTCCCAGCTCATCTGTAAGTGCCATGAGAATGGAGGCTTTGCCTGCTTGGTTCACTGCTATATTGCCAGTACACAAAACAGTGTCTGGCACATAGTAGACTCTTAACACTTATTTGTGAAGTGGTCTTGTTGTCTGGGGTGACACTGAGGTTCATTGTCTCATGACGGTGGAGATCAAGGATGCGGACACACAAAAAGTGAGGTTAAGAGAGGAAATGAAATAGACAAAAGAAAGAGAATAAATAGCTCTCTGCTATAGAGAGGGGTTTTGGAAAAATGGGTTGCCAATCTGTGGTGAAATGCAGCAGGGGTTTTATAGATGAGCTAGTGGGGAGGTGGTGTCTGACTTACACAGGGCACAAAAACCCGGTTCGGACCAAGTGTTTCATCTGCAAAGGGTGCGAATCACTTGCAGCCCCCACCCTAATCTTTTGTTATGCAGGTGGGTTCTCTTCCTGAGCTTCTCCATGTTGCCCTTTTTCTCATTGTACACCTGCTAACAAAAAAGGGAAGGTGGAGCCCCATGATCAACATGCCTGGCCCTCAGGTAGCCCTTTTCTACTGGTGCAGCTGCAGGCCTCCCACGACGCAAGCTTCCAGCTTTCTTACCTATGTTTTCAGCTTGATCTTTCAGGCTGCCTTTTGTTAGAAAAGAAATGATTACTTTGGCTGCTTTCTGTTAGAAGGGAAGTTCTGCCGAGGCCTCGTTTGCCTTCGCTATCTGCCGAAATAATTTCTTGCTGTCTCCAGTATCATTTGTTCAATAAGTGAAAAGAAGAAGGAAGAAAAGTCAAACACTTATACCCACTACATCTTACATGTTTATATCCACATTATATTTGTTTTTTTGTTTTTTGAGGCAGAGTTTCGCTCTGTCGTCCAGGCTGAAGTGCAGTGGTACGATCTTGGCTCACTGCAACCTCCACCTCCTGGGTTCAAGCAATTCTCCTGCCTCAGCCTCCTAAGTAGCTGGGATTACAGGTGTACACCACCACGCCAGGCTAATTTTTGTATGTTTAGTAGAGATGGGGTTTCACCATGTTGGCGAGGCTGGTCTCAAACTCCTGACTTCAAGTGATCCTCCCACCTTAGCCTCCCAAAGTGCTGGGATTATACAGACAGGAGCCACCACGCCCGGCCCGTATCCACATTATATTTGACATGATATTACCTTTTTCTGAGGTTCTAAAAATCTATAAAATAGCTATTGTTGGGGTTCAGAAGTTGACACCCCGTAATATGACAAATGGACATGCTGAACTGAAGAAACCTAAAGGTCTCTCAGACCATCCCCCCACAACCTTCATAGTCTCTCCCAAAAAAGCTGAGGTTCTTTTATCTGTCTCAGATCCAGACCCGCCAAAGAGAGCAATAGTTTTCTTTCTTTCCCTAAAAGACCGAGAATGTAACCACACCTGCACAGACTCTTTCACAAGATAATGCCTCTTTCTCATACACATTGAAATTCCAAAGAATATTATTTATAAGTTACTTTTTGTTTCCCAATCCAGTCATTCTCCCTAGTAATCACTTATTACCCCTTAGCAGAATTTCTCTTTTCCCCCTGCCCCTGTAACCTGTTTTACCAAGATCAAAGCGCTCGTTTTTTTTTTTTTTTTCCAGTAATCTCAAGATTTTTTATAAGTTTGTACCTCACTGAGAGGTTAGGTCTTCATTGTGAAGACTGCCATGTATATACGTTAAATAAATTTGTATGCCTTTCCTCCTGTTAATCAATTGGCCTCATGCTAGTAATTTTTGAACTTCCAGGAGGCAAACGGTCTTGGCCCTTGCAGTCTGTATTGAATGCCCCAAATCCCTGACCTTGAGAAAGGAGAGGAGAAACAGACACACAAATGAAGGAGACATACTCTATGCTAGACAGTGTAAGTCTACAGACTGTCACTCCTTCTCTTTGCGCTCACCTTGTAAGGCTCAGTTCAGAGGTAACAATTGTAACCTTACAGTCACAATTAAACATCTTTCATTTTATTCCCATTATACTCAAGGATCTCAAATGGGCATCCCTTGATCAAGTCCAACTAGTGCTTTTATTTGTATTTTGTATTTTCATGTTTTACAGGCAAGGTCATGCTCTGTTGCCCAGGCTGCAGTGCAGTGGTGTGATAATAGTCCACTGTACCCTTTAACTCCTGGCCTCAAGTGATCCTTCCACATCAGCCTCTTGGGTACCACCATGCGAGGTTTTAAAATGTTTTGTAGAGGTGGAGTATCATTATATTGCCCAGACTGGTCTCAAGTAATTCTTCTGCCTTGGCCTCCAAAAACTCTGGGATTACAAGCTTGAGCCACTGCACCTGGCCTGACCAGTGATTTTAAAATAAGAAAATTACAATTTAAACAATGAGGATCTGGCCACACTGGACCCTCGACATCAGTCTGATAAACATGAACTGGAACTAAGTAGCAGCTGACATAACTGTAGCCTCTCCCATAGGACAGTTTCCTATATTCTTTTGCAACCTATGTTCCTGTCTCATTCATCTTACCTGTCAATCTCTGTGGGAATCAGAGTTTGAGATCCCTATAAAGCACTTGGTTCTTACCATTGTAAGAATCTCTATGGCATTGTATTGTGTCTGATTTTTAAATGCCTGTTTCTTCATCAGCCCACAGGCTACTTGGGTTTATTCATTTCTGTATCCCCATCTTCTAACACATGACTAGCATGGAGTAGACATTCACCATGTTTTTGAAATTAAATAAATTAAAACTCAATTATTGTATTTTCTTTCTTATTTCTTTTTTGCCATAATAGACAGGAGCCAAATGCTCTATTACAGGCAGACATGTTTCCCAAAACAGTGTGTAATTGCTGAACACCTTACAGAGAAGAAAGGGACAGAAATCCATTTTAAAAACAAACGTCAGAATTACTACCACACAGCAGTCTGAGGCCAGTTAGTGTAAGGCAGAAATACACCAGACACTCACGTTGACCCTGGTCACTATATGGTGATAATGATGAACATGTTCAGGCATCAAGGAAAGATTAAAAGTACGTGATACAGTATACATCAGAGCTTCATAAAGCTAGGAAGTAGGAGAGATATATTAGTGGAAAAAACGTTCAATCATATGAATACTAAATTATAGGAAAATTTAACCCCACAGAATCACTTATTTCTAGAAAACTGGGGTTTTACTGTAAATTTGGAATATCTGAAAGCTTGCCAACTATTTAAGTTTCTAAGGACCTACTATAATTCTTCAAAAACTGAGAATCTTTTTTTCTTAATTTTAATACCTTTTATGAGAATTCATTAAGCATTTGGAATTTTTTAAAATATCCTTTGCTGAAAAGATATAGTAGATATCAGGGGAAAATGAAAGTTCTTAACAGATAGCAAATACTTAGAAAAGAGTCTTGCAATACCAAGTATTTGCATGACAACCATCTAAGTCTCTCTGTTTCTCACTCCTCCCTTTCTTCCTCCTTATTTCTCTTTTATCCTCCATTATCTGGTCTTCTGCTCTCTGTGTTTAAATCTGCATATCAAAACTTCAAGCTTATACTTCACTAAATCTTGCCCTGCAGTTGAAACATAAATTCTATTCCTAGAAGTTGTTGACACATTGTTACACCCAAACACTGGGGCAGTCACCACTCTGGTATGGTTGATTCACTTTTAGACAGGAAGTGATAGAATCAGGTTCAGAGTTCTCTCCCATGCAACTCAACCTAGTTTTATGCTGATGATTCTGAAGGTTTGATACTGCTCACTGATAGCACTCTGTATATTCTGAAATATGGTTAATTATGATAACTGGGAAATCTTGCTTTTAGAAAGGCTTAGAGGCTATGTTCAAGTTTTCATTGTAGCTATTGCCAGGAGAATTGTCAGACATGGCTTGGGCCTTTGAAATGTGAATCTGATTGAAATGCAAAGATAGGGGTGGAATGAATTCCAGAGGTAGTTTGCATATAGCCTGTGTGTTCACTCACTCAGTCCACTGCATAATAACACCTTCAAAAATATTTGAAAATCTGAGTGAGCCTCAGAGTAGATGAGAGTATGTATGTGTAAAAAGAGATGAGATTAGGAGAGACAGTAAGAAAGGACGCTAGAGTAATAACAATAATAATAATAAGTTTATGTATTGGAGTATAAGAACACGACAGTGCCAAGCACTTTATGTGCATTATCTCATTTAATTCCCTTGACAGCTCTATGAGGTAAGTTATTATCATCATCCCCGTTTTCTGGATGGTAAAACTGAGGCTTAGATAGGTCTTGTAACTTGCTTAAATTTACACAACTACTAAATGACAGAATCTAAGTATAAACTCATACTTTTATCTTTTTTTAAATTTTAGATTTGGGGGTACACATGCAGGTTTGTTAAATGGGTTTTTGAGGCATCTGAATTTGGGTTTCTGGCGAACCCATCACTTAGATAGGGCACATAGTCCCCAGTAAGTTGTTTTTCAGCCCCTTTCCCCCTTTCTCTCTCCCTTCTCTCTTTTGGAGTCCCCAGTGTCTATTATTCTCATCTTCATATCCATGTGTATCTATTGTTTAGTTCCCGCTTATAAGTTGGAACATGTGACACTTTATTTTCTGTTTCTGCATTAATTCACTTCAGGATAATGGCCTCCAGCTACATCTGCATTGTTTTAAAAGACATGATTTTATTTTTTATTATGGCTGTGTCCTATTCCACAGTGTTTATGTACCACATTTTCTTTATCTAATCCACCGTTGATGGACACTTAGGTTAACTCCTGACTTTGCTATTGTAAATAATGCTGTCATAAACGCATGTAAACTCATACTTCTCTAACTTCTGATTTTGTGCTCTTAACCACAGTAAACAACTCAGTTCCTTGTAACAGGTCACTACTGAGAGATCAGGAAAAAAACAGCTCTCCAAGATTGTCCCAAGGACCCCCTGCACCTGCAAGTATCCAACAAGTCCATCAGCCCTTGGACTACTGTTGCATGAATGAGACAGACATGAGAAGACTTGAGTCTCCATGTGGTCTTTCTCAGTCACCTTGGGGCCCCACCAAGTGTTGGTGTTTTTACCATTTGCTCCTTGACAGAAAGAATAGGAAGTTCATGAAGGTTAATGTGTCATAAGGCATGAGAACACTGGAAGGTTGAATGAATCACTTGCTTTGGAGGCCTTTGAAAACAAAAACAAAATGGCAACAATTAAAAACAATTACTGGGTACCTATTCTGTTCATCACTCAACTTGTTTTCTATGCACACATATCTGTGTGTGTGTGTATATATATATCACACACATAGATATAGACAAGTATATATATCCTCATGTAGATGTGGGTATGTATGCATGTGTGTATCTATATGTGTACATAAATACATATTTATGTGTGTGTGTATATATGTGTGTGTGTGTGTATGTATGTGACCAGTGATAAAGGCATTCACCCTTTTCAATTAGAACACTGAATCTCAGAGTTTAGAAAATGTGCTCAAGGTTATACACTTAGTAAGTGAAAGTTCTCATGACTTTGTGTATATCATAGAACCTTCCTGAGCTTTAGCTAACCCCTCTGGAAAATGAGGAAAATAATACCTGCCACCAGGAGTTGATGAAATATTGTTCATAAGGATACCTCACCTGGCACAAACCAGCAGCTCATTACACATAACTGCAATAAATTTGCCCCCTCGACCACGCAATGTCATCTTCATGTGGGTGAATGCTGAAGGAGTTAGAGCTATGCTCCTGTCCTTGTAACTTAGGATCTGCTGTAGAGGTGATGGCATGCACTATTGGAATGGATTATCTTCGACACAAGCAGAAGTTAGAATGTAGTATGCCACTTTAATTACGCTTTAATTGAACTGCAATATACATCACCACTTGGCATAGGCCCTTTGAAGTCCGGTATCACCACCCTGCCTCGTGAGAATGTGTGCCGTTACCACTAGCATAATTGTTGGAGCAACTGACATGTTCCCAGCAGCAGATATTTCAGCAGGTAGTGAAGGTAATTAGGAGAAGATTTTGATCTTGCTGACTTATGGTGAAAAGCCAGGTATCGAGGGATATGAATGTAGAGACAATCCAGTCATATTAAAGCCAAACACAAAAGCTCCTTTTTAATATGAGGAACAAAAAAGCAGTAAAAACAAAGCTATTTTCAATTTGAAGAGGGAAAAATGCTATCCTTTGATCCCTGACATAATATGACGGGGAAACAAAGCACTCAGACAAATCATCCTGTATGGTAATTTTCTTTCTCGTTTGAATTTTTTTTGCCTGACAACCAAGTGACTGCTGCTTTAAAAAGTTTATTCACTTTGTTCATCTAACAAACTTTATTAAATGCCTAACATGGGCCAGTCACTATGTTAGGCTCCTGGATCTTTGCACTCAGCCATTCACAGTGTACTGTGGGACTGACATATTTTCAGATAATTAGAGTACAGTGTTAGGCATCAAGTATGTTAAGCAAGGGACTGTTGAAGCAGGAAGGAGACCCTCTATAAAAGACTGGTAAGAGGAGGGTAGGTGCATGATGAGATCAGAGGTTGCTTTCTGGAGGAAAAAGCATTTGACCAATGGAAGAAATAGAATTCCGCTGTATTAAGGGAAAAAGGCTATTTTCTACAGGGCAAAGTGCTTATGTTTATCACAGCACTAGTCACAATAGCAAAGATATGGAATCAAGCCAAGTGTTTATCAATCCATCAGTGAATGATTAGATGAAGAAAATGTGGTATATATATACAATGGAATAGTACTCAGCCATAAGAGAATAAAATCATGTCTTTTGCAGTAACGTGAATGGAACTGGAGGCCATTATCTTAGTGAAACAACTCAGAAACAGGAAGTCAAATGATGCATATTCTCATTTATAAGTGGGAGCTAAATAATGTGTACCCATGGATGTACAGTGTGGAATAATAGACATCAGAGATTTGGAAGGGTGAGGGGGTGGAAGGAGGGTGGATGGTAAGAGATTACTTAATTGTGTGATGGATGTTCAGTGATCAATAACCTAAAATCCTCGACTTCACCACTACACAATGTATGCATGTAACATAATTATACTTGTACCCCATACATTTCTACAAATAAAAAAAAGAGCTTATGGAAAGGCACAGAGGGATAAGAAAGTTTAAGGAAGAGTACAAAAGTTCCATTTACCACCATGTTGATGTAGGTGATTGGGTTGTGAGAAATGAGGATGGGTGGGGCAGGAAAAGTGATGTGTGCTATGCTGAGAGGTTTGTTCTTTAACCTAAGGGAAATAGAAAATCTTGGAGTAGATTTGTAGAGTTGAATTTATATCTTTAATAATCACCAGATTGGCTGATGAACTGAACTGAAGAGAGATGACTTCAAAAGCAGAGAGGCCAGTTAGGAGGCCATGGCAAATCCCTGGGAGAGAAATCGTATGGGTCTGAACTAAGACAGTGGCAAGAACAGTAGGAACAGAAGAGGAAGCTAGAAAAGAATCTATCTTTGAAGCTGAATTCAGAGTAGATACAACTAAGATCTGAAACTATAAATTGAAGAAAAAATAGAGACATCTACATTGCTCATATTTAATGGGGATGGTAAATAAGACTACCTTTGCCTAATATATGGCATACATATGATCTTGAGAAAAATCTGTATGTGGATTAGATTTTTATAAAGTAAATCACATTTGAGTATGTCAGAAGAGCTTGTGGTTTACAATACTCTGGTGTTGACTGATTACAATATAGGCAATAACTCTCTAACTTACTTGTATAGTTCATATAAATTTTCATATTTGGGGTTAGCTTAAAGCATATTTTAGACATCTTTGCTGCAAATTCACTTTTATTTGGTCAGATAATATACTTTGGTATATAATAATGTGTGTGGCAATCTCTCATTCACTAGAATAGTTTTAACCCTGATTGCTTCAGTTTCAGCAATGTTTTGGTTAATATTAGTGGTTTACCTAGTGCCTCAAGTTAATATGAATGATCCATTTACTATATAAGGTGATTTTGTGAATGACATTGTATTAGTCTGCTCTCACACTGCTAATAAAGACATAGCTGAGAAAAAGGTTTAATTGACTCACAGTTCTACAGGACTGGGGAGGCCTCAGAAAACTTACAATCATGGCAGAAGGGGGAAGCAAACATGTCCTACTTCCCATGGAGGCAAGCAAGGAAAAGTGTCGAGTGAAAGGGAGAAGAGCCCCTTATAAAACCATCAGAACTGGTGAGAACTCACTATCACGAGAATAGCATGATGGTAACCACCCCCATGATTAAATTACGTCCCACTGGGTTCCTCCCATGACAGGTAGAGATTATGGGAACTACAATTCAAGATGAGATTTGAGTGGGGACACAGCCAAACCATGTCAGGCATGAAAAGTGTTTGTGACGGACAGATAGATGAGTAGATGGGTGGACACATAAATAACAAAATAGGTAGTGACTGGTAGACTGATAGAGAGATAATAGAATTTGTAGACTCATACTTTCAATAAGCTTTAAATATGAATGTCCCGTGAACCAAATGGTGGCTCAGAAAGCCTGAGCCACAGAAATTGCTAGTGGCCATAAATGAATTAGAATTCAGACCATCTAATAAAGAATTTAATGCAACTTACACACATCATACTGATAATGGATAGATTTTAGATAATGATAGATAGTAAAATAATTTTATACTTCTATAGCAAAAGAAAAGTTACATGAAGAAAATGGTAGTGCCATCAATAGTCCACATAATAGACAGTCTTGAAATTAAAAAACAAAATGATGTTGCCTCAAAAAATAGAAGAAGTCACCAAGCAATGCACGTCTGTTGTCCCATTTAACCTTCGTAATAGACCTAGCATTTAGGTATTATTATGTCCCTTTTATAAATGAGAAAATGGAGACTCAGAGAAATTAAGTGACATGTCCAGCATCATTCACTTCTAAGAGTTGAAGAACCTAGTAAAACTTTGTAACTTCCATGGCTTCTATGGGAGTTTACTTCCCACTCAAGCTGAGATTCTGCAAGCCAGTTCTATTGCTACTGTGATGTGAAGACTCATCATGAATGCCTTTTGTTTGCTTTTATGAAATTGTTTTTGAACTTCTCTCCAGGGAGTAGGTGGCTGAGTTACTGGAAAATGTTCTTGTTTAACATTTTGTAGATAATAAATACTTTTATTCTAATAATTCCAAATGCAGTGTTTTGAAGGGCTCAAAACCATGTGTGGATGATTGCTGAAATCTCTCAATTACTTAATCATGTTCCCATGAATAAATACAAAAAAGAAACCCACGAGGTCAGATCAGTGGTTCATTCTACCCGGTGTACAGCACCAATGCTGACATGAAAGGATCATTTGTCACTTGTGTTCCATGATGTCGACTTCAAAAGATTCAGTGACTGCCCAAGCAGGTCAAGCTTGTCCTAATTACAAATTGTAACTCAACCATTCATCATTTTAGCACAACCCTTTTAGAAGGTATTAGTACAGATCTATAAAGATTTTATTCACTTATGCATCTGTTAACTCAAAAACATTTATTGAGCTCCTTCTGTGTGCCATGAAATTTCTGAAGTATTGGATTCAGAAATGAGTGAATTGCTTCTCAAAAGCTCAGGTAAAAGGACTTATTGTCCCTCAAAAGCTCTGGTAAACAAACACCTGCTATGTAATTATAGGCAGATTATGATGGAGAAGAGCAAGAAACACCATAGAATCACAGTGTAGGGGGTGTGTTTTCCCTCGGAGGAGAGTGTTTCAGGTAGCTTTGGCCTTTTCATCCCTGGCCCCCAAACAAACATACAAAAAGCAAATATGTACTGAGCATACTCTTGGAGCAAAGCCCAGCAAACCTACAGCTTGAAGCAAAGCCCCCCCCCAAGCTCAGCCTCAATCAGCTAAGTGGTAGTGCAACCCCATGACCCCTAGAACAAATTATTGTTGATCATAAGCCTTTTGTTTGAGTTTGTTTCCTTTTATGCAGCATTATTGCAACAACAGCTGACTAATACCAAATATAAGGCCCTGGCACATGAAAGAATCTCAGTAAACGCTAGATCTAACTGTTCTTATTCTTCTATTCCTGGTATCAAGAGTCCATTAAAAGTGGGTTGTGTATTTGAGTGAATACATATCTACACTGTATTTAAACAAAATATTCTACTTCTCCGTCACCAAAGAGTATGTACCTCCACATTACAGGGAGGGAAACTGAGGCATGAACCTGCACCTTGATGCCTAAAGTCCACCCTAATATATAGAACATACAGGGTTAATTGCTGCCTGTAAAAACTGCTGCCTAACATGCAATGAAAGCTCAATAAATATGTTCAGCATTCTCTCAAAAGAAGAGAAGATGTTTGGATACATGGAGAGAGCTGGCTGGGCTTCTGCCTAAGACCCCAGTGGCTTTTCTTTGGAGGCAGACGTAAATGTCAGGTTTAAGATTGCAGGTGAAAAAGAGTCACCAAATGACTCTTAGAAGAACCTTCACAACCACTACTAGGGCAGGCAACCTAGTTTCTTTGTTGGTCAAAGCTATTCTGAGCCCCCAATAAAAGGAGAAAGGCAATTCTGAGCTCCCAATAAAAGGAGAAAGCCCCTCTTCCCCTGATAAAAGGGGGAAAAAAGAGCCTAGTTTGATTTTGGAGTTTTCTTTACCTTTAAGAAAGGGAGAAACTCAAACTTGTTGCAAGCAAATGATATTAAATGCAAACGTTCAGGTTTCATTTACAGAATCCACATGAGATGGCTTGGCCTTTGAGCATCTTGACCTTTACTCATGATATCACCCCACAGGTTAATAAAAGGACACGTGGGAACATTTATACTTTTTACTCATGCTACAAGTATGTGCTGACCACTTATTTTGTGGCAGCAAAGGATTTCATATGTGGACACAATTTGAGGAAAAAGAAAAGGAAATTAACACTTATTGAAGGCCCAAAATGGCATTTCTTTTCTACAGTTTATTTAAATCCTCGTAACAGTCTTATAGGATAAATGGGATCTTTCATATTTTAAAAACAGAAAATTGAGTCTCAGAATGATGCCTTAGGTTGGATTTCCTGCAAACAGACTCTGCAGGAGAGTTTTGCATGCGGGATATTTATTGGGAACTGCATTTGGGAACCACACCTGTAAGGAAAAGCTGGAAGCAGGATTAGGCAATAAAAGGTGAACCATGATGCAGTTGCAACAGAGGCCTCAAGGGAATCTACAGGGAACTCTAGAATTTTCTTAGATTGAGACAGGGAGTTGAGATACATTCAAATAATTATGCAAATAGAATTATTAATTTCTTATTATCAATATTCAGGTAGGAAAAATATTTACTAATTTACTTTATTTACTTATTCACACATTGATTCATCCATTCTTTCACTTACAAACACTTAGAGAGCCCTTACTATATGCTGGAAACTATGCTAGGAGCTATATAAACTCTGAATAATAATTAAGTGTACTTTTTGCTCTTTGAAGGCCTTGGAGTCCAGCCTTGTGAATGTGTAAGTAAATGAGGTCTCTAAAAAGGATTTTTTAAAAACACCTACTTTAAAATTTCTATCAAATTAAAACAAGAATAGACCTAATCTGCAAACAAACAAATTTTCCTCAAGGCAACAGGAAATCCTGGAGAGACAAGAAGACACTTTTATAAAGCAACCAAGTGTTCCCTCCCCCCTTAAAAACCACTCTCTGTGGGTAGAAACTAATGAAAGAGTACATTTTGCTGTCTCATCTCCTCTGTTTGATGGATTTGGCTCTACACAGAGGCCAGAGTCTACTTGGATTGCTTTTGAATTTGCCCTTGCATCAACTGAACTCTCTAGACTACTCTCTCTGCCACAGGAAAAAAAAAATGTTCTTACTATGAATAATAAACTCTTACATGAAGTAACTCTAAAGAAAGTAGATTGGAAAATAAAGACCGAGCTAAATAAAAATGTCATAATAGGTAAGAAGTCTTGCCAGTATTTTTCCGCTGGGATCCTTAACCTATTATCCATTAATATTTTGGGCTTACAGAAGACAAAGTAATTAGCATGACACCACTTGCTGAGAACTCCACAGACATGAAAAACTATAGTTCTGGCTTCAGAGCATACTTGTCAGCAGTACAATATGAACAAAGTATCTACAATTACAAATACTTAATAAAGACAAGCTAAGTTTCCCACCAGTTTGAAACAAATAAAATATACTAACAGCATGTTGACTTCTGAATCTTTTGTTCTATCCAAGATGAAACTTGGGAGATTCTATTACTATCTATAGTGGACTGCCCTGTAAGATGAGATCATAAAGAATAAAAATAATTTAGTGTTAATAGAGGAAAGGAGAGCTGACATTTAAAAAATGTTAAACTGGGGTTGAATTAGGCTAATCTAGTTTCTTAGAAGCATCAAAACCAACAAGCTTCATTGCTGAAAGAGAGTAAAAGGAGAACCCTCTGGAAACTGAGACGTATAACTCATTTATAAACTCATTCATTCATCTGACCATCCAGCAATATGTATTGACCACCTACTAGATCCCAGACTTACATAGGAAATGAGAATGAAGTGATAAATACAAGAAACAAGATCTCATTTTCATGAAACTTACATGCTGAGAGGGAAAAATTAGAAAATTACCAAGTAAAAAATGAGCAATGTAAATATAATATTGAAGACTGATAAGTGCTATGAAGAAATTAAAGCACAGTAACGGTGAAGAGAATAATGGTGGGATCAAAGATTCCAGATAGGGTGATAAATACAGGCTTCTCAGAACTGGCATCATTTGAACAAGGAAGGAAGAGGAGAGGAGAGAAGGGGAAAAAAGGGGAGGGGATGGACGGGGAGGGGAGGAGAGGAGAGAAGGGGAGAAAAGGGGAGGGGACAAATGGGGAGGGGAGGGGAGGAAGAAAGGAAGGAAGGAAGAAAGGGAAGGAAGGAAGGAGGGAAGAAGAGAGTGGGAGGAAGAGAGGAAGTCAAAAAGAAAAGAAGAGAGAAAGGAAGGAAGGAAGAAAGGAAGGGAGGGAAGGAGGGACGGAGGAAGGGAGGGAGGGAGGAAGGAGGAAGGCGAGAAGGATGATAAAGAGACTTCTATGGGAATCTATGGAGAGAGAAATTGTACTCCAGGAAGAGGGAGCAGCCAATGTAAAGGCCTTGAGGTGGAGGAAAGTTTAGCATAAATGGAGAAATTCTGGTAAGCCCACTCATGATCTGTTTATGAAGCTGTGTGCCCTGGTGTATGGGCTTCCAGGGGAAGGACTGCTTGTTCTTAGTTTGTCCAGGCACTAGATGCAGCTTTGGAAGGTCCAAGAGCTTAGAGAGCAGGGTGGAGAATGGCAAGAGGTATGACTGGCAAAGCCAAATCATGATGTCATTGGAAAGGCGATGTACCTAAAGTTACATCCTGGTTTCTTACTCAGACACTGCCACTCATGAAGAGGTGATCTGGGGCCAGTCCCTGCTCTACTTAGAGCCCCAGCCCCTTTTCTACAAACAAGGAAGACAAACTGGATGCTCCCCAAGCCTCCTTGTCACCACACTCTTCATGATTCTGTGAAGCCACTGTTTTAAGTGCAAGTATAATTTAAATCAAGAGCCTTAAAACTTCAGCCCTTGGAGAGGCCAGCAGGTAGTACTGTCATGTGATGTTTAGCTTTGTTGGTTTAGGCTAAAATAATTAAATCAATTATCTTTTACACAATAATCATCAAGTAATTTTTGAATGAGATGAGTAAGGGAATTTGGAGACCAAACGTGATGGAGAAAGAAGATAAAGGGTGGGTGTGGATCTTTGCCATGGATAAAGAACACCTGGCCTCATTTGCACCCTGTGGTGGCTGACTACATAGATTTTCTGGATTTTAAAGATAGTTTGTTGTTCTTATGAACCAATTACAGATTGCCAGGAATTTTTTAATAAGGGAGATAATTAGATCAGATGCAGTTAGAGCATCCATTGAATGATGAACATGTCTACATTTTTAGAGTATTAAAGAAATATATGAATTTAATTTAATTATCCAGATTAGAGAGAAGGTAACCTCTTCATCCTACAAATGAGCAAGTAGAAGCTCAAAGTAGCTAAGGAAATAACTTAAAATTGTTGATTTCCAGCAAAGCCAGGACTAGAGTCCAGGCTTCCCTATTATAAATTCTGTACTTTGAGATGGATGTAATTGAATGATATTATAAATATATTTATGTAATATTCACAGAGCTCTGTTTTCTTTTATACCACCCAGGTCTCTGTTAATCCAAATAGTCCCTTTGTGTGAATAGCAAAAATAAGTAAGTAAAGCAGTGCCATGCCAGAGTGGTTGGTTTTGTCAGCCGACCTCAGGTTGGACTGCAGCCCCTCTTTACCCAAGCCTGGCAGCCCTAGTTATTACATTTGCTTTGTGCTTTGCAATATACTGAATTACTGTATTTCATAATATTTTGGTGGCTCTAAGGAGCAATCTTGTGAGACATTCAAGGTAGAGAAAGTATTCCTGCCCCCTATTTGATTGATTAGGAAGTGACGATTTAGAGATGATATGACTTTTCCATGCTCACTTCCATCACTGGGGGAATGGATCTTGATCCCAGAGTTTCTGATACGAAATACAATCACTTATCTACATTACTTCAGTAGAAAAAATGTAAGCCTACTAATTTATTTTTCTTAATTGTTACAGCTCTTGGACAAGAGTGTGAGGTTTGGGGGAAGGACTTAAAATGTGAGCTGCAAGGGAGTTCTGCTATGATCTATGGATTTCATATTTCTGAGGAATCTTTGTCCTTCATTAAGTTGAACCCAGTAAGCTGTTCCCAGACCTGAAGAACTTCTGCATGCAGGAACATAGGTTAGGCTAGGCTGAACACTCTTTCTTTTCTATTTGGGGCTTGGGCCTGTCCAAGTGCAGACAAAATGATGTTACTTACGAAACACAAACATGTAATTGAAAAACAAAACCAATTATGTTAATTAATAGTTGCTCAGTTTTTGGAACACAATGAAAGGGTTTTAAAAGTTATAAAAATTGCACCAAAATAAAGTATGATATTTAAGAAACAAAAATCCTCCACACTCTGTATTGTGTTTATTATGACACATACATATTAGCTTATAATTTATTGTCAATTTTTAACTCTTTATGTTGGCATTATGAGAAGGATTAGAAAAATATTCCATAGAGTTGAGCGCCTGAGTGGAGGGCCGATGATCAGGACAAAATATCTCAGCATTAAAAATGTGGGAGGAGACACTCGGGTTAAAACAGAGAATTGCTATGTACAAGTTTGATTTGTGATACAATAGCTTATGTCAGCACAAAATCTTGTCTAATTTCTGTTCAATAACATTTGGGAATGTTTACATTCAAGAATGCGTGAACAAGCCTGTGGCTTACCTGCAAGTCTTGTTAAAATACATTGGCCTAACTTGAATGGCTCCGGTCCTGCCACTGACCATTCATTGCTCAGGGCATCTCTCCACGTTTTGTGTCCTAAGACTTGCCTTGGTGTGCAAGAACACTCAGTGTGCATTGGGATATGGGAATATATCCATTGGGAATGAATATTTAGGAACTCCTCATACTTCCTGGACCTACCTTCACTCCAAATCCAGCTTCCGGGTTTCTCTGAACTGTGTACCTTATGATCATAGGCCAGACTTAGCCTCACATGCCTAACTATGCCTCCAAGTGCCCTTCCCAGGCAAGGGCTATGGGACCTCTGCCAAAGACACTGTGGCCTTTTTGGGGAACAGTCACTGAGACTCTTTTGACAAAGAAAATGAGCTGGAGGGCTGGGTGCAGTTGGGTGCAGTGGCTCATACTTATAATCTCAGCACTTTGGAAGGCTGAGGCAGGAGGATCCCTTGCACCCAGGAGTTCAAGATCAACCTGGGCACTACAGTGAGAATATGTCAGAAAAAAAAAAAAAAAAAGAAAAGGAAGAAAGAAAGAAAGAAAATGAACTAGAAAAGCTATAGGCTTCCCATTATCCTCAGCAAACTAACGCAGGAACAGAAAACCAAACACCGCATGTTCTCACTTATCAGTGGGAGCTGAACAATGAGAACACATGCACACAGGGAAAGGAACGACACACATTGGGGCCTGTCTAGGGAGGGCACTTAGGGGAGAGCATTAAGGAAAAGTGTTAATGCATGCTGAGCTTACTACCTAGGTGATGGGTTGATAGGTGCAGCAAACCACCATGGCACACGTATACCTATGTAACAAACCTGCACATCCTGCATGTGGACCCCAGCACTTAAAAAATAATAATAAAATAAAGTATTTTTTTAAAAGAAAAGCTGTAGGCTACCTTTGGAGGCAAATCCAGATATTAAAAAGATAAAATATTTTAAATAAAACTGTAAAAACAGTTGAGAGAACCTCTATTAGCTATACTCATTTTGAGCAGATTATCTCTTTTCTATTAAAGCACTGAACATCACTCTTCTTATTACTAAGACTAAAGTTTAACTATCAGTGTGTAATTATATGACTGCATTGTCTCTGTGGACTTTGCCGGAGAAGAAATATACCTTCTTTGCTCTTATGCAGATTGAAGGGACAACTAAAATCTGTATGAACTCTCCAAATGAGTTGGACTGACATATTTGAACAAAACTGTAATAACCTTTGAGCAATTAATGATAATATTTAAGAATGATGATAAATGCATCAAAGTGCATGGGAGATTGCTTTTTTTAAAATTGAACTTTATACGTCAGTGTGCTTCATGTTGGTCACACATAAGCTTGCTATTGTAAAGGAAGGGTCTGAAGAGGGCACACTACTCATCCTTACTATAGGCAATCATGCTTGTGGTTCAAGTCTAGTACATTCAAATGTGCATCCAAGCTACCCACTGCAGTCCTTTGTTTTATACTTTCACAGCAAGTGCAATTCTATAGAGCAATACTTGATTTTTTAAAATAATTGATCTGCAAATATAAATAAGTCCATTGCAGAACACTGTCTTTGACTGCTAGGCTCATGATCTTAATAACAGCCCATCAGCCAGAATGAGATACTCAATTGCAAAGCAACTACACTCCCAGGATCGAGTCTCATCATTTGGGAAGTAGATAGCCAGAGTATGTTGTGTGGACAAAAAGTGAGGTTATGTATTGATTCCATTGACAGTGTGAATATTCCTGACCATGGTCAGAATAGTTTTGTAAAGCAAATGCATACAGCATGAATGCATATTTAACCATAGAATAATGGCTGAGGGAACAGACCTGGACTCATATTACTTGGGCTCACATCCTGATCCTGTTACTTCCAAACTATGTGCTATTGAGCAAAGTGTGCTGTGCATTCCCATTTTCTCTGTAAAATACAGACTAAAACTTGTCCTAGACTTGCTAGAGATTAAAGGAGATTATATATATAAAGTTTCTAGCACATTTTCTGTCATTCAATAATATTTGCTATGATAATTTTCTCTAACTTAGAAGAATGAAGACTGACATGCTAAAGTCATTCCAGAAAATGAACGACAATGCTATCCTACTAAATAACACCCAAGCCTCTGATTTATAAAACACATGTTGCAGATAACTGAGACAAGAAAGAAAAAGTCCTGGTTTCACAATCAGAACACCTGAATTTGAATTTTTCTTTGTGTAATCTTTAGGAAGTTGTTTATCCTCTCTCCATCTTTTTATAAAAAGGCAATTATGATGCCTACCTCATGCTGTTGTAATAGGAACTAATGAAAGCGTGTGTGCAAATGAACTAACACTGTGCCTCCCAGGAATGAAGAAAGTGCTACATAAATACTAATGTCCTCACCCTCTTTTCCTTTCTTCGAACTCATACGTCAAAGTTTTTAATTTATCTAAATTGAAGACTTGAGTAATGACATTTCTCAGTGAAGTTTTAGGTCAAGACATTTGTCCTAAAACCAGTTCAATGAGCCCATATTTGAAGTGCTTAGATTGTAAACACTGGACATATTTTCATCACAAAATAGCTGCAAACTTCATGCGTGAAGGAAACCCTCTTTTAGAACCTGGTTCACTTTTATCATGCTCACATGCATTTCATGTGTCTAACATGGCTCTTTTTTGATTGCAATGACACTGAATCTCACATTTCAGATTCATGGCCTTCAAAAAAAGTGGCTGAGAAATAGTTTGTGAATCTGAGTCATCTTCTCCAGACTCCAGACCTGTCTAGAGAAAACACCACCCCCTTTTTATTGGAAACATCTGAAGGTATAAGTCATTACTGAGTGTGTTTCTCGCCCATTGAATCCAGCCTCTCTCTTCCTCCTGATTCACACTGTTCTCAGGATGCTAACTGACGATTTCTATTCAAATTAAGTGGACCAGTCAGAGATTTTATTTTGCCCACTGTTTTGCTAGATTTTAATAAGGTAAAATGGTGACTAACGTGTTCCAGTTTCAGTCTGGGACCAGATAACCCTTTCCCAGAAAGCTGCTTCACTGTTTTCAAAGACAAACTTGTGCTGTGCAGTTGAAAGATGGGTTTGGGATTTCCATTCTGATTGGAAGTCTGGTAAATGTATGCTAATTTTCAAATACAGGGTTGACTTGGACTTCCCTAGTGTAAGGAGATTCTGTTTAGAAGTCAATGGAAAATCAATTCCTTGCTGTTTTAAAATTAATGCACTCAGTTATTTGAAAAGTGAAAGAGAGCCGGAAATCAGACTTCCTTTTAAACTTGAACCTATCAGGCCACAAGAGCTTTCTTAGCAAAATGTTTTTCTTTTCTATTGCATACAGCGTAAAATAAATGTTCAGCATTGTGGCCAGACCAGCACTAATGTTGTAATCAAATGTCATGATATTTCTATTTAATATTCGGAAAATGATTTGCATCCCCCAGGAAAACATTTGAACAGCTTTTCTAGCACCTCAGGTCCAAGATGTGTTTCCTCAAGAAGTTCAACACAAAGGTCTGCCTTTCAGGCTACCTTACTAATTTAGCTTTGCAATAAACCTGAAAGCGTTTAAGGATGTGTACTGAGTTACTTAAGCATTTCTACTATGGATACCTGCTACAAAGACTTAGACAGTAAATAGTGATATTCAGTCTTGGATTGTGTGCTATTTGGTGCTTCACAAAGCCTGTCACGAGAGTCTTCATCATTATGAGAAGTGGCTTTTGTTTGTTTTTATTTTGATTCCTTCAATGCAGAAATTCAGATGCAGACTCAGCTAGTGTTTGTAGGCTTTCACTGTGTGCCAAGCATTGTGATTGGCATCTCATCTATGTTATCTCATTTATCCTTGCAATAATTGTTGAAGCATGTCTTACTGTATTCATGAGCTTCTGAATTTGAAATGACTGGCTTAGGCTCACTCAATTGTAAGTGGATAGGGCAATTCCCTAGAAAAATGGCAGAGCCGGGATTTGCAGTAAGTCATCCCAAGATAGAAAATACTTGTACTTTGCCAAATCTGTGTTCAGTAGAATGCAGTCCTATTGCAAAAAGAAACCAAAAAAACTCAAGTCCTGTGGTCAAAGAAATTTGGAAAGTATGGAATAAAAGTTAACTGGTTTCTTACATGTGAGATTTTCTTAGAACCAAGAATGAGATTTCATATTAGTCAAGAAGAGCCTATGGTTGGATTATATCCCAAGTATTTTGTCCGTGAAATCCTTTCTATGAGGAGCCACTCATAAGAGTCAGCACATGTTGGGAAATGCTGTCTGACATTTTCTGAGCTTGCCATTATGTGCTATTTCCTGAGGTTTTCATATTTCAAAGAGAGGCTGAGCTCCTTTTGGTTCATAACACAGTCCCACTGTTCAAGGCATTTAAGGTATAGCTGAGAAAACATGGCCTATACCCATGAAGCCATTCGAAGCCCACAGAGGGTAGATCATGCTGCGTTTATTTCAAGGATTTCTGCTTATCTGAAAACATCAGTAGGATCCTTTCCCTGAAAGCAGGAATTTAGAAATGGCCTATGCAGTGAGCTTCAGGGTTCATCTTCTAAGAATGTAGGTCCTAGGAGCCACAAAGGAACTTTTTATGTTTCATTTTGTGATTTTCTACTGGAACTTTATAGGCATCAAAATTCTGGGAAATAATAAATAGTCCTCATGAGGATCTTTTCTTTCTTCAATGTGTGCCTAAAGGAGAAGAAATTCTTCGTGAACTCATTCAGTCCCAAAACACCTGGGAAGGACTCAAGAGAATGAAGATTATAGAAGAAGCAGTCTGTAGATATAAAATTGTGATAAAATTCATTGAATTGAAGCAAAACTTCTTGAATCTTAGATGTCCTGCCTTTCCATAAACAAATCCACAATTTGGTCTGGTTAATGTGGATTTACAGATATAATAGGAAGTTATGGGGTTGGGGGTTGGCAATCTCTTCGTCCGTTAACCGTTGTTAATAGCAAATCAACAATGTGACGCAAAGAAGGTGAAGAATGACTAATTCCCTCACTTTAGGTTATTGTACTCACTCTCTGAAGATGTCACTGCAGCTGCTCTCGTTTCCCATGTGTAAATGTGGCTAGAATTCTTGATTTGCAACAGAAGTTCCTTCCACATCAAGGGCATATTAAGTCTGTGTTCTATATAATGTCTGCATGAGCAATGTATAGTTCTTTTGTCATTATGGCTGTTAGACTACAACTCCATTCACTGTCAACTCTTTGCAGCTGTTGGTTCACACTCTCAACCCCTTCCTTTCCATCAATTACCTCACCACCTAGGGTGTACCACTTAGGATCACCTCCCACTCTATTATAGAAAAGGTGTCTACCATCTTTGTGAGCTGACTGCCAATTCAGCTTTTGTCGCTATCATATTTCGAGTTTGGGGATATATCAACACACATAACCATATAAAAAATTCCAAGATATTTATCTTGACATATGTAATATATTATATCTTAGTATAAGTCAGTACATACAGTTATGTGACCTCATTTATCCATCATTGTCAGTGAGTAGAGATGTCCATATAGAACACCAGACTTACTCTGGCCTTATCGTAACACTATATATTTGATTTTTTGGCAAGAAACGTAACTTCTCCAGGAGGCTAGTTTCTCATTTGGAAAATGGGGCTGATAGTAATGACCTCGCTGTGTGATTATGACATTGTTCATTTAAAAATATTTTGCAAATTGTGACAAGAAACATATTTTTGATATCTTAATCATTAATTGATTTAGCAAAAATTTGTTATTAATGTGTTATGTGAAAACACTAGGCAAGGTCTAGGGTGGCAAAAGTAATAAAGTCTTGTCTACCCAGAAGAATCTCCTACCTATAACAGAAGCACATAATGCAGCTGTATTCATGATGACTTTTTAGAGTATTTAATCACATTCTTCTTGAAACCCATTTCTTTTGTATTCAGTTAAACCATACTGCAGATGTTCTTTCTCTCTTTCAATTTTTTTCTTCTCAGTTGCTTTGGCCAACTGAGTTCTCTACACAGTTTCCAAATGTTGAAGTTCCTACAGTCTATCTCAAGCCAGTCTTTGATCTAGATCCTTTCCTGCACAACCTTATCCACTGACTTTAAAGTTCTTCTCTATGCCAAAACCTCTAAAATTTATATTTCTAGCCCTTAATGTGATTTCTTAAATTCAAAATTGTTAATATAACTATCTGATTTTTGAACTAAGCGTGCCCATACTAGAAACCTTGACTTGACTTTTAAATCTGTTGCTACATTTGTTTTTCTTACTCCAGTAAATGTTACCTCCATTTACCCAGATCAACAGACCAAAAACCTGGCCTTCATTATTTATACCTTCCACAACACACCCTTTCAAAACCCACCAAGAATATTCCTACCTGTAGTGCCATCATTCTATTGAAAGCCATCAGCGTCACTCACCTGAATCATGGCAATAATTTTCTAATTGATCTCCCAGAGTCATCTTTCTCAAACAAAAATGTATTTTTTTCTGAAAACCCTACAATAGCATGCCATTGCATTTTTCAGAATCAAAAAATAAAAAAAAAAAAAAAAAAGAAAAAGAGAGAAAGGAAAAAGAAAATCTGTAACATAATGTACCAGGCTATGAAGGCCTGGCTTCTCCCTTTCTTACCAGTCATGTCTAAGGTTACCCCCTTGCTGACATCCAATCACTTTATTCTTCTTTTGGGTCTTCAGGCACAAGCACTCTCCTGCCTCAGGATATTGCACTTGTTCCAAACTCTCTTGTTGCCTTCTCCCATCCACTGCACCTCCACTTAGCTAAGACCGACTCATACTTCCAGGTTTAGGTTAATGTCACTTCTGCATTTCGAGTAAGCCTACCTTGACTTACCTGTCTAAAGTAGACCCCCTGATACTTTTTCTCATGGGATGTAATTTCCCTTTATGGAATTTAAATGATACTAATTATATGTTTATGTTTATATGCTTACAGTTTGTCTTCCCACTTGAGAGCATACCCCATGGGGAAAGATATTAGAACATCTATATTCCTAAATACCCAGCCCCCAGTATAGTGCCTGGCAAATAGCAGACATTTAGAAGATATTTATAGAATAAGTTAAAGAATGACAAAAGTTTTTATTACCCAGATAATTGAAGCTTGACCCTTTAAATCACAGTTTTTAGCTAAAATGTTTTGAATGATATTTGTATTAATCATTAACATCACTTCTTATATTGTTTTTTAAAAATTTTTGTGGGTACATAGTAGGTGTATATATTTATGGAGTACAGGAGATGTTTTTATACAGGAATGCAATGTGAAATAAGCATATCGTGAAGATTACTTTTTATATTGAAGGAATAAAACATAAAATCATTGTTTTCTTGATAATTTAGATAAACAAGAAACAAAAGATAAAACATTTAATGCAGACAAGGCTTATATTTAAGGTCAAAAACATACTGAAATAGCATAAGTTACAGAAACTTAGCTTTATAACAGTTAATAAGAACATAACTCAGGAGTTTTAGTTTGACTATAAATTCAAAATGAGTCAACAGTGAATATGGCTGACACGCATAGACACAAGCTGTATTAGTAGAATTATAGATGCTAAAATAAGATAGGTGAAAGTTCAATTCTATTCTGGACCTAAAATGTCTATTTACTTCAGGCCACCAACATTGAAGAGGCATGTACAAACGTGGCACGGTATCAGAGGAATAGGACTCAATGCAGAGAGGTCATCTTATTGTTCTCATGAGTTTTCTCAACTGCCTGACGTAGGTATTCTCTAAGATTCTGAGCCCAGTTGACATCCCTTGTCATTGGATAATTGTAGAATCTTAGGCAAATTTCTTCACTGTCATTGTCCCAATGACTATTACCAGTCATTAATTTCCCAAATCTATATAACTTTCTCAGACCTTTCCCTGAGCTTCAGATGCTCAAATGCCTGTTGAGTATCTCTCCCTGGTTATCTTACAGGGACTTCCAAGCCAGGACTTTTTCCCAATGCAACGTTCCATTTACAGCAGTGCTGTTCGCCCACTAACAAATCAAAAACTGAAGAGATTTGTGTCTTAATCCGTTTGTGCTGCTATAACAAAATACTACAAACTGGGTAATTTATTCATAGCAGAAATTTGTTTCTCACATTACTGGAGACTGGGAAGTCCAAAATCAAGATGCTGACAAGTTTAGTGTCTGGTAAAGGACAAATCTCTACTCTAAGATGGCACCTAGAATACTCTGTCCTCACCTGGCAGAAGGTGGTGGAGCAAAAAGAGGCCTAGCTAGTTCCATTCAACACTTTTAATAAGACTATCCATGAAGTTGGAGCCCTCAATGCCCAATCACCTTCTAATGGACCCACCTCTTGCTACTGTTGCATAGGAAGTTAAGTTCCAATATGAATTTTGGAGGGCACATAAACATTAAAACCATAGCAAGATCTTAGCTGCTTCTTTCTCAGTCCCCAAACCTATTGAAGTAATTACATATTTTTCACTTCCTTGGATAGCACCTGTCTCTAATGCCACCTTCTCTTACCCAGCTACCACTTCCTAAGGTTTAGGAAAGCAGAGGATTAAGTTGTCTGGATTTTCTAGAAAATAACAGGTAATTAGAATGTGAATGGGCCTCTTTGGATTCTCCCCTGGTTGTGTAGTACAGCTTACAACAATAAATTTAGTCATGTTCATTTTGTCTGCTTTATTACAGTTTCTATCAGACCAAGCTATTTCATGCCATGATGCCTTTACTTATGCTGTTTCCTTCACCAGTGATACCCTCCTAACCCCACTAAATCTCTCTGCATAGAAAGTTTCCACTCATCCTTTAGGATTCATCCAAGCCACACATATAAATATTATCCTAGGATGTAAATTGTCTAAATATTCCACTTAAAGTACACAGAGTTGCAAGTTGGATTAAAAAAATAAGATCCAGCTATGTTGGTCTGCCCTGCAGATATTGAGCTTTCCAAGCCTAACAATCACGTGTGCCAATTCCTCAAAATCTTTCTATATATGTGCACACACACACACACACACATATACATGTGGCTGTATACATATATGTGTATGGTATGTAAGTATATCTTTTCATATAACATACATATCTCTCTCTTTATGTAATATTATTTTTATATAATATTTATATATGTATAATTTTTATATTTTTTGTAGAGATGGGATCTCACTATATTTCCCAGGCTGGTCTTGAACTCCTGGGCTCAAGTGATCCTCCAGCCTTGGCCTCCAAAAGTGCTGGGTTACAGACATGAGCCACCTTCCCTGGCCTATAATAATATTAGGTTTTAGGAATAAGACCAGGTTGTGTGCTCTTGCCACTGACGTTTGGTCCTGGGTAGCATAGTAAACCATGAATTAGTGAATGAATGAATGAATGATATTGGAATTGAATTTTTAAAATTATGACAGCACATATGATTTTCATATATATTTTTATTTCAATTTACACATTTATTATTATCATTAATAAGAATTTAACAAGACAGATAATTAAAAATTAAATATCTACCCACATAGCAATAAATAGAAAACAAATTTTAAAAATTACAATTTCATTAAAAAGTATGCAGAAATTAAATACAAGTAAGACCTTCATAGAGAAAACTTGAATACTTAGTTTATAGATATAAAAGCAAAGCCTAGTAGAGTGACAAATGAGCCAAGTTTTTAGATTAGATATAATGTTCAAATATATTTTATTCTAATATAGATACATCGGTCTTCTCCACTAGAATATCAGCAATGTTTTCAAGAATTTGACAGGCTGATTAGAAGCCTCCTATAATCAACCTATTTAGAATTCAAACCCCTCTACCACACCATCTCAATCCCACATAGCCTTGTCTATAATTTGTATAGCCCTTTTACTTTCTGGTATTATTTATAATATAATTTATTTCTTATTACTGTTTGTGCCTATTCTTCCCCACACACATTAATTTGTAAGCTCCACAAGGATGGGAAGTTTTGTCTCTTTACTGCATGATGCAGCCAAGTACCTGCTACATAGTAGGTGGTTGGCAATAATTGGTTGGATGATGTTTAAAACCAATGTAGCTGGGTATGGTGGCTCATGTCTGTAATCCCAGCACTTTGCAAGGCTGAGGCAGGAGGATCACTTAAGCCTAAGAAAGACCAGGCTGCGAAACATATGAAGATCCTATCTCTACAAAAAAAATAATTAAAAATTAGCCAGGCATTGTGGCACACACCGGTGGTCCCAGCTACTTGGGAGGCTGAGGCATGAGGATCGCTTGAGCCCAGGAGGTTGAGGCTGCAGTAGCCATGATCACACCACCAGACTCCTGCCTGGCCAACAAAGCAAGACGCTGTTTCAAAAGAAAATAAGTGAAAAAAAAATAAGTGAAAATGTGTATTAGTTTCTGATACAATTGGAAAATAATAGCAAAGTTACTGTTGGATAAAAATTAGAAAGATACCCTCCAGGCTTATAGAATATACTAACTAGGATAGTGCAGTTTTTGGATAGGTCAAAATAAACTAGCAGAAGATGAAGGAGAAACTATAAACAGATTCAATTTATGCATGTATGTGCACCCCTGATGTATTGCAGAAATGCTATCAGAGAGCATTGGGCAAAAGAACAGTCTTTACAATAAATGGAGCTGAAACAACAAATTAAAAACAAACAAAGACTTATTCAAATCCATTGTCTCTAAGAATGTCTTCTCTAATTGTCTGATCTGACTAACCTTTCTTCATTTGTGGCTGCCCAGCTCCCTAGACATGTAGCTGTTATGACATATGTGAAGCTGTGTTCTAACGGTTTGTTAAACCTGGCCAACTCCAAAATACCAAGCCTTTCCATTAACATAGAATTGAGATATAATGTTCTGGAGTAAATTCCAGGGCCTTGTCAATATTTCCAAAAATTTTGAGAAGGTAGGGAAGGGTGTTACACTTTCCTGGTTCCATCACAAGGAAATTTATCAAATTTGATTATAAAAATTTAAAATTTTGCAAAATTTATGCACACCAACACTCACAGACAAACATGGCGCTGCTTGCAGTTGAGAGAAATGTAAACAAATATAAAGATGCAGTATTAAATCATAACTGCATAATATTAACAGTAGTACCTACTATACTACTGTAATAATTTCACAGCTACCTTCTGTTGCTATTGTGGTGAGCTTGTGTTGCAGGTATTTGTTTAAAACACCATGTGACACTAATCTTCTCCTTATGAGCAGTTCTCTCCAGAAAATTGTGGATCAAAGTGAAAAAGTAATCTCTCATGGCTCTCAGGGATTTTTCATCATGATTAGTGAAATATCATAAATTTTGAGTAATACCATGGGATCCATACAAAGTGCCACTAATGTTACTGGAAGTGTTCCCAAGAAACAAAGTTATGATGTTACAAGTAAAAGTCAGATTGTTTGATATGGATCATAGATTGAGGTTCTACTGCTCAGATTTCCCATTTCAGATAGAAGATTCATCTTATAAACAGATGTGATACACCTACAGTATTGACATATACAGTATGACACCATTAAGGTATTTTCTCTTCCTTATAATCTTCTTAATAGCATTGTTTTTTTCTCTAGTGTGCTTCATCATAAGAATATAGTATATAATACATGTAACATACAAAATATGTGTTAACCAACTGTGTTATCAGTAAAGCTTCTGGTCAACAGTAGGCTATTAGCAGTTAAGCTTTTTGGGCAGTCAGAAGTTATACTCAGATTTTCAACTGTGCAGGGGTCAGCAACCTAACCCCTGTGTTGTTCAAAGGCCAGTTGTAGCTTGAATCATACAGCATGCAGCCTTTTTAGATTGGCTTCTTTCACTTAGTAATTTACACATTTTTCTTACTGTTTTTTCATAGGTTGAGAACTCATTTCTTTTTACTGCTGAGTAATATTCCATTGTTGGACATATCCCCAGTTTATTTAAATCATTTTAAAATCATAGTTTTTTAAACTCAACTTGTGTCAACTTTTTAATTTGGATCCATGACTTTTCACATAAGTAGAAAATAGGTTTTCTTCTAAGACAAAACAAACTCCACAGGTTGATTCTTGTCCTCCCTGCCATCGTCTTATTCTCTCCTCCTCATTGTCTTATTCCTCCTTCTCCCGCACCTTATTTCTTCCCATCTCCCTCCTTTCCTCCTCTTTCTCCTCCTCCTACTCCTTGTTGCAGGAGTTCTGTGATCTGTCTTTCCTGCTAGAATCCCAACTTTTGAGGGCAGGCATTATGACTTATGTATCTAGTGATACCATAGCCCAACACAAAGTATCTTCATTAAACCTTCAGTTACTGAAACACCGAGGTTTTCCTTGGTTGACACCCGGTTTCCTGCATGCGTCCTGGATAGAGCAATGACTTCATAAGTAGCCTCCTGGTACATACTCCTTCATGCTTGTTTATTTGAGTGTGTGTGTGCGAGTTTGTGTGTGTTACACATAACAACAATATCTAGCCTTATTAGCAAAACTACCTGTGTATTACTTCATGCAAGCATTGCAAAAACACTATGAAATATGTATTATTATTACCTCCATTTTACAAATGAGAAAACTGAGGCTCAGAAAGTTTGGATAATTTGATTAATTTTAAAATAATCGTTAAATGGCACAGTCAAGAACTAAACCAAGGCAACTTGACTCTGAAGCCTGTGGTTTAACTATTACACTGTACAAATAAATGTATGTACCAGTTTTATCACATAGAATGGCTGCTAAAATAAATTGGTAAACTCCAGTGTTTCTAAAGACATTACATGAAAGGTCTTTTAGCCCATATCTAATACAGAATAAGTTAATAAAAATCTATAATGAAAACTTAAAATCTTCTCTGGGAAACTAATCAATGCTTTTAATCATTCTCTGACAAATACATTAGTGAATTAAACTCCATATGCATGCTCAGAAGAAAGAAGAAAATTGCTCAAAATGCCATGTTGTCATCTTTTTGCTTAGACACATGAAATCGCCTTGACATTATGATTTACAGTGGAGACTTGCAAAGATAAACACAAATCTTCCTTTTCCCATTTATTTACTGGAGAAGCAGCTATATTCTAGCCTTTTGCTGATTGGGTGGGCACAGTCAATGAGCCAGCTTCTAAAATCTGAATGGTAGTAAGCAAATTACAAGATAGGTTAGCAATTTAGGTAATGTGCTTTGGAAACTATAGTATATAATACATGTAACATACTAAATATATGTTAACCAACTGTGTTATCAGTAAAGCTTAAGCTTTTTGAGATCAAAGACAAGAGGAATAAAACCATCAACACACACATGCACACACACAGTAGGCCAAATTCTTGATTTTGATGATGTATGCTACACTGTGGATTTTAAAAGTCCTGTTCAGAAAAATTATCTTCAAATTTCATTGGTGAAAATTCAGCATAAAGAAGGGTGACAGAGCTTTAGTGAAGTACACAAATGAAGAGAAGAAATCATGCAGTTTGGGGGCCCAGATCCTTCTCTGAAAAGTATGAAGCTTTCAAAAAGGCATAGCTAGACCTTGAAGATCATCTACACCAACAACCCTCCTTTTTTCCAAGGTGCAATATGGTACCCATTTAAGAGTTTTATATTGTGTGGAGGCTAAAGCAACTTCATCTTGGATGCTAATCCACCATGTTGACTTCTGATCAACTCCAGTTCTGGGAATGCCTCTAAGATTTCTACTTTCACATACTTACTGTAAATCCAGCCCTTAAGTCGAAACAACTTTGATGTTATTGTAAATGCGTACTTATCATAAACTCTGCCCTTAAGCAAATTCTCTATGGTATATAAGCCCTGGGTCTGGGGGTAACTGGATGGGGATCCAACATCTTATCCCTCGGCTTTTTGTTTGTAGGTCTTTATTAAATGTTTCTTTCAAGGAAACTGGATATGTCAGCCTCTTTCTTCAACCTCTCAGCCCCCTGGGCCTTGGGAAGAAGATGTGCATATGCCTGCCCACTGCAAAACATACTAGAATCTCAGCTTCACCATGATCTACCCTTGTAACTTGTGTAATAATTTTTCTGAACTTTAAACCTCTTGCGGGATTAAGTGGGACATTCAGGAGATATGCACAAAACACCTTAGGTGATGCTACTTCCCTTCTTCATCACTGTGGGTGAAAAAAACTAAGACTTCTCTGGTAAGCACCCAACAATGTTGCCTCTTTACCATCTAAATGGTATGTTTCCTTTCAGTCACAGCTCTGGTTTAAAGGAAGCATTTGCACAAAGGGTCATTGCTGTGATCTTCCTGGGCTTATCTTACCTTATCTCTCCAGCTAACATCTGACCCCTTGATTCAGTGCTCAATACATTCCTTCCATCCTTTCCATTTGGTTGAAATTTTTCTCTTTGACTTCACAAAACAAAACCACCACTCTCAAGCCTCAGACATTTTAAGGGTTTATAATAAAGTCATAGCTTACATTTCTGGCATTATCTTCCATAAGCCTTCCTTTCACTTTCCACCCTCCAGTCATAGCAGCCTTTCCCCTACTAGAATATGCCAGATTCTCTCCAACCCCAGGGCCTTTGCACATGCTATTTCTGCTGCCCGGGTTGCATTCATCCTCACTTAGTTAATTCTTATTTCCATCCTCAGTTAGTTAATCCATATTACCTTTCAGTTTTCAATGGTCAAGTCTGCTTATTTTATGTGCTCATGGGCACCATACACTCCTGTTTTGAAAACATTCCTCATGATCATCACTCTGTACTTTGATCCATGGCTGTCCCAATGGACAATGTGAGCCATAAGGGCGGGGATTCTCTGCTTCTGCTAATCATGGTAGGTACTAAAACTATAGCTGATGTTTTCACTCACCAATATCTGGGTAAAATGTAGCATTGCAATTCCCTGCACCCTCTAAGTTAGGATAGACCATGCAACTTGTTGTGGCCAATGGCAGGTAAGTAGCGATGAGGTATACCACTTCCTGTCACATGGCCAGTGCAGGAGTCACTGTGTTTATTTCAGTTTTCTACTGCCTATTGTACATGCCCTAACATTACTCCAAAATCTGATCCCCATCAGCCCTATCAGAACACTATTTAAAAGCTCAGCTTACTTCAACTGTGGCAAAACAGTTATGGCCCAGGTAAACAGAAGAAGGTAGACTCCACCGTAACAAATTTAGTTAACAGGAAGCAATCCCAGATCTATAGGCACAGAGAAGAATAAGAGAGAAACTTCACCCTAATGAAATTTAGACTTGAGTTTTAGAAGATTTTCCTGGAAAGACTAAGTAGAGTCAAGAGTTGAGATAAAGTGAAGGCATGAAAAGCAGAATGATGTGGAATTTAAAAGATGAAGAGCTATAAACGTGTTAATTTAATTGGCACGATCTCTCGAAGACAGATCCACTGCAACCACGAAGAAGAATTATCCTTTCTACACAGGGCCATTTTTCCACGATGCTACTACATTGGCCATCACAGAGCACAGTAAGTTCATGATGAGATTAATTCTAGAAAACAAATCACAGTAAAATCTTTGAAATGTCCATCTGTGTCTGTGGGGAAATGAGCAGCAAACTTATGGAAAAGGAAGCCAGCTAAGGAGTAAGACATTGGCTTGAGAGGCTTTGTGATGACACAAAGACTCCAAGAAGGAGTAACGGGTAAGTCATTGCATCAGATTCAATATGTGTTGTGGGGCGTGTGGAAGGAAAGGTTAAAAAAAAAAAAAAGATTATAGCTGAAAAGGTTAACAGATTGTAAATAGAAGTTTTTTGTTTTGTTTTTTAAGCTCTTTAGTGGAGCTTGAAAGTTAAATGTCATAGGCAATAAAATTAAAAGCCAGCAAAACCTACAAATTCTATAGGGACTGTGTGACCCAAAATGCAAATTATGTTCAAGGTTTGCAGACAGCTTGAGTCCATCACAATGACCAGGTAAATGGATTTTAGAGGGGGAACAATCCAAATAGGTACGTTGTTAAGTATGGATCTTTCACAATTCAAGGATGCTGTATACATTACTCATCTCATTCTTCCCAAATCTTCACATGCATGAGGTTGTGCATGATCTATCTAACCCTACCTTATTTATGTCACCTAGTACCACTAGCCCACTGAGGCTTCATGATCTAGACACTGTAGCCTTGTTCAGTTCTTCAGATTCACGTTCCCTGCCTTAGAGTTGCACATGTGGTTTCCTCTGCTGAGAATGCTGCACTTCGCCCCATCCCTCTAGATTAGCTGTTCTCCTCAGGGGACATTTGAAAATGTCTGGAGGCATTTTTGTTTGCCACAATTGGGCAAAAGTGCCACTGGTATCCAGTAAGTAAAAGCCAGGGATGCTGCTCTTTAAACGTACTGCAGTGCACAGAACTAATCCCCACAATAAAGAATTATCCAGTCCCAAGTGTCAGTGCCAAGGCTGAGGAACTCTGCTGTATATAACTCATAGTTATCTGTCTTTCAGGTTTCACTTCTCCTGGGAAGCCTTCCTTGATTTCCATGATTAGATTAGGAAGTTCAAGTCACCTTACATTTCTACTTTGTAGCAATCATTGCAATTGAAATTAATTAATTTTTTGTTTAAGTATGTGTGTAATCTAGTCAAAAGAATAGCTGGAGGGACATACAGAAAGACATTGTAATCCCAACAGTTTGGGAGGCCGAGGTGAACATAGCACAAGGTCAAGAGATCGAGACCATCCTGGCCAACATGGTGAAATCCCATCTCCACTAAAAATACAAAAATTAGCTGGGCGTGGTGTTTAGCCTATAATCCCTACTCAGATGCTGAGCTACTTGGGAGGCTGAGGCACAAGAATTTCTTGAGCCCCAGAGGTGGAGGTTGCAGTGGGCCGAGATCGTGCCACTGCACTCCAGCCTGGTGATAGAGCAAGACTCTGTCTGCTGGTAACTGAAGAGAAAAATGATCAAATTCCAGGGAATAATGGAAACATTTTAATCATTTCCCTTACTCAGTGCTGTCATCTTTCAATGGATTTCCCCAGTTCTACCTTCCTTTACTTTTCTCCTTAAGAGTCCAGATTCACTCAGAATGCCCTTTTCACTTACTCCCATTTCATTTTGAGGCTTCTTAAATCCAAGGCCCAAGACAGAAATTTCAATTTGTCTCTGGTCCTCCTGACTGACACTCAAACTCTTTTTAAAAATATTTTGCTAATAACAATCACATCTTATGGATTGTCTTTCATGTGTTTCTATGACCCTCAAATCTCCTATTTCAACAGAGATGAGAACAGAAAGGAATGAAGTCCCAACAACAATTCTTACCTGCCACATCCACTGGGAAGAAATAGACAAGATAAATTAGGGAGAAAGAAGAGTTCCTATAACTGGAAGTCAACACACATGTTCAATCTTCACTCCCAAGTCCTAAATCCTACCTCACAATTTTCTTGCTTTCTCCCTTCACTCCAAATTACCATAGTACTGCTTTATTATCTTAGTCTATTTCGGCTGCTGTAACAAAATATTACAGATTGGGTAGCTTATAAACAGAAATTTATTCTTATAGTTCCGGAGGCTGGGAGGTCCAAGATCAAGGTGCCAGCAGATTCACTGTCTGGTGAGGGCCCCATTTCCTCTTTCATAGATGGCCATCGTTTTCCTGTTCCTTCACATGGTGGAAGGGGTGAGGGATCTCTTGGGGGTCTCCTTTCCAGAGCATTAATCTCTTTTATGAGGGTATTTCCCTAAAGTCCCACACTAACTAATCACTTCCCAAAAGTCCCACATCCCAAAACTCTTATGCTGGGGATTAACTTTCGACATATGCATTTTGGTGGGGACCCAAACCTTCAGGCTATAGCACTTATTTTGAGCCTTATCCTTTCTTATTGCTACATATTTTACTAAGATGAACTTTCTCTAGGCTCCACAGCACAATGTGTTCACTCTATCCAAGCACCTATCATAATATGCTGTAATTGATTTTTCTGATGTTTCTTCCTATGAAATTGTGAGCTCCTGGAGTTGAGGAACCATGTTTCATTATGTTTATGTACCTAACATATGAGAAAAATGACTATTTCTATTCTGAAAGGGCAAATATTTATTAAAGAAACTCACTCTATTTTAAAGCTGAAAGTAATAATTTTACTCAATTGTATTACAGTGAAACTCTGGTACATTTTGAGAAATTCTGTAGTTTTAAATCCCCAAAGACAATGGTCTAAATATAGTACTAAAAACCTATCTAATTCTTTGAATGGACATTCATAAAATTGGAAAAACAATTGGTTAAGAAATATATGGCAAAATAACCTGAGTAATCAAATAAATACGACTTTAAATACAATTTTTAGTTTTTTTAAATAAAATGGGACTATCTAGTGTTGGCAAGAGTGTAGTCACATAGCCATTCTTATTAATCTTCAAAGTGTAGATTGCTAAAAAGTCTTTTCAAAGGCAATTCAGCAGTAAGTACCAAGGCAATTGAAATACAACTGATACCAACAATAGAAATGGGTTTGTTGTGATTTTCAAAAAGTAATTCCGAAGTATCACAACTCTTCCTCTTTTCCTTCCTTTCCCATTCCCTCTTCACTTTCCCTTTCCTCTCTTGTAGATGGCATCACCAGAAACCAAGAAGATGGTAAGGCCTGGAGGTGGCAGAGCTGAAGAGGTGAGAGAAGGAAGCCTGATGAAGAAATACAATTCTAATGGTAAACCTAGGGAATCAGGAAATCAATTTAACTAAGCCAGCTTCAGTTATGGCTTCTGGACAATCCAGTGTTGTAAACCCTTTAAACAGAAAGTCATCATAAGAAACCATTGGGAATAGAGGTTGATTAAATACATAATTAGAATCTGGTTTCTCACAAAGTCCTGGGAAAGACTAAAACTAAAAATTTTTCACTTGCACAAAAAGTGGTCATTGCTTTGAGTGTTCTAATACCTTCCAAATTTATCTTTTAAAACCCAACATAAGATCTTTTTTAAAATCACTTTTTACTCTTTAATAATTGCTGGAGACAATTCAGAATCTTTCTTAGGTTTTACACAGTCATTGCCAGCTACTCTTTATCTCTGTGGCTCTTGATTCAATTCAAGTTGGCAGGCATTTACGGAGTACCTACTATGTACCAGGCACCATGCTAGGTACAGCATGTAAACATGAGTGTGACACCATCTCTGTTCTTACAGAGTACATGACCCAGCAGAAGAAATAAGCACAAATACAAATGGTGACAGAAAAATAAGATGTGTCACAACTGACTTAGATTCCAACAACCACAACAGCACAGAGGAGGAAGCGAGGTGGTGCTCCCTGGAATGACCCAAACACAACAATATCTGAGCTTGCTCTTGAAGGACTAGCAGTTTACCAAGCAAAATGGAAAACAGAAATTGAGTCCAGGTCTAGATATCAAGAAGCACAAAGAGATCCAGAAAAGACCATGGAGAATTCAAAGACCAGCAACAGGCTTCAAAAGCCTTCTATGAATAGGGCATGTAAGGATTTGCTGGGGGCAAGGGTGGGTTTGAGAGCTGGAGATGGAGATGAAATTAGTGAACACCATGCCTCTCTCTTGTACTAAAGAGGCCGCAGGGAAGACAAAGCTCAGTTGTATTCAACAAAGGCCACTCAGGTAGCACCATAAAGGAAGAGCTGTAACACGGACACGGGAGTAGTGGAATCAGTCAAGAGGGAATTTCAAAGGTCAAAGATGAAAGGCTGGCTGGGCGCGGTGGCTCACGCTTGTAATCCCAGCACTTTGGGAGGCCGAGGTGGGCGGATCACGGGGTCAGGAGATAGAGACCATCCTGGCCAACAAGGTGAAACCGCATCTCTACTAAAATACAAAAAATTAGCCGGGCATGGTGGTGCGTGCCTATAGTTCCAGCTACTCCGGAGGCTGAGGCAGGGGAATCTCTTGAACCCAGGAGGCAGAGCTTGCAGTGAGCCAAGATCGCGCCACTGCACTCAAGCCTGGAGACAGAGGGAAAGTCCATCTCAAAAAAAAAAAAAAAAAAAAAAAGATGAAAGGATGTGGGTCAAAAAGGTGTTTGGCATGAAGCATCAACAGGAAGCTGCTTCTATAGCAAATCTCAGGATTTGCTCAGAGCATCTGAGGGTCTGGGTGGAGGGTCTTATTTTCATTTCATACTTGGTAGGCATGGACCCTTCTCCTCTCACCCCCCAGCACATATGAAGGGGTATGGACAGTGTTGGAACAAGATGGTCTTGGATTCAGAAATAAAAGGAGTCAGAAGCTGAAGACCTAAGGGTAACACAAGACTTCCGGGTTCTGGCCGGGCGCGGTGGCTCACGCCTGTAATCCCAGCACTTTGGGAGGCCGAGGCGGGCGGATCACGAGGTCAGGAGATCGAGACCATCCCGGCTAAAACGGCGAAACCCCGTCTCTACTAAAAATACAAAAAATTAGCCGGGCGTAGTGGCGGGCGCCTGTAGTCCCAGCTACTTGGGAGGCTGAGGCAGGAGAATGGCGTGAACCCGGGAGGCGGAGCTTGCAGTGAGCCGAGATCCCGCCACTGCACTCCAGCCTGGGCGACAGAGCGAGACTCCGTCTCAAAAAAAAAAAAAAAAGACTTCCGGGTTCTGAAAGCAGTGCAGCTTGGAATTTTCAGAAAGTGAATTGACTTCCTGTAGCTGATTGTTTTTTATTTTAGGAAAATAAAAATTATTACTTTTTGTTTAAATGACAAAATTGTATATATTTATTATGCACAGCATAATATTTTAAATATATCTACATTTTGGAATAAGTAAGTTGAGCTAATTGACATTACTTAGTTTTTATTTTTAGTGGTGAGAATGCTTAAACTCTACTCTGTTCGTATTTTTTAAAGATACATATGTTGTTACTAACAATAGTCATCATATTGTACAATGGCCTTTTGAATGTATACCTCCTAACTGAAAATTTGTGTCCTTTGACCAACATCTTTCTAACTTTCCCCCACCCACACTTCCCCAGTCCCCAGTAACCACCATTCTATGCAACTTCTACGAATTTAACTTCTTTAGATTCTACATATAACTGACGTTATGCAATGTTTGTCTTTCTATGCTTGGCTTATTTCACTTAACAAAATGTCCTCCAGTTCCATCCATGTTGCTGCAAATAGCAGGATTTCCTTCTTGTTTATGGCTGAAGAGTATTCCATTTTGTATATATACCACAATTTTTAAAATTTATTCATTCGTTGATGGACACTTAGGTTGATTTCACATCTTGGCTACTGTAATGCTACAGTGAACGTGAACGTGCAGGCATCTCTTTGGACATACCGATTTCATTTCCTTTGTAATGTACACCCAGTAGTGGGGTTGCTGGATCATATGGTGGCTCTATTTTTAACTTTTGAGGAATCCCGTGACTGATTCTAAGTTAGTAGGGGAAAATTAAGAACAGGCATATAATTCCTGCAGAAATATTTCTAGTAGGATGACTGTCACATGCAGCTGCTGGGGTGAAAGCACAGTTATAAGAGCTGGGACATCAGCATCAGGCAATGAGAATCTGATTCCTGCTTCTCCCCTCACCAGCTGTGTCATCTCCAGCATGCTATCTAAACAGTGTGAACCTCAGTTTTCTCATCTATAAAATGGAGACATTCATTAATCAAGTGTTGTTGTTGAAGGCACAAATGTAGAGCGTTTGTGAAGTCCTTAGTCCTATACTTGGCATGTGGTATGCAATAAATATTGATTGGTTGATTTGGCCAACAAATATTATAGTTCCTGATACTTGGAAACTGATGTTTACCTTTTTAGTAGCTCTGATACCCATAGTTGATCCCCTGATCCCCTGGATCCACAGTGATCCAATGAGTGAAATCAGACAAAGATGTTTATCTCCACTTTTAAAAGTAAGGAGGCAGGCTTAGGGGGCTACACAAAACTTCCAAAAGTTGCACAGTGAATACAGAATAAACCTGAGAATAGATTCCAAGTATTTAGACTAAGTTTTAAGCGCCTTATAATTTATCACCCATCCTTTGATCTTTGTCTTCTTCCACAAATATTATTGAGTTTCTGTGACGAGCTAATCCCTGTGGTGAATAGAGTATTCTATGTCCTGAGAGTGGAGGCTTATGTATCTCACAATCCTGCCCTTCGAATCTCGCCCTCCTCCCGTTTTATGATCAGAAATGTGTTCTATTCAACTCTGTCAGTGGAAACTAGTAGAGAGCCTGGCACAAAGTAAGTGCTCATTAAATAGCTAGTCAATGAGATTATTGATCAATAGATTATTCTAATACAGTTTTTTCCATGACAACTGTCCCTAGAATTGCAGGTACTGAGCAGAAGGAGGAACCTTTTCTCTGCAGAACCTCATAGGTGTGCAGTAATGCATAGGCTTTGAAGACAAATAGACCAGTATTAAATCCCAGCGCTGTGTGACTTTGGACAGCATGAACCTCAGTGAAGTTTATCTGGAATAAACTTTACCTGAAGTTCATTAGAAACTTCAATGTCTTTATCTGGAAAATGCAGCCAATAATACTTGCCTGGCAAACTTGTTTTGAGAATTAAATTAGTTGACCAGCTGAAAGTGCCTAGGTTAGTAAGCTGTCACGTAGGAGGTGCCAGATCAATGGCAGTGATTATTACTTGTGCAAGGTACAAGAGGTGGCATCAATTTGAGATTCATAAATATGCTAGGTATGTAGTGGGACCATCACCCTTATTAGAATTATAGCTGGAATATCCCATTGGGTTAAGCTGCACTCTGAATACAGGGTTCCTTCTCAGATTGAGAAACCCTTTGTGAGCCTTCTCTTCACCACTGTACATGCGGAGGTAGGAACAAGTGCTGGCCTTCCACCACTGCTTCCTCTCACCCCGTGGGGAGGGTGGCTGAGTCATGCTGACTTGCACCCAGTGCAGCTTGCACTCGTGTCATTACAGTGCAGAGGTCTGCAGGCGCCACCAAAGTGAGTTCTGGCTTTTTATCCTCCTTGTTACAAAGGCCAGAATCACACATAGAACAGAATGTAAACAAATTTTCCAAGCCTCTATTTGTTCTCAAATTGGTCAATGTTTCCTGTCCCACTGCCCCCGGATCCCCACCCTCCACTCTAAACCTCAAAGACTAAAAATGCAAATAAGTGAAATCTTCAACAGTTATTGATTTGAAGAGAAGCTTTGAGCTTGAAACCCTGATTTTTTTTTTAGATTATTTGTAGCACTTTAAGTACAAACTTGGACAATTTATTTTCTGCATAGTTTTGAAAATGTTTATAGAATAACTGAACCCAGAAATATGAAGGACTAAAACCTAGAAACCCAATAAATAAAAAGTGGAAACAATCTTAATGATAAATAAGAGGAAAATGATCAACTAAAACTGTGAAATTGTGACACACTTATATATTGAAATACTATCCCTAAAACAATGTTAGTTTTAGTGACATTAGAAAAATGTTTAAAATATAATGTGTATAAACAGAGATAGAAAACTCGGCATACAGCAGGATTCCAATTGTTAAATATGTTTAAAATGTACCAAGACGACTTCTATATATGATTATAATGATTATTATTTTTACCTGTTCTTTATGCATATCCACCTTTATACAACAAATGCTTAAAATCATTATACTCAAAAATGTTTTAAAAATGTAATTGTATAACTAATTTTCAATCGTCTTTGCCCTTGAAAGGGAGTTCTAAGACCAATCACTTCAGTAAGAACTTAACTAGTAAACACTTGTCTCTCATGAGGTTATAGTCATTCTCATTGACATGAACAGGTTAAAGACAGCAAGAAATGTGTTTGTGAAAAGTCAAGTGCCGTCTGAGTTGCCAAATTTCTGGAGAACAGTGTTGTATGGAATAAAACGAAAATAAAATCCTAGATTGTGAGTTAGGAAATCAAAATGTTAATACTAGCTGTGCCACTAAATGGTTGTAGAGCTGGACTAGCTTACTTCCCCTCTTTGTTTTTGACTTGTTTCATTTGTAAAATGAGAAAAAAATCACTCCTTCACTCGTTCATTTATTCACTTCTTTAAGAAATGTTTCTCAAGGTTATATTGTGGGTTGAGTACTATTGTAGACACTGAGGACAGATCAGTGGAAAAACACAAATGTGGCTCTTGCCTTCAGAGAACTTATGGTCCAGTGGGGAAGAAAAAGCATGGACTACTAACTAAGTAAATATGTGTAATAGTATCAGGTGCTGTGAAGGAAAATGAAGCCAGGTAAGGAGAAAGAGAGCAGCCTGCAAGGTCCCTAAGGAGGTGATTTGTAAGTAGATAACTGAGTGAAACATAGAAGCAAATCTTGCTGCAATCCAGAGGGGAGGGTGTCCCAGGTAGAGGGAATAGCCTATGCAATATACGGGAAACAGAAGTGTGGCTGCAGTCGAGAGACTCAGGCAGAGAGTGACGAAAATGAAAGTCAATTCTTTTCCACTGCCGTATAACCAAATAGAATCCATGGGAGAGCCTGTCGGCAAGCTCAAAATGCTCCTGGCGCACTTGAGCTCTAAAGTCCAAGGCCTTCACACAGGGAATGCATTACAGGAACTTCATCAGTTCTGCCGTGATGCTTTGAAGGCCCGCTGTGCAACTATTAGCTGATCCCACTTAACAGACAGTGACGCAGTCACCAGGCATGTTTGTGCCCAAGCAGGTGATGATTTTCTCTCCACTGACTCCAGTCAAGGACTTTTCCCTTCCAGGTTTCAGGCTCCAGGTGACATTGGGCACAGAGGGTCAGGTGGAAAGTGAACAGGTCACGCGCCGGGCAGGTGACACGATCGGTGCTCTGCTCACATTTCAAAGAGCCCACTTTTCCTCCTATGTGTCAAGCACACAGTTACTTTGAATGCTGCAGAGTAAGATGATTCATCAATTTCCGAACGCTTGAGAAAGGAATCACTGTTTAGATATTTTAAATGTTTTCCTAACCCTTACAGAGGTAGCTATAGCTCAGGAAGATAAACTGAAATGAAGGTAAGAACAAAAAAAGAAGCAATTGCTCTCATCTATAATTATAAGCTTTATCATTTATTGTGCACTGATAGTTGCATTTCCAAGCAGACATTATTAATTAGTGAAATAATGAGGCAATTTGCATTCATCCTGATTCAGAAAAATTCAAACTACTTCAACAGACCAAGCATAGGTAACTCAGCCTAATTACTTTTTGCTTTTTTATTAGATGAGGAAACCGAGGCATATAAATGGAATGGATCATGAAATGAAGTAAAGTTAAAGAAGTTTTAGTCAAAGCTTCATAGAAATCAGATTTTCATCAAGGATGAAAGTGAATTGGGATTATTTGTAGAGATGTATTAGAGTAGAAGGAGGTTAATTACTTTCTGATTAGGTTAACCTCTGAGTATCACCATCAGCTTTGGCAGGTTATCTAAGCTCTCTGAGTCAGTTTCTCTACCCATAAAATGGAGCTGTCAATCCTTGTCTGACATGCATGATTGTTCTACAGAATAAATGAAAAACCTATGTGCCTGCAAAACAAAAGTGGGTTGTCATGTGAATGGATGGCTACTGCCCAGAGCCCAGGAGAAGCACCATTTCAGGAGCGGGGTGGGGAGGAGGCTCTGCATTAACCTAGAGTGTGTTGGGCTACATAGTTCTGGAAGAACTTCTATCCAGCAAGCTGGGACCACACAACAGAATGAAATTAAAATCAGCTTAAGAGATGTGTGTGATGTCTAGATGGGTTTCTAGTCTGAGGCATACAGAAGAATCCTGGCAGATCTGTTTTCCACACACACAAAAAAAGAATAGAGCCAGGAGAGTTTGGAACCAAGTGGTTCCAACCATATATCCAACCATCCAATGACCTGATTCTGAAATGAGTTGATTTGTGAAAGCATTTGTAGGCCTGCTTTTACAGGATGCTAGGTTTGTGACACAGAGAAGCTCTCATGGCTAAAATGTTCTGCTCTGTGCAATTAGAACTGACAGCATATATCTAAAAAATGGCATTCACAAGTACTTTACGCACTTTAGGAAAACACTTATATTGGACAAGCATAAATAGCAAGGGGCCAGGAGGCCCCTTTCCTATGTTAGTTTCTTTTTGTTTTGTTTTTAAACAAGGGTCAACCAGTCTTCTGAGGTAAAACAGAAGAAACAATAAATAATCAGAAACACAATGTCACGAAGGCTCTTTGCTTTTTAAACTCAAAGAAACACAAGCTGAGAGAGGTTTAGTCACTTCACTCAGATTACAAAGTGTAGACAGTGTTAAATCAGAATCCTGAGTCAGGGATCTTCCCTTCCAAGCAAGGTGTTTTCTTACTTCACCCAACATGCCTCTTCATGGATGCACCTTCCTGAGTTGCAGCCAGCTCCTCGGAGGGTAAGATGACTGTCATTTCTGAGTCCGAAGATCAGGCCATGATGTGGTTTGGCTGTGTCTCCGCCCACATCTCATCTTGAATTGTAACTCCCATAATTCCCACGTGTTGTGGAAGGAAACTGGTGGGAGATAACTGAATCATAGGGGCAGTTTCCCCCATACTGTTTTAGTGGTAGTGAAAAAGTCTCACAAGATCTGATGGTTTTATAGGGGAAAACCTTTTTGCTTGGTTCTCATTCTCTCTTGCCTGCTGCCATGTAAGATGGGCCTTTTGCCTTCCAGCATGCTTGTGAGGCCTCCCAGTCACGTGGAACTGTGAGTCCATTAAACCTCTTTTTCATTATAAATCACCCAGTCTCAGGTATGTCTTTATTGGCAGTGTGAGAAAAGACTAATGCAGGTCACTCAGGATTCTCATCCCAGAGAGAATAAAATGAAAAGCAAAGTTGTTGAGCAAAAAGCAATATGCTGTTTGGACTCAGAGATCTGGCTGTGGTCTCAGATAAGTCAATGAACTTCATTGAGTGTCAATTTCCTCATCTGTTAAATATGGATAGTGGAGGCTACCTTGCTGATTTGTTTGGGCATCGAATGTTACAAGAAAATGACATGTGAGAGACATTAATAAAGAGGAAAACAGCAAAGAAACATCTCTGTTCTTTCTCCTTCTGCTTCACTTTCTTCTCCTCAATGCTATTATTATCTTTTATCATCTTACCCTCATTCAATGGCATGAAAATAGCTTCTCATTTCATCTAGGTCTTCATCACATATATTTGATTTGATTTGCTTTATTGGGCTCTAGGAGTATGAACACAGTACAGATTGTCTTACATTGGCCTTATCTTTCTTCAAGCTGCACTCATCTTTCTGAATAACCTGAATGAAGGCAGGAAGCAGGATGACAAGGGGCTCTGCATCTTTCCGTATTTATCATTTGGTAGGAATAATGTAAGGATTCTATGTTTCCCCCACCATCGACTGTAATATTCTATTCTATTGTCTTGAATTGCTTGTGATAAGGAGGGAGTGTTCGTTAAATATTATCTAGCTAATAGTACCCTTATTTGTATAGGGCACCTGTTATCCCAAGGTTTCACTTTACCCAACAAATATCTCATTATCTAAACGATACATCCCAATGCCACCAATAACGAAATCTCCTCCACAACCTCAGTTTCCAAAAGAACTAAAAGTTCTAAAAAGAATTCTTTGGTTGTGTTTCTAGGCTGTTTTCCCACCCCTTGGAAAATATTGTGTCACAGACTTTATTTTTCTGTTGAGACCCAGGAAGCAATAAGGTCTGAGGCACTAGGT
Organism: Homo sapiens; assembly: GCF_000001405.40. NCBI lineage: Eukaryota > Metazoa > Chordata > Mammalia > Primates > Hominidae > Homo > Homo sapiens. Next base: position 128,552,072 of record NC_000008.11, on the reverse strand, counting down.
TGGGAGACAGGAGGTCCATGCTTTGACGGTGATTGTGGTGGTTATTTTGATGATATCATACTTGATCACTTACCACATGGCTTTCGATTCTTATGTTTTAATTGATGTAATTCTAACCAAAATATCGGTCAGGGTATTTTTGATATAAGGAACACAAGAACCAACTGAGAATGGTATAAATAAAAGACAATATTATTATCTCACTTAAAACACTTGTGATGGTAGGATGCTTTCAGGATTGGCTCCACACCTTGGGATTCTCGCCTCTTCAGCCTGTCGGCTTTTGCCTTCAGATGTTTCCTCTCAATGAACAAGGTGGCTACTGTAGCTCCAGGCATCATAATAATATGCAAAATTTAAAATGGGAAATGAAAATCTGTTTTCGAGCCCCTTTTTAAGAACAAGAACAAGGAAAATTTGCTAAAAGCCCACTAGAGAACTTCCCTCCATGTATCACTGACCCCATGTCCATTATTAAGATATTCACAGGCAAGGGAGGAAAACTGCTGCCCTTGGCTTAAATTGGCCAGTACATGCCCACATGTGCACGTACATGCACACACACACATGCACACACACACGTGCACGCGCACACACACACACACACACACACCATTCCATGGATAACGCTGAGGAGGGACACAGACTCTCGTAAAGCAAAAGAATGCCAATTAACTCATCACCGTTAAGATTCTATTAGCAGGCAAAAACGGAAAGAACAACCATCAGCTAAGTAGCTATTGTTAGCCTGAGAAGCAGAGGTTCAGAGTAGTTATTAACTACACCAGTCAGGGTAAATTGACCACTGTGACAAAGGACTTTAAAAATTAGTGGACTAATAGAACGAAAGTTTCTATCCTCCCATTCAGCTGGCAATAGAGAAAGAGAGGGAAAATTGTTCATGGAATGTTCTGGGTCAGGCCTAAAAGTGCTGCATATCACTCAGCTCACATCCCATTGGATATAACTCAGCCCCCTGGGCACACAACTGCAAGGGAGAGAAAGAAAGGGGAGCACTCTCCCATGGTCACAGAGCAGGTGGCCCAGCAGAGATGTCACGCCAAGTAGGTCTCATGCATGGGTGAAGCCACATTGCCTGTCATCCTGATAGTCCTCCTACCTGTGTGGCACTTTTAGGTATCAATGAATTTAATTTTCCTATCAACACATTTCCTGCTGAAACCATCTATGGTCATTCCTGCCCTTATCATGGTAAGTTTTAAATTGTCCTTTTAAAACTCACTCATATCTTGCCTGAGGTCTCAATTTCTTTGACCTCTTGGATATTAGATGTTATTGGCTCCCTGTTCTAGAATCATCACCTTTCCTCAGTTCTCAGACATTAACTATTCCTGTCTTTCTGCCAGCCCATCCTCTTTTTCTTTTTCCCCTTCTTTCTGATCCCAGTTGTTTTCCCTCTACCCATCTCCCTATGGAAAACTCTGCCCTTGACGATGGCTCCATTCTGATCTTTGTATTAACATCTGCAAAATGCACATTATTATTCTGAGCCTGTCACCTGACCATAGGCAGTAATTCAGATGTTAACATTATTACAATGACTACTGTTACCTATATTCACACTATCATTATTATTACTCCTACAAATGTCTTGGTACATATCAGATATTAATGGTAAGTACTTTTCTCATTTTATCTTTTATTTATTTATTTTTGAGGCGGAGTTTCTCTCTTGTTGCAGGCAGGCTGGAGTGCAATGGCGCCATCTTGGCTCACTGCAACCTCCGCCTCCCAGTTCAAGTGATTCTCCTGCCTCAGCCTTCCTGAGTAGCTGGGATTACAGGCATGCACCACCACACCCGGCTAATTTTGTATGTTTATTAGAGACAGGGTTTCTCCGTGTTGGTCAGGCTGGTCTCAAACTACCTACCTCAGGTGATCCACCCACCTTGGCCCCCCAAAGTGTTGGGATTACAGGCGTGAGCCACTGTGCCCGGCCTCATTTGATCTTTTAAATCTCTCATAAATCCTAGGGATTTGTTTCCCCACCCCTCACTTTTGTTTTAGAAAAGAAAGCTGAGGGTTACAGAGAAAAATAAAATGCTACTAAGTGGAAGAACAGGATTTCAAAACTATACAGTCTGACTCCAAAGCCAAAACCATTAGCCTGTATGCACAATTGCTTCTCAGACCTATAGGACTCCGCAAATCGCATGCTGTTAGTTCCCTTTAAGTATCTCTGAGCTTGACCCAAAGCTAAGCACATAGTAAGTGCAGACAAGTGCTAAATATAAACTCATCACACCCAACGGCAAGTAGATCCTCTTCTGACAAAATCTACATCTCCCAAATTCTTCTTTTTGCCATGTTTTCTCGAATTATGTTTATATTGTTTCATCCTTGTTGATACATGCTCTTTCTTAGAGACACGGACAATGACATCAGATACAATTTATCAAAAACTTATCCTATTCCAGACAATGCTCTTCACGCTCTAACTCTATGAGATTAGCCTCATTATTATTCCCATTTTACAGATGGGAAACAAGCTTAAAGACTAAGTGGTTGAGATGGGGTAATCACATTGAAGTTCAACTCTACCATTCACATTCCTATCCTTTAAGTTCTATTGCCTGTGGCAATGCCACTAACTCCAGTACATTCCTTTCATAGAATCTCTTGAGGCTGTATTTGTTACTTCTTAGTCCTGTTGCCAAGACCCAGAGTAGATTCTCAAGTATCTGATTATGTAAACAGCCTCCTTGCTAAGCTATAACTAGTCCCCTCACCCTTTTAAATCAATGTTAGTAGTTACCATTATTTTAATTGACCCCATTATCTGCTCTCCTGGTGTCTATTACTATCATCTTCCAAAATCTTCATTCTGTGTTAGTCAAAGATTCCTTGTGTCTACATAGGACATATTTATCATTCTCTCCATGATTTAAGCTTAGTAAGGAGTATTGGGTGGGGCTTTCAAAGCATCCTGCACATTAGACTATGAGGAAGGTAATCCAGATGAATCCAGGCATCAACTCCCAGGATTATTCTCATTGTTTCCTCAATCACTTTCCACTTTGTTGGCTCTTAAGGAGCACCCAGTCAGTGTTTATGGGAAGTACTTGATCAGTAAAAAGAACAGACTTTGGATTTATCCATTCATCCCACAACCACCACTCAGTAAATTGACCACCTAAGTGCTAGACTCTATCACATTACCTGGATGGATATCATTAGAATTAAATGAGGTAATAGTCAAGTCTTGGCTGGGCGCAGTGGCTCATTCCTGTAATCCCAGAACTTTGAGTGGCCGAGGCAGGTGGATGACTTGAGGTCAGGAGTTCAAGACCAGCCTGGCCAACATGGCAAAACCCTGTCTCTACTAAAAATATGAAAATTAGCCAGGTGTGGTGGTGCACACCTGTAGTCCCAGCTACTTGGGAGGCTGAGGCATGAGAATCACTTGAACCCAGGAGGTGGAGTTTGCAGTGAGCCGAGGTCACGCCACTGCACTCCAGCCTAGGCGACAGGGCAAGACTCTGTCTCAAAAAAAAAAAAAAAAAGAAAAGAAAAAAAAGAAAAAAGAAAAGAAAAAAAAGAAAAAAGAAAGAAATAAAGAAAAAGAAAAAAAAAAAAGTCTTTAGAATAGTTCCAGGCACATAGTAAGTAAACTATACATATGTAAGTATGAATCCCCATTTCCTCTTGAATAAATGAATGTGTCAATGAATTCTCAAACTTACTGTTTCTTATCATGTTGTTAAGCTGTGTCTCTTCTCCTGGTACTTTGCACTGGCTAGTCCCCCAAATCTGCCACTTGGTGCATGGAATGACTGTGATGCCCAGCCAGTTTTTCCCCAGTATGGATCCTGCTAACTGTTGGTTTTGATTCTGCCTACCAGCCCTGCATTATTTTCACTTAACATCGATCCAGCAAATATTTATCCAGTACCTATGATGTTCCTGGCACTGGGCTGGGCTCTGTAGATACAATGGTAAGCAAGATGTGTATGACCCCGAAAAGAAAGGAACAGTAATAATTAGGCGTAAAAAAGAATATGCTTGTGAAGTCTAGGGTACAATGAGAGAACACACTCAAAGCAAAGCACAATATATCCATAAAACGATATTTGTCTTTCTTACTTGCCTGAGGTGATCTTTCCTTTCCCTTATGCCAGTTCAATCCTACTCATTTTAGGATGCTACTGGGTATAGCTACAGAACACAATACAACACAAAACCTAAAATGACTTCAGCAGCATAAGACAAAGCTCGTTTTTGTTTTTGTTTAATTCATGTGATTGCATAGTCCAGGGATAATTGATTTTAGGAGAAGCTTCATCTTATAACTCAAGGTAGGACCTAGAATAGCTTTCTCTCCATTTCTCAGCTCTAATTGTTCTGCATTTACTCCATTTTGGCAAGCTCCTTCTCTACTGGTCTCGAAATTATTGTTATTGGCTGCCAAGGATGCATGCTTCCTGGTTCACCAACAGCAAGGAGGGGTGTATCAAATAAAAGTCCTGGCTTTTGCCTAATTAGCACTCCCCACCCCCATAAGTACTGTAGCTACTGTACGGGTAGACAGAAGAATGTATGTTGAGTAGGTAAGTACTGAGCCACATGCCTCACCTCTAGACCCAGGGATGAGGTTAACTTACCTAAATTATATGGTCTTCCTGAGAGAGGAGTCGTGTATAGGAATCATGCACATTTCTTCATATTTAAACTTATTGCAAAATTGCCATAAAAATTGTGTTTCAATCTTAACCCCCACCAACAGCAAATGAAGGTTGTCATTTCTTTACATTCTCATTAACACTTGGTATCTTTTGAACCTTATTAATGCTAATTCTTAAAGATGTGAAATGGAATCTTACTGTATGTGGGCTATTTTTGTCTCCTTTGTCATAAATTGCCAGTTTAAATAATTTGACTATTCTAAAATTAGGTTTTCCCCCACCATATTTATTTTACACACTTGGTTTTTTTCTCTATTTTTTTTTTTTTTTTTTTGCAAATAATTTTTATTGGTCTGTGTCTTTCTGCTTTGATATTAGTGCATTTGTCATACAGATGCTTTGAATTTCAAGGTATTCAAAGATATTAATCCTTTACTTTATGATGTCGTCTTTTTGTGCCCTATCTAAAAACTTATTTTCTTGCCAAAGGCAGTAAAAATAACCTTCTATATATTTGTTTAAAAGTTTTAAGGTTGTTTTATTATTCACCTCTAGTTTCTTCATTCACCTGGAATTTATTTTTGTGAATAATGTGAAGTAAGGACCTTATTTATTTACTTATTTACTACAATTTGCATAGTCAATTTTTCTAGTCCTATTTATTGGCAGCTTTATTTATTCCTGATGTTTTTTTAATGTACTAAGTCTTTGCTTCTAAATGAGTCTAATTCTGGGTTCTACATCTATTAACATTATTTTGTGCTTTCTAACTTTCATTCTTTGTTTGTGCTTTTCTTTCCCTCCTTCCCTGTCTTCTTTCACATTGGTCAGATTGTCTTTATTTCTTCCCCTTTCCTCATGCTCTAATGATCTAAAAGCTATAACTTCTACATTCTGTTCTTTAGAATTATTCTTAACATCACACCTAATCTTGATTTAGCAATGTCAAAGTTCACAGGGGATATACCTATTCCCCAAGGCAAAAAAATAACATTTTACCACACTTTCACACCTATCATCCACTTTTATCTTTCATGGTGTTGGTAATTAGTATTCTAGTTCCATTTTTTTTGCAACACTTTAGTAATTATTTTGCTGTTTTATACAGTAAGCCTTATTTAGATTTATCTACAGACTTCCCAATTTATTGGCACATAATTGCTACTTGAATTCTTCTTGTTCATCTTTTAAGCACTTTGCAAGCATTATTTCACTGGTTTCCAGTGTCCATTGCTACTGTCAGTCTAATCGTTGCTCTCTTTACTCTATGCTTACTTTTACAATAATCTCTCTGTGTGTAGCATTCTTACTTCTCCATGGTATAGCTAACTGAGGTTTGTGTTTGCTTTATCTTCCACAGAATTCAGTATGTTTCTTTATTCTGAAGGCTCATATATATCTTCAAGTTGAGGAACTTCTAAGGCATAATTTTTTTAAATGCTACTTTTCCCCCACTCTCTCTACTCTCTCTCTCTCTTTGATAACCTGCTAAATACATATTGAACAAACTTATTCTATTCTCCATATGTCTTAGCTTTTCTTTTATCTTTTCTATCTTTATTTTTGCTGAGCCAAGTTCTTTTAATCTCTTTAGATCTATTTTCACTAATTCTTTATTCTTTTATAACTATGTGTTGTGTAACCCTTCCATTGAGTTTCCCCCTGCTGCCACAGCTAGACATTTTTCATCTTTAGAAATTCTCTTTTATTTTCTCTTTATAATGTGCATCTGTGTTTTTGCTCACAGTACATTTTTTTCCTTTTAGTTATAATCCATTTATGTTTATCTTTAATATATTTAAATACTCTTTATAGCCCCTCTCTGATTGTTCTAGTATACTGAATTATTGATGTACTATCACCCCAGTGAGTTGTGTCTGCTGGCTTGCCCTCATGGAGCATCATTTCCTTAAATGGTTTATAATTTGTGATTGTGAGCTCATCTTCAGTGGAGATTGTTTCTTTCACCATTAGGATCACACAGGCTGAGAGGAACAGCTGGGAGGAAGGTGAGGGAACTGGTGACATGTAGCCTTGAGAACAGTTTGGAAAGAGACATGATAACCATTCACTCATAACCATATGATAGAAGTAGACATTTTCTGTGATGCTCCCAAAATGCAAAACATATGCCATCAATTATTTAGCATTTCATATTTTCTTACATAGTGATACCCAGTTGTTTCATGGGTCGAAACTAGTTTTTATATCAGTAATTCTGTTTAGAATTTCTATACCTATGGGAACTGTAAATTTAGGCCCTTAAACTCAAGTGGTATAGCCTTGTGTTTTGATTTCTCTTGAGAGACATTTCTTTTCCATCCAAGGACCTGGGGAGAGAAAAATCTTTTGTTGTTTCTGAACATCAGTGTTTAGAGTTTTTCCAGTATCCTTCTAATGTAAGTGGAACTCCTTATAAGATCTTGTATCTGCAAGAACATGTTTCACCTCTGCACTGTACTCAGGCTCTAGCTTTCATCTTCTTGATCCCATAGAAACATTTAAATCTCAGCTGTCAATCATGAAAGCCTATGTCTGTGCCTAGTATTCATTAACAAGTTTCCACAATGCCAACTCAGATACTTCCTACTGTGACCAATTTAAATTTCTTCTCAATTTTGGGTATTTTGAAATGTATCTTTTTTTAGAGCTTGCCTTTGTTTCTTTTAAAATGCTTATTTTAACCACATTTATATGAATTTTGTGTGAGGCTATACTGCTATACTTCATTTTTATGTTATTAAATGTTAAATCTGAAGGTACATCTATCTATCTATCTATCTATCTATCTATCTATCTATCTATTTATCATCTATCCATCCACTTATCTATATCACTCAGGAGACTGTGAGTTCCTTATGGGCCTGAATGTTACCTTTTTTAAAAGTTAGGTAACAAACACAAATATTGCTAAGTTCTTACTCTCACACAATTAGGAGTATTATTAAGTAATAAACATTCTGCATTCCAATTTTCTTATCTAAAAATGGTGATACTAATACCTACCTCTTAGAAGTGTTACGCAAATGAAACAACAAATTCATGAACAAAATTGGCACAATGTCTAATATGTAGCAAAACAAAACAATAAACAGAAACGGAAAGAAAAATCTTCAATAAATGCTAATTTGTATTATCAGGAAATTTGTTAAATGGGTAGACGAATAAATAAAAGAGTCTTAACAATTCACACACGGAGAGCTATGCATCCCAGATTCTGCAAAGCAGATTTTTTCTCAATATGGAGAAGTGTGATTTCATTCTACAACCAAAGGCATGTCAGCCTCCACTGGTATCCAAGCCCTAGAAAGCACCGAGGACAAGTTGCCTGGCCTTGGGATCCAGGTAGCATTCCCTGGCTTCCCTCCACCCAGTTATTGAGCGACTACTCTTTGATACTTTCTTGCTTGTCTTGCACTTCTTGCAAGTGTGCTAGAATTACAGAAATAATAACCTCCCACTCTCCTTTGGGAATATTGTTACCCCTGATGTAATTTGTCATGCTACTGATATGTAATCACAATGTCAACTTTTTCTTTTATTGGAAGAAAAAGAGTAATTTGGGTTAACAGGTCTCAGGCTAGAGAAATGAAGCTGAAGAGTAAAAGCAGGTTAATATCTTATTAAGACCAAAGACTTTGAAGGAGGCAGCTCTTCTGAGGAGATCTGAAAACCCACTTCCCATTGCATATGCACGGTGCTTAGGTTGCATTCTAGGTGTTACCTGCTCATCAAATGTTTCCACGCCGTGGCCTCACCCAGGTTAAATCTTTCGGTTTAAATCTTTAAAGTTGTCTCTTCTTAAAAGAGAGGGGAAAATCAGAGTAGTATCTTATAAAGTGTGCCTCATTTGGGAAATGAAAATGAGGTTTGGTGACCAGGGGGTGGGAGGAGTCAGGACTTGGAACAGGCCTGTGACTTTCTCCTTTGGGTTTTTCCCACAATGACCCCGGCAGCCACTCCATGTGACCTCTGTCTAAAGACATGAAAAACAGCTGGGAGGAAGGTGAGGAAACTGGTGACATGTAGCCTTGAGAACAGATTGGAAAGAGACAGGACAAACATTCACTCACAACCGTAAGGTGGAAGTAGACATTTTCTGTGATGCTCCCCAAATGCAAAACATATGCCATCAATTATTTAACAAGCATTTACTGAACACTATCTCTGTACTAGGCTCTGTGCCAGCAATGGAAATACTAGAGAAAATGTAATACAAAGTGAATATTATATGCCCAGTATGCAAAGTGTTTTATTTTTACTATGTCACTTAATTTTCACAATACTGCAAAGACAATATTGTCTCATATATGTAAGAACTATATTATGCTGCTTTCCAGTTGCTGGAAAACCAAGTTTTTCCCAGTGTGGAAGTTACTGTGATTTAATTGAAGACAATTCAGCATTGTAGCTAGATAAGCATAGGTTTATTGACCCCACTTCTACTTATTAGTTTTGTTACCATCGTCAACTTAGTTCCAATTCTTCTAGGCTCAATCTGCTCATGCATAAAATAAGAGTGATAATAACTACTTCGGAGGATACTCACAGGATTAAAATAAGATATATTAATACATAAGCATATTAAAAGTTAGCATTTATTGACCACTTTCTTTAAGCCAGGCATGTGCTAAACCCTTTATAAACATCTTATTTAATCCAGCACTTCTAAAGTACAAATAATTCCAATTTCTTTCAAAGAAACTAAGGTTCACAAAGAATTGTTTTTTGCTGAAAGCCATGCAACTAGTAAGTGCCATAGTTGGCATCCCAAGCTCATCTGCCTTATGCTACTGTGTCCTTACCACTGTCCTCCAAAGGACTAGAAAAGCCTGAAAAGTAGTGAAAATATTCACCATTTCTTGAGGTTTTGTACAAGTGGTTCTTGCATTGTAAAGGAAATTAGATGAGGTAGTTTCTAAAGTGCCTTTCAACTCTGAATCATGTTTCTATAAAACAGATTTCCCAAACCGCTAGGTTAGAAATAAGCGTGTGTTGGCCAAATTTGTCTTGGTATGAGTTATAAACCACAGTGTGCTGCATTGCTTATGACAGAGACATATGGGTACTAAGTCTTCATAAAGAAGATATCTGTGCCTAATCTCTAGACCTGCTTCTTAGACCTTTGCTTTTTGGATTTGTTGGGACCACCTTCCCATTTCCATTCCTGTCCCATCACTAATGTCTGCCCACACTTGTAAGCATAGCCTCCTGGAAAACTCCAGCATGCTTAACGCACAGTGCCTAAGTTCTCAGCCAGGGGTCCACACTGGCCCTGGCCACTGCCTCTTCCAAAACTCCACCCTTGAGTCACTAGGAATTTGGTTTCACTCACTGACCACTGTTATTTCTTATCCATCCAGGCACCCCATGTCACTCACCTCTAAGCCTGTATCATTAGAGTAGGAGGAGCTAACAACAGAGAATACATAGTTCTCCCAACCCCAGTCACCACTCAAGCAATACATCCTAGGAAGACATGCTCACCACAAAATAACTTTGTTTCAAGCCACAGGCTTCCCTAATAGAGTATGCACCTGGAAGCCACGTCTATATTATAAGTGACCCACCTGATTTTCTTGCAGATTTGAGTTGGCTCCAAGAGAAACAAAGACCTTTAAACATAAGTGAATGATGGGAAGAGGAAACAGAGTCACTGCCTTCACATAGAGAACATTGGAAATGCTGTATCCAAAACTTTCATTTTACACTTGTAGAAACTGAGGGCCAGAGAAAGAAGAACATACTTGCCTAAGCATGTCACCCTTATTTCCTACTTGTTTTCTTTGTTTTTTTCTCTGCCCTACACACTGATAGACACACATTCCTGCACATTCACTCAAACATTCACATATACACAACTTGAAATTATACTGTCTAAAAAAATCACTTGGGTAAGTAAACCTCAAGTATTAAAATGTGATTATTTTATGTTAGGTTAAACTGCACATCAAATATATATTTTTAATTAGGTGGACGTCCTCACTAGAGCACATTGCAGTTGGAAAAAAAGGAGAATTTTGAGCCTAATTTTGGTTTGAATTGACATTGCTCTACTTATTCACTGTGACCTTGGATGACTTATTTAATGTCTTTGGGTGTCATTTAGGACTGTTGAGAGGATTAAACAAGTTTCTATAGGTGAAAGTGCCTATCCTCTGGCTAACACATAGTAGAGTATGCAACAAATATAAGTGTCTTTCCCTGAACAGGGTGAGGTTCAGGACTCTGAGGAAATAGGGTTTTGGTAAGTGCTGCGGTGAGGTGAATTGAAGTAAACAGACAAGAGACCAACAAACCCTCAACAACAGACCCATATTTGGGCTAACCACACCCGAATTCACAGCAGCATACAAGTAAGACACACGAAAGGAACAAAAACATAACTTGTTGACCTCCAGGTGATGGATATATTTCCAGAAATTCAAAGTAGAAGGCTCTCTAGACTCCAAAATGTGGAAAGGTATCCATAGAGGGTATTAGACACAGGCTGCCACACGTATCTGACCCTTTCAGCTCTGCAGCTCTGGCTCTTGGAGATGCAGAAACCCCAGGGGACTTCCTTAAGGCTGAAAAAGAGCAGGACTCCCAATTCTCTTGTGGAACCTGGGAATCCAGGGGTCACTAGTAGCCTTTGCCAGGGTGATCTGAGTTGGGATGAGCAATGATATTGAGTTCCAGTAAAACCCACAAAATGTTCTGAACTTGTGACTAAGCCTGAGCTTCATAAACAACCCCCGACATTCACCTCAAGAAGGATCGCTCTGTGTGGTGTGGCCTAGTAATCTCTTTTCTCAAAAAAATGTAAAAAAAAAAAAAGAAAGAGGTTCTACTTTGTAATTTTCAACGTTCTTTCAACAATGAAATGTTCGGCCCCTATTTCATACCAGTCATTATGTTAGGAGCTCTGCCTAATAGGAATAGTATTAGCTGTGCTCTCTGAAGCGCAGGGCCTCTTCAGAATCACTGTGGGGCTGTGGGTGGAGCTGAGCAGAGAGCAAACCTGCCTGCTACTCCACTGAGTAAACCAGAATGGCTTCTCATTTATTGATTTTATCATATCAGATTTCCTCATATTTTATTTTTTAAAAATATGAAAATATTCCACTTCCATTTTTTTAAGTATAGAAAGAATCTAGGGCAATTATATTAAGTTAAAAGAATGAAAGCTATAGCATTTAATGATGAAGGAGAGGGGAAAAAACCCAGCTGATATTTGTTATTTGTTGTGTGCTACACACTGTTTGCCGTTAATCGTCACATGACCCTAGACGTGAGTACTATTTTTAGCCCCGTTTCAGAGATGAGTGAACTGAGATCCAGGGAATTTGGGTAACCTTCTTCGTCAGACAGCCACTAAAGAGCCTGGTAGATATTTAGTCCCAGGGGCATTGATGTCAGAGCAGGTGCCCTTATCTGCCACACAGTGCTGACCCCTTCCCTGCATCTCACTTTGTGTTTGTATTATCTAAGACAACCGCTGGGGCCTTTGCCACTTCCCACCTCTATCCCTGGACTTCAGCCTCTGATCAAACGTCACCCCTCAGAAGGGCTTTCCCTGGCAACCCTATCCAAACTAGCTCTTCTAGTCAGTCTGTTCTCCTTTACTTGGCTTAATTTTCCTTCTTAGTGCTAATATCAAATGGATAAATATCAGATATATATTTGTTTATGGTCTTCAGTCTGTGGAGCCCTAGCATATTAGATTCTCGAGGTTGGGGGCTTTGCAGGCTACCAGGTCGTTGTACATCTCTGAGAGCCAGATGAGAACAAGGCCTGTGGAATTAAGTGTGGAAGGTGGTGCAAGAGTTGAAGAGGGAGGAAAAAAATCTGGGTTGAGAAAGACAACATGGTATAGGGTGATAATCCTAAATGTGCATCAGACAGCTAGAATTGGAATCACAGCTCCGCCATCAATCAGCCCATAAGACTATACGCAAGTTTTGCTTTCCTCATTTGTAATAGGGATAATGACCTCAGACTCACAGTGCCATTATGAGGATTAAAAGAGGTAGTATGTGTCAATAAACAGTTCTTTATTGCCTACATAATTCATTTTTTTCCCAGAATTTGTCCCAAAAACATAGCTAAGCACATAGTAAGCACTCAATAAATCAATTGGATAATAGAATGCTTGTCCAGAGTTAATAATTAGAGAGGCCATGTTGTATTACGAAAAAAGCACATAAAAATTTTCAACGGATGCCCTGGGACCAAGGTGCCTCATCTCTTAGGTCCATATTTCCTCCTGGGTTAAAGAAGGCAGTATGGTAAGATGACATACAGGTTGCCTTTCATCTCTGAGATCTGTAAAATTGAAAACAACATCCCACAGTTAATCTAGTTTCCCTTAGATTTCCAGTAACAAATTAGCCCACACTGATGGTTGTCAGGAAGCTGAGATGATCTATTATGTTTGTTATTTGTTTTCTAGGTTCCTGTTCAAATAAAAATTCTTAGTACTACTCACATTAGAAAATAACGGTTGGTAGCTTGGCCGAAGGATATCGACATTTACAATGGACAATTAATTCACTCTCTTATCTTGGTTTCTGAGGGTCGTTCTGGATTGGTGAGCCTCTTGACAGACTGAGTTGAAGGAATTCCATCACCCCTTGTACTTGCCTTCAGTGAATGGGAAGGGAATAAGATGTATCGAAGTTGTTTTGGAGACTTCTGTTCCAATTCTACATTGGAAAGTTGAGTGGTTTTGTTCCTCTCCTAGAGGGAAGGGTCATTGTTTCTTCTGACATGCTGATTTATTGGAAGAGGCTGTTGCCAAGGATTTTCCTGGCTTAGAAAGGCTATCGTGCCAGATGTGAAAGTTCTGTTTTCTTTAACCATCATTTCCTTAGCCATCATTTCAAACAAATATTTTACCTTTGCCCTGTTTTCAAAAATTGACATAGCCATAATAATACTCAAGTATTCAACAGATTATCAGTTTTGTGAATTAGTGCCCTATGGCCAGTAGACTACTGAACACATCTCATTCATAAAATATGGATTATCTTAACACTTATTATAAGCCTCACCTTTGGCGTGACATACCAATACATGAATATGTGCAGCACTTTTCAGTTTTCAAAGCATTTTCCCGTGTACCGTTTGATCCTTATGAAAGCTGCATGAAACTGGCATTATTACAACCCCATTTTTCATGTGAAGAAGCTGAGTCTTAGAATGCCTTTAAGACTTCCCTAAAGACACAGATTAAAAGCTGGATTTGATAATTTAAATCCTTGGCTCAGAGTTGAAGGAGAGCAAAGGAGTTTGGGAAAGAACCAAGGTAGATATCTGTACGTACAGCAAAAAAAGAAACAATGCTGTTTGCAGCATCCCCCCAACTTTCTCCCCTCCACAAGGACACAGGAAGTCCCCAGAAAAGGAGATTTGGCCATCATAACAAGCAATCCAATAGCAAAAGTACCAGAGAGTAAAGGCTGAACTCCTTTCTCACCCTGTGGAATCAAGAGGTAAGGAGAGGTGAGTAAGGGACTCTGAAGACACCTGCAGAGGATCAGCTGAACCCGGATGTTGAGATGCAGCTGTGCCACCTGAGAACCGTGTGACTTTAGGAGAACCACTTCCTCTCTTAGTGCCCCAGTTTACTCAGGGATAAATAAGAATATCTCTCTCATAAAATTATTATAAGAATCAAAATAGTAATTCATGTAGAATGGTGGGCAGAGCCCCTGGAACAAAACAGTAGCTACACTTGTGTGTGATGGTGTACACATCACTTCACCTCATTGGGTTTCAATCTACTTGTTTATAAAAATAAGGTGGTTGGACTAGATGAATTCTGTTGTTTTTTCTTCAAGCTCGGCATGTGATTTATGACTATAATTCATGGTATAGAGAAAGATAGGGTGGTGATGGATTGATAGAGTGACATGTCACTGATACATATTAAAGTGGGGAACAGGCCCTTATAAGTGAGTGCAAGGTAGCTGTGGTTATTATATATTGTCGATAATAAGGATAATAAAAGCCATCTTTTATTGAGCACCTGCTGAAATATATATTATCTCATTAATTCCTCATGAAAACCCTATTAAGCAGAAAATATTAGCTCATTTTACATAACTAGATAAATCAAAGCTTAAGCAGTTTGACCAACTTGTTCAAGGTCACCTGTACCATCAATGGTAGATAAAACCTTGTTCTGTCTGACTCTGGCTGTCATGCTCTTTGGAGTATCCTGTGCTGGCTCTATTCATTAAAGACCCTATTTAATCTCTATCTGACCTTTGTTTTTCTTATTCCATGTCGACTTCACTTTCTGTGTTCATCCTTCTACCTAATAACAATATAATGCATATTTTAAAAATGTACCCTCTGCCGCACTGTGTGCTTTTGTAAGTATGTGATCCATTATTATCTACTTAAATCTATGTCTTTATTGCATAATTCAGCATTTTAATATTCACTTTGAAAGGTGTTTTGAGTCACTTCCATGCAAAGGTGCTGTATTAAATTACATTCATTATTCTTACTAAATGTAGACAAGTCATGGTTCAGGTGAACTAGAAAGTAACTCCCATTATCCTCAGCACATTCCATCACATTCGTTATTCTATGTGACATTTATCAACACAGCATTTAGACATTTTAAAGAAAGAAAAAAAATCACTTTAAATTCCAAAGCATTTAATGAACACTGAGCCAAATTCCACAGGTGAAAAAGTCACTTCCTTGCTACAAGTTCCACAGTTTGCCTTAATGCTTCTGGAGCATAAGAAGAAGATGTAAAAGCCCATGCTAAGTATTAAACTTACCTGCTGAGATTTATGTGTGAACTATTAAACTTACCTGCTGGGAATTATGTTGCATCATGCTTATAACTATGCTCACATTATTCATAATATAAACAGCTCCTTGTGTATCAAGGACACAGATGTTATGTTGGCATTCTCCTAGCTTCCCTTTGCCACCTTCACATGTTATTCTTCCATTCTTGTGCAAAGTCTCTTTGTTTTCTAAGGGATGTACCATGTAGGCTATATTGCCTTTCAGCCATACCCTTGGCTGGCATTTACCAACCTCACTTCCTATTTTGAAGGAGGAATTGTCGACTCACTATCTACTCCAACTTTAGCCATTGTAGGTGCTGATGGGAGAGTCAGCACCCGCAATAAGGGTCTCCCAGAAGCAAATCTAAGATTAGAATTCAGGTGCAAGTGACTTACAAAGGCACAGCTCCTGGGAGAATCTGGTAAAGGAATGGAAGACGTAGGGCAAGAGGGAGATCTCAGATGATGTCCTGAGAAAGGGAGCTTCATCTTTATAGTGCAAGAGATCTCTTGAGGGTAGGTTCCACCTCAGAGAACAGAGAGTGGGCAATTCCTACTCCTGTACCCTTCAGTCATCAGTCAAAGGCCACTGGGCACTGGAAGGGAGGTTGTAAACTTCAAAGGACTGTCTGCAAGTAAGAGAAAAGTTGCTCCTTTCTGGAGGGCTGTCATCTAGAAAGAAGATAAAGCACAATGAAGTGGGGAGAGGCTCATAGAAATGGTAAAAGGCATCCAAGGGTATAAGTGCAAGGCACCAACAGTAGCAACTAGCGGCAGCCACGTGGATCAACCATCCGAAGCCTAGCATCGTAATTCCTTGACATTTGTATTAGTTTGCTATGACTGCCAGAGCAAACAACCACAAACTGGGAGGCTTAAACAATAGAAATTTATTGTCTCACAGTTCTGGAGGCCAGAAGTTCAAAATCAAGGTGCCAGCAGGGTTGGTTCCTTCTGAGGATTGTGAGGGAAAGATTTGTTCCAGGTCGTATTCCTTGGCTTATAGATGGCCATTTTCTCCCTGTGTCTGTTCACATCGTCTTCTATTCATGCATGCCTGCCTGTGTCCAGATTTCTCATTTTTATAAGGGTACCAATCATATTGGATAAAGGGCCTACCCTAATCAAGTATGAACTCAATTTTACTCATTATATTTGCAATGACATATCTTCAAGAAACATTCAAGTACTAGGGGTTAGGACTTAAACATGTAAATTTTGAAGGGACATAATTCAACCTATCACAATATTTTTCCATTAAGAGAACTTTATTAAGCCTCAGTTTAGTACCTGCTATGGTTTGGCTGTGTCCCCACCCAAATCTCATCTTGAATTTTAGTTCCCACAATCCCAAGTGTTGTGGGAGGGACCCAGTGGGAGGTAATTGAGTCATGGAGATAGTTACCTCTATGCTGTTCTTGTGATAGTGAGGGAGTTCTCATGAGATATGATACTTCTATAAGGGTTTTTTCTCCACTTCACTCTGCACTTCTCCTTGCTGCCACCATGTGAAGAAGGATGTGTTTGCTTCCCCTTCCACCATGATTGTAAGTTTCCTGAGGCCTCCTCAGCCCAGTGGAACTACGAGTCAATTAAACCTCTTTCCTTTATAAATTACCCAGTCTTGGGTATTTCTTCATAGCCGTGTGAGAATGGAACTAATACATTACCCAATTTGTATGTTTACAATCAATATTTTAACTCCTGATACTGCTCCCTGGAATCATTAAGTCTTTACTCTCTATTCCTATTACATCTTTTTTTTTTTGGTCATTCTTAAACTTTTTAGTCTTATACTTTTTAGTCCTTGATGAACACAGCAAAAAAGACAATAGCTATAATTTTAAGAGGTATGAGAAAATGTTCTGTCAATTGTAAACTCTTATATGAGTTTTTAATTGCCATTTATTAATGTTTCTTTAAGAAATATATATTGAGTTCCTGGTCTTATATTTAGCACACATTCCCTCGTATTTATGATTTTAGGAAGCTCTATAAGTGAAGGATGGATTATAGGAAGGAGAGAGTAGTGGTGAAGCCTCTGTAGTGATGAGAATTCAAAAGGATGGGAGTTTGGATTAGGGAACCACAGAAGAGATGAAGGAAATAAATAAATATGAGACACAACCCCAAAGGTAATTGTACAGAATTGGCAACTCATGAACTATTGACAGGAACATCATGTATAGAAAAGGCAGGTCTTGATACATATTTTTGTGTGTGCATCAAATGCATGAATGTGTCACATAATGATGGGGATATGTCCTGAGAAATGCATCATTAGGTGATTCCACTGGGCAAACATTACAGAGTGGACTCACACAAACCTAGGTTGTATAGACTACTACATACCTAGCTGATATGGTATACCCTTATGCTCCTAGGTTACAACCCTGTACAGCACTTTATTGTACTGAATGCAGGGGGTGATTATAATGCGATGATAAGAATTTGTGTATTTAAACATAGAAAATGTACAGTAAAAATATGGTGTAAGGGATAAAAAAATGGTCTAAGGCATTTACCACGAATGGAGCCTGCAAGACTAGAGGTGGCTCTGGGTGAGTCAGTGAGTGAGTGGTGAGTGAATGTGAAGGCATAGGATATTTATTACTGTACACTACTGTAGACTTTATAAACAATGTACATTTAGGCTACCCTAAATTTACTTTACATGTTATTTCTTCAATGATAAATTAATCTTAGCTTACTATAACTTTTTACTTAATAAACTTTTAATGTTTTTAAACTTTTTGACTCTTTTGTAATAAACATTTACCTTAAATCACAATAGATTGTACAACTGTACAAAAATATTTGCTTTCTTCATATCCTTATAAGCCTTTATTCTATTTAACATTTTTTTTACTTTTAAAACTTTTTTATTAAAAATGAAAACACAAGCACACACGCTAGCCTAGGCTTACACAGAGGCAGGGTTATTCCTATCATTACCTTCCACTTACACATCTTGTCCTGCTAGAATGCCTTCAAGGACAACAACACGCATGGAGCTGTCATCTCCTGGGATAATAGTGCCTTCTTCTGAAATACCTTCTGAAGGACCTGTCAGAAGCTGTTTTACAGTTAACTCTCTTTATAAGCAGAAAGAGTATACTCCAAAATAATGATAAAATGTATAATATAGTAAATTTATCAACCAGAAACATAGTCGTTTAATATCATTATGAAGTATTATGTACTGTACCTCATTAAACTTGCTAAACTTTCAACAACTGGCAACATAGTAGGCTTATTTACACCAGGATCACCACCACCACAACAAGTAATGTGTTATGCAATGACTGAAGATGGCTACGACATCACATCACTAGGCCATGGGAATTTTTTAGCTCTGTTCTAATCTTACAGGACCACAATTCTATACGTGGTCAGTTGTTGACCAAAACGTCATTATGAAGTGCATGACTGTACTGTGGTTCATCCAAATAACACACACTGTTTGCTGCTACTGGTTCTTTATTAACTGCCAAATAAAAGGGGAACTCTTCAGCAAACTCCCTTTCTGATCTTGCCCCTGCCTACTCTCCAGGCTTACATTTTCCCATTTTCTCCCCACAGCCTTGTTCATGCCTTGCCAAGGTACTTGGAGCTGAGCTTCGGAGGCTTTCTTACTTTGCACCTGCTATCCTCTCTTGCTGCATAGGTTTCTTGATGCACACCTGACGAATGCCCAAACCACTGCTGAAATAGGGAGGCCTAGTTGGACTCTCTGGGGGAGATTCAGCATCTCTTGCCTTAAGCTATCTTTGCACCTTGTAAACTCTTCTATCATTGTTCTTTCCACAGTGCACTGCAATCCTTTCTTACGCATCTTCTTCATTAAATCAGAATGTCTTTGAAGAAAATAATACATTAGATTTGCCTTTGATCCAGTTTTTAGCACAATGTGTTAGCCTTGAATTGAGACAATGAGTGTTTTAAAATGAATAAATGAATGTAAACACAGACTAAATCAAATGCTGGGTAATGCATACTCAGGTAGGAAATTTGCAATGTCCCTGGCCACCACTGTGGATGCTCATGGTCATCTCCAATGTATATTCACCCAGCTCTGAGAGAAGAGGCTCCCAGGATAGAAAGGACTGGTTATTACTGTTAGCAAGACAAACTGCCTGCCAGCTAATGAGCAGCTTTTCACATGGCTGAGGGTGCTAAAGTTCAACAATTGCCCCATAAATTAGCTACTTTTTTCTAACCAACTTAAATATTTCTGTTCAAATTATGATATGGATATCTTGACTTACCCCTAGTTTTCCATTTTTCAGAAAGACTTGAACACTAGTATCTGGATGCTTGTAATCAAGGAAGCAGAATGTAGCAAAGAAAGCATCAGTTTTAGAGACAGTAATCTGTTATTTGAAACCTGAGCAATACCTACTCATAGCATTTTGACATTGTGCAAGTTATTGAAACTTTCAGTTTTCCCATCTGTGAATTAGGGGTAATAATTACTGACCTCACAGCATCTTTAGTAATGATTAAAAATTATGCAACCAACAGTATAGGACCTAGCTGTGTTTCTCAACAAGGGAAACATGGGGGTACATTCCCTTTGTGCAAGCCTGTTGCATACACTTTAAAATATTAAGTATTTCAGGAAGCTGAGTTCAAAATGTCAGCATAGTGCCCCCAGTCATTGAGGCAGTCAAGAATGCTCCCATACACATTGCAAATAAGTCCCATCATAATAAAAAATAAAACTTTTCAAGTGCTACTACATGCTAGGAAGTATTCTAAGAACTTTACTAGACTAATTTCATTTAATACTCATAAAAATTATATGATGCACTGGAAGGTTAAATAAATTGCTAGGTTATATTACTGGAAAGTCAAGGAGGTGGGTGTGTAGGCTTGTGAGTTTGGCACCTGAGCAATACCGATGGAAGCATAGTAGGCACTCAGTCAACGTTCTTTTCCCTTCTTCCTCCCAGTGTGGTTTCATTGCCAATGCCTTTGCCTAAAAGCTACAAGTAGATCTTGTACCGAAACATTTGTCCCAGGAGACCCCAGATATGCAGACTTCATTGGCTTAAGTCCAATCTTGACAAGATGAAAGACATCTTTTTCTTTTTCTAGAAGTGACAGATATATCAAGGCCAAATTCGTATTGTTCTAACATGGCATATTCCACTAAGGGTTTTCACTGGGGACAAATGTGGAAAATATTAGCCCACATGTTTTTCCTGTCACTTGATTCTCCTTTTCCTTTTTTTCTTCAGGGCCTTCCTCTGCTTTGGGGAACACTTCTCACTCAGTTTTTTGTTACCATCACATTTGGCTGGAGAAGCTTTCAGAGTAGAGCGAGAGTCATAAAACCTTGTAAATATATCAGAAATTTATGTCCCAGCAGCTTACTAGCCCATCTGATATAATTCGGAAATCACCCAATCAACTATAATATCATTAGACAGGCAGGCTCATTGCACCCTGCCCCCTGCAGGGAATAGGTGCTGCAATGGTGTTCGAAGTGGTTGAGTAAGGAATGGGTAGCCTCACCTAAAAAGGGTGCTGGGGTATGAAGAACCTTGCACTTCAGGAAAGAAAAAACTTTCTCTGCTACCCACTCACTTCATGAATTCAGGCTCCTTCTTGTTACAAAAAAAAGCATCCAAATAAATGCTTCCTAAGCACTTCTGCTTTAAGATTTTTGTAAGTTCCAAAAGGTAGTCTTAAAATCAATAAAGAGGCTATAAAGACAAGAGCTAAGAAGAGTATTGGAAACAAGAGATGAATGGCATACAAGGAAAGCTCAGTTCAAGGTAGCATGCATTGAGTGCCTGCCTGTGCCTCATGATTGCCAGACATAGGGAGTACAAAGTGAGTGACCTCATCCTCCCCAAAAAGTCAATGTGTAGTTAATTATTGGTTTAAATTCATAAGAAAAGTTATATTGTAGGGGGTTTTTTTGTCTGTGTTTGTCTAGACTCCAGAAGGCTTGGACTAAGAAGACAGTGTTGGAATAATTGAGGGGCTGGCAGGAGAATCAGGGTGCCTTAGGAGGGCCCCCAACATTCCCATATATTCCATTGTGATTCTATCTCTGTAATGATGTACTGTTCAGTGGATCCACATGGGGTCTTGGTGGTCTCCCAGATCAGGTTCACATCCCAGCAGTTCTGCCTTTCAGTGTCGTGGCCTTGAATGGCTGTTTGCTCTCTTCTGACCTTAACTCCTTCCTCAGTAAGTGAAGATGATATTATCTAATTCCCAGGGCATGGCACATATTAAATGAGGTAATATGGGCCAGGCACAGTGGCTCAGGCCTGTAATCCCGGCACTTTGGGAGGCCGAGGTGGGAGGGTCACTTGAGGCCAGGAGTCCAAGACCAGCCTGGCCAACATGGTGAAACCTTGTCTCTACTAAAATACAAAAATTAGCTGCGTGTGGCGGCACACACCTGTAGTCCCAGCTATTCAGGAGGCTGAGGCAGGAGAATTGCTTGAACCTGGGAGGCGGAGGCTGCATGAGCCTACATTGCGCCACTGCATTCCAGCCTGGGCGACTTTCTGGGTCCAGGGCTTCCTGGACCCAGAAGTCAATGGTCCTTAAGAGTCAGAAATGAATGGGCTTTAAAAATGTGAGTGAGACTCCGTCTAAAAAAAATATATATATATATGTATAAAATAAATGTATATACATACACACACATATATAAAGTACTTTGCATATCATTTGTATATAATTACTACTATTTTAAGGACTTTCAGAAATCATTTAATCTAAGCTTCTCAGAATACAGGTGCAGGAACGTGGGTACAGTCATTTGCCCATTGATGATGCAGAGGTGCAGTTATCTGCCCAATGTTCTACTTATTCAAAGTTTATTCAACTGAAGTCCAGTTTCCTAAAGAGTCAGACCCAGGCTGAAATGAAATCATGAACCAACTTGTGCCACTGACTATGCTAGTTCTTTTCACAGTTAACCTCTGAGGCTAAGGATTTTCATCTTATTTTTCAAATAAAACTGAGTCTTGGAGAGGTTATGAAGGGCCTGCCTCTCCAAAGTCACAGAAATAGGAAATGGTAGTGACAGAGCAGAACCTGTTCTTCCAGCCTCTGTGCCTATGCCTGTTCAGTCACACTGTGAGGACACAAATGACCCATTATTTATAAGTTTGATTTTTTGACTGCCCAAAGAAACACATCCTCAATTTAAAAAGATAAAGTGATTTCGTTCATTTGTGTAGGTGGATTTTTCAAAAGCCTTCAGGGAGGCTCTGGCTCATCCTAGACCCATATTTCTGTTAACTGCTCTTGTTAGAGTTTCAAGGTCATGGAAACTAAATTTTATTCCTATTGCATTAAAATGCCCGGAAAATAATTACAAAAAAGGTGGTTTTCTTTATTTGCTTAGCTTACACAGAGCTATCTTTGTTTTAGATAAGCCTCTTGGAAACATGAATGGCCATTGAGATTGCATTTATCTATGAGAAGGCAGATAGTTTTCTGAAGGAGGAAGCTGGATCCTCAAAAATTCTGCAGGGAGCAGAAAGCAGTAAAGGACAGTAGAGTCAACTTCCAACTCTGTGAATAGAGATCCAATAAGTTTTTAATATTTTGTCAAACCAAGAGGCTCTGGAAAGTTTTTAAAGCCCATGTAGGGCAATCTTGTATCTGTCAGCCAGGACTTCCTGGACCCAGAAGTCAATGACACTTAAAAGTCAGAAATGAATGGGCTTTAAAAACCATCCTTTTCTAAAATGTCTAGAATGGACACCCAGGTGCATCTTGTCTTTCCTAACAATAATGACAGGATAACTCACACTCAGTAAGGTGTGCACTTAGTTGCCAGAAATTGAAATTAACTCACTCATTCAATCAGCCCATGCATTATTAGGCCTACTGCAAGTCTCAGGCACCATGTATAGTTTTCCTCTTCCGAGTGACCATTTTCACCTTTGCACATATTTACTAAATGAAAGTCAATGGCTGCAAAGCTGAGTAAAGTTGTGTGATCATAGGCGTGGTGGTTCTCCAATATGTGTTCAGTCTTCTCATCTGCAGTATCATGAGGTTGGACTAGGTGACCTCAGACCTCTTCCAGCTCTGACATTTAAGGATGTACAACACAGTAGCCAGGGGAAAATAAAAGCATGACCATAACCCATTAGTGCTGTGGTCTAGGTCAGTGACACATACATGGCTTCCATCTATTCATCAGTTCCTCTTTTTCATACTCTGATGGCAAACATGTACCAAGTATCTCCTTGGTGTGTCTTAGGTATCAGAGAGCCCCTGGGCTACTCAGCAAGACAGAGCTGTATGCAGACATTAGCAATCTAGGGAGCTGCAGTATCCTAGAGCAATCAAAATGGCCAGGGGCCAAAAAGAATGGAGACCATCTTTGTCTGGATAAAATAAAATAAGCTGTTCAGTGAAGAAATAAGCCAAGGAGATAATGAGCCTAGCAGGGAACTGGGATTGAGGCAAATCTCAGGTCTCTCACTTACTGAGAGTATATGAACGTGTTTCTTATCTCACTAAGGCTGTTTCCCAGTCTACTCTATGAGGGTGGTGATAATACTACTTTAAAACAATCGTATCTACAAAGTGTTTGGGAGTACTCAATAAGGCAATCAATGAGAAGATACTTGTTAGACTGTAAGGAAGTCTGAAAATCTTTTTTGTTTCGTGTCCACTTCCCTCTTTTCCTGATCATTAACACAAAATGCAATACTCACCAAATGTATATACTTAGAAACCCTTAGTTGACATTCTTTCTTCCCAATTGAAATGCTCATCTCCAGCCCCAAATAGTGAAATTGCTGGGTCCATTCTGTCTCCTTAGAGATTGCAAAATCTCCCTACTTATTTAGGCCTCCCTTTTACAACCTCCCAGGGTGTAAGGGAGGATTAGATTTTATCCATGACCAACAATGAGCCTCCACATTTGGAAGGCTGAAGCTGATAGAGCAAATCCACAGCAATTGATTTTCCTCCCAACTTTAAGTTCACAGTGCTCTATCTTCCCCACCTTTCTGCATCATCTTACAAAAGAATACTTCCTCAAGATCATTTAATACCTGTGGCAGAAAGGGACAACAGAGCTGAAATTAGCATGAGGTGGTCTCAAGAAATCAGGAAAGAAAGAGAGAAACAAGGAAGGAAGGAAGGAGAGAAAGAGAAAGAAAGAAAGAGAGAGAGAGAAAGAAAGAAAAAGAAAGAAGAAAGAAAGAAAGCAAGAAAGAGAGAAAGAAAGAAAGAAAGAAAAAGAAAGAAAGAAAGAAAGAAAGAAAGAAAGAAAGAAAGAAAGAAAGAAAGAAAGAAAGAAAGAAAGAAGAAAAGAAAGAAACCAGGAGTCAGAATTGGGGAACCAGGTTCAAGATTCAGTTCCAGCCACTGATGAGGTGTGTAAATTTGGCTAAGGTCCTCAGTGTCATTAAGCCTCAGTTTCTCCATCCAGTTTTATAAGAATGCAATGAGGATCAGATAAAAAGAGATGATCAATATAAAAACATTTTAAAAATGCTAAAACCCAATGCAAACATTGTCTGTGTAGATAATTAATATTAACATTAATAATAAAATATATTAACACTAAACTGCATCAAGCAAAAACACCAAAATAAATTTTCTTCATTCATTCCCTAGGACAAATGTATGGGATAATGTGGAAGATAGTGAGCATGCTTACTGATGGTCCCATTGTAGAAACAGAACACAGGGAAGTCTGGACCTCACGGCTCCTCCCACAATCTGATGATATAAAAGGAAGCAAGCCCCTTGCTTCAGTGCTTTTCCAACCTGGTGGGGCATTCACATTTTGTAGATGGCATTGATCCCTGAACTTCTTAATACCTCCATGGGAACCAGAGAAACATTTACATTGCTTATTTACCAGTTTATGGATAAAGTGCAACTGAAAATAACTTAAGCTGAATCTCAGTTGCCATCATTCCCCCAGCACCGAGATGTCGATCAGCCCGAATTCTGAACTAACCCAGATAGATATCTCTTCCCTCCTCTGCTCTTCCTCTGTGTACTTTATATAAACTTCTGTCATGATACCCACAAGATGTCACTGCATTTATTAGTTACTTATTAATCCCATGATGTTAGACCCTGAGTCCCTCGAAGGCACAGGCCTGTAATGCAAGTCTTTGACTCATAGTCAATCATTAATATTTACTATGTGACTATATGAATGAATGGATGAGGGGTTGGAGAAAATACAACAGGGGTGGAGATAATATGCATGACTTGGATCCTGGATAAATGGATGAATGTGTTCTGTCTGCTTAGGACACAGGGAAAAGAAGCACATGACATCTTTTGATGTAATTTGACTTTGGTGTCACAGAAGAGAGTTAAGATGACATCTACCTCGAAATTTACCCCTAAAGCACCCCCCAGCACCACTACCACAATGGTCCTTTGTTTATTTTTTCTTCTCTTCGATGTTTGTTCAACCCAGTATTCTGGCTCAACCAGGTTCTGACCTTTACCACTGAGGTCCATCCCTGGGGTCCTCTCTAGATTTAGCTCCACAAGGGAAGTTGATCTTGACTCTGGTTACTGTCTTCACCAATGAGCATCCTTTGTAGCACATAACACAAAAACCAGATAATCTGGAACTTTCTGGTGGCTCTAATGCCAATCAGATGTTTCCCCAGTCAGTTTCTTTGCGTTTGTCCTATCTGCCACAATCTGCAGGGAAATCCCAGATTAGCTGCTTAACACTGAAGGTATTCTAGTACTTAGGTCAGCAAATCTTGAACCACAGGCCAAGTGTGGCCTATGTCTTGCATTTGTAAGTAAGATTTTATTGGAACATAGCCTTGCTCCCTTGTCTGTGGGTTGTCCGTGGCTGTTTTCATGGATAAACTGCAACTGAAAACAATTTAAGCCGATCAACACTGCAGAGTTGAACAGTTGTAAGAGACTGGGTGGCCCACAAAGCCTAAAATATTTACTATCTGTCCCTCTCCAGAAAAGGTTAACCGAAGTCTGCTTTAGCAGATCAATCCTCCTTTGTAAATCAGTGCAGATATGTAAGTTATTTGGGTAACTTGCTGTGATGATGTGCTTGGCTCTGGATTTGGTGTTGAATGGACCATCACATTTTTCATCACCCCCACTTCAAATCCTGACATCAACAAAAGAGAATGACTGTGTTGCACTGGCTAACTGTCAAGTAGCAGTCAGATAATTATTAATTCTAAAAGGACATTCATGAAAAGAAAAGAGGAAAAATCAAGGGAGGGAGGGAAAGAAGGAAGGAAGGAAGGAAGTAAGGAGGGAGGGAAGGAAGGAAGGAAGGAAGGAAGGAAGGAAGGTAGGGAGAAAGGAAAAAGAGAATGAGAAGAGAATGCAATCAACATTCCTGACACTAAAATATCAATTCAGGGCTCATGAGACCAGCCTAGGAGAGTGACAAAAATATGGACAGACTTGGATTCTCTGTCCAGTTTTAATACTCACTGCCTGAGTGGCTGTTTGCAAGTTCCATGCCTGTGTTTCAGTTTCCTCACCTGTGAAATGGTTAGAATGATATTTACATATAGACAGTATTTGAAGTGAATGTATGTGAGGCAAATAGGAGAGAATATGTATGCCTTGGATTCTGAACAGAGGCCTTCCTAAGGTATTTTTCCCAGGGCAACCTGACTTCTTCAGACCCCACACTCACAGGGAGTTTTCACTACAGGCACTTTCTATTTTATGACATTTTGATGTTAGAAGGACACCCGTCTCTGCAAGTTAGATGCCAGTATGTGTTGTTACCAGCCTGAAAATGTGTGGATTAAGAGTGGCAGAGAGTAAATCACTGCATAGCAGGCACAAATCACAGCTGGAATACAGCAGAAGCTGGAAACCTAATTGAACTGAATGGCATTCACACAAAGGGAAATCTGGGAATCCTGCCAGCATCTTCCCAGAATAGTAATTTTTCATTTACATTCACCCCAATTCCCCCTCCCCGTCAAGGCAGACCTTCTGTATCATCATCTTAACTCCCTAACTTTTCCTCCCCTCCCATCCATGTGGCAGAAACAACTGGATTCTTCCTGGGCCCAGGGATATTATTTGTAGGCAACTACAAATCAATGTGCTGAGCACTGTCCATCTACTTCACAGAGAGAGGCCAGAAGAAGAGTCATGGGTTGGGAACATGGAGAGTTTTACCTAAGCTGCCAGGGTGTCATCAGGTCCTTAGGGCCAAGGAAGAATAGAGAAGGTTTTTATGCTATATGGCCCTAGCAGTTCTAAGATAGACTGGTTGTTCTAAGCTCAGTGATGAAATAATCCCTACAAGAGAGTAAAGGAGACTTATCCTCACTACCATTGATCTAGTACGGAATGAGTACAACTGTGTTTCACAATTTTCAGCATTTTAGACATAGAACATCATCCATAAGGATTAGAAAGTATCTACATTGGAAGTTTCCCTGAAGTTTAAAAACCTAAAATACCATTTAAATTGAAAAGAAAATATAATGAGACTTTGGACAATAATGAATTTAACCCATAGTTGACTGCTAAAGCAACATATATAGTACCATGTTGTACAAGCCTAGACATTTGCCAACAATCTTAGAAGTACAATCTTTAAATTAATTTATTCTGCAAACACATTTTGAGTGTGTGGTATGAGTCTTAACAATAATAATAAAAAATAACATTTATATGAAGCTTTCAAATTTATGGAATACCTTATCTCATTGAGTCTCACAAAAATTCTTTGAAGGAGAATTATTGCAATTCTTATTTTACAGATTAAGAAAACAATTCGTCAAGAGCAAGGTCATTTGTTCAAAGTTACATGTCTTGAAAGTGATAGACCTATGGAAAAAAATGTATGCCTTTTGATCCCAAGTCCTTGAATTCATGCCTATCTTTTTCTCCTTGTCTTTACTAATTTCACTGGAATTGCATCTTAGTTCTAGATCCTGAGACTATTTTTTCTCATATTCTGATGAAAAATCATATTTTGTTTATTGTTTTCTCAAGTCTAATTTATTTCCACAAAAATACTTTCAGAGATTTGTCCTATAAAGTTGCCTCAAGAGATTAACTCTTTAGGTCGGTGTCGGCTAACATTTTCTATAAATATTCTAGACTTTGTGGGCCATACAGTCTCTGTTGCAACTACTTGACACTGACATTGTATTGGAAAAACAACTATAGACAATACATAAACAAATGGGTGCGGCCAGTTCCAATAAAACTTGATTTACAAAACCTGGCAATGGACCACATTTGGCGTGCAGGTTTGCCAATCCCTGCTTTAGATTCATATTTCTTTCCAGTAACCTTGCAAACTAGTAAATGTCCTCAAACTAGGATTTTTATTATCTGTCAAGTGTCTTAGGCATTTATGGGAAATGTTCAAGTTTTCCACCCTTTAGGTCAAAGACAGCCCATGTCAATTAGAGGAAATAAAAAGCCACACAAGCTGACAAGATAAGTGGCTACCAGCACACAAGCAGAACAGTAGCTCAGTGCATTCACAGCATAATGTAGAAAAAGGACTTCATGAGTGCTTTTCTGTCTTGAGTAAGAAGTTTAGGGTGTAAGGAAGTAAAGTGAGGAAAAAAATATCATTTTAAGTGCTTATTACAAGCCGAGCACTGTGCAAGATATTTTATACATATTTAATTCCCAGACCATGACTCTACCACGTTTATTGTTGGAGAAACAGATCTTTGGATTACTGAGTATCTTGCCCAAGTTCATACAACTGGCAAGAGGCAAAACTGGAATTCAAGCTCACTCTTATCTAATTCCAAAATGAGCATTATTTCGAGTTGCTATGCGGTCCACCCAGGAATGGGCTGACATTCCTCACTGATATGAATGGTATTCTTACACATCCCCAGCCTTGAGCACAGAAGAGTTACTAAGGCAAGGTTCTTAAAGATATCATTGGATTAATTATTTTGCTCAACTTTTACCATGAAATGAAAGGTACAGATAAATATGTAAATTTCAGAATCATTTATTGAAAGCCATTGTCTCTTCTGCTGTTGACAAACTCAATTAAATAGACTTTATAGTCATTAATGGGGGAAAATACATCATTGACCCATGTGATTAATGAGTTAGCAAAACCAATATCATGAAACTGTGAGTCAGCTCTGACCTATAACAGAAGGCAAAGCAGCTTCCAAGACAAGCAACACATTTCCCAAAGCTAATACACAATAACGATGTATGGCTTTATAACTTTGGGTGAGGATGCCGGGAAGATGTCAGTGACCTCCCTATTGCACAGTATCTCTATATCTTCTATAATCTGGAAAACACAGAGTTCACAGGGCAGGAGATGGTAGACTCTTTTCTGAAGCAGCTGTTCTTTCTGATGATTTTTTATAATTATACTTCTTTCTTATAGTGGTGTGGGAACCTTGATCTGAAAAAAATCATTTGTCTAAAGGGTGCCTATTAATATGATATTGAATAAAAGACAATAAACCAAGCTCTTTGGGGTTTTAATTCAAGATCAGGATAGAAACATAATTTTTATTTATTATTATTTAGTTTGAACTATTGGGAAGATTCAATTATTTAATATCTTTTGCCATTATTTCTCAAACTGTATTGACTGGAGAGTTGGCATCTTGCAAGTAGACAATAGGTGATCCATTGCGAAGGGTGGGGGGTGTTGTGAAGTGAAGGTGCACAGTGACTTCAAGGACTGAATATTTGAGGAAGTTGTATTAATTACTTATTACCGTGTAACATACGGCTCCAATGCTTAGCAACATAAGGCCACAAATGTTTATTGCCTCACAGATTCTGCGGGTCAGGGATCTAGTCTCAGCTTAGCAGCATGCCTCTGGCTTAGGGGCTCTCATGAGGCTCTCAGTCACGGCTGTAGTCATCTCAAAACTCAACTGGGGCTGGAGAATTTGTTTTGAAGCTCACGCACATGGCTGTTGGCAGCCTCAGAACCTCCCTTTTCAAGTGTACTCATGTGGCTGCACATCTTGGATCCTCACCAAGCGGGTTTCACTAGACGCTTCCTGAGTGTGTTCACAACATGGTAGTCGGTGATCTTAGAGCAAGAGAGAACCAAAGAGTGTCCCAGACAAAAACGTAGATATTTTTATAATCCAGCATCTAAAATGATATCCCATTATTTATGCTGCATTCTATTCATTAGAAAGAAAATTATTCAGTCCAACCTCTACTCAGAGGGAGAGGAATGAGTATACAGGCCATGAATAGCCGGAGGTAGGAGTCACTGAGGGCCATCTTAGAAACTGTCTACCACAGAAGTCCTGGGTTAAACAGAATTCAAAGATGTATTGAGTACAAAACTTCTCAGAGTTTTTAGCATACAAATGTATTTTGAGTCTCTCTAAAAGAGCATTAGAGTAGGGAACACTGAACTTCTTAGAGAGTAAGATGGTAAATATTTTAGGCTATGGGCCTCAAGATATCTGTCCAAACTATTTGATCCTGCTGTTCTGAAAGCAGACCATCCATAAGCAAGTTGATATGGCTGTGTTCCCATAAAACTTCATTAACAAAAATACCACATTTTGCAAACCTCTAAATTAGAGGATACAGCTTTGGATGATAATATTTAACCACAATGACTTTTTGTCATGCAATCCCTATCCTCCAAACAGAGTGAACGGCTGCCACCCATGCATCTGCAATTTGTCAGTAAATGCAAAAATGTCAGCAACCATGAAATGCTTTAAGCACACTCGCTGAAATATTATTGTTTTTTCTTGTTTGTTTAGAATCATGGAGCACTTTAGGGTCTCTAGGATTCTTGAAATTATAGATTATTGACTTCATGATTGTGGAATCCATGTCTGCAGCTACCACCATATTTGCCATGTCTAGCAGAGGTGGAGTCTTAATAGACTCTTAATATCTTCAAAGGAATAGGTGGATGATTGAACGAATCCCAACCTTCTATGTTTCTATTTCCTTCTTCTTTGTCATTATCTATATTGTACCTCCCCAAATGCCCACATTCCAGAATATAAAATGCTTTGACCTGCAGCTGACATCATCCCATAGAATCTACCTGCTTTTTTCCCTTAGTCATGCCTGAGTCTGCAGGTCAGAATTATAGTAATGGCCCCAGATTAACTCAGCATGGGTCTGCTCACCCTTAGCCTTGGCTTTACCACCAAAAAACTTGAGAAAGGCAGGCTGGCAGGAAGAAAGGACCAGAAGAAAGAGATGAGAAAGAGATAAAGCCAACATGTTTGACAAGACCTCAAGGTATCATGACTGAGATAGGAACTTTATATACATTATGTTATTCAATACATAAAACACAACTTTGAAAGTGGTATTACTAATTACATTTTGCAAATGAAGAAAGAGTTTTAGAGAGGTTCCATGACTTGCCCAAAGTGACAAATCAAATGGCCAAAGGAGAAACCTGCTCTACATTGACTCTAAAGCTCATTCTTTTATGGCTAGTCTGACCACACACCCCAGTTTGCCTTGGACAGTCCCATTATACACCTGTTGTTTTGAAACAGTTTTCAAAATCATCCTTTGTACTCTCTAAAGTGTCCCATTTTACATAATAAATTATCTCATCATCTGCCTATGATCTTTTGTTTCTCTGGGGATAGCTCTGGCTTCTACCATGGAAACAACTACTACTTTTGGTTAGAGGCCATGGCTGGGAATTTTACCCCAGAGCCAGGGGCATTCCAATGGGGAGAATAGTAATTGCCCAAAATAGTGTGTAGAACTCTTGCCAGGACAGTGGGTGTTATATTGTACATGTTGGGGGACAGAGGGCATGTAGCATGAATGTCATCATAAAGGAGCACACAGGTGTGGTTAGACAGAGACAGGCACATGGCATTTATTTCTAAGCCATCCTCCAAAGTATTTTGCTTTCATTTGCCTCATGGAAAGAATTTCAAATGCAGTCGTTTTTCCACATGGATTCTTATAAAATAAAATGTTTTGCCTTTCTCTCTTAAAGTTCTCATTACTTCTTTTGTTTTGAGTTAATTCCGTCTGCTTGGAAGTTTACATAACAGATTCCTCATCTGGACATGGCTTAAGGAGTCCACTCTTCCTTGGCACTTAACTTGTACTTATTATTCAGTCTACCAATCTTAGCACATTTTTAATAATTCTCTTCATATTGGTCACTTTCTACGTACATTTGTGATCCTCCTCTCTCCTCTAATCAAGATGCCTAACATTCTTAGGGTACTTTAGAGTTTGTGAAGAGTATCACATACATTATTGTGTTTGATCCTTACAACAACCCTGTGTGATTGCTGAATTGATCCACATTTTAGAGATTTAAAAATCTGAGATTCAGAAATGTTCAACAACTCAATCAAAATCGTATAGTTCCTAAAAGTTGACAAAGCTAGAACAACTTGCAGAAAAAGATCATGTCTGATTCATCTCTGTATCTTGTAGAATGCCTTGCTTATAGCAGGTAAGCAAGATATTTATATTTGATGACTAACTGATTTAATGAGCAAATATTTAACATTTAGCCTTCCTAATGAAATATAATTTCTCTCCTAAGACAGTGTTTGAAATCATGTCACATGAGAAATGACCGAAGAATATGTTTAGACTGGGGAGAAGTGCCTTAGAGAAGAAGGTTGAGAAGAATTGAGAGTTCTCATGTGGAAGAACTATTGAATTTGGGTACTCCATCAATGGGGATTGTTGTATGGAGGTTATAAATATTTCAAGTCATTATAGAAACACACATTGCAGCAGGTAGAATTTTCTAGATTTTAGAAGACTCTCATGAGGAAGTGAGATTCCTATCCCAAAGGATATTTCAAACAGGAGCTTGACACATTCTCTGCTTGAAGATGGTAGACAGGATTCAACATTGCACGTGGCAGTTGAAGTGGCTGATTGTTATTGCATTCTCCTGGCTGTAGGTGTCTGATACATTCTATTAAGATTTATTTTGATCTCTGAATTCTATTGAATTGTCTCCCTAATGTGCCCAAAAGCTGTTTGAATTGACATGCTGCTGAGAATTCTGAAATACTGACACAAGTGTCCATGAATGCCACATCTTTGTTCTGTCTCCCAGCAACCATTCTTGTTTTCATGTCAAAGCATCCAAGCCTTAACCACACATATAGTAACAACAGGTGTAAACCATTTAAAGATGGCTGCATCATGCTACAAAAAAATGAGGTTGATGTCACTGTGACATGCTGCCCAAAGACTATTCACTGCAAGGGGCCTTGGTCCCTTCCTCAGGTCCAGAGTCAAGGGATCACACACTCTGCAAATGGTTTCAAAACACTTTTCCAATCTGAGGCCCATAGGAGAAAAGCTGAGGTTAACCCCCAGTATATCTGTATTCAGGATAACCTGAGCACACAAACCAGCTCATTGATTATTAAAGGTAACTGGCAAATGAGTAGTGGGGAAAGATGGAGTTTATAGGTTTTTAGCTTCCACTGCATAGGAGGTAAGATATGGGTGACTCAAGAAACAAAGCGGGGTAAAAGTGGTAAGAAATTTAGAAATTTTTAAAAAAATTATTAATTTTACAGATGAGGGAACTGAGGCATAAGCAGGGTAATTGACTGGTTCAAGTCACACAGGGTAAGCATTAGAACATGAACTCCTCATTCCTATGCTCTCCTGTCTCCCACTTGTCTGTGTAAAAGTGGAAAGTACAAGATACAGGAGTTTGCCTAAGCCAGGGCCCAAGAACTGCACTGCTTATCATAGTGGAATGCACCCCAAATCACAGGACTTGGGAGGATTCTGCAATTTCCTAATGTCACATATGCTTGTTTGTCTTTCCTAAATCGAATTTTCTTTCTCTGCAAAAGCAAGGCTTAACAGTGATCCATTCAACTCACATTTACTAAAAACCTGTAGAAGCCATAAGGCTCAGTGATGAACAGGACTACTGAAGTCAGAGTGCTGAGTCTACACCACGTACACAGGAGTTTTACTTACAGCAGCCTCTAAGGCTTGCTGAGCCTCAGTTTGCTCCTGAATGCTCACAATGTGCTAGACTGTGTTCTAAGCACTTTGCATGTATTTTCTTATTAAAACCTTATGCCCATGCTCTGAGATAGTTCTGCAATTTTCCTGATTTTATATACTCAGAAACAGAGACACAAAAGTTAGGTCATATGCTGAAAATTGCACCAGCTATCTCAGAATATGGATATTAAATCACTTAACTCAATCAAATCCCTAAACAGAGAGCAAGTTTTCAGTAAATGTTACCTTCTCCTATTAATATTTCTTCTTCCTCTACCACCAGCACCATCAAGACCACAGCACTACAGCAGTATTTCTCATCCACTGCCAGGTGCTAGGGATATGAAAGGAATTATTCTCCTTACCCTCAGGAGCTCACATGCTACCAGAGAGGAAAACAGTTCTCCCAATGAGAATGACAGCATGATGGATAATCTCAAAGTGAGTCTGTCTGCAGATTTTCTCAGAGGGATCAGGACCTGTGGTTCATTTACCCAGCCTGCTCATACTGACCACCAAAGCCAACAACAGTGACAATCACATATCCTGCAGAAATAAGTGCTACCTGCTGTGTTTCTCAGAGTCATCAACTAAGAAGGACTGTTCTTCAACTAGAAGTAATGATGTTATCATTATTATTACTATTATTATTATTATTAGAATTCATTAGAAACCATCTAGAAGTTGATTATTTGTTAGGTCCTCTCTTTAGTCCTTTGGGGCTGCTAGAACAAAATATCATAAACTGTGTGACTTCTAAACAATGGAAATTTATTTTTTTATAGCTCTGGAGTCTGGAAGTCCAAGATCAAGTCACCAGCAGATTCCATGTCTATAGGAATGGACATGGTTCCTGGTCCACAGACAGCTGTCTTCTCTCCATGCCCTCATATAACAGAAGGAGCAGGTAGCTCTCTGAGGTTTCTTCCATAAGGGCACTAATCCCATTCATGAGGGCTTCACCCTCATAACCTTATCACTTCACAAAAGCCCCAACATCAGTACCGTCACATTGGGGATTAGATTTTGATGTATAAATTTGATGAGGGCACATAAATTTAGTCTATTGCAGTCTTCTTTAGGATTAGCTAATGTAATTCTTATGATTCTTTGATGCAACTAGACTTGCCATGATTAAATAAATGGGAAAAAAGTCCAACTTCACTGTGCTAGCAGCAGATCCCAAATTTGAACCAAAATTTGTCTGTCTCTAAAACCAGCATACTTACCTCAAAAATAAGTATTAAACATTATTGCTAATGAATGCTAAAATAAATTATATGCTATTCAGTAAATAATAATATCGTATAATCAAATTAATTATCAAATAATAATTGATATGATTTGGTCGTATCCCAACCCAAATCTCATCTTGAATTGCAGTTCCCATAATCCCCATGCATCGTGGAAGGGACCTGGTGGGAGGTAATTTAATCACAGGAACAATTACCTTCATGCTGTTCTTGTCATAGTGAGTGAGTTCTTACGAGATCTGATGGTTTTATAAGGGGCTGTTCCCGCTTTTGCTCGGCACTTCTCCTTGCTGCTGTCATGTGAAGAAGAATATGTTTGCTTCCCCTTCCACCATGATTGTAAGTTTCCTGAGGCCTCCCAAGCCCTGAGGAACTGTGAGTTGATTAAATCTCTTTCCTTTATAAATCACCCAGTCTCAGGTATGTGTTTATTAGCAGCATGAGAATAGCCTAATACAATAATATTAATATGTCATAATATTCTATACTATAGAATATGATTAACCTATTTAACAGAAAGAAGTAGTATAAATTTACTATTAATACCAATATAAAGAAGAAAGAGGTAAATTAGTATAAATTTAGAGAAAATAAATAACCTATGTAGATAAATTAAGCAAAAAAAATAGAGAGCAGCTATAATAAATAAGGGCATTTATTTAAAAAGAAGATATATGCCGATTTAAGCACATTTATACACTGCAATTTTCTAGAAAGGTGTACATGAGACTTTTATTTGTGTATACTTCCAAGGAGTGGAACTTAGGTATTAGGGGCAGGTAAGGAGGGATTTATTTTTCACCATATATGTTTCTGTTTAGTTTGAGAAGTGAAGGCGTATTATTGTACAATAAAAATAAATGTGTAATTAAAAATCAGATACATTTTAAATAAATAGATTTTATTTCATGAACTAACAAATAAATAAATTTTTCACCTAATCACCATAACGACTAACAATACAGGAAAATGTGCCACAGCTCATTAAGATGCCCTAGGAAATACAAAGGAATGGAAGTGGGGTTTACTGAACACTCACAAGCTAGGCAGCTTTCTTCACCCACAGAAGTGCATATGATGACTTGGGTCTTATATATGAGGCAACTGAAAAACTGAAAGCTTAAGAAATATGCCCATGGACACACAGCTGGAAATTCAAAACTGAGCTTGAATCCTAGATCTTTCTCATCCTGAAATGTGTACTCTTTCCACATCTCTACCAGTGATAATTCTACAAGCACTTTGAAAACCACTTTTTCTTAGTCTTGGCAATACCATGTAAAGAAACAAGCTGTTAGTGAGGCTCTCCAGCGGCAAAGAATAAATGAAACATGGATGCACTTAAAAGGTATCGTTATTACTAACAATAAGAGGTTTAAATTGTTTTAGGAGGCAGCGAGGTGCTCAAAAGTCATCAGTATTATTCATTTTAAGGAAAGATTCATTCCCTTGTGTTTCTGGGCAGGGAGCCCATATGAATAAGATCACAAGTGCTGTGGCTACTCTGAGGTCACTGTGAAAAAATAACAGACCTTGATGATAAAGGAACTAGTTAGTCATCAATTCCATCCCCTTTGCCAACAAAAGAGACAATATTTAAAGAGTAGTAATCATTTGTATTTAACTCAGGCTCAATTCTTCTTTGAAAGTAGGCCTCCAAACACTCTGACTACTAACGTTATGTGAATTCTTACAGTTTTGAATGAATTTTAGAGAAATGGAAGCCCCATAACTGTTGTTTTATAATTTTAAAAAATGATTATCTACAAAGTGGAATCTACCCTTCTGCACATCACTCTAAGTGAGCTGAATGAGAATATGGGTGAGAGAATTAGCTGGAATTGGTAAGGATTCTGGTTCTTCCACATAGAGTGTATGCCTAAGAAAAGCCATAGGTAGCTGGTTTGAGTCCCAAATTGCTAAGAATGTTGCCTGGAACTTAGGTCAAATTTGCTTTCACTACTAAAGAAGCAAACAATCCTTGTGAAGGGCACACAAGACAAAGATACAGATGAACAGACATAATTCCTTGTGCTTCCTAGTTATCCATGGAAATGGGCCTGAGATTGAGTGGTTGTGTGGGAGAAGGTGAGAAAGTTATAATGTCAGAGCACTAAGAAAGGTAGGGTGGGGGTTGCTGGTGTTTATAATGTTAATTTAGAGGAAGGGCAGACCACCCTTCCAGCCTGACTACCAACAAATAAGGTAAACCCTGTGGTTTCAGAATTCACATACTTCCAATTGCTAATTTTCTTTCTGCATCTCAGGGACTACAGCAGGCCTGTCCACAACCTACAACACCTAGGGCAAATTACTTAACCTCTCTGAAACTTGGTTCTTAATATGTAATAGACGAATTGTAACACTTCTTTCATTGGCTTTGTATGTAGTAAACTTAAATGAAATCACCTATATAAAGCAATTTAGCATCAAGTAGGTGCTAAAAATATCACTTTTATTTCCACTCTGGCTTCATTCTCACCATCCACACATATGCTTATTCATACAGCCTTACCTTTCAAGGCTCCTGGGTGCATATGAACAACCACGTCTCCAAGATTGTTTTATTGAAGAAATGAAAATTCATTCAACCCTGAATACCTCTCACAAGGTTCCCGCCCAGACATGTAAGAGCCCGTACCTCAATTTTGTGCAACACGTCAAGGCCCTTACATTTATATAGTGCTTTTTCACCTCCAAGAAACATTCACATACAGGCTCCTTTTTTGATCTTAGGACAGATGCAAAACAACTATTATTACACCCATTTTATAAAGTCAAAAATTAAGACATCAAGAAGCAGAAACAGACTTGCCTATGTCTTAAGAAGCTTCTGAAGCATTCATCTCAGCTCTTTATATATTTCATCTAACCCATCACTTCCTGGATTTGAAATTCACCCAACCATCCAGGTTGAATCATATTATGTTGGGCTTTCTTCTTATTGATATGGCAACAGATGGTATTGTCACTTACTCTTTACAATAGAATAATTTATCAACATTTGCATAATTAACAGCAAACTTAAGAGAGAAAATATGAGGAAGAATTAAAAGTGTATTCTAAAGTTTAAACATGAAAGGACCTTGTCCCAGAGGGATTAAGTATTCCAGGTATTAACTGATAAGTTAAGATCGGATTTTACAACTCAGCACTCTTTCCATGGGAATACACTGGGGAGTTGGTTGTGTGTTTCCAGCAACAGGTGCTCACTGACTCAGGAGGTTTGCATGGTTCTCGTAATTTTTCTTATTGTAAGCCAAAACCTGCCCCTGTGCCAATGAAAACTTTAGACTATTAACTAACTTTGAACTTCTTTGCAAATCTCTAGAGACGGAATCGTTTTGTCTGAAAATATTCGGTTATTGGTCTGATATACTAGAATGCGTGCTAATAAAGATTATTTGGGGATGTTGCCTGTTAAAGCTTGTACCTGCCTTGCGGATCATCTAGGGATATTATACCTACTAAATGACTGGATTTGGAACCGGAACAAAGGATTTACAATTTCCAATCCAAGACATATTCTGTATACAAACAGTTGGTAAACTGCTTCTCAAAGAATCACAGGGTTCATATGCATTCATTAATTCCAGCAAAAAAAATTATTGTCCCAAATGGGACACTTTTAAGAATCAAAACAGTAATAATAATTATAACAATAGGTGTGTGCTCAGACAGTCCAATTTACCAGGACTGGCAAATGAGGTATATAATCAACCAGACAGTGCCTCTATTTTTGCACAGTGTTCTAGAAAGTGGGGAAAAGCAGACAATAAATAAGTAAAAAAAGCAAAGTTATGAGAAGAATCTTATAAAATAATACGGTGATGTGACGGGCAGTGGCTGAAGGAGGAAAGGCTGCTTTGGAAGGAGTAATACATTAGTGGGAAGGCTTCCTCCATTGAAGAAATAATATTTGACTGGGGAACTAAAAATTAAGAAAGAAGTAGTCAGTTGGAGAAAACAATGAATGCAAAGGCCTTTGGGTGGGAGAAAGGGTTTGCTATGGTGAGGATACAGAGAGGAGACCATTATAGAAGATGTGAAATGTGAAGCAGACAAGAGCCAAAATAAGTAGGGAGGTAGAGACAACAGGAAAAAATTCTCTGGGGGGTGTGTTGGAAGCTTCACAATATTTGACTCAACAATCGATTACATAATTACCATTTTTAAAAACTATAATAACATGCACACTCACATATGTTACTTAAATTATAAAATCTCGGAGACCCTCTTAGAGTGTTATATTGCATTAAATGAACCAGTTTTTGAGCAGAATTTAGGATAAAGCTTCTCTCCCTACCTCTGTACATATGGTTAAAATTCACGGAAATATATTATTATTTAGAAAGTTTTTTAGTTGGCATTCTTTCTTCTTGGAATTCAGGCCTATACACATCTGCTTGCATGAAATTGCATAAATGAGTGTATATACCACTAATACACACATACACTGCACTCAGTTAGATGCCAGGAAAGGCTGAATGTGCTCAGTGCATACTTTCATCACAGTGTGGTGTAGGTGGTCCAATAAAAAGTATATGCATTACATGGAACACCAGAGTATCATATTTTTATTTTAGTGCTTGTAGATTTTGGATCTTCTAGCTGTGGTATTCATCAAAAGAAATATGGCCCATAGCTAGATATTATTAGTGATTCAAGTTTGAATAAAAATGACCCAATGCTCTTGCAGCTCTTAGTCAATTTAACAAAAGAATGCATAGAGATTGCAAGGCAAGTCCTTACCTAACTGTAACTTTCACATCTATGCTCCCATGAGAGTAGATACTTACTTGATACTGCAAATTCAAAACAAGAAAAAAACACCCACAATCAAATTGAGAGCTGACTAATATGAAATAATTATTATCTCAGATCTGCAACTCCACATATTTATTTCATCAAAACAGCTTCAAGGATCTTTTTATTTATTTATAGTAAAATAAGTGTAATAAATTAGAACTTCTAAAATAGGGTCATGCCAATGGATTTAGTGGGTTTAATCAATGGCTTTCCACATAAGATTTTGTCTGAGAAAAGTTAGTTGCTAAATATATTTAAATAAAAGGGAGATACACCTCCTTTTCCCTTACCATTTGTTGAATCTTGTGGGGAAACTTCATCTTGTTCAGCCTCAGTTGGCTTATTACCAAATGGGTTTAATAATAGTTTACTATCTCAAGGACAGGGAATCGCAACAAATAAATGTTGACACTCCTGTTTGAAAGTCAACAATTCTACATTCACATGGTGCTGAAAATGGGACCCTCTAGGACTTAGGGTGTGGTAGTTGACTTCCAGTGATTAGGACTATGTAATCGTGTGAGGCCCACATAAATAAAACACATGCAAGCCAGAGAGTCCTTCCAGAAAAATGTGGCTGTCAGCATCAAGAGACAAGTAAGTGCTGTGCTTCTGAGCTTCATTGAAAGAGTCACATTCAATCCACCCCTTCCTTCAAAACTGACTTTATTACTGTGGCTTCAAGTTCCACAGAAGAAAAACCACAAAGTATGTGCAAACTAGATGAACAGTCTGTGCTGATGAGAGAAAAAAAATAGAAGACCATTGAGGTACAGGGCAAGCCAGACAAAATGTCTTCTGTGCATCTCTTGAAACCGTCCATAAGAACTAGGTGCTAGAATCCAGACCTTTGATTGGCAGCCTTCAGCTAGGTGGGAGGGTGATAGGGCCACTCCAGGCCTGGAGATGAAGCAGGGGCCTGGTTTGGATTTAGGAGTCCATAAGGAACAGGGAAATTTTGTAACACAGTTTCTGGAGCCCAGGAAAAGCATGCAGGGAAAGGGGAGAGATTTATTTCTTTCTCTTACATTTTTCCTGCATGGTGAACAGAAAGGTGACTACATATTTGCCTGGAAAATATTAATAATTCATCCAAGTGGTGGGGTTTTTTTAGAACCCAACACTGATTGAAATTTCAGACAAGACATTTAACCCCCTGTGCCTCGGTTTCTCCCATTTGTAATAAAGGGGTATAAAAATGTCAATAATGTGATGTCTGAGATATCTATGCACATATATACTGCATTCAGTTAAATGCCAGGAAAGGCTGAATGTGATCATTCAGTGAACACATTCACACTGGGAGCTTCTAGAACTTAGGGTGTACAGTGAGCACATTCAATGTGTTTGAAAAGCAGATCCTTGGAACTCAAGATTAATAAGTCTATGATTTTTGAGAATTCCTGAAATTTTGACTACCACTTCATGTAGTTTCTTTCACAAAATGCGGTGAAG
Organism: Homo sapiens; assembly: GCF_000001405.40. Taxonomy (NCBI): domain Eukaryota; kingdom Metazoa; phylum Chordata; class Mammalia; order Primates; family Hominidae; genus Homo; species Homo sapiens. The sequence continues at coordinate 128,510,171 of NC_000008.11, read as the reverse complement.
TATAAAAGAAAAATTGAAGTCAATAATGTGTAGATACTTGGGAAGTGTTATGACATATCCAAAGTTGAGAAATAAACTTCTGGGAGGAGCCTACTCATTTGTATATATACTAGTGAGTGGTTCTCAGATTTTCAGATTCTGTGAATGAGTAAAAAGTTTTGTTTGCTTTTTAACTAAGAGACTTTTATAAGTTTTTCAGGATTTTATTTTAGCTAAATAAAATCATTAAAAAAAACCCCCCACAACTTCTGTCTGCATCATTTCATGAAGGAAGATCTTCTTAATTAAAAAAAAAGTAATTGAAAAGACATAATCTCAGGATAAAAGACAATTTTGTCCAAGGAAGAACAGTTGGTAAAACTAATATATGAAAACACAGAGAAATCTCAACAAGCATTGACAGATGATAATATTAAGGAGCATAAAATTTTTTATACTTGTTTGAAAATCGGGCATCTCTGTAAACATTAGCAACATGAAGTAGAATTAGAATATGCAACTTGATCTGACATGCCATTGTTGCAAATCTATTTTCATGTGATAGGAATGAGAACAATGCCCTGGATGCTATTTGTTCAATTAAGTTACAAATTTATCTGAGACTTCAGCTCAGCTTCAGACCCATGATATGTGTCTTGGTCATGAACTACACCAGCATTTGAAATCATTGTGATCTCAGTGATGCTCCCAGCTCACAAGCCCCATGATTCAAGCCGGAGCCACTATAAAATTAGAAAATAAACCCTTATGAGACGTTATTACTAATCCGGTGTTTCACAATGAGATGGTAAAGCCATAAAGAAGTTAAATAAGTCATTCAAATTCTAACTGGTACTAAGTGGCATTTGATTCAAAACCGTGATGCTTGGGTTCCTAACTAACATAGTCAATACTATATAATAACAGTTAACATTTTTGATCATTTATTATGTACAAGGCATTGTGTGAAATATTTTACATTCATTATGTTAGCACATCCTCCCAAAAACCCACAAAACAAGTTCTGTCATTATTCCCATTTTATAAGAGAAGAAAAAGAGGCCCAGTAATTAAATCTCTTGCCTGAGACCCAAGAAGAATGCGAAAAGGCAGCCTAATTCCAGCCCTGTCCTCTTAAACCCTGATATATGTCCCTGTACCTCAGGTGTTTAATTTCAATGTTAACAAGAACTTCAGTTTCTGGGAAGGTAGAAGCAACAGGCATTGCTCCTATTAAAATTACTAGAAAAAAATAAAAATAATAAATTACAAAAAGGTCATAGTTAAAAAAAAATAAATCATTGGCAAGCTGGAGAGACAAAGAGGACTGGATGACCTAGAACTATAGAAAAGAGCGCTCATAAGGCAAACTGAGATTCTATCATTTTCTTCTCTGAGGGTATTTGCCAATTCTGGATACAAGCTAAAGCTTGGGCTTGGGGAGGTTTGGGGATTGGCCTAGGCCAATAGTCTCCAGTGAGGCATGTTGGGGCAGAGGGAGAAAGCCATAGAAGTTTGGCAGCCATAGGGACTAGCAGAACATAATGGAACCTGAAAAAGCCCCAAGGAGGCATGGAGGCATAAAATCCTGAAAAGTCAGGGCAAAATCTCCTGCATTCTTGAAATATTTGGCAGATGAAATCCTTATAGGGAAAAAAATCCTGCAACAAGCATTCAATAGGCTTTCCTCTTAAGACATTTGCCTTATTTTGATGCTGCTTGGGGTAGGAGCTTAAAGTGATAAACTCAAACCTCTCAGAGGTAGATATATTTCCTCCAAAAGATATTGGAGATAAAATGGAATAATAAAAATTTACTCCATTAATCCAGAAGATGGCAAGAAAAGAGGAATAAAGGCCAAAGAAATAGGGCAAGTAGAAAATAAATATCAAGACACAAATGTCTTGATATTTTATTTGTAATTATATTAAATATAAATTGACTACTCATTCCAATTCAATGAAACTGTCAACCAAAATTTGAAAAAGAAAAAAAAAAAGATTAAATGATATGCTGCTTATGAAACACACTAAAAATTTAAAAGATGTTGGAAGTTGGAAATAAAAAGACAGGAAATGCCATATCACATGTATAACCAAAAAAGTTGATGTGGTCATAGCAGTTTCAAATAGACACATAGTTAACTTTAAGGCAAAAAGTATTATCAGAGTTTTTTTTAAAGAAAAATCATTTTATAATGTTAAAACTTTCAGTTCAACAAGATGACTTAATAGTTCTAAATTTATAGACACCTAATACTACAGCTTCGACATATGCAAAGATAACGGCAGTAGATAGGCACTAGAGAGGAAAAGAGGTCGTAACACTATAATATTGGCAAAAATAGACCTGTCTGGCTCCTAAGCCCATCCTCCTCATACCGTGCCAATACTGTGCCTACTTCTCACCCTCAGCCTCTCAGAGGCTGTTATCATTGGCCATGTCAGTGGCAACTGTAGTCATGTGGGCCATTGCACAGTTCGTTTTAAGATGCTGTGAAATGTGCAATTGGAGAGTGGAAGTTGCCCCAAGCAAAAGACCAGGCACACTGTGTCCTTCAGGATTTATCTCTTTTACTTGGATCAATAGTACTTGGCTTAGTACTCTTTGTGGTTGTGGCGATAACCAATAATGGCTCATATTTACTTTGCAAAAGGATAAGTCTTCTGTGAGCCTAACTTTTGGCACAGTTTGATTAGCATGTGCACAAATATCACACTTTCCATCCTTGGGCAAGGAGCTGATTAATAATCTTGACCATTACTGTTTATGGTTTTGTGTTGACCGTTTTTGTTTTCTGTGAACTTTACTCCTTTTAAAAGGTTCTTAATCGTGCCTAGAGATTTGCTATCTCCCTTCAATTTGAGGGTAATTTAGGACAGAGGCAGTGTCAAGGCCAATCCTCAGCAATATTATGAGGAAGGCAGTTTCTCATTGGCCATGGAGTGGAGGGAAGCAGTTTACCCTGTTGGAGAGATCCCCTTCCCCTCCACGCCTCCTCAGATGATTACACATCTCCCTGTATCTGTCCTTACATCCACTGAAACCAGCACTCTATGCCTTTAATTCTTATTTATATTTAGGTGTTTGTGACTAAAGACAGTCGAGAAGGTATCGCCTTAAAAATAGTTGATTCCTAATAAATGGAATATGCAAACTAAAGAATGAAGCTTGCATAAAGCAGGTTTCAGTAAAGCATGTCCTTGAAGCTAACAGCAAAGTCACACAACCGGGAAGTGCTGGAGTGATTTCAAGTCACAAAGCTAGGTCTTTGCACACCTGAAGGACGTCCCAAGGCAGATCTCTGCCTCTTGTTTTCAGTGTTCTGTCACTTTTCCAGTCTATACTCTCATCCTTGGATTTTTCATTCTGCCTTTTATCCATTTGTTTAACTGATTATATTGTGAATCTACCCTGTGCCAAGCACTATGCTGGGGCCTGGGTGAATCTTTGAAAAAGAGCATCTCAGCCCTCAAGCTCACCGTCTAGAGGGCAGAAAAATGTAACTAAATAGTCCACCTCAATACATGATATTCACAGAGGGCAAAGAGTATTGAGAAAGAACCTTACCCATCACAGACTATTTGAGAAACCCTTCAAGGAAAAGATCACTTCTGAAAGAGAAATAAAGGAGGCTGATTTGGCCAGAGGAAAGAGGTGTGGGTAGCAGGACATATCAGGCCCTAAGAATTTCATGGGTAAAAAAAAGAACAAAGCAAAATATTAGCATTTTTTTTGAGAAAAGTATGAGCCACTTGGAGTAGCTTGAGAGAGAATGGCAAAAATGAAGGTGAGGTGGTAGCAGAAATACTAGACCATTATTATCCTCATCCTCTTCATCCTCCTCATCCTCTTCATCAACATCCTCCTCAAAGAAACTAACATAATTGGAAGCTTACTGTGCACAAATCACTGTTCTAAACAGTTTTCAAGTTTCAAATCATTTATTGCAAATCTCTAGGCACAATTAAGAACCTTTTAAAGGAGCCAATTTCACACATTGTGTAATATGTTATATGCCCCTGAATAATGCTTAAAGTTTGTCCCATAAAAATAAAATTAATCACACCCATTAGGATGGCTGCTATCAAAAAAAAAATCCAGAAAATACCAAGCATTGGTAAGGATGTGGAAACACTGGATTTTGTGCACTGCTGTTGGGAATGTAAAATGGCATAGCCACTGTGGAAAACAGTATGGCAGTTTCTAAAAAAATTAAAAATAAAATGAATAAATGATCCAGCAGTTGGTTCTGGGTATATACCCAAGACATTTTAAACACACCTGTGTTCATAGAAGCATCATTCACAATAGCCCAAAAGCGAAAGCAACCCAAGTCCCTGTCAATGGTTAAAAGGACAACCAAAATGTGCTATACGTACAATGGAATATTATTTTGTGTTAGAAAGAAAGTAAATTCTTACATATGCCACAACATGGATGAGCCTAGAAGACATTACTCTGGATGAAATAAGCCAGACACAAAAAGACAGATACTATATGATTCCAGTTATATGAAGTGTTTTGCTTGAAGTAGTCAAATTCATACAGACAGAAAGTAGAATTGTGGTTGTCAGGAGTTGAGGGGGAGAATGGGGTGTTTTTACTTAAATTGGGTACAGAATTTTTATTTTATAAGATGAAAAAATTATGGAGCTGGATGGTGATGACTGTTGAACAATATTAGGAATGCATTTAATATCACCAAACTGTACACATAAAAAATGTTACTAGGGTAATTTTGATATAATGTGTTCTACTTCGATAAAGAAGTAGAAAAAAGAATAAAAAAATTTAATGGAATAAAAAAGCGAGCTTTTTATTTTAATGAATCACACTGATATCTACAGGAAGAATTGATTTAAAGAGGGAGAACCTGAAAACTGGGAGGCCAGTCTAAAGGCAGCTAAAACAGTTGTTGCAAAAGAGTAAGAATTCCATAGTTAGGGCATATGAGAACAGAGAGGAAGGAGGAGATTCAAGAAATATGTATGAAATAAAATTTTGGAACTAATTATTGGATTTTGGAAGGTAATGGGAAGAAGATAAGAACAACTGGATTGACTATCAGGCTAATAGCTTGGCAGTCCAGGTTGGTGGTGTTACTGCTAATTGAAAAAGAAAATAACAGAGGGTAGGTTGCTATGTTCTGATCTAGACAACTTAAGTTTGAGTGACTGAGGACATCCAGATGAAGATGTACCACAGGTCATGCAATCTAGAGCTTGACAAGGAAGTGACCCACCTACAGGTCATCATTGATGCTATAAGCCCAGTGAAATATTGTGAAACACCAATAATAAAAGAGTGGACAAGGGAATGGGAGACCAAAAAGGAGAAGGCCTACGGCACACATGGAGAACAGAATCAAAAATGACAGTGATTGAAATGCAGAAAAAAATGATCTGCTGGGCTAAGGATGAAAACACACCTGTTTGATTTGACAAAATAAAAAAAGAAAATCATTGGGCATTTTACAGACAGCAGCAACAAGAAAAAAAGGAGGGGACAAATGTCAGGTTGCAGCCAGTAGATAGTGAATGAATTAGAGGTGAAGTCGAGAGTGAATGGGATGCAGGTAAGAGGCTGGAGAGTGAGCAAGAGCACAGTGTCAAGTGTTCTATTTTTTATGGTGACTGAGCCTTGAGAAAGGAAAATGGTAGAGTAGAAGGAAGCAACTGGAAGGAAAAGTTGGAAATACAAGAAAGGGAAATATCTACAAAGCAACTTCCCAGAGCTGAAGGTAGGAGGGTTAAGATCAAGGCACATATGGAAGAATTAGCCATGAATGTGAGGAGGGAAATCTCACATACTAAGGCTGAAAGAAAAGGAAGAAAGAATAGAAGCAGATAAGAATAGATATGTAGGTCGTCAAGGAAGACCACTGAAAATTTTTATTTCTGCTGGTCTCGATGGTAAAGTGATCTGGTAAGAAGAGTTTGATGAGGTGGCTGCAGGCAGTAGTGATAAAGGTTTGAAGGAGTCATGAAGGAATGAGAAACAGTGGCAAAGGACTGATGGGAAGTGAGAAGGCTCAGCAGGGTTTGGGTTGGTGCTGAGTTTCCCCAGTTTAGAAGCTGAGACAATGCACTGCAAATTGGTTTCAAGGCTGGTACCTTGCTGGGTGGGAAGGCAGAGGAGTAGAAGGTTTTCGGCTCCTCTTTTTTCCATCCATACCCTCCCAAGGTGTTCATTACTTTGATTTAGCTGAGTATTTTAATAAGATAAAAGACAACTACAATTCGGTCACTGGGGTACTGGGAATATAGTATGTGATTATGAAACTGCCTGACAATCCTAGGATTCAAAGGCTGACTCCACATATTATTAACCACCTGATCCTGGGGCAAGTTATGTAATCACTTTGAGCATCTGTTTAATCATTTGTAAAAAAATTATCAGCGTTAAATAAGCTTATATCCATATAGCCCCTGGTTCATCATAGGCATCAGAAAATTCCAGTTTCTCTTTCCTTTATCAACGCCTCACAAGAGAATATTCTTTGTCAGACTGGACCCAGCAAATACAAACCTGAGAAATTTCTTTCTTATTGTTGAATTTCCTTTGCAGCAGAACAATTCACTTGCAAAAATAAAGACTTATCCTGGGCCAACTTGATTAAGCCCTGGAGAATTGGGGTAATTCTTTCATAAAGTAATCCTTACCCCAAACTTCCATTTTTTTTTCAGGGCCTTAATTCAGTATGAATGAGTGTCTGCATGACTTAACACCACCATAAAATATACCATTATATCCACTCTTCGTTTTCGAAGGAGGAACAAACTGAATTAAGTTCACGTAATAACACCACCAATCCAAACCTCTGGCTTAAACAGGGGGCTTGACATTCTTAGAGATTATTTGATTCCTATTTTTAATAAACCAGAGCTTCAAATATTGAATGGTAGGTAAGTGACTCTGAAGCAAGACTTTAAACAAAAATAAGTCCTCATGCTAATTACATAATAAAAATCTTCTGTACTCACTTTCAGCATCCATCATTTTCTAATGTCAGCCATTGGTAGCATGAAGGAGGACATGACTAATGTCTTCATGAATAAAACAAACTGTTTCTTTCTGATTAGTGCCTCTGTAAGTATCCCAAGTTTTTTCTCTCCTGCTGTATGTACTGAGACAGATCATCTTGTGGATTCCCCTCAGCTGTGTGATCAATCCCCATGTGAGTCACGTCTATTTCTGCAAATGCTCTGAGTGCTGGGTTGACCAAGGAAAAGAACGAAATCCATTTGGTATCTTGTTTTTCCTGCCCTTCTCATCACTGCTACCTGCTACAGTCATTGGATATTCTGTTCTCCTTTGCTTTTTGGTGCCTGGGTTGAGTTCCTGATACCACTATGAAAAAAGTCTTTATTGAATTGAAATCCTGACCTGGTTCAGCAGGGAGGAAGGGGAAACAGAAGAGGTTTTCACTGTTGCAGAGGGACAGTTGCTGAGGGACAATACTTCCTATTGTTAAGAGGAAGTAAAGAGTGTTCATCAGGGTGCCAAGAGCCAAGGAAGAATTAAGTGAGATAATTGAAAAGATATAAAACAATATATATGAAAAGGCCTTTAAACTCTCCATTTCCATACAAATATTGATAGCCCTTGTAAAGGTGGAATTATGCATAGAATAGGGGTGGCGCTAGATAGCTTAATAAAAGCACCTAGGATTTAGCAGTTTCTATGCTGAACATTTAGGATGTGTCAGTGTATCAAACACAGTCCCAGCTGTTTGGTGGACTATAATTTAGGGTTGTCCTTAGGTCACCTTTCCATTGCCCTCTGATCCTGGACTTTACTATGACATCTGTCTGGAGAGGTGGGGACAGTGCCCATCCTAGAGCTGGAGGGTTGGCACAATGAAGAGGTCAGTGTCTTTTGCTTTTGTCCCATTTGTGAATCCTTATGCTTTTTCATCTGTCCCAGGGTTGTGCCTGGTGGATTTACTGTCATCCATGCAGAAACAACTCAGAGCATTTTTTCCAACCTGTTGCAGTGACGTAGGGCAATAAATGGGGACAACCAGCAAAGGGAGAAGAGGACCTAGGAAGAGGAGAGGGGACATATGAAGCAGAGCTGCGGAGAGGGGAGCTCTGGTGCTAATCAGAGCAGACAAGCCTTGTGCATGCTAACTAGAAGAGCCCTGAAGGCCTGTCTCATCAAATCTCTCCATTGATGAGATTGGTAAACCAAAGTTGAGAGACAGGAAATAACTCACCCAGAGCCACACATCACACTCACCAAATGGCCAATTTCTTTTTACCTGACCATTACATGGTGATACTTCTTTTGATATTTTTCATCTTAAGTGGAGCTCTAACCATCTTGTATAACACAGTGGTTAAGACCAAGGGTGTTAGCACCAGACTGTCTGAGTTCAAATCCCAGTTCTGCCTCTTAGTACCTGAGTGATCTTAGGGAAACACTTAACCTATTTGCATCTCAGTTTCCTCATCTCAGAAAAGAGATTATCTCTGTGCTTTTAGAACTAAATGTGTTAAAACATATAAAACCATAGAACAGTGTGCCTAGAATGCAATATGTTCTATGTAAGATTTGCTATCTATATATGGGTATATGTGTGTAATTGCTGTCAAGTCATCCCTCAAATATTACTCAAATTAAGCAAGCAAATTTAATAAACAATTTGTTTCCTCCTCATTTATTACTTGACTGTTCTCTTTTATCTGTTCTAAATGTTCACTGTGTTAAAGTGGTGTGTTTATTAAATACACTTCAGGAAGTGGGCTGGGTTTATATACACAAATCCATTCAACAAATAGATTTTTATCAAGGTTGGAGGAATGCCATCCCCCAGAACATGTCTGCATTAACGCCTACTTAGGACAGTACTAACAACTCAAAAAGTTTCTCCCCAAAGAAGTGCTGACTCAAGACAGAGAATGCCAATGAAGTTAGGATGAAAGCTGGACTTTCGAACTCTCTAGAAAACAATATACGTTCTTACTGTAGTCACATTTTTGCCTCCTGCAGGACAAGTTGAGTTTCACTTCAGCTTCATTGAAAGATGGAGAGAATCAACAGAAATCTCTAAATCAAGTCAAGTCTCTTTATTTTCAGCCATTCAAGTCAAGGGCAATGTATTCTCTCTCTTTTCCCTGCTGGAGGCACAAAATAACCCCCGCTGCTGCTTGAGGGGAAAGAGAGAGTAAAAGGAAGGATGGCCCCAGGCCCTGCGTAGGTGCACCTTAAGTGGAGCTCTAACCATCTTGTATATCACAGTGGTTAAGAACAAGGGTGTTAGCTCCAGACTGCCTAAGTTCAAATCCCTCCTCTCCCTCAGGTGTCCCTGAGAGCTGCTTTCTCCTGCACTCCCAGGGTGACACTTGGCTGGGAAATTCAGTAACCATGATAATGGAGGGAGTGTTCCAGATTGAGAAAGGTCAAGTGGTAATAATAAGAACTGACATGTATTGACTACTGACTCTGCCAGGCAGTGTTCTCAGCCATTCACATACATAAACTCATGTCACCTTTACAACAACCCTCTGAGGGGCTACTATAAGTATTCCCACTTTGCAGAAGAAGAAATTGAGAGCCAGAATGTTAAGAAAATGAGTTCAAAGCCACACTGCTAGGAAAAAGTAGAGCTAGAATTCAAACCCAGACCAATGGACTCTGAAGTCCATCTTATAAATTAGTTGATCCTCAAAGTGTGACATGAGGACTGGTGCTGGTCCCATGACCTGTTAGCAATATGTGATGGGATAATATAGAAGCTTAGAATAAGCACTAGAAAATTTTATAGCAATTTGCAATTATCCTGGCATCCAGAGTGTGACCACTAGATTCATCTCAGTGAACATGGTATAGGGCCATTCTGGATGTGGTGTAGGCCAAATGTTAGTCATGCACAGTGGGATGACATTGCCCATGGGCGATTAGAAATTTAAACATGAGTCCTTCAGTAGAGATGGTTTGATGAGCACTGCTTTAAAACATCATGCTATACAGCCTGCAAAAACTCAGCCCTTGCCATGAATGTAATGAACCAGTTAGGCATAAATGCTTGTAGTGAAGGGAGCATTGAATTGGGAGTCAGAAGATAAACGATGGGCATGATCAATAATGAGACGATATGGCATGTTAGAAGTTAATAAGTGCCATGGAAAAAACTTACAGAGAAGGGTAGGGAAAACAAATCAGGAGACAAGGAGGGGCATGTAGTATTCAGCAGGGAGGTCATTAGGACAATGTGTGATCATTTCCCCTAGGCAGATAAGCCTCTTAGTAAATGTTTAATTTTGCCTTGGCTTCTCCCTGCCTTTCCCTGTCTTATGTCCTGGCTCTCCTGTTTTCTTTCTGAATCAAAGCATAATAGGCAATTCATTCTGTGCTGACCAAGAGAGTCCAATCCATCCTAATATGTGCTCCAAAGCTAAATTATGGGTTTGGAACAGATGGTTTCCAAGATCTCTTCCAGTTTTGAAACCCTATGACTTTTGCTAAAAGAGCTATGATATGTTACTCTCAAGGGACTAAACTTTTATGTCAGAGAGGTTATTTTGATGTGGTTCATTCATTTATCCATTCATTTGCTTAAAATACACTTATTGATCACCTCTTACGAATCAGGCACCGCCTTATGCATTGAAGTTACGGAGACAAGTAAGGTACAGACTTTGTCTTTCAGAATTTCAGAGTTCTGCAAGAGAGCAAGACATTTAAACAAAAAAGACAATGCCTCTTAAGTGCTACAATAGATGTCTGTACAGAGTGTTATGAGAATACAGAGGAGGGAGCATTTATTCCTCTGGGTAACAGGAAAGTGAGCATCATGGCAAGATTGAGAGGCTGTAACATGTACTCCAGGTTTTGAAGGATGAAGAGTTGACCTTCTTGAGTAGGGAGGAGACAAGCCAGTTCAGGCAGGGAAGTAGATGTGAAAACATCACAGTGGGTGACATATTTAGGGAATAGACTAGTAGCTTAGTCTGATTGAAAGGTAGTATGCAAATACAGATCCTGACTGGTGAGAAAGTGACAAGGCCAGATATAAGAGACAAGACTAAAAGTATTTGTTTTTTTGTGGTTGTGTTGTAAATATGTTTTTTCCCCAGTATGTGATTTAGGACACACACACACACACAGGTGTGCACAAAGTCACCATTGTCCCTTTTGGTCTCCAGATCCTCATTTATTACAAATTGTAGGATCCCTCAATCATTAAACTGTAATCTCCATTAGTAGTTCACCATTAGCATCCCACGGCCTAGTTGAGTGCTTGCAACATATAAGCACTCGATTTTGGTGAATTAATAAATTGACCAATAAATAAATGAATTAATCAATTATCACTAATTTTTTAAATCTCTGTTTATTACTTCTATATCTTTTATGTTTTTTTACAGTTTTGGATGAACCATTTGACTGCATTCCCCTGACAAAGGAATATTTGTGGCTTGATCATACTTAAGAATATACTTATATACTTTTTTAAAAATAGGTCTACAGATGTCAGAGCATTCAGGAGTCATTGGTGGGGGACCAGAGTAGGAAATAAAGGAGGAAAAAAAAACAACAGAGAAAAGCTTGACTTTCAAATTGTTTTTGGTGATGGAGGACCAGCTGTCTGTTACTCATTATTTTTCCACCACTTCCATATCTATGGATTAGAATTGAATATATTTTTCTAAGACATCACTTCTGCAGTGATCACGTTTGGATTTTATCTCTGTCGCACTCATAAAAAAAAAAGGAATGGGCTCTAGAGTAAGGCACAGCAATCCCCTTCCTGACATGAACTGCTTATAGTAAGTTTCAAAAAGTGCTCAATTTTCAAGTGCACATTCTATATGCTCCTCAGCCCCAGAAATGACTTCATCCTCTTAGATGGCAATTTTTGTAGTACTCTTTTTATGAAAATTTTTTAACGTAAAGAAGGTAGAACAAGTACTCCAGTGAGCCTTCATGTCTCAGTCACTCAGCTTCAAAGATAATCAACATTTTGCCAGTATCACCTCCTACCTATTAGCACCTCCCCTCAATTTTGTTTGCCTGTTTCTTTGCTTGCTGGACTGCTTTAAAGCAAATCCCAGATGTCATGTCATTTCATATGTAAATGATTGGTATGAATTTTTGAGTGATAATATCATGTTTTCTTTGCATAGTTTCCCCAGCACCATGACAGTAATGCACCTAACAGAATTAACAGCAATCTCTTAATTTTGTCTTATATACAGTTCATATTCAAATGTTCCTGATTATCTAGAAGACATCTTTTACAGTTGGTTTATGCATATCGAAACTAAGCGAGATCCACCCATTGCATTTTAACATAGCAATTTTAGGTTTTTTATTTGAAATATTTACTTTTTTTCCCCTTATCTAAAAGCTAAGAGGCTGAAATATGCAAGAAAAGGGGAAATAAAAGCTGCCAAAGCACAGCCTGCTGCAACAGCACCATTTTTTAATAAAGATTTTCACTCAATGCCTGCTGGTGGCAATCCATAATATGCAAATTGGAAATTGAGTCAATATGTCTTAAGCACAGGACTTCACATTCTTCCTTCTAGGAATACAAATCAAGGGAGACACACTCAGGTGAATACTCAAAAGGGGATCACTATGATCATCTCTTTTACTCTGGATTCATTTCTATTTTCCTTGATAATTATTATAAAAATAACGCCATCTTATATTTTATATAGTGCTTTGATGTTTACATGTTATTCCCACATCTATTCAATTTACTATAATATATAACCAATAGCTCATTCTTTATGAAAAATACTTCATCTCATGGGATTCTTCAAATGAGCCAGTGAAGGAAGACAGAGCAAATATAATCTTCCTTTTCTACAGTTGTGGGGAAAGGCTCAGGAATAAGCAACTAAGGCCTCACAGCAAGTTGGTGGAGTGGAATATTTGATCCCAGCTCAAGTGATATCAAGAACAAAAACCTTTTGATCAAATATACTGTGTCTTAATTTAATATAGAAAAGCTCAGGACCAGCCTCCTGCAAAACAGCCTTCAGACAGCTGCCATATGGTGAAATGTTATTTATTTCCTTTAGCACATCATCCAACTTTGGTATCACTCTGTGTACCCATTACTGAATAAAGCTTTGTCCCCATATATCCTTTCCAGGGTCAATGTGCCAGGTGCCTTCCCCAATCCCAAATTACCACTGAAGGCACTGTAATGGCTTAATTTTTTAGCCATTTATCCCACTAATCCAAAGGGGAAATTTGTACAAATTAGGTTAAAGCACTCATGGTAGAGATATCTAATACTTCTTCATATTCAGTTTTGTTCCATTTCTATGAACATGTAAGAATTATACTTTCTCATTCCCCTTATAGCTGGGCAGGGCCATGTGACTATCCTTCTCAGTGGTTCTGGAGAGAAGTGTTAGATGTTCTTCCTATCATCCCAATTAAAATCTAACTTAAGACCCTCCAGCATGTTCTTCCTCTGCATCAGCAAGTGTGAAGGTGGCTTTGTATTAAAATGACAGCAGCAAAAATCAAAGTACCCTGGGATCATGAAGTATGGAGGACTGTAACTGTAGGGTCGCCTTGGACACAGTATATGACAGGTGAGCAGAAAATAAACTTCTGGTTAAACCACTAAAATGTACGCTTTTCTTATCACTGCAGTCTAATTTAGCCTATCTTCGTTAGTACAGGACTCATTCTTCAAAGCACTTTACTTGCTATCTGCTGAAAAATTGTCATTAAAGACCATACAAGTCAACAATGACTATGAAATATAGGGTGGCCCCTGGAGTTGAGAAGTACACAGTGGCAAATCATAAGCAACAACCCTATCAGCAATTTTACTAAGTGACATCTTCAGAAAATATTCACCTATTTACCCATTTAACAATAATTAATTGAGCATTTACTATGCACCAGGCATAGCTTCAGGCTGAAGATACAGTTGAGTATAAGGCAGTTATGATCCTTGACCTCGTGAACTCTAAACTCTATGCAGATAAAAAGATAATTAGAAATGTAATTTAAATTTGTAGTTTAAACATCTTGCTTTGGGATCATATAACAAGAGAACTTAATCAGTTTTTCTCAGAGATTGTAGAAATCTTCCATCCAAGGAAGAACTACTTGAGTTGGGATTTAAAGTTTAGTGAAGAGAAGATTGAACTTAAGATGGAGAATCCAGCCAGAAAGAGAGCACAGCACATGGGAAAGTTCAGTTTAGTTTATTCAGAGGGAGAAAATAACCAGGGTATCTGGAGTGTAGGAGGTAGGCTGAAGGTAAAAACCTATGGTGGTGGTAAGAGATGAGTTTTGAAAGGAATAAGGGAGTGAGGCTGTGCAGAGAGCAATGCAGAACAGTTAAAAATGTGGGTCTTACCATAAAGACAATGGGAAGCCATTGAAGCACTTTAATTTTCATAATGATATGAAATGTTAATCTTGCTGCAGTAGATAATAAAATGGAGACATCAAAAGAGGAAGCAAGAACCATTTGAAAAGTCGTAGTAATAATCCAGATGAAAAAGAAATGGTGGCCGGGCACAGTGGCTCACACCTGTAATCCCAGCACTTTGGTGAAGCCAAGGCAGATGGATCACCTGAGGTCGGGAGTTCGAGAGCAGCCTGACCAACATGGAGAAAACCCATCGTTACCAAAAATACAAAATTAGCTGGGCATGGTTGGGCATGCCTGTAATCCCAGCTAATCGGGAGGTTGAGGCAGGAGAATTGCTTGAACCTGGGAGGCGGAGGTTGCAGTGAGCCAAGATCGCACCACTGCACTCCAGCCTAGGTAACAAGGGCGAAACTCCATCTCAAAAAAAAAAAAAAAAAAAAAAAAGAATGATAAATTAAGTTAGAAATGAAGAGAAGTAAAATTATAAATTATTTGAGAAACATTTCAGAGCTAGAGATAGGGTGACGAATCATTCCTGTATGCCTGAGACTAGGGGGTTGTCAGTGCTAAAACTGGGATAGTTCTGGGCAAACCAGGAAGAGTCTGTCACCCTATACAGACACAAGAGAGCCGGGTGGTTGGCTAGGCATGAGGATTGAGGAAGAGGATGGAGTCAACTTGGGTATTGAATGAATGGTGATGCCATTTACTGAGATAAAAGACTTGGAATAAAGAGCAGCTATGAGAGAAAAGAGATGATGTAAAATGAGTTTAAGATATTTAACCGCGTGAAAATGTCAAAGAGTTTAAAACATGGGTAACTCTGATGTACTATTGTTAATTATAGATAATATTTGAATACCCTCTATGTGCAAGGAACTGTTATAGCCTCTTGGCATATGATATGAACTAAATGTTTGTGTCCCCTCAAAATTGCTGCGCTGAAACCTTAACTCCCAATGTGATGGTATTAGAAGATGGAGGCTTTGGGAGGTAATTACATCATGAGGGTGGAGCCACCATAAACAGGATTAGTGCCCTTAAGAAAGGCACCAAAGAGCTTGCATGTTCTATCTCTACTCTCCACCATGTGAGGATACAAAGAGAAGATGGCCATCTGGAAACCAGCAAGTGGGCTTTTTCTAGATGCCAGAACTGCTGTTCATTGATTTTGGATTTCTCAGCACCCAGAACTGTGAGAAATAAATTTCTGTTGTTTAAACCACCCAGTCTATGGTAGCCTGTTAGAGCAGCCCAAACTAAGTCAACATAGTTCAACTTTATTACTCCTTTCAGTAGCCAAAACTGTGAAACTCTATTTCACAACAGAGGCAAATAAGTTACTCTAGTTAAACACTGTTTGAAAATGATGGAGCTGGAAGTGAAACACAAATTAATCTGGATTTAAATGTAACCATTCCTGTTTTCTAGTTATGTGACCCCAAGGTCAAGACCCAGGGAATTTGGCCAACTGAATCAGATCAGATCCAGGCCAGGCAACACTTCTGCTTCATTCACTCCCATTTTGTCCTTGCTGTGCCGCACTGGACTACAGTTTTCCCAAACACACCAAGCATAGTCTTCTTCATTGACATCATGTTAGTATCCTTCACCTTGAACACTTTCCTCCCACTTATATGTACAATTGCTCCCTGAGATCAGTGGGTCTCTGCTCACCTGTTGCCTCCTCAAATGGGGTCTCCCTTGACTTACTTGTTTATTTTGTGTATATAATTTATACATGTATTTTTGTCTCATTGTGTAGACTTAAAGTTCCTTGAGATCATAAAGTTTCTGTATCTTGTTTATTTCTGTATTTCTACCACCTTACCTAAAATAATCTGGCACATAGTAGCTACTCAATATATTTTTGTTAAATCGAATAAATATTCACATGTAGCTAGAACTGGGGCCCCAAGGAACTAGTCGCGGAAGACACAAGGATTATGATGCAGGGGGAGAAAGGGGAGCTAGGTACCTACAACCAAAATGTAAATTAGAGCTTAATCTCAGTCAAGGCAGAGGCCCAGTCACTGGGACTGAAGACAAAAGTAAGGGTGAAGCAAGAGAAAGTTGGTTCTGTATCCCCAGAATGACTAATCTGGGGCTTTTTAAAATCCCTTGAACAGCCATAACATTGGTGCTAAAGCCTGAGATTGAGCAGAGCTTTCGGATGAAAGACAAGAGTCTTCATTAGTTGTAAGGAGCCTGGCAGAAACAGGACACTTTCAGTCCATTACTAGACAGAATGTGAAATGTCAAAAACATCTTTAACTTTCTTCAAATGTGGAGAACTGTGACTCAATCTTGTAGTATTTCCTTTATTTGGTAAATAAGATATAAACATTTTGCTGGAAGATCCCAGTAGAATAGTGTGTAAAAATAACAGGAAGCACTCAGCTCCTTTAATTGTGCATCTTAATGTGGCATAAGGACATTTGTCACTCCAATGCACTTCCCTTGGTGCCCACCCCAGTTGTTTCAGGAAGTCCGCTCAATCTTATGGGAAATCAAGCAGTGGTAAGATCCTGTAGTCGTCCTAGTCTAGACTCCAATATTGATCACGGAACAGACAAATTGGAAGAACGAGGTAGAGTGGCCTTCCTGTGTCTTAGACATAAGTGCAAATACTCAGTGGAGAATGACCTTTAACAAATGCAAATCTACCTTATAAAGCATCACATCTGTGACTCTTTTCAGAGTGTGTGCTAATGGTCAGCTAGATGTCCCCTTCTCAGATTCCTCTGATTCACTTAGGAAAACTCCTGAGAGTCCACTAAAGAGTTTTATATGTTTCTCATTGATGTTTGCTTTTCAAATGTTTGTCAAGGTCAGGCATTTGTGTTGCTCTTATTAAATTTTAAAGTATTTAAGAAGTGAAAATGGTCTACAATAAATGACAAAAACAGAGACATCTAAAGACTGTATATGTATCCCTTTTGCTGATGAGAAAACAGAGAAATGAAAAAGCAGAAGGCTAATATGTGATAAAGTCAAGGCCTGTACCTACACCTAGAAAATTTGTGATGAAATGGGTGCTTAGTGTACCATTAACAGAAAGGCTCCTAGGATCTTTACTACTGATACACAGTATTTCTTGGTAATTCCTACTCCCAGGAAAAGCAGTTCATTTTTTTTCAGGCTCTTCTGTTAAGATTGCAGCTTAGGAATAGTTAATGGCTATCTTACAACCAGGTTAGAGTCTGTGTTAGTTTCCTATTGTTGCTCTAACAAATCGCCACAAATCTAGTGGCTTAAACCAACACAAATTTGTTATCTTATAGTTCTGAAGATCAGAAGTTCAACCCAGAAATGTTTGTACTATTTCCTTTATTTGATAAATAAGATATTAACATTTTGCTGGAAGATGTCAGTGCAATAGTGGGTAAAAATAACAGGAAGCACTCAGCTCTGTTGTTAATTGTTCATCTTAATGTGGCATAAGGACATTTGTCACTCTGTTGCACTTCCCTCAGTGCCCACTCTACATGTTTCAGGAGTCCCAGATGGGCTAAAGTCAAGCTGTCAGGAGGGCAGCGCTGGTTCCTTCCTGGAAGCTGCAGGGGAGAATCCATTTCCTTGCCTTTTCAAGCTGCAAGAGGCCGCCACATTCCTCCCCCTTAGTGTCCTTCCTCCACTTTCAAGCCAGGAATGCTGGATTTACCACGTATTAGCCTTCTGTTTTTAAATTGCTCTGTTTTCTCATCAGCAAAAGGAGAATAATAATCATGTTCTTTGCAGCATCTTTGCATTCCAATATAAGGAAAGAAACAATGTATTCTTCTTCTTCTTCTTCTTCTTCTTCTTCTTCTTCTTCTTTTTTAATATCCTGACTACCCTTATTGACGTAATTTGTGTTTATCAGCTCATTAAAATCTATGTTTCAAATTCCTTGGATTTTTCTCAAGTTCCAGATTGGTAAAAGTATTTTTGCATACACATTTGATTCTTACATTAGATACTTAACATCTATAAACTTGAAATTTGTTTTGCACAAGTTTATGGCTTTACTACTTTTCAAGGCAAAAGTCACATATTAAAATGCAAACTATTCAAAAGTAAATAGTTGTCAAGAATGTGGTTTCTGAGATAGATCTTACAGACAATTCAGACTATATTATGATTTATCTGTTTGAAAACAGAAAGTAGTGTATTATACTGAATTCTGGTATAAGGTGCACAGGAAACCTTACCTACAATCCTTTATTTTCATAAGGTAAACACCAAACTATTTCACACATATATTATAACCATATTTTTTAAACCAAATTCTGGTTTAAAAATCACAAAATGACTACACATAAATATGAAATACTAAGAAAAGTCTAACATATGAGGGAAAAACATGTCTTATACATTGTAATATAATTGTTTACAATCCAGCATAAAGGAAAATGCAGGGTTTTTTTTAATGCAGCCCATATGCAATTATAGAAAAAAATTAGTCAAGCCACCTAATACAACCAATTTCACAGATACCACTCATTTAATATTATGTCCAAAAATTTCCATGTAAGTGTCTACATATTAGTTAGAATAATGCCCACAAGGATCTCCAAACTACAAAATATTAGCAAGTAAATGTAAATCACAAGTTTCTCGTTGAAAGAATGAAGCTTGACTATGAGTTAAAAGGCAACAACTATGAACTAACTTTCTTTAAAATGGCTTAAATTGGCCAATCTAGAGCAATACACGTTTTCCCAGCTATACATTCAAACTATATTGTTTGGTAAAAATGACTCTGTTACTTAAAAAAGCAGAAAAGATCCAAAATAACCAGAGCTTAGCCAAGCTGGCGAAACCACAGAGACACTGAAGCCCAGCAACTCCCAAGAAGCTAAGGATTAAGATTAAAAATAAAATCTGGATATTTAATCCCACATCAAAATTCGGAATTTATGTTTATTGTTAATAATTTATATTATTCTTTTCTTTGGGTGAAAAAAAAGTTTTAAAAAGAACGAATATGTTGGAATAAGCAATGTAACTTTGATCATTCCGCCATGTGACTACCAAAAAGGCTGCTGTGCTTTTAGCCCTCCCACTTGGTAAAATAGAAAGTTCTCCACACGCATGGCCTAGAGAAGCCTGATTTCACAAGTCAGTGTGAGTTACACTGTTCTCATGCAGTGGAGCTCCTAAAATACATACATTTGTTCTTACGAAAAATTACAAAACTAACAAACCTCTTTTTCTCCAGAATTATAAAAGATAGAATCTATGAATCAGTAATCTGATGTGATCACAGAAAGATAGCAAACTGAAGTCAAAAAGCACAGGCTGTCCATAATATAGTCCCTAGTCTATTTCCTGCACTCCTAATACTTTCTACCTGTTCTGAGGATGGAGGGTGTCAACACCTTAGAAAACCACTATGGTCTTTAAAACTGGGTAAAGAATCATCCCTACGGTTAGGGCAAATGTAACTTCGTGTATTGCTTACACACGGGAAAAAACTTGCTTCATTTCCCAGGATATTCTTCTAAGAATTACTTGACAGTGGTTCTTTTAAAGATATAAAAAAGTGTCAAAAAAAAAATCCTCTTTGGAATTCTCCCGGAATTCCAGAAAGATTATCTGGCAGTTCATTTCTCCACCCATCAAAATTTTTCCCTTGAAAAATTACACTTGACAACTCACATAAGATTTAATTAACTTACTTAAAATAAGGGAGGGCTTCTCCATAACATTTCCCCACTAGAAAACTAAAAAGTTCAGTGATACTCAGTGCCAGTAATTAAGTGGCACATATCATAAAAATTCAAAATTGGACACAGGTGTGTCACACCCAGAAAAGATTTTATACATTTATAAGCTTGTGCTTTCACACTTTATAAGCAATACAGGTTGGTTTCCACTTTCAGTGAGTAATGTGCATGCTGTATGAGGGATGGTCAACAAACAATCTCTCTTCCGCACACTTTAGTGTTTCATCAGAGCTGAAAAATAAACTGCCTTCTCTTTTTCTCTGTGAAGATCCTCTCCACTTTGGGAAAACAATCTTCTATGCAATGTAGGTCTTGTTGAATTATATAAAGGAATCATACAACTGAATAAAATTGTAGAGATCAATCAGGAGCTAGAAGAAGAAAACCATGATGTTGATGAGTCCAGCTGTTCCCTTCCCCACAGCATCTGCTTCCAGGTGACTCTTCAACAGCACATAGGCAGCACAAACCTCAGACTCAGCAATCTGCTCTTCCTCATTTCCCTCTTTCAGACAGGAGGCTCATTTTTCTCTGTAACAAATCAAACAGTATTTCAGGGGATGGGCAGAGGGAGGCTCAGGACCTTCTGGCGTAGGCAGTTCACTGGGGGTTCTGGCTTTGAGAAACAATGTATTCTTTTTTCACCTGGGTTAAGGGGCAGTTCCTCAAATCTTGTCCTTGTGCTGCTCCTGCCTGCATGTCCTCCTGCCTACTGTCCTCTCTGCATGCTGTGCCTTTTCTGTTTGCCTTCTACTTTTTACTTTTTCACCTTATCTTGGAAGACTTCTCTGACATCTTACTCAGATTTAAATGTCCTTTGTTAGTATTCCCATGTCACTAAAATCCAAGGTAGTAATTGCTGTAAAATAGTTGAGCTTGTTTCTGTTTGCTCTGATGTATTTAATATTAGAGGAAAAATCTATGAAAGAATATAAATAGCTGTAAAAGAGTAAAAATAAAAATTCAGTGGCTTAGCACACAGGCTTATTTCTTACTCATCACATGATCCTATGAAGATCTGTGGCTCTCCTGGGTAGCTCTCGCCTAAAAAATGATACAGTGATCTCATCTCCTTTCAGCTTGTGATGCCACCATTTTCAATATCTGACCTTCACCATGACCACTGGAGGGTGAACAGAATGAGAGATTAGGCAAGGGGTTGCATGGTCAGGCCCTAAAATGGTGCACACCACTTCTATCCAGATTGCATTGTTCAGGAAGCAGTCACGTGACCTCAGCTGACCTGCAAGACAGGATGGGAGATACTGTCTTCCTGTGTGTCCAGGAAGTGGAAACTAGTCTCTGCCAAAGCTGACCGGAAAAAAAAAAGAAAAAAAGATTTCATATTTCTTTTCTTTATTTTCCATCTTCAAATAAGTTTTCATTTGCAGATCATGGTAATTACTGACTAGTTGCCACATGCAATCCACAAAGCACTAATTTAGTTAATTTGATGAAAAATCGTGTCCTGCTTAGTCCTCATCTGAGTCTCCTGTCTCTTTAGGAAATGGCCAAATATTGCATAGATTCTTTACAAATTCCACATTTGCTAGCTACTTTTAATCCGATTCAATGTTTAAATGCCTCTTAAAGTTATGCCATAATTAGCTTGGGATTTGTAACTGCCACAAGGCTTTTTCCCATCTAAGATAGAATTCATAATATATAATTGGAAGGGAACTGCCTCCTAGTATATGAGCAAACTGCAGCACTGCATCACATTTTAGACAAATACCCAAGGGTAGAAAAGATTCTCTTGTTGAAAAGAAGAAAATTGGTACTTCCTATTTTGGAAAAAATAATCACGGATTCCATGCTGAGTCCAGTGTGAAAATGCTGCTATAGAATTACTTCACTTCTCATTTTTGCTGACATGTGGGGATACAAAGAGACTCCTTTTCACTTTGCTAAGAAGAAATTAAGTGGTTAGGGAGGGAGAATGCAAAGAACAGTCAGTGACAAATCGTATAACTCAGTAGCCAAAGAAAGAGTCAAGGATTAGTGATGTTGACAGCTAGACAACACAGGACAATGACACTTATTAAGGCACTTTCTGTGTCCAGGGACTAGTCCATGGCTGCAGAGATTTAAAATTGTATGAAGTTCCTAAAATTCTAGGGTCTTATGTATTAACACTCAGAAATCCAGCAAGTTATTTATGCCAAGTAATCTGTTTTCCTTTCAAGTGGAAGCTTTAAGAATGTATGTGCTATTCGCCACCCCACCCCAAACTCTCTCTCTTTTATTCTCCCATAACAATGACAAATACTTTGGATGATGGCTGCCCCATTGTCCTGCAACTCTGAGTGAGGAGAACAGAGAGCCCATCCACCATAAAGCTGCATGTAAGCTAGGAAAAGGAAAAAAAAAAAAAAAACACAACAACTAGTAGTCTTAAACCACTGAGATTTCAGGATTTTTTTTGTTACCACAGCAAACAGTAACTTATTCTGACTACGTATTTACCATGGAGAAAAGTGACTTTAGGTTAACTGGTATCAGTAACACTAAAGATTTAGCAGTCAGCACCTGCATAAGATCTCTTTGATTAGCAAATAGTAAAAGCCAAATTACTGCGACTCATATAAAAGAGGGAGGGTGGCCAGGTGGGGTGGCTTATGCCTGTAATCCCAGCACTTTGGGAGACCGAGGTGGGTGGATCACCTGAGGTCAGGAGTTCAAGACCAGCCTGGTTAACATGGTGAAAACCCGTCTCTACTAATAATACAAAAATCGGCTTAGTGTGGTGGTAGGCACCTGTAATCCCAGCTACTCTGGAGGCTGAAGCAGGAGAATAGCCTGAACCCGGGAGGTGGAGGTTGCAGTGAGCAGAGATTGTGCCACTGCACTCTAGCTTGGTGACAAAGTGAGACTCTGTCTCAAAATAAATAAACAAATTAAATAGATTAATTTAAAAAGGGAGAGGGTTCACACACCTGGACCTCGATGCTAAAATGAGGCCCCTGAGAATCATATTGTTTCTTTTATTTTTTATAGCTTCATCCCACTATAGTGGTTTCATTCTCAAGCAAACTTTTCTAATGTGGGCACAAGATGACTTTATGCTTATATAAAACCAGCTTAGCAAACTTCAGTGGAAAAAGAAAACCTCTTTCCTGATGATTCAGAAAAAATCTCAGGTGTTGCCTTTACTGCCCCGTTTGGGATCACATAGTATCTCTACAACAGGGGTGACCAAGGGATGCAGTTTTCTTACTCACCAATTCTGGGTCATGTCCTCACCCAGAGAATCAGGATTGGGATCATCTCTACCCAAACAGCACAGGCAGAGAATAGGGGCAACACAAAGGAAAACTGAAACTTTCCCAAAGGAAAACTGAAATGCCACTGTCAGGAGAATGAATAGATGCTTGGGAAAAAAATAAAAATGATCGCCAAGATTCATAAAGCCTAAATGAGAGCATGGAGCGCTATTTTGTCTAAGTGTCTTTCAACTTCAATTGTCTATATCCCTGCTTTTCATTGCTTTGAAATGTATTCTAATTTTTCATTTATGTTTACAAACATGGCAATTAGTTAATCTTTGTGAGTAAATGTTCTTAATAATATAGTTTAGGTTTGTGGTATAATGAAGTGGAAAAGCATTCCATTATCTGTTTTCTATTATTATTCTCTTCTATGTGGGCATCTTTCCACACCCAGTGGCATTATATCCTAACTCAAGCAAAGCAATTGGGGGGATGTAAAGTCTATTGTAAGCACTGGCTTCATGAACTCAAAGCTGTAAAGTGACCACAAACCACAGAAGAACATTAAACTTCGTCCCTTCTTTCTATTCAGGGGTATTGTGAGAACATGATGTGTGTAAACTCTTTAAACTCTACTGAGAAAAGGTGCTATATAAATCTAAGTGATTATTCATACCATTATCCAACACAAATTGAACCTCCATCCCTTGGAGACTGTTTCATTGCTAATATCACTGACAGCAGTTGATAAAGTTGACATTTGGTTTTAATGGCATCAGCTAATAAGCTGTCAGAAGGTTTCACAATCTTATCAAGTCATATATTACATTACAAATATTAAGAATTACTGTTGGAATTAACATAATCTGCTTTGGACACTCCACTGAATTAATCGGATAGGATATGTCAAGTTTTGTTCTTTCCTCTTTTCAACTTAGGGAGACTTACATATTCGTTGGATACGAGGGTGAATGTTTATATAGAGTCTTCTATGTATTTGTGTGTGTTTGTGTGTGCTTTTCAGGTATGTACTTCTGATGAAGAATAGTCTGTTTTAGAGTAACTAGTCTTCTTGGCTTGATGCATTGAACTTTTAAAAGTATACACAAATTCGCAGCACCTGGTTCTGCTTAAGTCCCATTATAGCTTTCCATTTTTGAGACCACTGCAATCGTTATCATGGAAAGAGTATAGTATTTAAAGGAAGCTGAAAATGAAATTGCAATAATTGCTTCTATTTAGTGAGCACCTCCTCTGGATTAGTGCTGTTGATCATTATTAATTTCATCCTCAATACAACCCTTTAAGACAGTTTGATCACTTTAAACTCTTATACTTGCAAGTGAAAGAAAACTCAGCTCCGCCAGGCTGGAACCAGAAAGGGGATTTATTAACTTGCACTCAAGTCCAGTGTAGAATTCAGGGGCCTCAGACATGGCTCAGTCAAGGGCTCAAAGGATACCCCCAGAACTTTTTTTTTCAAGCTGCATCTTTTAGATAGGCTCAATTTTTAGGGTCGTGATGGTGACTTTCATTGGTTCAAACTCACAAAATGTAGCACCCGCTCCAGCAGTGAATATAATCTATTTATTTCTTTAGCTAAGAAAAGATACACCATGATTAGATTGTTTTGGTTCTGATTGGCCTGACTTAGGTCATTAGCTCTTTCCTATAGTCCATCTGCAGTGCAATTTATCTACTCTGTAAGCCATCCATGAAGCTGGCTCAAATATTCCCAGCTTTAAGCCAATCAGCAAAGCCTGAGGTATAGAATGTGCTGATTTGTGCTGATTAGAGAAAACCTGGCATTTGTCACTGTTGCACCTGGAGGGAAAGGATAGACAACTTCATTTAAAGTACAAGAGCTGAGAGGGTGAGGTGGGACCATCAGAACGAAATTGTGATATGATTTTCATAGGGTAGAATGAGGCAAAGGATGGATGCAGGACAGAATATCAATGCATATCCATTACATTGGCAACCCAGGAGGCGGAAGTTGCAGTGAGCAGAGATTGTGCCACTGCACTCTAGCTTGGTGACAAAGTGAGACTCTGTCTCAAAATAAATAAACAAATTAAATAAATTAATTTAAAAAGGGAGAGGGTTCACACACCTGGACCTCGATGGTAAAATGAGGCCCCTGAAAATCATATCGCACCTGAGATTTTTTCTGAATCTGTCAGGAAAGAGGTTTTCTTTTTCCACTGAAGTTTGCAGATGATTGGCATCATCGTTGTTTTATCCATGAGGAAAAAGAGGCTCAAAGAAGCCAAATGACTTGTGTGCTGTCATATATCTAATGAGTAGCAGGGCCACAATTTGAAACAAAGCACCTATGATTCAAAGCTATTGTTCACTGTTTTCAGGGACACGGCACAGAAGCAGCATATCTAACTGCACCTGAGAAAGGCAGGTCCCAGGTGCTCAGTTTCCTAGTGATAGAGAGAGCCTTTTAGCTCTTTCTAACAGTATCTGCAATTCAGTGTATCTACTCTGTAAGCCATCCATGAAGCTGGCTCAAATATTCCCCCTTAATAGCTCACAATGTCAGTCTGAGCAGAGAAGGAAGTCTCCATGTTTGTGCATTTAATTTAAATGATTAAATTTAACACTTGCCGGGCACAGTGGCTCATGCCTGTAATCCCAGCACTTTGGGAGGTCGAGGCAGGCTGATCACTTGGAGTCAGGAGTTCAAGACCAGCCTGGCCAACATGGTGAAACCCCATCTCTACTAAAAATACAAACATTAGCCAGGCATGGTGGCAGGCAGCTGTAATCCCAGCTATTGCAGAGGCTGAGGCACAAGAATCACTTGAACCTGGGAGGTGGAGGTTGCTGTGAGCCGAGATCCCATCCCGCCACTGCACTCCAGCCTGGGTGACAGAGTGAAACTCTGTCTCAAAAAACAAACAGACAAAAACAAAAACACTTACAAATTTCTTTCTGTCCTGAAATATCAGGGCCTTCAGACATACTGTAAGAGTGACACCTTGCTATTTCCCTTTGTTAGCTCATCTTCTGCTTGCCCTCACAACGTTGAATGCCTCGTCCAGGCCTCTTGTCTCTTTACTCCTGCTTCCTAGATTTTCTCATGCAGCCCTGGATTCTGTATGCTTTATGTGTCAGAAACCCCAAAAGTGGGTCTCCAGCCCTGCTTTTTCCAGTATCTGCATCCACCTTCCAGTGTGTCACCTCCACTTAGGTCTTAACAAGTGTTCATATTTAACATGGCTAAAACAAAATTCTGAATTTCCATTCTTATTCTATTCTCCTAGTCTACTGCTTCCTTAGTCTTTATTATATCAGTGAGTTTATCCTGGATTCCTGTCTCCTGCATGTCCCACGTCTGAAAATTCAGCAAATCCTGTTGACACCTTTTACCTCCAAATCATGGCCTGAGAGTATCCTCTTCTCTTCTGCTCCACTACCATCACCCCCAGTCCAAGCCTCCAGTATCTTCTCCTTTATCCCTACAACAGTGCTTTAGTAGGTTTTTCTGTTCTCCCTCCTCCCCACTACAGTCCAGAAAGCAGCCAGAGTAATGCATTCAAACTGCATCAGATCACTGCATTCCCTGCTCAAAACCTACCTATGGCTTCCCATCACCCTTGGATGGGCAAAAAATCCTATATGATCTACCCCAAATGCTTTTTTAACTTCTATTTTATAACTGTTCTCCTAGCTCACTATGCTTTAGCTTTCTCAGTTTTCTCTCACATCCTAGAATTCCTGCCTTAGAGCCTCCACACTATGGGAAATTTTCTTGCCCTTGATTTTCTCATAGCTGGTTCCTTCAGACCTGCCAATCTCAGCTGAGACATAAACCTTTTGGAAGAGTTCTTCCTGGCTTCCCAAATTAACAAAACCATCCATCACTCTTTATCACATCACCTGCTTTCATTCTCTGTATAATGCTTATCACTACCTATCATTTTTCTTGTTTATTTATTTGTTGGTTTATTTTTTGGCTCCCACCAGGATGTAAATTCTGTGTAATGAGGGACTTTAGATTATTTGCAGCTGCATTGCCGCAGCCTAGAATGATGTCAAGCACTGAGTGAATTAATAAATGGAAAAATAAATAAATGAGTGAATGAATGAATGATAAATTATGGCTTTTATTTTAAGGCCTGGGCCCCCTACGTGGTAACCTTTCCACAAATGATTGAAATATATGTGAGCTTACTAACTCTGTGAGGGTAGGAAGGAGCCATGAACTTCTATTTCCTTGGTACCTAACAAAGTGAATTGAATCAAACTTTATATCAATCTCATCATGGAGAGATCACTCAAGGTTTCCTGTGGTTATGAACTGTACTTCTGTTTGCAGTAAGAGAGTTGCATGGTGTTAGAGAAAAAGCTTGGACCCACAGTTGGCTAGGCCTAGGCCAGAAGTCCCTTTTTGCACCTATAGATGATGTGCCCCTGTATTAAGTTGCTCAACCTCTTTGACTTGCTATTTTCTCAACCTGTAAGATGGCTATAATCATAATTCATCTCACCAAGTTATTGTGAGATTCAATAAAACTAAACACCTGGTAACTGGGAGGTACCTAATAAGTGTTACTTTCACTTCTCTTTGTAACTTCATTGTTCATTGATAATCATAATTCACATAGTTCTTGCTAAGAATATTATAGGTACCAGACCCTACAGATATTGGGGGTAGGCGATCACATGGATAAAAAAAAAAAAAAAACTATTGAACCTGTGCAGCTATCTTCCACTTGCCCTTCTGCATTCACTCTGCCTCCTTCCCTAGATTATCCCTGATCTGTGACTTATGTGTGGATCTGTATGGACTTCATCAATGGGTATTTTGTGTTTGGAATTCTGGTTGGGTTTGACCAATGAGGAGCATGAGCAGGAGACTGGATAGATGGAAGAGAATGGTCAGGGCATTTATTTCCTTGGCTCCATCTCTTCACGGTCAAGAGGTCTAAATGCATCCTTCAGCTGAGTCATAATCCTCTCCTGCCTTTAGTTTCTATAACTGTTCCTTTTTTCTCATTAGGCCAAGGAATTCTAAAGGCTCCCATTTCGGTAATTATTCCTTAGCGTTTCCACACACCCTGCTAACACATTTGAAAACAGATATTTAAACTTTCATCAAAGTATCCAATTTGAGGATGTTATCTGTTTTCTTCCAAGATCCTGTCTGATAGAGTCCCTGTCGTTAAGGAGTTCACATTCTGAGAATTCATCAAATCAGGGGTCATTAATATTAAATGAACCAAAGCAGCAGTTCTTTGCACCATTGCAGTGACCTCAGGTGCATCAGTTCAGCAGAATGTACTGACCTTATTTATTGCCTATCTTCTACAAGAAGCCATGAAAAATATCTGCATGTTTACTAAAGAATGGACAGAATTGATAAGTGGTATATGTTAAACGTTTTATTTTTTGGATCAGTGGTTTTCAATGAATCAAGTCTCCTGAGGAGCTTTTAAAAAATATTTGTGTCAGGCCATGCCTGGGCCAACTTAACAGGAGTCTCAGGGGATGGGAGGCCAGACATCTGTACATTCCAAAGCAACCCAGGTGTTTCAAATGTGAAACTAGGCTAAAACCAATGGTTTTTTATACACCTGGAGAGTCCAAAGCAGAGGCTGCCACTATTACATAAAATGCTTCCATGATCATCTGCATTCTCACACTGAAATTATTCCAGACTCATCTCTCTACCTACCTCCAAATTCCTCTCTCACCTTGGTCTCTACTTCCTTTGATTCTGTGCTAGCAACCATTCCTCTAGTAGCTCCTATTGACTTAGCCACCAAGGCATGAACTGTTTGCTTATAACTTGTCTGTTACTTCCCTTGATGGTATTCAACAGTGGCCCGTCGGCTTCAGCCTTCCCCTCCAAGGACAAGAAACGCACTGCCTTGGCACCTGCTCAGAACACACCCAGTCCATAGCCTGCCAAGCCAGAAATGCCTGGGAATCTCCATCTTTCTGGAATGGGAGACTAGACAGGTAGGGGGATGCACTGCACCACTCTAGAAAAACATTATTGTCAGAAATAGATCTCAATAGAGGTACATTTTTTCACATCTCTCACCATATTGGGAATGTTTAAATAGGCTTCATAATCCTTATCATCAAGGAATGTTACAATTATCTCTCTTTAAACAGATTAAGAGACCTTGGTAATGAACTTATCCGTATCTCTTAATGCACATGGATTTGTACTAGAACTGTCCCTACCCTTGGGAGCTAATACATGGGATAGTTCTTTGTAAAATACAGTCTTCTACACATGCATGCAATTATCATTAGTGTTTCTTTGGTTATAACTTCAAGCCAAAACTTTAAAAATGCTACAAGCAAATGCATTTAAGAGCACTTAAGATAGACTAAAATAAACAAAAATAAATTAAATGTATTTAAACCATTTAGCAATACTAGTCAGGAATAGAATAATACCTAATAATGATACCATGCTAATAAAAACCTTGCAGAACAGAATATTATGATTCTGTGTAGATTTAAGTCTGAACATTCAAAATTACATTTTAACCAAATGTCTGAACCATACTTTCTGGAAAGCGGTTAGGTAAATAGAACAAGGGGTCAGTGGGGTGGTTAGTGAAGAGGGAATTGTGGGTATTGCATATTGGAAGCAATAACCATGGTCCTACTCATTTGACTAATACCAAGATAACACAGCTATTGTTTACTGTCTAAGTGGCAAACCCATTTTGATGAACTTCTAGTCAGCCAAGCCAGCCAAGATCTATTCTACTGTTGACTCCACTGTATCATTGTGGATTTGCAGACAAAGTCTGTCTCCAGTTGAAACAGAGAAGGTTGAATATTCTGCTTGTATGACCTTCAATCTAAAGAAATAATTTGACGTGATTAGAACACATGGTCCTTTCTAAATACTGATATACTGGGGATCTTCATATATAATAATTCATGCATTCATTCAGCAAACATTGCTCAAGCAGCTAGGAAGCCCTGGGCACCATCTAGGTATTGGTGCTATGGAGAGCTGCGAGGCATAGACATCGCTGCTCTAGCACTCATGGGCTAATGTCAGAGAAACAGACATGATTTTTAAATTAACAATATCTGACAAGTGTTATGATAGACATATAAACCTGGAAATGGGTACATAGAGAAGGAAAAGATTTGATTGAATGGGAAATAACCAGATTTGGCTTACCTAACATTCCTTCTCAATGTGTCATTGCTTCTAGTCTAAATTGACTATTTGTACTAAATCCCTTGCTTACTCCATCTTTCCAAACAGCACCTGCTTCCAAGCCAATCTTTCTGGACTCTCTAAATTCCTGATGCACTGCTAAGATTATGACTTTTTTTTTTTTTTTTTGTCTGGATCTCACTGTGTTGCCCAGGGAGGAATGCAAGGGCACAATAATGGCCTACTGCAACCTCAAACCCCTGGATTCCAGCAATCCTTCTACCTTGGCCTCCCAAAGTGCTGGTATTACAACTATGAGCTACAATTCCTGGCCAATTCTGACTCTTATTACCTTCTCAGACTCCGTGAGGCAATGTGACAGCTTGAGCCTGACAGTCGTGGGTTTGACTCTTGTTTGTGTTAAGTCACTGCCTATATAGCCTTGTCCCAAAAGACTAAACCTCCCTGGGTCTCCATGCTCTCAGGTAACTAGAAATAAGCAGAGTGTGGTTAACATTAGAGGAATATTTGAAAGGTAAGTGGCAGAGTGCCTGGTAAATACAATGGACTTCCAGGGAATAAAACCCTTTACTTTTACTTTCACTGTTTTTATTATTCTCAAACCTTTCAAATCTTGCAACATCTTTGAGTTTGTGCTCTGGGTTCTACTTCAGCATCTTTGACTTATCTCTTTGTGGTTTGGAAATAATAAATATGGAAAATAATTAAAAGTGAAAAGGTAAGTAAAGATTCCCCTCTCCAGGAAGTGAGGCTTAATTCCTACTCCACACTCTCCACTCCCACATTTTGGGCTGAACTTAGTAACCTGCTTCTGAATAATGGAGTATAGAAAGTGAGAAAAATGGTAACTTTTCGGTAGAGAAATGTGGCAAGCAAATGATCATGGTTGACATCACAGTGGTAATCATGTTGATATCATGTACCCTGATATGACATGATGAAAATAGCATTTCACAACTATGTTATTCTTTCCCAAGTCTCATTACTCCAATAATCATGAGAAAAAGTTGTCTAACAAACATCGAGGGACTTTCTACAAAATACCTGGTCAGTACTCCTTAACATCGTTACGGTCGTGAAAAACAAGGAAAGAAACCAGAGGAAAGAAAGGAGACATGGCAACTAAGTACGATGTGGCACCCTGGGTTAGATGGAACCTGAAAGAGAAAAAGAAATTTCTGAGGAAAAAAAGCCTGAAGTTTAATTCATAGTAGTTTACCAATGTTGACAAATATGCTATGGTAACGTAAAATGTCATTAAATTTGGGTCAGGGGTATACAGAGCTCTATTATCTTAGCAACCCTTCTGTAAATTTACAATTATTCTAAAGTAACACTTTTTTAAGTGAAAACTGGGATCCTTCAGTGGAATTCCCACTGCAAAACCTCTTTATCAGGACTTGAGGATTCTGCCTATGAACCAGTCACTGCTCATTCAGCTCCAGACAGAAATGTTTCTGCCACTCACCTACTTCTCTGAAACATAGTCATAAGCAAACCTATGTTAAAAGTCTACTATTTTTTTTCTCTTCAGAGGAAATAATTTTTTTTTTATCAATCAATAGTTTCCTTTGAGTTAAATAAATTAATGGTTTTTGAACATCTTCTAAATGAGTGAGTCGGTAATTGGGGAAATACATTCAAAGCCTGATCTGATTGTCCATGGCTCAAAATTCTTAATATAGGTGTTATTTTTTTTTTTTCATGAACAAAACACTTTGCAGGCACCTAAACAACTGGGTAAATGATTGGTTAGTATCTTTATCCCCATTTCAGGCCGGGCATGGTGGTGCACACCTGTAATCCCAGCACTTTGGGAGGCCGAGGCCGGTGGATCACCTGAGATCAGGAGTTTGTGACAAGCCTGACTAACATGGTGAAAACCCGTCTCTACTAAAAAAAAAAAAAAAAAAAAAAATAGCTGGGCGTGGTGGCGCATGCCTGTAATCCGAGCTACTTGGGAGGCTGAGACAGGAGAATCATTTGTACCTGGGATGGGGGAGGTTGCAGTGAGCCAAGATCGCGCCATTGCACTCCAGTCTGGGCAACAAGAGTGAAATTCCATCTCAAAAAAAAAAAAAAGGTAATTTTATCCCCATTTCAATGAGAAAACCAGGTCAGGGAAGGTGTGCGTCACTTGTACCAAACCCAAGTGACAAAATTAGAAGATTTTCTTCAAAGATTTGTGTCCCAATCCCGGTTCTTTCTATATTCCACAATGATATTATCTGGATATAAGGACTTTGATGAGCCCATTAAAAATGGGCATTTCCAGGGTCTTACAAAAATGAGTCGTTACACATTTATGCATTGTCTCAAATGTTTAGTCAAACCTTTAGTCAAAAAAGATAATAGGCGAGGTGCATTGGCTAACGCCTGTAATCCCAACACTTGGGGAGGTGGAGGCAGGCAAATCAAGAGGTCAGAAGTTTGAAAGCAGCCTGGCCAATATGGTGAAATCCCATCTCTACTAAAATTACAAAAATTAGCCAGGCGTCGTGATGCACACCTGTAGTCCCAGCTACTCGGGAGGCTGAGGCAGAAGAATTGATTGAACCTGGGAGGCAGAGGTTGCAGTGAGCCGAGATCATGCCTCTGCACTCCAGCCTGGGCGACAGAGTGAGACTCACTCTCAAAATAATAATAATAATAATAATAATAATAATAATAATAATAATAATGAAGTGAAGATGTAGAAGAAATTCTTCACTCTAATTCGTTTTGCCTGTGCATGTCTGTGTGTGCATATCTCCTTTCTTTGCTACAGTTTGTTTTGCATGTGCTGTGCATGCCTACCTTCTATGTTAGAATGTGAGATCCTTAAGGGCAGGAACTAAGTCTTTTCCCCTTATTGTTCTCAGGACTTAGAACAGTTCATGAGACACAACATATGCCCAATACATGAAGGGATATTTATTGTTATCTGGAGCCTAAATTTTTTTAAGTTCTCTTTATTACAGTATTTCTGTGTCTAGAGGCAGAGACACAGTCACAGGTGCAAGAGGCTTATGGGGTAGAAGGCAAGCATGGGGAAGATAAAAGAAGGAAGGAGCAGGGGTTGGCAGGGAGGGCAGCAGAGGTGCCCCAGTGCCACTGCTCCCCTCTTTAGGCAGAAATCTTTTAATACTCCAGAAGAGTGTGGCCTCACTCAAATGCTGTGGCCAATCCCAAGGGTGCTTCAGCTAGAAGATGTCATCTGACTTCACTTTTTACATCTGATCAGCAAGTTATTTCCTGAAGATTTATCTGAGTGGTGCACCTCAATGTTCACCTCTAATTCTCTAGCACTTGCTTTAATGCCATCCTCTCTCTAGTGATGACCGAGTTGGCATATGGATTGATGCACTTCACATTTATTGGAAATTTTGACTCCAAATTGATCACTAACTTCTAAGATTAAGCAACCTTACCTACTCCACATTTTAAAAAACTGAAATTAGTGAAAATGCTGCCAGAAAAAGACTATGACTGTAAAATATCACTATTTTATATGCACAAACACAAAATTACCCTAGTTTTCCCAACGAGCTATTGATTTGAGATATGTGTTAGCAGACGAGGGAGATGAGGCAACAAGGTTCTGTCATGAAAAAAAAAAGTCAGACAAAGGTGAGTTTGAATCTCAGAGCAACTATTAACAGATGATGTGTCTCAGGTAAATTACTTAGTATATTTGAGCCTCAGTTTCCTCACCTGCAAAAGAGAGAGAATAATCATCTAACTTGCAGGTTGTACATAAAGTGTGACAGACAATCTATATGGCATGTTAAACAAACATGTTGATTCCCAGTGACCCCTGGTTGTGCCTGATGGCCCTGCAGCTGTTCTCTACCTAACAATGCTCAAAAGAAAGACATCGCTGTCAAGCTCTGAGTTTCAAAATAGAGTGTTGTTTGCTTATGTCTACAGGGAGATAACAGCCTTGACATCAGGCTGATTTGAGAAAGAGAAAAGGACTTATCAGAACTTACACAGCTGATTTCCTTTTTTTTCTTCTCTTTTCTTTCTTTCTCTCTGTTATCTGTTTACTATATTAAGAACTAGAACCTGAAGGAGTGACTTTAGAGAAAATTATAGGGTAAGGAAGAATAAAGGCTGAGACAGAAGGGAAGCCAAACCCTACAAAGAAAAGGAAAAGCTTCTCTGTGATTACAGAAAGTAGCTTGGGAAGATTTTGAACAGATGAGAGTATATGCCCTGTGGATCACTAAAAAGTGAGCTGGCACAGCCCACCCATGCTAGGACTTGGATCAGGTAACAAAATCACAGGATTGTGACTAGGTATCCAAAAACACAAGACTCAGGGATGTCTCTTGGTGGTTACAACCTCCAAAGTCTGGCATGAGTCCTTGTGGATGTCTCACCTTGTCTACACCTTTCTAAATAGTCCCTTTATTAGACCCTATTTAAATTACCCTCATGCCTATGCACCACCTGGTTTCTTCTGGGAACACTGACTTTACAGATGTTAATATTATAATATTATAAAATCACACCTACATAGGAAGATTATGGAAACCAGCTGCTTTTACTTGACCACTAGAAAACAAAGAGATTAGAATCCTTTTGGAAAATAGAAATCCATTGCAGAATACCCTAGTTTTTTGATACTCAATGTCTGACAAATATGCCAGAACTTTATAATAAAAAAAGGTTTTAAATTTTTTATTGATCCATAATAATTATACATATTTGTACATATTGTACACCATTTGTATATACGAAGTACAGGTGATATTTTGATACATGCATACAATGTGTAATAATTAAATCAGAGTGTTTAGAATATCCATAACCTCAAACATCTGTCATTTCTTTCTATTGGAAACATTTCAACTCTTCTCTTCAAGCAATTTTAAAATATAAAATGTGTTGCTTTTAACTATAGTCACCCTACTGTGCTATTGAAAATGAGAATTTATTTCTTTTATCTAACTGAATGTTTATATTCATTAACCAACCTCTCTTCATTTTCTCTTACCTACATACCCCAGCCTCTCATATCTATCATTCTATTAATACTTTCTACCTCCATGATATCAACGTCTATACCTCCTACACAGGAGTAAGAACATGAAATATTTGTTTTTCTATGCCTAGCTAATTTTACTTAATATAATGACCTCTAGTTCCATGCATGTTGCCATAAATGACAGGATTTTGTTCTTTATGTGGCAGAATAGTATTTCATTATGTAGATAGTCCGCATTTTGTTTGGTAGACACACATATCCACACAAAGAAGATTGCATTCATTTTTCCAGTTAAAATTTTTAAAAATAATAACAACAACTTCTAAAAATTATCAAACTGTTTCTCTTTCTGTTTCTTTCCCAAAAAATTCAATATATTGGTGATAAGATGGGGCTGATCAAAGCAGGAGCCTGTGGGTGGAAGGAGCAGAGGGATGTAGCCCTGTGTAAGAATGGGAGGCTGAGCTCAGAAAGAGGGTGTCTACATGGCAGGAGAGTCCAGTGCAAAGGGTTATAGCCTAAGCGGGATGCTGGAAGGCATCCTAGGGGGAGGAAAACAGCTGCTATAGAGTGTCAGAGCCAGAGTGGCATCTGGAAGACCTTTGTGTGGCACTGTCAAACCGCAGGGTTATTGGAGCTTCAGCAGGATAAGGAGAACATGCACATAGGACTATCTGGTATGGGGTATTAGAGCCCAAGAAAGATGAAAAGGCATTTAAGGCATTTATGTAGAGGGTATCCCAGCATGGTATAAGAACCTGAGAAGTTAAGGAAAGTTTCTACATGGGGAGAAGGGAGCAGCCTGATGCAGGTTACCAGAGCCTGGGCACAGTGGAGAAGGCATCCGTGTAGGGAATGGAAAACCCAGCAGCAAGAGCAGCAGCAACCCAGCCTGGAGTGTTGGAGCCCAAGTGAGGAGAGGAGGGCATCTGTGCAGTGGGGAACGGGCAGCAATGGTGGCGGGCAAGTGTGTCAGAGCCTGGGAGGGTTGAGGAGGGTGTTCATGAGTGATCATGGGGTTGGCAGTGGTAGTTTGAGATCAGTGGTATGAGAGGCCCAGGGGAGAATTGACAACCCATGCAGGGTGAGCCAGTGGTCTCTGCAAATGTGAGCAGACCTGTGACAAGGGACTGGTCATATACAAGAGGAATGCTCAAATAAGTAAATGAATTAAGGATCATGGGAGTCAGGATTCTAGAAATTGGAAAAGGGAGATAGAAATAGAAAAAAAGAGAAAACCAGAATGAACCCTGTGGCACTGAAGTGGAATTGGAGGAATTGATGTAAGCTTGGGATTTTCAATATACAGATAGATAAATGCACCTATTAAGATGGAAATGTGTGCACATGCATAACTGGTGTATATGAAACTGCATATGTTCCCTAGCTCTGGACTCAGAGATGACCTGAGAGTAGGAATCCTCCAATAGCAATGAGCACACATAGCACTCACATCTTGGCTTCAAAATACTGTTTTCAACCAAATGTATATATATTTCTTTAGAGAAATGGCTGACCCTAAGGCTGGGACAGGGAAAGTACAAAATGACCCTGGAGCACCTATCTTGGCCAGAATATAAAGAAGTCATCAAAGACAGATGGGGACACATCAAGACACATAAGCTAGCTTGAAGGGGCTCCCACTGCTCAAACACAGAAACTTAAAGCAACAAAAAATACAAAGAGTAATGGATTGTGACTTACTGAGTAAAATGAGAATCCAAGTGTTTTTATTGACAGAAATATATCAATGAATAAATTGAAAGGCCGATGAATAATGGAATATTTACATAGTTTCATACACAGTACATTTTTCAACATACTCATTAGCCACAAAGGGAAACGAATAATTTTACAGCAGTGAAGCCTGTCAGAACCCACTTAATCAAGTGATCAAAATTAACATCACCAGGAATGGGACAAGTAGAAATCATAAGTTATTAGAAAGCAAAAAAATTAAACAATGAGGAGGACAGAGCATCACTTCAATGATATCCCTGCCAGAGGTGCATACCACGAATGTAATTTTTTAAAAGTAGATGTTTTACAAAATAACTGGCCTGTACTCTTCAAAAAATGTCAAGGTCTTCAAAGTCAAAGGAACACTGAGGAATTTTTCCAGACTGAAAGAAACTAAAGAGACATAGTATCTAAACACAAAATTAAAATGCATCTTTTTGGTATGAAGGACATTATTACAACACTTAAATTTAAATGGGGTCTGAGGATTAGATGATAGTAATGTTAACTTCTGATCTTGATAGTTGTTTAGTGATTACACAGGAGAATGTTTTTGTTTATAGAAAATGAACACTGAATTATTTGAGGGTGATAGGACATCATCATGTTAGTAAATTACTCTCAAATGGTTTAAGTCTGATATTATCTTAAAATCACTCTGAAAAAGTTATTGAACTTTTTTTCACAGTCTAACACTAAGTATTCTACTCCACAGTCATTTTAAACATGAAACTTTGTGCTTAATGAGTATCTCACCTTTTGTAGCTCTTTCAGCAAAGAGAACTCAAACCTATTCCTAGCAAGATAATCCGGACCAAATAATTTATAGGGTAACAGTTGGCAACATGACAATCCCAGTGAGATTTCTTTCTCTTTTTTTTAGCTAACTGCTTCCACTTAGAAATGAAACTTTAAATATTCTGCTCTGACCTTTTTGCCTGGGAGAAGAGTTTAATTACCTGCCCAGTTTACATAAATTATGTCGCCTGTTTGTCTAAAATTGAATCCTGGGCAAGATCAATATGGCCTCAGAAAAGCCAGAGCAAATGACTTATCTCAAATGCCATCAAAGGTCACCAAAACCTTTCCTGCTTGGATGAGGACACATTCTCTTCGACAACCTGGATCACGTCATGGGCCTGCTTCCCGCTGCCTTGGGTGCCAACCACAAGAGCATGATTGATCATCGGTTAGAGGGCATTGGATACAAACTCCCTCAGGAGTCAGCTGTGTGAAATTAATTGAATACCATGATGAGTCTGATTCATCATTCTCCAAAAAGGAAGGGGGAAAAATGGCACAGAACACACAAGCCTCGTGGAGGTAAACTGCAATTTATGCTCAGGATTCTGATGGTCACAGACCATGCATGTGTTATCTGGTTGCCGTTTCACAAAATTATTCAGGGAGAAGAAAAGATACCTCTGAATCTTTCCTTCATTTCTTTATTCTTCCTTTCAAAAGAAAAGATACTTGGTAAGGGCCAACTATGTGTCTGGCTCTATTCAAACAACCACATTATAAAATATTTCATGGTAGAGGTATAAAGTATAAAAAGATTTCATACAGAGATAGAGTTTGTTTTTACCTGGGACATTCAGAGAAAGCTTCATAGAGGGCATAACATTTGATTTTTAACCAGAAGAAGGTGTACGATTGCAATAAATATTTGAGAAATGAAGGTAAATAATAACAAGAGTAATGTCACAGAAATTGTTCAAATGTGAAGCCTAGCAATTACTTCAATATGACTGGAGCAGTGAGAAGTCATATTGGAAAGAGAGTACAGCTCACACGTACTGAAGTCAGGCCCTAAAAGAACACATAATTTTAGCATAAAGGGAGAGAAGTCAGCTAAGAAGAAACAGAAACATGTAGAAAAACTGGAGTTCCATTAGCTTAAAGAGGAAGGTGATGATCCATTAAGAAAAAGAAATTAACAAGATCATAAGGTAGACAGAGGTCAAGAAGAGTGGAACTGAGCTCTAATAATCACTAAAACTGAACATCACTAATAATGTGATTCTGACCTTTACAAGAGCCATTCCCATGTAGGACAGCATGGAGCACATCAGACCTCAAGGGGAAAAAAAGTCCCTGTACTGAAAGTCAGTGCAGCCGGTGTGGGCTGACCTTTCTCACAATTTGGTGATGAATAGAGATAGGTTTGAGGTAAAGAAAGCAATGAAAAAAAGAAAGAAGGAAAAGGAGAGAGATGAGGAATGATTGAGAAGAAAAAGCACAACATTGTGTAGACAGAAGGGCTGAATGCAACATATAATGAAGGATTGGTGCTATAAGAAAAGCTGCAGATAATTGTTATGTCAAGTTATACTGGAAGGTGAGGGAAGGTGGAATTGAGAGTACAGACATAAAAGTATCTCTTCCGGTAGAAGAAGGAAGAAAAAGATAAGAAATTTTAAGATAGGTGTGATGATGACTAAATGAGAGAGGAAAATGAAAGAGGATAAGATAAATTGACTTATGATTTTACATATGCAGTATTGAGAGCTGAGATAAATGTGCAAGAAGTAAATGAGGTTTAAGTAAGGGGAAGGACTTGAGGAACATAGAATTAGTTGGGAATAGCAACTGTTAGGATAGTTTCAAACAAATGCAGAAAACTGTGATAATGAAAAAACACCTATAGTAGGGTAGGATAGGTGGTACAAACTACTGCAAACCACTGAAACAAATAGAACTCAAGATTCAATGGCTTTAAGAATAAAGATGTTTACTTCTTTCTCATTGGGGTGCAGGAGCTACGTTTGCAGTAGTTCTTCTCCACTCAGTCACTTAAAGACTCTGGTTTGCAACAGCTCTGTCCTGTATAACATGTAACTTCCAAGTTTGCTCTGAGTGTCACTGTCCCAGTGGAAAAGATCTTAGAAGATTGTGCATGGGAGGTTTTATGCTCCAGACATGAAGGTGGCACACATCATTTCTGCTCTGATTCCATTAGTTGGAACTCACTTCTACAGCCCACACTGATATGTGTGAATTGTGAGCAGTTTCTGTGAAAAGATCTGCACCTCTATTCTGGGGGATAAGCACCAGCACTAATATGTCAGATCCCTTATGGCTTAGAAAGTTCTTCCCTGAGGACAGAAGCAAACACAGACAGTATTAAATTATTCAGGATAATAAGCTTCAAAGTGTGAAGGACATCAAGGGCTACATGCTTACTGGAGCTCTCCTTGGTACTGAGCACTATAGCTGCCTAAACTATTCCAATAAGATTCCCATAAAAAAGGGTAAGGAGCCCCACGGTATACACACCTGCAGATGCGATATAAAAAGTAATTTTGCTGCTCATACATGAATTACCTTGGACACTCTGAGGTCCACCCACTTGATGATGATGATTAAATCAAGGAGTAAAAGGACTGAGAGTTAGATAATCTGGAATACAGTCCAGGTTTTGTCGCTAATTTGCTGATAATAGGGCCAAGTAACTTCTTTCCTCTGAGCCTCAATTTTTCCTCTTTCAAATGCTAATTTTGGTCTCAGTGGACCTTGTTGGCTTTCCTAGTTCAAAACTAAGCATGTAGTAAGGCCTCTTCGAGATGACCATGTTTTCTTGCCTCTTCAGTTTCATGAAATGGGAGCCCCAAGTGAACGTTCAGAGGTAAGGCATTCTTAAACACTGATGTTTCGAATTCACATTATTACTCCTTCCTGGAAGGAAATTTGGTATGGGCTTCAAGAGCCTTAAGTAGTTTCATGCTGAAAGAAATATGATGAATCTAGGTGTCTGCAGAGAATTATAAATAATGATATATAACAGAGAAAATTAGCAGCAATAAAAATGTCTGAATTTAATAGGAATGTTGAACACAGTGAATATATGCAGTTACTATAAATAGGGTTTTTAAAGTTTAGTTAACATAATGGCTATCGAGAAGTCCTTAAAATGTTTGGTTAATTATTAAGATGATGGAAATATACTTGTGGTTTCCCTCTCTACGAATTTCAGCTCCTCTCAACATTCTCTTTTATTTCAACTAGCTCCTACCACCACATAAAATCTATGTGTTCTCCTTATCTTGTGTCTTGTTTGTCTCTCCAAACTGGCATATGCATGCTCCATGAGAACTATAACATGTTTTGCCTCTTTCATTCTCTGCTCAGCCTCCATTTCCTAGAAAAATATTTGTGGATAATTGGCTTTTAATAAATATGTGTTAAATTAGTAACTTAATATCAAATGAACAATTGCATAAAACTATATGCATAGCACAACTATTCTAATTGTATACAGCTAAATATATGTGTATATCTGGGTCTGAATATGTCTTGGATATTTCTCGTTAATTTATTTCATCTTGAAATACAAAAGTACAAAAGAAATATAAAATAGCCACTCATCGGCCTGATGTGGTGGCTCACGCCTGTAATCCCAGCACTTTGGGAGGCCGAGGTGGGCAGATCATCAGGTCAAGAAATCGAGACCATCCTGGCCAACATGGTGAAATCCTGTCTCTACTAAAAATACAAAACTTAGCCAGGCATGGTGGTGCGTGCCTGTAGTCCCAACTACTCAGGAGGCTGAGGCAGAAGAATTGCTTGAACCTGGGAGTCAGAGGTTGCAGTGAGCCAAGATCACGCCATTGCACTCCAGCCTGGTGACAGAGCCAGACTCCGTCTCAAAAAAAAAAAAAAAAGAAAAGAAAAGAAAAAAAGGCCACTCTTTTTTTTTTTTTTTTTAAGATTTAGGTGATTTTATTTGATTTTAATTTCAATATGATTATCAGTGAGATTTAGTTGTGTGTGTGCGTGTGTGTGTGATAATGTTAGGTTGACAATTCCTGGTCTTTTCTTTCTATTGTGTGGCAGTCTTAAATACTTCCACTTTTCTTTGCATTGCTTCTTGTACAGTCTAAGCTTCCAGCATCATCAGTCACTTGAACTGCCACAAAGTTTTTAAACAAATCTCCCTATAGTCACTCCCAGTCCTACAATCTATCTTTCATATAGTTTCTACAATTCAAAACTATAAAATTCATCCTGCCATTCTCCCATTAAAAACCCTCAATGGCTTTCCATCAGGCTTAGAATAGAATCCCAGCTTCTTACTTACCATGGCCTGAAGACTCCTGCCAGCTTCCCCAGCCTCGTCTCTTGCCAAGTCCTCCCACACTCACCTCACTTTATTACTTTTTCTCTTCATCCAAATTAAAAAAAAAAAAACATAAAACATGGACTTCTCTCAAACCCATGTACTGCGCTTACCTCTATCTGAAATGCTCATTTCGGACAAGTGCTTGGATCCAGGTCCTTGGATCATTTCAGTCTGGCTGCTTGTCATTCTCCAGGCTCAACATCACTTCCTAGAGAGACTTCTGGGACCACTCAACCACTCCAATTCCATCTGAGTCACTTTCCTCATACTACCTGGCTGCATTAATGTTAAAACATTTATCTTCATCAGAAATTCTCTTATCCATCAGTGTATGCATTCATTGTATGTATCTGTGTCTTTTGCTAGAAAATACACTTTTGTACTTTCCAGCAGGAAAGTTTTTTTCCTTTTCTGTATTCTCAAGACCTAGCACAGTTCTACATATATGGAGTCACTTGAAAACTACTTGTTCAATGAATTAGTTAATGATTCTGACCTTGAGTCAAATCTATTCCAAGGCGTAATATTCCTTCTTCTCTATTCTTAGTATCTTCCATTCTGCCTCTTACTAATAAACTTAGTTTTTGCTCCTTGACGTTATTTTCAAACGATTCTGAAGCAAGGTTCAGACTTCAAATGATAAAGGCTTGATAAAGATATGTGCAAAGGACACTTTAGGATGAGAATCTATTGGAGCAAAGGGACAGAAAAAGGTAGATATTTGATGTGCATTGGAATATACAGTAAAGTCTACAGTGATCATATTAATCAACACTGTGTTTATATGGAGCAGGCACCCATGTCTACTGTTTATTTTTTTTAAGGGACGGTGTGGAGATTTATTAATTCATGTCACAAGAAAGTCCAAGTGTATACTGGCTTTAGGCACTGGTAGTTCCAGGTGCTCAAAGAATATTATCGGAAATGTGTTTTCAAGGCTGGACATGGTGGCTCACACCTGTAATCCCAGCACTTTGGGAGACCTAGGTGGGAGGATTATTTTTGGCTAGGAGTTCAAGACTAGCCAGAGCAACATAGCAAGACACTATCTCTACCAAAACTTAAAATAAAACATTATTTGGGCGTGGCAGTGTGCGCCTGTAGTCCCAGCTGCTCAGGAGGCTGTAGTGAGAGGATGACTTAAGCTCAGGAGTCTGAGGCTGCAGTGAACAGTGATTGTGCCACTTCACTCTAGTTTAGGTGATAGAGTGAGACTCTGTCTCAAAAACAAAATAAAAATAAAATAGAATAAATAAAATAAAATAAAATAAAGAAATATGTTTCCATAATCTTTTATACCTGTTGTTTCTTTGTTTGCATTTTTATGCAAATTCTTCTCAGGTAGAAAATGACTACCAACAATTTCAGCTTAAATCCTAATAGCTTAGCAATGTCAATAAATAGATATTACATCTTTCCCAATAGCTACATCCAAAATTTCAGAAAGTCTCTACTAGCTAACAAATCCCTGTAGAACTCATAGGTTAAAGTAGTGATAATTTATCATTGCTCATGAGTCTGTAGGCAGGGTTTGGTTCTGTTAGTCTCAGCTGGGCTCATCCACGCATCTGCAGTCAGCTGTGGGACAATCGGAGGCTGTGCTGATCTTTTCTGGATTCTTAGCATCTTTGAGCAATGACAGACTGGCTGTTGTACATTAGCTTCAGCTACAGCAATTGGATTCTCCTCCATGTGTTTCTCATATTCTAGCAGTTCGACCCATACTTTTCTCATGGCATTGGCATGGTTCTAATAGAGATGGTGGAAATTCAGAAGACAACTTTAGGTCTAGACTTAGAATTAGCACATTACTTTTTCTCCATTCTATTGGCCTGACTCAGTCGTGAGGCCAGTCCATATTTAAAGGACTGGGATGAACTTAAAGGGAAGAGCTGAAAAGTCACACTGAAAAGGGCATGAATACAAGGTAGGTGGAAAATTGAAATCATTTTTACAATCAATCTCATGCTGGATTTTGGTCAAAGGTCCATCATTTATTCAGTTACTGTGAGCTAAGTGTGGACAGAAAGCTTAGGAGTAATGGTTTTTGAAAGAGAAGTAAAGCACTATTCCCATATGAAAGGGTGATGAGAAAGCAAAACCAGAAATTTTCTACTACATGGTTGTATAAGCAAAGAGCTGGTTTATTATAGTCATTTAGAGCCTAAGGTTTTGATTCAGACTACTTTCTAAGTATGTTAAATGCATTACTTAATGTGTCTAGTTTTCTT
This sequence comes from Homo sapiens, assembly GCF_000001405.40. NCBI lineage: Eukaryota > Metazoa > Chordata > Mammalia > Primates > Hominidae > Homo > Homo sapiens. Next base: position 128,465,674 of record NC_000008.11, on the reverse strand, counting down.
ATCTGTAGTAAAGAAAACTTTTTGAGTATTAAATGAAGCAATACAAGTAAAGTGCTTATAGAGAAACTGGCACCAGGTAAGTCTTCACTAAGTCTTATTTTTTTTTTTTGTATTATTCTTTGGCAATTGGTAAGCCTTTGAAAAATTATGAAGAAAAAAGGGACATGTCAGGAATGTCATTTAAAGAAAATAAGCTTGGTTTTGTTTATAATGATGGAGTAAGAATCCCCCCTTTTATCTCTACTATACCTGCCTTACTGATTTCAGTTTCCAGTATTATATTAGAGTCCTGGGGGAAAATATTTTTCCACAAAGAAATTAAGGTAAATTTTAACTTAAGGAAATAAAAACTATAAATATAGGCCAGTGGAAAGGGCACAAACCTGTGTCAGCATGGTTCCAGGGTAGTACTGGAGTCCATCATCAATTATTAAACAAGGTCAATATTTGTGGCACAGAGAAGCATTTTAGCATATATTATTTATGCGGATGGTTGTAATAAGTACTCCGTGCTTGAATAGGGAGCTTCAAGAGTGGAATACTATTAACAAGAAAACTAGTTGGCACAGAAAATAGCATATATTTTTTTCTGAGAAAATCTCTGTCTCTCTGTCTCTCTCTCTCTCTGTCTCTCCCCTTCTTTCTCACATATTACTATTTTATTTCTCTACAAGGAAACAAATACTCTTTATTATATCTGTGATTACTGTGTTTCTCCATACCTAATGTTACACTAGATGCTATAGGGAAGATGGTGAAAGGTCCAAGAAAAAGAAATATTGTTCCTGGCCTTCAAGAAGCCCACAGTCTGGCTGGATAAATATAATTTCAAGGGTGAGGCAGGGAGGTAAATGGTCTAGATTAATAAATGTCATAACATGGGACTGAGACAGATGTTCAGCAGTGAAGTTCAGAAGATAGGTGATCAATGTGAGCTATCAAATATGATGGGAATAACATATGGTGTCACATTTCCCCCAAAATTTGAAAGATGACTTCCTGGGGTGAGGGGAGGATGTCAGAGGTTGCATTGGAAGATCCGATGTTGAATAAGAGTTGACAAGTTTGAGAAGAAAACAGCTTAGAGGTGATAGTGAGTCAGCCAGCTGCATTTGGAGAGGCAAGGTACTGTTAGAGGAGATTCTCTTGGGTTAGAAGAGGCAGAAAGAGCTGAGTATTCAAGATATGACCCTCTCATTCCTCCATCTATGAGGAAATGTGACAGCCAAACTGAGGCCTTTAAACTTGATGTTATAAGCATTATGGAGCTGCAGCAGATCAATGTCACTCTTTCACTGACTCAGCAAGTAGTAATAACATTTTACTGAATGCCTACTGTGTGCCAGTCCTGTGCTAGAAGCAATGGCGCTACAGAGATGGACAGACTGCAGATTTCCTTCTAAGTAACTTTTGTGGGCATAAAATGCACACATACACATACACATATATGTGTGCACACATACACATACACATATATGTGTGCACACATACACATACACATATATGTGTGCACACATACCTCTACTACCATCACTAAAGTAAGAACTGCATTAAGAGGGGTAAAAATGGCTACTCCAAAGCCTGATAGCTTTAGACAGCAAAAAATAGCACATACGAGTGACTGCCAAGTTTTAAACTTTCACTGGAGTGAACTCAGTTCAGCTATCTGACTGCAACAAGCAGTTGTTGATTTCTAGGTTCAATTAGAAAACTCTGGTTTTTTGTTCATGTCATGTCAGGCCTATGAGCCAAGTAAGAGCATTTATCCTTTGCTCTGGAAGTGGTTCCAACTCCACTTACCTGTTATCCAGGACTCTCCCTAGTATCTTATTACTCACTCAGCTCTGAAAGCCTAACATGGATATTATTCAGGGAAAAGGATGTTTCTAGCTGTTTGGAAACAGAGCAAAGTTACTTGCCCACCCAGAGTGCTGGCTTTGTGCTAATAGATGAGGGGCACGTGGAACAATGAAGCAGACAGCACCTTTTCTAATCCCATTCATTGGGGCTCTGTGCTCCTCCCTGAGAGAGATAATGACATGAAGAACATGGAGTTGTAGCCAGCAGATCTCCAGAAGAAAATCGTTAGATAGTAATCACTACTAGGCAGCTGCTCTCACTACCCCCACCTTAAATAATAGTAGTTAGCGGATATTAAGGACTTCCAATGTGCCTGAACTAAGCTTTTAACTTACAAAATATTTTTTAATCCTTATAGAAACTCTGTGAAGTAGGTATCATTATTATCTCTATTTTACAGATGAGATTAATCAGAGGTTAAATAATATACTCAAAGTCACTTATCTAGTGACTGCTAGGAGCTAGGATGCAAATCAACATGTATAGAAGTTTAATCTTAAGAAACAGTGCATGGTTTTCTGAACTTACCCCAACATAGGGTTCATAATAAGATGGCTTTTGCCCCAGAACCAGGAGAATGTGTCACCTCTAAGGATTGTCTTGTACTGTAGCAAATGCTCACTTAATGTTTGTTGAATAAATAGATACAATTTGTGTCAAGTGTTTCATATATCCAGGTAGGTTTATATTTATCTATCAAAAATCCAAGTAGCAATGTGCAAATGTCATGTGTAGATTCTAAAAACGTACATATAGGTAAAAATCTGTTTATTCTATCCCCTATTAAATAATAAGCTTCATAAGAATTACACTATGCATAGTTACTGCTGCATTACAGCTCCTCGTAAAGCGTTCAGCTCATAATTAGGCTCTCATTACATATTGGTTGAATTACAACATAAATATATATACTAATCAAGGAATATGCATCCAACTATTTAATGTATATGCAAGCCTACATATGTACATATCAGAATATATGGTGCCTTTCTTCCAAGTGATTTTAGTCATTTCTCAATGGGCTAAGCCTTTCTATAAGATAAATCCTTAGACTTATCTACATTCAAAAGTGAAGAAGGCACAGGCAACAAGATATAAAGAGCTATAGTCTAATAACTCTGGAAAAAATTTGATTCAATTTCTGGGTTCTTGTTGTATCAGCTTGTTGATGGATGGTATAAGGGAAACACAAAAGTAGAAAATAGTTCCTGCCCTTTAGGCCCTCACTGTGTTTGGGGGTGATGAATCCCACCCATGAAACAAGTAGAGGGTAATACAGTACAACGTAGGATCATGTCACTGTTGTCCATGAGAAGAGCAATCATTGTGGTAGTTAATTGACAACCAAAAAGTGTAGAAAACATACAGGGTTTCCATGGATATCCGTCAAATGACCAGATAGGAGATTTGTTCTGAGTGTTTAACATTTTAGTATAATTTAAAATGAGTGAAAAGAAGAGGCAAGGGATAGAATTCAGAATGCACAGCGTTTAGAAACATGTACATTGGGTGCCTCATTTTATCCTACACACCTTTCTGTTGAATTTTATCAGTCCTCAGTATCTACATCTGTAAAATAGATTGCAATATTAACTACTGCATATGGTGACCATGAAATCTAAATAAGATACCATACATGACGTGGTTAACATGGTGCCTGCCACAGAATAACTGCTCCATAAATGTTAGAGCTGTTACCTTCTATTATTAATATAATTTGGGAAGTCAAAGAGTAAGAATGTACTTCTGGAAGAGACATGACATCATCAAATCTAACTCCATAGGTTCTAGAGGTAATGAGTTTATTTTTACCATTTTACTTGTGAGAAGAGGTGGGAATTCAGCAAAGCTAAGCAGGATGTTTTTATTTGTGTTTATCTGCTGAGATACGTCTATTGATTTCCTCCAGAGCAGGGCTGCAGTAGAGGGCCTTTATAAGACCAACTTAAATCAGCATGTTTCCTCATTTTCATCAGGGATTGTAGCCAAGGTCACTCTGTATAGAGATGAGCTTTCAGCAGAAACAGCAATTACCTTATGCTCAATGGTTTCATTGAAAAACTCTTCCAGATAATGACAAGAGTAAAACATGCCCATGTTCCTCCTTTGTCCCTTTATTAATAAATTAGAGTATACAGAAACTCAATAAAAGTGACAGAGAAGGCTCACGAGCATCATTGGATCATCCTTACCAGGGGCAGCTTGCATCTCACAAAGGCCTTTTCCACTAAAAGGCCTTACCCAAAGCAGAAAGCCACCCTTGACTGAGTTTGTACTATGTGTAGTTGGAGTTGCTCACTGGACAGGTGGCAAAGACCCATGAATGCAAATTGAGCCCTGTTGCTATGGAGTTTCATTGGCTTTGCTCTGGTCTTGGCTCAGTCCCTTCTTGGTCCACACTTTTGACCAAGTTCAAGCTCTCATTGTCTCTTACATCGACTTTTGAGAGAGTCTTGTAGCTGGTTCTCCTGCCCTTCTCTCTCTATCACCAACCAATTCTCCCCAGAAATGACCAATGTATCTTTTTCAATCACAGGCCTGCAAATTCCCTACTCTTGTAAAGACATCTACTGGCTCCCCATTTGACATCTTAGTTCTAGTTGCTTCTGCTGCTATTACTGATGTTGTCATTAATTATTAATAATAATTATTATTATTACCATCATCATTATTATTATTTCTATATGAAGTCCAACCTCCTTGGAATAGATTTCAAAATTTTCAAAATCAGTTCAACATTTTCAGCTTTGTAATAATCAAGACTGGCCTTTATTGAAAGTTAATATGCCCCAGCTAATGTGCCCAGTGGTTTACTTTCGTTAAGTTATTCTATGCTCACAACAATCCTGAAAGGTAGTCATCACGCCCATTTAACAAATGAGGGCACTGAGGCAAGGAAAAGTAAGGTATCTTGCTTTAGGCCACATAATCAGTAAACATTCAGTAAGAATTCAAACCTGAATTTGTGTCACTCCCAAGCCCACATTGTTAATCACCATTCTCTCAGCCGCATCTCCTATAGCCTATCCCTCACTCTCATCTCACCCAAAACTGACTGCTGGCCCCTCTAAGCCAAATCAGTTCCACCCACCAACTCTCTTGGGCCTTTGCACATACTTTTGCTTCTCCATGGAATTCTGTATCGCCCTCCAACTCATTGCAGCAAATGAACCACTTCCAATGTCACTGAAGTGAATGCTGGGAGTGCCCCATTCAACTACTACTTATAGTGCTGGTGAACTGACTTATCAGCTGCTACAGATATTGACTGAAAATCATACATATATGCTTCCTTCTCCAAAGAGCTTTTCAAGAGCCACCTCCCCCAGAGTTGTCTAGGAGGTGACCACATACTCCCACCCTCTCATGGCAAATGACTGACTGACGAAGAGGAATGACAGCTCAGGCCTCTTGCCTCTGGATGAGACAACCTTTGTGGCACAAGTTGAAAGCACATCTTTGCAGAGCTGCTTCCCCTGCCCTATCCTGCTTCCCTTGCTATCAGGCTCCTCTAAGAGTTCACCCTAAATAAAATCCCACCTCAGGCTCTGCTGCTTGTAAACTGACCTAAGACAGACACGTCCACTGAGATGCCATTCTTGACTTCCCCAGGAGCACATACCATCTTCTGGGGGGATGGTCTACAAGCAATGACCATCCCTCATAGGGGGATGTTCATAGACTATCCCTTCATCGTGGCATTTGACACATAATTCTCACATTATTGTAATGAAAGTCTCTTTCCTCCTCTAGATTATCACTTTTTCTTTTTTGAGGCGGAGTTTTGCTCTTGTTGCCCAGGCTGGAGTGCAATGGCATGATCTTGGCTCACTGCAACCTCCGCATCCCAGGTTCAAGCAATTACCCTGCCTCAGCCTCCCGAGTAGCTGGGATTACAGGCACCTGCCACCATGCCTAGATAAATTTTTGTATCTTTAGTAGAGATAGGGTTTCACTATGTTGGCCAGGCTGGTCTCAAACTCCTGACCTCAGGCAACCCACCCGCCTCAGCCTCCCAAAGTGCTGGGATTACAGGCGTGAGCCACCATGCCTGGCCCAGATTATCACTTCTTTTAAGACAAGAGCTGAGCCCTTTGAAGCTTTGTACCTCCCCACATCACACAGTGGCAGCATTTAGGTGGGACCCCATACCTTGCAGCTCAGTGTAAACCCTCCTGTCCTGCTCATCAGACTGTAAGCTTGCTGTCCTAAGAAACTCGCTGCTGTTCTGCCTGGCCCTCCTCACAGCCCTGCTCCCCCACTACCCCGGCTCACATCATCCCATTACATTTAGTTCATCTCTTCCTATCAGGGCCAGCTTTGCCTCTGCTTTCTCACCCAGACTCCCAACCCTCTGCCTCCTTCTCTTTCTACATCAGTTAATCATTCTTTCTCTTCCCCTTACTTCACAGCCACGTAGCACTTATGGCTGTAAGAGCCAGCACTTGGCCAAGTGCAAATGCATGACCTTATTAATTTATGCATGTGAAACTTTTCTTAGGGAGGGAGAAGTATTCCATTAAATGATATCTATCTCCCCAATTCCATTAATTAGTTAATAAAAAAGTTAAAGAGAATTTCATGGGGATACACTGGCTTCTGTGATAGAATATCAGCTAAGTGAGATATTAATAAAAAGACAACATGTGTCTATATCAGACTCCTCAGTAAGGTGACTGAGGCTAAAACTGACAATGTAAGTTACCTCTCATTTGTCTGATGTGTGGATTCACTGTTCTTTTTATCTGGGTTAGTTTTTGCTGTGATGAAATAAGGTTTAAAAACACAAGCTGGGAGGGAGGAGCCAAGATGGCCGAATAGGAACAGCTCCGGTCTACAGCTCCCAGCGTGAGCGACGCAGAAGACGGTGATTTCTGCATTTCCATCTGAGGTACCGGGTTCATCTCACTAGGGAGTGCCAGACAGTGGGCGCAGGCCAGTGTGTGTGCGCACCGTGCGCGAGCCGAAGCAGGGCGAGGCATTGCCTCACCTGGGAAGCGCAAGGGGTCAGGGAGTTCCCTTTCCGAGTCAAAGAAAGGGGTGACGGACGCACCTGGAAAATCGGGTCACTCCCACCCGAATATTGCGCTTTTCAGACCGGCTTAAGAAACGGCGCACCATGAGACTATATCCCACACCTGGCTCGGAGGGTCCTACGCCCACGGAATCTCGCTGATTGCTAGCACAGCAGTCTGAGATCAAACTGCAAGGCGGCAACGAGGCTGGGGGAGGGGCGCCCGCCATTGCCCAGGCTTGCTTAGGTAAACAAAGCAGCCGGGAAGCTCGAACTGGGTGGAGCCCACCACAGCTCAAGGAGGCCTGCCTGCCTCTGTAGGCTCCACCTCTGGGGGCAGGGCACAGACAAACAAAAAGACAGCAGTAACCTCTGCAGACTTAAGTGTCCCTGTCTGACAGCTTTGAAGAGAGCAGTGGTTCTCCCAGGAGGCAGCTGGAGATCTGAGAACGGGCAGACTGCCTCCTCAAGTGGGTCCCTGACTCCTGACCCCCGAGCAGCCTAACTGGGAGGCACCCCCCAGCAGGGGCACACTGACACCTCACACGGCAGGGTATTCCAACAGACCTGCAGCTGAGGGTCCTGTCTGTTAGAAGGAAAACTAACAACCAGAAAGGACATCTACACCGAAAACCCATCTGTACATCACCATCATCAAAGACCAAAAGTAGATAAAACCACAAAGATGGGGAAAAAACAGAACAGAAAAACTGGAAACTCTAAAACGCAGAGCGCCTCTCCTCCTCCAAAGGAACGCAGTTCCTCACCAGCAACAGAACAAAGCTGGATGGAGAATGATTTTGACGAGCTGAGAGAAGAAGGCTTCAGACGATCAAATTACTCTGAGCTACGGGAGGACATTCAAACCAAAGGCAAAGAAGTTGAAAACTTTGAAAAAAATTTAGAAGAATGTATAACTAGAATAACCAATACAGAGAAGTGCTTAAAGGAGCTGATGGAGCTGAAAACCAAGGCTCGAGAACTACGTGAAGAATGCAGAAGCCTCAGGAGCCGATGCGATCAACTGGAAGAAAGGGTATCAGCAATGGAAGATGAAATGAATGAAATGAAGCGAGAAGGGAAGTTTAGAGAAAAAAGAATAAAAAGAAATGAGCAAAGCCTCCAAGAAATATGGGACTATGTGAAAAGACCAAATCTACGTCTGATTGGTGTACCTGAAAGTGATGTGGAGAATGGAACCAAGTTGGAAAACACTCTGCAGGATATTATCCAGGAGAACTTCCCCAATCTAGCAAGGCAGGCCAACGTTCAGATTCAGGAAATACAGAGAACGCCACAAAGATACTCCTCGAGAAGAGCAACTCCAAGACACATAATTGTCAGATTCACCAAAGTTGAAATGAAGGAAAAAATGTTAAGGGCAGCCAGAGAGAAAGGTCGGGTTACCCTCAAAGGAAAGCCCATCAGACTAACAGCGGATCTCTCGGCAGAAACCCTACAAGCCAGAAGAGAGTGGGGGCCAATATTCAACATTCTTAAAGAAAAGAATTTTCAACCCAGAATTTCATATCCAGCCAAACTAAGCTTCATAAGTGAAGGAGAAATAAAATACTTTATAGACAAGCAAATGTTGAGAGATTTTGTCACCACCAGGCCTGCCCTAAAAGAGCTCCTGAAGGAAGCGCTAAACATGGAAAGGAACAACTGGTACCAGCCGCTGCAAAATCATGCCAAAATGTAAAGACCATCGAGACTAGGAAGAAACTGCATCAACTAATGAGCAAAATCACCAGCTAACATCATAATGACAGGATCAAATTCACACATAACAATATTAACTTTAAATATAAATGGACTAAATTCTGCAATTAAAAGACACAGACTGGCAAGTTGGATAAAGAGTCAAGACCCATCAGTGTGCTGTATTCAGGAAACCCATCTCACGTGCAGAGACACACATAGGCTCAAAATAAAAGGATGGAGGAAGATCTACCAAGCCAATGGAAAACAAAAAAAGGCAGGGGTTGCAATCCTAGTCTCTGATAAAACAGACTTTAAACCAACAAAGATCAAAAGAGACAAAGAAGGCCATTACATAATGGTAAAGGGATCAATTCAACAAGAGGAGCTAACTATCCTAAATATTTATGCACCCAATACAGGAGCACCCAGATTCATAAAGCAAGTCCTCAGTGACCTACAAAGAGACTTAGACTCCCACACATTAATAATGGGAGACTTTAACACCCCACTGTCAACATTAGACAGATCAACGAGACAGAAAGTCAACAAGGATACCCAGGAATTGAACTCAGCTCTGCACCAAGCAGACCTAATAGACATCTACAGAACTCTCCACCCCAAATCAACAGAATATACATTTTTTTCAGCACCACACCACACCTATTCCAAAATTGACCACATAGTTGGAAGTAAAGCTCTCCTCAGCAAATGTAAAAGAACAGAAATTATAACAAACTATCTCTCAGACCACAGTGCAATCAAACTAGAACTCAGGATTAAGAATCTCACTCAAAGCCGCTCAACTACATGGAAACTGAACAACCTGCTCCTGAATGACTACTGGGTACATAACGAAATGAAGGCAGAAATAAAGATGTTCTTTGAAACCAACGAGAACAAAGACACCACATACCAGAATCTCTGGGACGCATTCAAAGCAGTGTGTAGAGGGAAATTTATAGCACTAAATGCCTACAAGAGAAAGCAGGAAAGATCCAAAATTGACACCCTAACATCACAATTAAAAGAACTAGAAAAGCAAGAGCAAACACATTCAAAAGCTAGCAGAAGGCAAGAAATAACTAAAATCAGAGCAGAACTGAAGGAAATAGAGACACAAAAAACCCTTCAAAAAATCAATGAATCCAGGAGCTGGTTTTTTGAAAGGATCAACAAAATTGATAGACCGCTAGCAAGACTAATAAAGAAAAAGAGAGAGAAGAATCAAATAGACACAATAAAAAATGATAAAGGGGATATCACCACCGATCCCACAGAAATACAAACTACCATCAGAGAATACTACAAACACCTCTACGCAAATAAACTAGAAAATCTAGAAGAAATGGATACATTCCTCGACACATACACTCTCCCAAGACTAAACCAGGAAGAAGTTGAATCTCTGAATAGACCAATAACAGGCTCTGAAATTGTGGCAATAATCAATAGTTTACCAACCAAAAAGAGTCCAGGACCAGATGGATTCACAGCCGAATTCTACCAGAGGTACATGGAGGAACTGGTACCATTCCTTCTGAAACTATTCCAATCAATAGAAAAAGAGGGAATCCTCCCTAACTCATTTTATGAGGCCAGCATCATTCTGATACCAAAGCCGGGCAGAGACACAACCAAAAAAGAGAATTTTAGACCAATATCCTTGATGAACATTGATGCAAAAATCCTCAATAAAATACTGGCAAACCGAATCCAGCAGCACATCAAAAAGCTTATCCACCATGATCAAGTGGGCTTCATCCCTGGGATGCAAGGCTGGTTCAATATACGCAAATCAATAAATGTAATCCAGCATATAAACAGAGCCAAAGACAAAAACCACATGATTATCTCAATAGATGCAGAAAAAGCCTTTGACAAAATTCAACAACCCTTCATGCTAAAAACTCTCAATAAATTAGGTATTGATGGGACGTATTTCAAAATAATAAGAGCTATCTATGACAAACCCACAGCCAATATCATACTGAATGGGCAAAAACTGGAAGCATTCCCTTTGAAAACCGGCACAAGACAGGGATGCCCTCTCTCACCGCTCCTATTCAACATAGTGTTGGAAGTTCTGGCCAGGGCAATCAGGCAGGAGAAGGAAATAAAGGGTATTCAATTAGGAAAAGAGGAAGTCAAATTGTCCCTGTTTGCAGATGACATGATTGTTTATCTAGAAAACCCCATCGTCTCAGCCCAAAATCTCCTTAAGCTGATAAGCAACTTCAGCAAAGTCTCAGGATACAAAATCAATGTACAAAAATCACAAGCATTCTTATACACCAACAACAGACAAACAGAGAGCCAGATCATGGGTGAACTCCCATTCACAATTGCTTCAAAGAGAATAAAATACCTAGGAATCCAACTTACAAGGGATGTGAAGGACCTCTTCAAGGAGAACTACAAACCACTGCTCAAGGAAATAAAAGAGGAGACAAACAAATGGAAGAACATTCCATGCTCATGGGTAGGAAGAATCAATATCGTGAAAATGGCCATACTGCCCAAGGTAATTTACAGATTCAATGCCATCCCCATCAAGCTACCAATGACTTTCTTCACAGAATTGGAAAAAACTACTTTAAAGTTCATATGGAACCAAAAAAGAGCCCGCATTGCCAAGTCAATCCTAAGCCAAAAGAACAAAGCTGGAGGCATCACACTACCTGACTTCAAACTATACTACAAGGCTACAGTAACCCAAACAGCATGGTACTGGTACCAAAACAGAGATATAGATCAATGGAACAGAACAGAGCCCTCAGAAATAATGCCGCATATCTACAACTATCTGATCTTTGACAAACCTGAGAAAAACAAGCAATGGGGAAAGGATTCCCTATTTAATAAATGGTGCTGGGAAAACTGGCTAGCCATATGTAGAAAGCTGAAACTGGATCCCTTCCTTACACCTTATACAAAAATCAATTCAAGATGGATTAAAGATTTAAACGTTAAACCTAAAACCATAAAAACCCTAGAAGAAAACCTAGGCATTACCATTCAGGACATAGGCGTGGGCAAGGACTTCATGTCCAAAACACCAAAAGCAATGGCAACAAAAGACAAAATTGACAAATGGGATCTAATTAAACTAAAGAGCTTCTGCACAGCAAAAGAAACTACCATCAGAGTCAACAGGCAACCTACAACATGGGAGAAAATTTTTGCAACCTACTCATCTGACAAAGGGCTAATATCCAGAATCTACAATGAACTCAAACAAATTTACAAGAAAAAAACAAACAACCCCATCAAAAAGTGGGCGAAGGACATGAACAGACACTTCTCAAAAGAAGACATTTATGCAGCCAAAAAACACATGAAGAAATGCTCATCATCACTGGCCATCAGAGAAATGCAAATCAAAACCACTATGAGATATCATCTCACACCAGTTAGAATGGCAATCATTAAAAAGTCAGGAAACAACAGGTGCTGGAGAGGATGCGGAGAAATAGGAACACTTTTACACTGTTGGTGGGACTGTAAACTAGTTCAACCATTGTGGAAGTCAGTGTGGCGATTCCTCAGGGATCTAGAACTAGAAATACCATTTGACCCAGCCATCCCATTACTGGGTATATACCCAAATGAGTATAAATCATGCTGCTATAAAGACACATGCACACGTATGTTTATTGCGGCACTATTCACAATAGCAAAGACTTGGAACCAACCCAAATGTCCAACAATGATAGACTGGATTAAGAAAATGTGGCACATATACACCATGGAATACTATGCAGCCATAAAAAATGATGAGTTCATATCCTTTGTAGGGACATGGATGAAATTGGAAACCATCATTCTCAGTAAACTATCGCAAGAACAAAAAACCAAACACCGCATATTCTCACTCATAGGTGGGAATTGAACAATGAGATCACATGGACACAGGAAGGGGAATATCACACTCTGGGGACTGTGGTGGGGTCGGGGGAGGGGGGAGGGATAGCATTGGGAGATATACCTAATGCTAGATGACACATTAGTGGGTGCAGCGCACCAGCATGGCACATGTATACATATGTAACTAACCTGCACAATGTGCACATGTACCCTAAAACTTAGAGTATAATAAAAAAAAAAAAAAAAAAAAAAAAGAAAAAAAAAAAAAAAAAAGACTGAATAATAAAAAAAAAAAAAAAAAAAAAAAAAAAAAAACACAAGCTGGATAGCTAGAAAGAAGGAATTCATTGTGAAGCAGGTGCTATACATTGCCTCATGTAGTAGTCTCAACCAGAGGCTAAGTATTGTGTAAGCCTGTTTGCTATACAGGATACTAATGCTCAGAGAAGGTGATATGTTTTCCTGGGGTCACACAGGTAACAAGTATCCAAGCTGGACTTTAATCCTAGTTGATCTGACCTAAAAGTCTATTCTCTTCTCACTGCACCATATTTTATGAGGACATGCTGTAAGTCAAGACAGGATGTGAACAGAGAATTGACAATTGAAGGGAGACAGAGAAGATCAGGAAAGTTCCTTTCACATTAAATAAGTTCATGGAATGAATGGGGGAGAACATGGAGGAGGTGGGCTAAATTCCTGCAATTAGAGAAAGTTTTTCAGCCAGCTGAGTATTCTATTTATATGGGTTGATACCACACTAGATGTGAGGCCAGGAAAGCCGTCAGCATTAGCTAGTGTGAGGGACGATTGACGCAGGAGTATTGTTTGGCCAAAGCAAAGGACGGACAGGGTCGAAGGGTGGTGCATTTCTGGACAGGTGAATTTAGTCCAAGGATCAAGAAGGAGGTAATACAATTTATCACTAAAATTCCAGGCATGAACTGGGAGAAGGCAAGTTCTCTGAAGAAAGAAAAGACTTCCATTTGAGAAAGCGAGACATTACAACACAGGGTCTCGAATAAGGGAACAGTCATAGATCCAATTACTATGACTGTTGGGGGGGAGGAGAAAAAAGATATGAAGTGAGAGCCAGATTAGTAGGTATAAATAATATGTAAACTCTAACGGCTTTAGTTGACAGGCAAAGCAGGGCAATCCCCTCTCCCATAGCACCTTTGCCACAGTGGCTTTCTTTCTGCCACAGGACCTTTGTACATGCTGTCTCTGCAGAAGACATCTTCATCCACTTCCTCATTGGGATGAATTCCAAACACTGTTTAGCGCTCTGCTCAAACATTCTACCCTCAGGGACACCTTCCCCAACTGACCCATCCACCCTCACTGTGTGTTCAATCAAGTTTATGTCTTCCTGGCACACGCATTTACAGTTCTTTTTCTTTTAATATGTGGCAGTTCCTGCTCAATTAATTAATTAAATAAGCTATGTAGTTATTTAGTTGATGTCTGTCTCTCTCATAAAGGAGTTCCCTGTGTGACAGGAAGGATAGCATCCTTATTCAGCACCACGTCTTTGGTGTAATGCATACTATTTAAAATAGAGTGAGCATCATATTTACAAAGGTATAAATGTAGAAAATAAGTATTTCTGGATGCAGGGAAGGAAGAAGAGAAAGAAAGGAGAAAAGTTGACTGGCTTCATCAGGTTATATTGTAATAACTTGCTTAGAAGCCTTTCCAGTTGGACTTTAAGCACTTTGGTTCAGGGAAGCTTTCTTATTCATATCTATAGCTCTAGAACCCACAGCAGCTGGCAAGTAGTAATTAATAAACAGCTACTTGAAGGATAAATGTTGAGCTTGGGCTTCATAGAATATCACTCCTTTCTCCATTCTCAAGAAAACGACTTGTCTCAGATCCTGAAGTGGGTCCCCAAGTGGAGTCAAATGACTCCAACTCAGAAAAATAGGTGGCCATTCTCATCAAGCAGCTCCAAGCATTAGAACCAAAATACAAGATGGTGTTGGTTTCTTTAACTTGGTTCTTTTTACACACTTGTGATTTTGTTGGTTTGTTTATTTGCTGTGTTTTTGTTTTTAAATTTTCAAATAGTTACAGATATAGCATAGTTCCACTTCATGTAACTAGTTTACATATCACGGCAACATCAAATTGCTGTAAGAGTTTCTAAATGCTAGCTTTCGATTTCTGTGCTCTTCTCATCAGCATCAGTCTACAGAACGTACTTTGAGCAGCATAGCTCTAATGTATTGCCTTCTATTGCTCAAGAAGTCTTCAATGGTTAATAGGTTCTACATTTACATGACCTATCTGAAAGAAACATATTAAATTTTTCCAAGACACAAGTTGGAAAACTGCCAACAGATGAACGGTGTTTTTAGTCTGACTCCTCGGGCCCAGAGGTAAGACTGAGCAGGCAAAAGTAGCCCAGCAGAGGAGCAAGTCTCTGACTGTTTCCCTATAAAATATGTCTTTGCATTAAAAGCATAATATAAATTGTCTGTTCATTACTAGCATATATAAATTATACATCATAATTTAGAGAAAGATTTACAGAAAAGTGAACAGGCTGGTAATTTTTCTCTATAGTAACCTTCAATTATCATCAATCATAGCTTAATCTAGCTCTGATTCATACATTCTCTCATTCATTCTTGATATGATCCAGGCTTTGTGTGGTAAACAACTTCTACTTTTCTATGCAGAGGGCCTACCCTTCTATCTGTGCCAGCCTAGTCTAGTCCCCTGAACCATGTTTTAGATTGTAGAGCTCCTCTATTGAACAATTTTTAATATACGTCTTAATTTGACTTATACGCGACCCATCAGACAGAAAGAATCTTTCTTGCAATTCAATTTAGTCCCACTTATATTATGAAGTAAAATCTTTCTATCTATCTTATTTGCAACTTTTTACTTACTTCCCGCTCCATGGACAGAGATAATTTTAGTAATAACATTAGGTTATGTAATGTTCTTTGGGATCCAGCAGAAAAAAAAATGCAAATAGAGGATAGCCTTGCTCCAATTGAGGAAAAAAAATTGCCTTGGCATTAAGTTTTTATATCACTGCAATTGTCTAGCCATCCCTACTTTATTGAACAATATCTCATTATCACTCAGGGTACTCTTTGTGGAACCAAGATCCGAGCAGCTTTTTTGATACCCTGTTTTGATCCCCTAGAACCAATTGATTTTCTCATAGTGGAAATAATCGTTTTTTTGTTTCTCTTAAATTTTTAAAAATGCATTTCAGCAAAGTAAAGGATGTACACTATTTTATACAATGTGGATTGTTTCTTTCACATTGGTTTCTCATTGTGTTTCATGGGTGGGTTCATGGCAGGAGACGGCTTTAAGCTAGAAAATGAATTTTTGAGTAAGATAAAAATAATAGAACTTAGAGCCAGAGGCTAGAGATGGGAAGATGTGTCAGTGTCCAAGTCCATGTTAGCCAACAAGATTTAGCTGAGATATTGGGGAAAGAAAAAGGAAACTGACTAAGTGAACATTTTATGAAAACTCTTTCTAAAGAAATTCTTTATCTCACTCACCTCCAGCACAGTGACACTATGAGTCCCTTTTTGTTTCCAGTTCAATCAACCCTTCTTTTTCATACCTGCAGACACATGAGGTTTTCTGAGGCCTTTGAAGCAGTAGAAAGCCACTTTGAGTTGTTTGCAAAACATTTTGAAACTTCCAGGTATAGATTGAGCACAAGGGTGTCTCTCACTTTTAACTTGAGACTGATTCAGGACTTTGTAAAATTGTTGAAACTCTAATGCTAATCGTATAATCTATTCAGTTTTCATTTAAAATGAGTGCCTTAATGATCAAAATATTCACACTTGAGATCTCATTTATCAGAGGACAGTGGCGTGGACACTGAAAGAGAGGAATTTGATGTCCAAACCTCGTGCAAGGCACTATGCAAGGTTGTTATGAAATATCATCTCCATCAAGTTGTCATCATCAACCTGTGAGCAATTTTTATAACCGTCATGTTATGGTGAGAAAAATGAGATGTAAAGAGACTAAACACCTTGGTCACAAAGTACACCTCGTGTGCTCTCTGAGCTCAGGGTTGGACACCTGCCTTCCCTCTCTAGGGAGCTCATCCAGTCCTTGGATTTACTTACCATTTATACATGGCTCACTCTAAAATGCATATTCTCCCTGAGTTTCTCTCCTATCACCCTAAGACATATGGCCAATTCAGCTTTTCCACTAGAATGTTCTCAAACATAACAAGTCCACAGCCATACTATGGGTTTTGCCACCACTCACCCAAACTCATTCCCCATTAAATCTTCCTCTTCTCAGTAAATAGCACCACAGCCACCATCCTTCACAAGTAAAACACTGGGGATCATTCTTGCCTCCCCTCCTCAATATCATCATCTAACCCCTTAATGGATCCTATTCATCCATCTAGAAAACAGGTCCAAATATGGTTATATTTCACCATCCATTCTACTAAAAAACTTAATTTAAGCCACTCTCGTTTCTTGACTGGCCTCTGTTTCTTCCTCTATTGGTTATAGCTAATAAGCTCCTTATAGGGTTTCTGTAAGGATTACATTAAAGTTTGGAGTATGCCTTTCTCAAGTTAGTAGCTCAATAGTTATCATAATTATACAAAATTTTATTTTTTAGAAATAAGACAATATCCATGTATTTATTCAGCCGATATTGTCAACACTTATTTTGATGTGGATCATAGAGAACCACAGCTAGGGTTACTATGGCAAATGAGGCTGATTGACCTAGGCCAGATATTTGAAAGATGCCATTGGCAGTTGGTATATTGAGAAGAAAGAAGCACATAGTCAAAATATAATTTTTGTATTATAACATAATTTCAGATTTGCAAACTTAGCCACAAAACTGAGCTATTGCCCCTCCAGGCCTGCTTCTTGATATCTCTACTTGCTGTTGCTGTTATCTCCCAGTCCCATTTATTACAGCTTCCTTTGATGTTCACTTTAACCTCGGCTTTCACAACATTGACATTATTGATGTGTTTTGGAAATGATAATTCTTTGTTATGTGTGTGTTGGGGTGGGAGGTGACATAGCTGCCTGCCCAGTGTATTATAAGACATTTAGCAGTATCCCTGGCCTCTTCCCACTAGCTGCCACTAGCACCTCCTCTTCCCCTACAAATCAAACAGTGAAATATGTCTGCAGACATTGCCAAATAATTGTCCCTGAGGGGCCAAATAGTCTCAGTTGAGAATCACCAGAGTGATATTTAAACTGTCCAAGCACAGGGGAAGTTTGCATTGGGGTTGGGTGTTGTGCACTGAGGTGTAAACCCCACTGAGAAATAGCCTTGACTTGCAGATTACTTGGATCCAAGAGCCCAATTCTTTCTTTGCATTCTCAGTAGAACGCTTCCACTAGGCCAATTGTTATTGTCTTTGAAAATGAGCTCAAATCCCCACACGACCTGGTCAATCTTACCTTACCCCCTCTCCTTCTTACTCTCCAGGTAAAATGACCTGCTCTTGGCTCTTGGGCAGTCCTAAACTTCTCTCTTTGCCCAGGATATCACCCACCCTACCCTTCTCGCCTTACCCTGTCTGCACCTCTTTTCTTGGTGATCTAACTCTCTTGTCCCCACTTCTTCTGCCAGACAACATTAGAATTCCCTGTTTCAAGATCTCCCGGCACTCAGCTCTTCTATTTCATAGCAATTCTTATCATTGGAATTAGTGCCATGAAGAATATTTGCATAAATCTTAGTTACTCTTCTCAGTTTTCAACCTTGCTGTGGGCAGGGACCATGACTGATTGATCTAGCCTGTGCACTATCCCCAACATGATACCAGTGACTTGGCATGAAAACAAATGCTCAGTAAATGCTAAATAGTTGAAAAAATTAATTTTATGAACAAAAAATTTAAGTAAAAGCAAATGTTTTCATAGGAAGTAAATAACTTATTATATATACTTCTTATCCTCTGTCTTTTAAGAGAAGCTCTGTATGTCAAACAGAGATCTGAACATCTGCAAAGCTGGCAATTACCAATCTTCCTTCTGTCGGCTCCTCTTTTTTGCTCTCTAAATTGAATTGATGAGAAAAGATCAGAGACAGGAACACATCTGTCAGTCCTGGGAACATCACAGCCTAGTGCAGGTGTTAGAAGTTTCTGGAAGTAAAATTCACAATACATTCATCTCAAAGTTTCATTATTTTAGTTCTCTCTGAATTGTAGTATATAAAAAGACCTCATTATTCAGGTATATTATTTACACTTGATGTTTTCCAAGAGTTCTATAATATTTGGATAATAGGATCAAGGAAAATTCTTCTAAGGAAGTTTTTGTGAAGTTTTTGTTTCAAAACAGAACTTGCAACCTGGAAGTCTCAATTCTATTTCCAGTCTCAAATCTATTTCCAGCCAATGGGATGTTTTGTTGGTGTTTAACCAGATTTAAACTGCTCATGGAGACTATCAAATCAGTTGTCAATATTAAAAATCAGGAGTTTCCATATGAAAGTCTAGATTTCCAGCTTTTCATGGAACAGCAGAAGATCCAACAATACTGGAACTACCTCCTTTTAGCTAACATTTTGCTGGACTGGAGCCCAATTGCTGCCATTTAACACAGCTGGTATATCAGTTCTCCCTTCCAAGTCATTGCCTCTGCATATGTTACCACCTGGCTCTTATGGGTTGTAGCTTTGCAACCTCCATTTTCTGCCTTATCTAATTCTTATCTCTTTGAGGAATATATGTTGCTAATATTTATCTCTCATATTAAAAACCATGCAAATCTGAATTCACATTGGATATGTTATTCCAAATCTCAGGCATGTAAACTATTTACTTTTGATGAGTAATTTGGCCCAATCTCCCAACATTTAGGACTGTGAAACCCACTGTGGTAGCCACTAGCCATATGCAGCTATTTACATTTAAATTAAAGTAAATTACTAGTAAATAAAATTAAAAATTCATGTTTTGGGGGCCACAGTAACCACATTTCAAATGAATGGCTACCTTCACTACAGGCTAGCATATTAAAGAGCTAAGACAGAAAATAATGTCTTTCTCACAGAAAGTTCTATTGAACAGTGCTGTTCTAGAATAAGTCTAACAAATGGAGAAAGTAGAAGAAAGAAGGGCACACAGAGTTTTGGAGACTTTATTCATTGTTATGAGTTGAATTGTGTTCCTTGCTCAAAGTTCATATGTGAAATTCCTAACACCCAGTGCCTCAGAATGTGATCTCATTTGGTGAATAGGTCTTTATAGCGGTAATCAAGTTAGTGTTATCATTAGAGTGGGCCCTACAATATGACCGTTGTCCTTATAAAAAGGGGAAATTTGAACATAGAGGCATAGAGAGAAGACAATAGAAAGAGGCACAGAGAGAAGACAGTCATCTACAAGCTAAGGAGGGAGACCCAGAAGAGATCCTTCCCTCACAGCCTGCAGAAGGAACCAGACCTGCTGACACCCTGATTCTGGACACCTTGTTTCTAGAACCCATGAGATAACAAACATCTTTTGTTTATTTTCTCACAAAAAGTGGTAAAGCCACTCAGTTTGTAGTACTTTGCCACTTTACTAAGTCAGCCTTAGCAAACTAATAGTTATTGTTCATTCATTTGTTGAATAAAACAGTAGCTATCAAATATTTACTCTGTACTAAGAATTGCAGTGGGCATTTTTTTTTTCTTTGAGATGGAGTTTCTTTCTTCTTGCCCAGGCTGGAGCGCAATGGTACAATCTTGGCTCACGGCAACCTCTGCCTCCCCGGCTCACATGTAGCTGGGATTACAGGCTTGTGCCACCATGCCCGGCTAATTTTGTATTTTTAGTAGAGATGGGGTTTCTCCATGTTGGTCATGCTGGTCTCAAACTCCTAACCTCAGGTGATCCTCCTGCTTCAGCCTCCTAAAGTGCTGGGATTACAGGGGTGAGCCACTGTGCCCGGCCACAGCAGTGGGCATTTTTAAGGAATACCCAGGTAAGTTGATTTTTCCTCCAAGAAACTTATCATCTAATCTGAGTGATTAAAAATATATTAAATGGGCTGGGCATGGCGGCTCACTCCTTTAATACCGGCACTTTAGGAAGCTGAGGTGGGCGGATCACCCCTCTCTACTAAAAATACAAAAATTAGCTGGGCATGGTGGCAAATGCTGTAATCCCAGCTACTCGGGAGGCTGAGGCAAGAGAATCACTTGAACCCGGGAGGCAGAGGTTATAGCGAGCCGAGATGGCGCCATCGCACTCCAGCCTGGGGGACAAGAGCGAGACTTCGTCTCAAAGAAAAAAAAAGTATTAAATGTATTTTAATAAGTAAAACTGAGGTAAAAAGTGATAAATTATTTGTGAAAGGCCTTCTTATTCTTTGAAATTACTAGAGGAATTAAAGGGATGCCACATATTCCAAACCCCCTACAAGGGTTCATTACAGTGAAGGCTCAATATCAAGCCTTTAAAAGTAAAAGGGCACAACTGATTATTTCTTTTAGTGGTTAAAGCAAGAACTATTAGTACCTTTTCCTTTTTGCCCCAATTTCCCACCTTGGTCACAAGCCAGGAGACCCTCATTGTCCTGACATTCTCCTGCATGGTGGATGTAGCTGGTGACAAATTAGACATTAGTGTCTTCACACAATTCACAGCCTGGCTGCTAGTGGGTTCCTACTACCAGTGTTTATTATTGGAAAGACCCAAAAAATCAAGTGGAGTCTTCAGAGATCATCCAATCAGGAAAATGAGGACTGCAGAAGCTGGTTATGACCAATGCCAAACCTCAGATTCCCCTGCACCCCCCAAACCTTACTATCAGAATCTATAGACTGATCCTCACTAGTCTCATTTCTCCAAGATTATTCTATCAAAATCAGGGGCTTATTTCTCATTAGCTCAC
Organism: Homo sapiens; assembly: GCF_000001405.40. Lineage (NCBI taxonomy): Eukaryota > Metazoa > Chordata > Mammalia > Primates > Hominidae > Homo > Homo sapiens. Next base: position 128,444,356 of record NC_000008.11, on the reverse strand, counting down.
TTACTTCTAAGACCAAGTCTTTAGAGTTAGGGGCATAATCATCATTGGTTCAATTGCTTGTTTCATTTAGAAAGATGATACACTTTATTAACAGAGTATGAAAGTTCATAGTCTGATGCTCATTTACTTTTTCCCTCCAATTCTCAGACATAATCACAAATAACAGTGTCACCTGCTTAATTAAAGTCCTTGTATCCTGCTCAGTCTCTCATCGTGGGCAGGGACCTTGTCTGAAATGGTCTATGTATATCTCTAGCACAAAGCCCATACAGCAGGTACTCAATAAATATTAAATGGTGGAAATAATTAATTTTATGAACCAAAAAATATCAATGCGGAAAGTTTTTTATGATTAATAAATTAGTTTTATAGACAACAAAAGGACTGTGCTATTTAAGGGGATGGAAAAATTGCTTCTACAATGTTCTCTAAAAGCTCTTCAGAGGAGATGGTAAGTGAGCAGAATCTTTAAGGATTACAAAACTTTATACAAATGGAATTGGAAGGGGGCAATGATACAGAACAGTGTAAGCAAAGTCCAGAAGGCAGGAATGTATGAAAGAGAGTTACAGTAAAGAAAGTTGAAATAGTAAATTGTAGATCAAATTAGGAAAGAACTTTTAATTTTTTTTCCAGTGAGTGATGAGGAGGTATTGAAAAATTTTGAGAAAGGGATTGATATATTAAAAGCTGGTTTTCAAGAGAATAAATTTGGCAATAATGCTTGAGACTGAGGTAGAGAAAATTGGAAACAGAGAGAATGAATAAGAGAGTGGAATCTTCTTATGCCTCTAGGTTTATATATTATTTTTTAAACAGATGCTGTAGCTACTGTGTTGTATTGATATATTCATCTTTTAGATTAGAGAAAGCTAACTATCATAGTATAAGTATGATGTTTTCATACTTCATTTTTAAAATTTCCCTTCTGTTTAGTATTTGTAAAAGTCTTTGAAAATTTCCATCCTGTCTTGAGGTACAAAAGTTTTTTCACTTTTCCAGCAAGAGTGGTGGTGGTGGAAATGTCAATCAAAAAGGGGAGAAAAGTGGGTTCTCTTGGTCTAGTTTGGTGGTTCTCAACCTTAACTACACATTAAAATTATGTGGAGATATTTTTAAAAAACTTTGATGCTCCAGGACACATCCTGGATCAATTAAATTAGAGCCTTTGGGAGTAGAAGCAAGGCATGAGTGTTTTCCAGAGTTATTCTGGTTAATTCCAATAGCAACCAAGGTTGAGAATCACCAGTCTAAATTCCCCCTCCTCCTCCTCACCTGAAAAGTCTCCATCAAGAGAAGAATTTTGAAGATCTGATTTTGCTAAATAGAGAGTCGTGTTACTCTTATGGCTAAAAGTACACTACCTACATGAGAGAAAGAAAATGAGGTCCTGAAATAGGATAACAGTAGCAGGAAGGAGAGAAAATGGCAGGAGTGATAGCACAGAAATAGAATCAACAAAAAATAGTTGGATGCAGAAGTGAAGAAAGAAAAGGGTTGATTCAAAGTTATCAATGTGCACTAGAGCCTGCATCACTGGCTTCAGCAGGGAGCTGTTAACAAAATAGGGAGCAGGATGGTGAACAGGTTTTGTAGAAAAAAGATGAGCTCAGCATTGAACAAATTGAGTTAGAGGTGTCAGCAGGACTTTAGGTGGAGATGTCAAATAAGAATTAGATCTATATGGATGAAGCTGTGGAAAGAGGTCATGCTGGGGAAATAGATTTGGAAATAAGCCTCATGAAGATTAGTGGAAAACATGGCATGGAATAAGCTACTAAGGAGAAGACCCTAGAGACAGAAGAGAAGGAAACCAAGGACGAGGTCTGCTCACACCTTAATAACCTCAACCACCAAAAAACATCACTTCTTCTTCACTTTGTAGTATCTTGTGCTCTGTCAGGGTATTTCTCATGTCACACTGATGTAATAATATGTTTACATCTCTGTCTCCCAACTTCATGCTTGCCAAGGGCAAGGGCATGAGCCATTAGTCTTTATATTCACCAGCATGGAATCAGTGCACAACACTGAGGTGGTCAATGTCAATGAATGAATATAAAAGTGAGTTGATAGAAATTATGCATCCCCAGGACAAGAGCCACAGCCACGTGGCATGGGCAGCACCCTCATGCTAACCTGGCGTGTCACAGCCACACCCAACATTCTATGCTACCAGCCTCTGCTCCAGCCTCCCAGGGGTCATTGCAACAAATAACATTAAATCAGGAATTTATCCAACACTCCTTGGGTACCTGCTACTATGCTAGGCAAAATGGATAATAAAAAAAATGTAAGACAAGATCTCCGCCTTCAGGGTACTTATGATCAAGCAAAAGAGAGAAGTTACCTCCTGTGTGACGCCTTCCTTGACTGCCAGGCAAACCGAGTCACTCTCGCTTTACCTCCTTAGGACTTTGCACACATTAATACGTATCACTTAACACATTTTTCCTCTGATCCTCTGATACATTCCTCTCTTTCATCACAGATGAAATGTTCCTCAAGAGATATAATTTTATTACTCATTTTTACACCACGGTGTCTAATACTCCTATGCTAGACTACCTTTTGTTCTTCAAAATATTGCTCATTCTTTGTTTCACAGCATTTGAATATGCTATTCCCTCCATTTAGAATTTTTTTAATTTTTTTAACTTTTATTTTGAGTTCAGCGGCATGTGTGTAGTTTTGTTATATAGGTAACCTTATGTCATGGGGGTTTGTTGTACAAATTATTTCGTCGCTCAGGTATTAGATCTAGTACCCATTAGTTATTTTTTCTGAGAGTCTCTCTCCTCCCAGCCTCCATCCTCCAGTAGGTCCCCATGTCTCTTGTTCTCCTCTGTGTGTCCATATGTTCCCATTATTTAGTTTCCACTTTTAAGTGAGAACATTCACTATTTGGTTTTTTGTTATTGTGTTAGTTTGCTAAGGATAATGGCCTCTAGCTCCAACCATGTTCCTGAAAAAAACATGATCTCATTATTTCTTATGGCTGCATAGTAGTCCATGGTGTATATGCACCAAATTTTCTTTATCCAGTTTACCATTGATAGGCATTTAGGTTGATTCCGTTTCTTTGCTGTTCTGAATAGTGCTGCAGTGAACACAGGCCTACATGTGTCTTTATGACAGAATGATTTATATTCATTTGGGTATATATCCAGTAATGGGATTACTGGGTAGAATGGTATTTCTGTTTTTAAGTCTTTGAAGAATTGCTACAATGTTTTCTACAATAGTTGAACTAATTTACACTATCACTAACAGTGTATACGTGTTTCTTTTTCTTCACATCTCCAGCACCTGTTATTTTTTGACTTCTTAATAACAGCCATTCTGACTGGTGTAAAATGATATCTCATTATGGTTTTGATTTGCATTTCTATAATGATCAATGATGTTGAGCGTTTTTTTAATATGCTTGTTGGCCACAGGTATGTCTTCTTTTGAAAAGTGTCTGTTTATATCTTTTGTCCCCTTTTTAATGGTGTTGTTTGTGTTTTTTAATGAGTTTGTTTAAGTTATTTATAGGTGCTTTGGTAATTTTTTGTCAGATGCATAGTTTGTAAACATTTTCTCCCATTATGTAGGTTATCTGTTTTCTCTGTTGATAGTTTCTTTTGCTGTGAAGAAGTTCTTTCATTTAATTAGATCTCATTTGTCAATTTTTGTTTTTGTTGCAATTGCTTTTGAAGCCTTTCTCATGAAATCTTTGCCCATGCCTATGTCCACAGTAATATTGCCTAGGTGGTCTTCCAGGGTTTTTATACTTTTGGGTTTTACATTTAAGTCTTCATCTTGACTTGATTTTTGTATGCGGTGTAATGAAGGGGTCCAGTTTCAATGTTTTCCATATTGCTAGCCAGTTATCCCACCACTGTTTATTGAATAGGAAGTCCTTTTCCCATTGCTTGTTTTTGTCAGTTTTGTTGAATATTAGATGATGTAAGTGTGCAGTTTTATTTCTGGGCTCTCTATTCTGTTCCATTAATGTATGTGTCTGTTTTTGTACCAGTACCATGCTGTTTTGGTTATTGTCACCCTGTAGTATAGTTTGAAGTCAGGTAGTGTGATGCCTTCAGCTTTGTTCTTTTTGCTTAGGATTGCTTAGGCTATTTGGGCTTCTTTTTAGTTCCATACGAATTTTAAAATAGTTTTTTTCTAGTTCTGTGAAGAATAGAAATAGTAGTTTGATAGAAATAGCAGTGAATCTAAAAATTCCTTTGGGCAGTATGGCTATTTTAACAATATTGATTATTTCTATCCATGAAGATGAAATGCTGTTCCATTTGTTTGTGTCTTCTCTCTGATTTCTTTGAGCAGCTATTTATACTTCTCATTATAGAGATCTTTAACCTTTCTGGTTAGCTGCATTCCTAGGTGTTTTATTCTTTTTGTGGCAATCGTGAATGGGATTACCTTCCTGATATGGCTCTCAGCTCGACTATTGTGGGTGTATAGGAATGCTAGTGATTTTTGTACATTGGTTTTGTATTCTAAAATGTTAATACTCAATTTCATCTGGGAATGACCTATTTTATCTAAAATATTTTAGCTTAAGTGTCATGTCCTCCAGGAAGCTTTCTCAGACTTCAGGTCTGGGTTAACTGGCCCTCCAAAACAATCTATGGCACATTATTATTGTCTGTGAAAAGCCATATTATAATTGTCTGCATGTTTATAAAGCCTCCTCATCTATGTATACTGCATCACTAACTTCTTTAAAATGAAGATTATGTCTCAGTTTACATTGTGTCCATAGAACCTAATGAAATATCTATAATATATTGAACTCCCAATAGAAATTGAACAAAAAAAAGAAAGAACAAACAAACGAATAAACAAAATAGATTATTCAACATGCTGCTAAATAAGCTGAATGTACAGATATGCAAAAATGGAGAGATATAACCAGAGAGGAATATGTGATCATGTGAATGTGTGTGATAGCTTTACCATGGGATATAGATCATGAGTACAACAGAGTATAGAAATAAGGCTGGTCAATAACAAACAATTACAACCAGCTATACATGGCATTCCAACTGTCCTCCGTAGTTTTTACTAATAATTTAATTCATTTTACATACTTTTAAATTTATTTTTATTTTTATTTTTTTAGAGATAGAATCTCCTACTGTCACACAGGCTGGAGTGCAGTGACATGATCCAAACTCACTGCAGGCTCAAACTCCTTGCCTCAAATGATCCTGCCAACTTAGCCACACAATTAGGTAGGGCTATAAGCATTTACCACTTTGTTTTTACCACTGTACGTGGCTATGTTTTTGTTTGTTTGTTTGTAGACACAGGGTCTCACTATGTTGCCCAGGCTGGTCTCAAACCGCTGGCCTCAAGAATCTTCCTGCCTCTGCCCACTAAAGGGCTGGAATTACAGGTGTGAGCCACCAAACCCAAACATTTTATATACTTTTGGCACATTTTATCATGATCACAATTAACAATAGTATTCTTTTTTCAGACATCATTTAATGAGTCTAATAATCAAACTCTTGAGAGATCAATAAGCAGTTATCTATATGTTAACTATATGTTAACAAAATTTTGGAAATTATAACCAGATTCTTTTTTTTTTTTTTGAGATGGAGTCTCACTCTGTTGCCCAGACTCAGGCCAGAATGCAATGGCATGGTCTCAGCTCATTGCAACTTCCACCTCCCGGCTTCAAGAAATTCTCCTGCCTCAGCATCCCAAGTAGCTGGGATTACAGGTGCCTGTCACCACGCCTGGTTAATTTTTGTATTTTTAGTAGAGATGGGGTTTCACCATGTTAGCAGGCTGGTCTTGAACTTCTGACCTCAAGCGAGGTCAGCCTCCTGCTTCAGCCTCCCAAAGTGCTGGGATTACAGGCCTAAGCCACCACATTCGGGCTACAGATTCTTAAAATAGTAAAGAATCTAGAAAGTGCATACAATTCTTAATGCTTTTATTGATTGTGTTAATTTAAAATATGTTTTTAATAATACACACTATGGAAATTCTATGTTTAATTTTAAAATACTAAATAAATCCTCAAAATTGTATATAATTTTGTCTAATAACCATTTACTTGCACCTATATTTGTCAAACTTTATGAATCAATAATCTTAAAGTTAATGTGTGAACTAGAGACTTGTTCTTTGCTTTGAGATTATCTGGAAAATACAGTAGTTTAAACTTAACCAACTACTCTTAGCGGTGAGATAGAGTGATAGATAGGTTGGTAGATAGATAGAGGGTGGATAAAGAAAGATGTGCATAAATGCCAATTATTAATTGCCTCTTATGGGTGAGATAATGTGTTACGTGTTTCACATATATGTAAGCTACTTTACTCTCGACCACCATGTTAAAAGATAATATTATTATTCACACACCATTAATTAGAATACTAGGCTCAGAAAGATTAATTAATTTATTAAAGATGCTAAACGAGTAGGCAGCTGAACCATGCTTGAAACCATAATAATCTGATTCCAGAGCTTTGAAACTTTCTGTGTCACATTGTTTTGCTGTCTATCAAGACCAAAATCAATTATTGTTGGTATCCATCTCCATTCCTTTACCCTGAACCCTGCTGTTCTTATCAAACAAGTGATAGAGCTACAGACCCACCCAGATCCTGAAACCTCCAATCTGGCTTCAACATTAATGTTTAACCAGCTGAACCAAACAGCCTCTGATGGTTGATGACTGCTATCTCAAATGACCGTGTAAGAGCTTCCATATTCAAATAAGAACTGTCCTTAGAGACAGATGACTACTGATCCACTCTAGTCATCAAAAAGGTAAATTAAAATGATAGTTGAATCCGCTTGACAGAGATTCTACTTTTTAGTAGTATCTTGGATTCTCTTACTTAGGGTTTAAAAAACCTAACAGAAGGGTTGGTTGAAAAAAATCATAACTCCACCATCCCTACCATCCCCACCACCACATAAACACACACACACACAGAGAGAGAGAGAGAGAGAGAAAGAGAGTTAATTCTATAATGTTTACACATATCTCTATATATGTATAAGCATATATATATATATGTAAAGTTATATAATGTTACATAAAAAAATGAAACCCAAATATTTACATGAGCTCAGATATATACCTGTATTTTGTATGCAGTAAGGACAAAACCTTTTGGGTTGTTTGTTTGGTAGCTTCACAATCTGTCATAAATTTAGCGCTGAAGAACGAGCTATTAAATGTGTAAATCAAGTCCAAATACATTATTAGCTCCCTCACTCCCTCCTCACTTGGCATTACAGAAATTTTCAGCCAGCATTTATTGAGGTAGATTCTCTTTTAATTCCTGCTCTAGATCCTCCTCCTGTTGTTGCCTGGTTCTGTCCTCTGCTTTCTCCATCCACACTAGTCTCAGCTCATATCTATATACAAATCTAGGACCACTTCCTTCTATGAGAGCTTACTACAAAGAGTTCTTAGGCAGCCCCTCTGCAGTCAGCCAGCACTCAGTCATTCAGCTCAAAGGTCATATACCTTGAACTCAACTGTCTTTGTTTTTATTATCCCAGCTCTTGCTATTTTTAATTACTAATAACATTGACTTGAACTCCTATAAATGCCCAGGGTGTTATTGTCCTCCCTCTTTGGTCCAACAAACTCTGCTAATACTTTTCTGTGTCATGTTTGCTGTTAAGTTTCTGAGACTGTCCATGAACACCATATGTGTAGTAAAAAGAGAACTGGACTTCGAGTTGCAAGTTTTGGTATAGATTCAAAACTCTCCCATTTATTAGTTGTAGAACCTTAATCAAATTACTTCACTTATCTATTTTCCAGTAACCTCCTCTTTAGCAAAGAATTGTTGGTGGATTAAGGAGGATAGGACCTGGGGAATGCCCCAAATTAGAACCTTACAAAAATAATACTCAGTAAATGTTATATTTTTTGCTTCAACCTACAAAATGAAGTCTTTCTCACTGCTGACAGAGATTTTGTCAATCTCCATGGCTTTAGGCAAAAAAGAAACAACACTATATTTAATATGATTTAGTCTATTCTTCTTGACTGAGTTCCCCTCCCTGTGGTCCTCACATGGGTGCCATAATCAAACATCACCTCAGCCACAGCAGTTGAAATTTAGAACTACTGGCTCCCTTGCTAGGGCTTCTTTTTTAACTGTTACTTGCTTCCAAGTTGCCTAAAATCACATAGAATACTTCAGTTTTGGGTTACAGTGAGAAACGTCTTCAGTTAATGACAACCACAATGAAAAGATCTTTTATATGACATTGAAATTGACAAGATTTGCTTCCTTCTGAGCTAACTAGAGTGAGACAAGGGATGCCTGTTAGGCATAACAAGACTGACGGGCTTCCTCTGTGTGGTAGCGATCTGAAAACATTCCTAAAGGATGGATGAAAACATTCCTAAAGGATGGATAGAAATGCAAGGCAGTGACGGGCAGGTGAGGAATGGAGCCAGCGTGCTCCATGAATAATGGATCACTCGGTCACAGCTGGCTAAGGGTGTCAGTTCCACTCTTGTGGTAAAATCGCTGATTGTAACCTTCTTTTTTTTTTTTCCCTCAAGAACTAAATTAACAGAGCAAAGAGAAATGCCAGCGGGTGTGAGATTTACCATTTGCCATTGAAATATCTTTCTGCTGAGGGCCTTGTCATTTTATTAGAGAAAAAAAAATTCAGAAGGTTGTTTTAGATATGCAATAGTACCCTGTTGGCATGAAATACTGGACATATAGGAGGCCCACTGGGGAAAAGGAGCATAGGCTTTGAACAGAAGAGCTGAGTTCGAATTCAAGTTTTGCCACATTCTTGCTGCATAGCGGTGGTGGGTTGTAAATTACCTTAGCCTCACCGAGCCTTAGTTTTTATGGTCAATAAAATGGAGATGATAATGGCTTTTTGAAGGGTCGTTATAAGGATTAAACGGAAACATTTTTATTTCCATGGGCATATTTGTCGTTTTAGAAGATGTTAGCCCCTTCCTTTTGACCTGTACTTACGTATTCAGGAGAACAAAGACAGATGGACCACATTCTGGCAAGTGTTTTCATGCCCCAAAGCTTGTATATTAAGCAGGTATTAAACTTAGACTCTCTCTGGCTCACTGCCTTCACCTGTAAACTGGGGAAACAATAGTAATCTCTCCTGTTCCTGCTTCAGAATAAATTTAAGGCTCAAATCATATAATGATTGTGAACACTCTGAAAAGAGGTAAAGAGCTTCCTGTACCCTTATTTTCTGTCTTCCTTTGGTCCCTTGGTAGTTACTGAGAAAGACCACACAGTTCCAAATCACCATGGCTCATATTCACGTTCCCCAATATCTTGGAATTTCTCAGCCCAAAAATAACCTGACATAAACCTTTAAAGGGGTATAAGTTCAAGTATAATTAATAATTCTGACTTCTATGATGCTGAGTTCTTAATCTGACCTTTCTAGGTTAGACTGGGCAGTAGATAAGAAAATATTCATCCAAAGACTCTCTAAATAATATTGCAGAGTATTTTAATGTCTGTTTCCTCAACATAGCTGTGGAAAAGACTTACTATCTCTATTTCACAGATGAATAAAGCAAGGTTCAGAAAGTTTTGTTGACTTTCCCAAAGTGACAAAGTTGTTAAATCATAGCTCTAAGATTTGATACTTATAAATTTGTGCATTTATTAAAAGTCCTAGATTTTTATCTTCAAATTACCCTGCTCTTATTCAACTAGGGAAAAGAAATGGTAAGAAAATCCAGGGGAAACTTTTTTGTAGCAAAACAAAGATGAGCGCTGCATGCTAGAAGAAGTTGACGGCAGAACTTGAAATGCAGACACAGCCAGGGAAGGCATGGAATTAGGCTCACCTCTGTGGAGGAAGGCATGTACCAGGATGTGTAATCAAGTAGAGGCAAAGCCCACCTCTTTTCTAGCCATGGTTTCATTGGTATGTGTTCTGCTTTTCATTTCCTCTATTTTTTTAAATAATTTCAACTTTTATTTTAGATTTAGGGGGTACATAGTGTGATGCTGAGGTTTGGGGTATGAATGATCCAATCACCTATGTAGTGAGCATAGTACCTAATAGTTAGTTTTTCAACCTGTGTCCCCCTCCCTCCCTCCTTCTTTTAGTAGTCTCCAGTATCTACTGTTGCCATCTTTATGTCCATGAATACCTAATGTTTAACTCCTACTTAGAAGTGAGAACATGCTCTCTGTTAGGCAGTTTTGTGTTGCTATAAAGGAATACCAGAGACTAAGTAATTTACAAAGAAAAGACATTTATTTTTGCTCATGGTTCTACTCACGGTTTTGCTCATGGGTCTGCTGTATAGGAAACATGGCACCAGCATCTGCTTCTGGTGGGGGCCTTAGGAAGCTCACAATCATGGTGGAAGGCAAAGGGGGACTAAGCATATCACATGGCGGGAGAAGGAGCAAGAGGTGGAAGGGGGTGTACCTCTTTTAAAACAACCACACTAGTGAGTACTTATTAATTACCATGGGGAGGGAAATATCTTATTTGTGAGGAATCCAGCTTTATGACCCAAACGCTTCCCACCATGGCACACCTCCAACACTGAGGATCAGATTTTTACATGAGACTTGAAGGGGACAAATATCCAAACTACATCATGTGGTACTTGGTTTTCTGTTCCTGGGTTAATCCACTTCAAATGATGGCTACCAGCTGCATCCATTTTGCTGTAAAGTATGATTGTATAATTTTTTCTCTTCACAGTATTCCATGGTGTATATATATATCACATTTACTTTATGCAGTCCACCACTGATGGGCACCAAAGTTGATTCCATGTCCTTGCTATTTTAAACAGTGCTGTGATCAACACACAGTGCATATGTTTTTTGTTTTATTTTGGTAGAACAATTTATTTTCTTTTGGATATATACCTAGTAATGGGATTGCTATGTCAAATGGCAGTTCTGTTTTAAGTTCTATAAGAAATCCCAAAACTGCTTTCCACAGTGGCTGAAGTAGTTTACATTCCCACCAACAATGTATAAGCATTTCCTTTTCTCTACAGCCTCATCAGCTTCTGTTGTTTTTGACTTTTTAATAATAGCCATCCTGACTACTGGGAGATAATATGTCATTGTGATTTGATTTTCATTTCTCTGATGATTAGTGATGTGGAACATATTTTCATTTGTTTGTTGCTCACTTGTATGTTTCTTTCGAGAGGTGTCTGTTCATGTCTTTTGCCCATTTTTAATGGGGTTATATGTTTTTTGCTTGTTGAATTTTTAAAGTTCCTTATAGATTCTGATATTAAACTTTTTTCTGATATGTAGGTTGAGAATATTTTTCCCATACTGTAAGTTGTCTGTTTACTATGTTGATAATTTATTTTACTGTGCAAAACTCTTCAGTTTAATTAGGCCACACTTGTCAATTTTTGTTTCTGTTGCAATTGTTTTTCAGAACTTAGCCATAAATTTTTTCCCAACACTAATGTCCAGAATAGTATTTCCTAGGTGTTTTTCTAGGATTGTTGTAGCTGGAGGTCTTACATTTAAATCTTTATTCTGTCTTGAGTTCATTTTTGTATATGGTGAAAAATAGGGGTTCGGTTTCATTCTTCTACATTTGGCTAGCCAGCTATTCCAGCACCATTTATTGAATAGGGAGTCCTTTCTCCATTGCTTATTTTTGTTGACTTTGCAAAGATCAGATGGATATAGGTGTATGCATTTATTTTTTGTTCTCTATTCTGTTCCATTGGTCTTTGTGTCTGTTTTTGTACCAGTACTATGCTGTTTTGCTTACTGTAGCCTTACAGCATAGTGTAAAGTTGGGTAAAATGATGCCTCTAGCTTTGTTCTTTTTGCTTAGTGCTCTCCCTAGGTCTTTGGCTCAAGAGTCACCAACATCAATTTCCATGCTGCCTTGGGCCCTTTCTAATGCATCTGGGGAGGTCAATGCTTTCAGTGCTCTTTGCAGACCCAGCCTCTTGCATTGGCTCACTCCAGAGCTACTGCTGCTCAGACAATGTTGTGCTCTTTCTTCTCTTGTAAGGAAATACTTTTTGCTCCCATGATTTTCTTTTCAAAGAAGGTCCCACAACAGGATTGCTCAGACCTTCAGAGTGATTTGAAACCATTTTCTTCCCATATGCAAGTACCTTTCCAACCTGGTTGTTTAAATATTATAGTCACTGCACTGAAACAGCACCAAGACTCCCACTCCCTCTAATGTTTGCATTGAGCTGCTAAATCCATTTTGCTAGTTTTGCCCCTTAAGCACTGAAGGATTTTTTTCTGAGTGATCAACAGTTTATCATTGAAATTTGGCTTCCATTGTATACCCAGTTACCAGGTCTTTATTTCTCTCTCTGACTGAAGCCCTGTATGTCCATAGATAGAATTATATTTCAGAATGCCCCTAACCCATACACAAATGTATTCTTAGGATAGTCACCTGAGGCCACTCACCAGACAGAACTGTAGCATTTCTTCATGTACAAACAACTGCAAATTAAAATGTTGCCTATTTCAAGGCAAGAAACAGTTTGAAATTATAACAATTTATAATTTAGCTCAAGGTTTACACCTCCTGTGTGTTTTCCCCCATAACAAAAATTCTTGCTAATCCTTTACTTACTAACTTCTAAAGTTATTTAAATTTAGCAAACATTTAACAAGTACTAATTTTGTGCTAATACTTGCATTAGGAACTTTTCTATATCTATTTTCCAGTGGAACTTTCAGAATAACTTCATGTAGCAGATATTATTATCAACAGGTACAGTTAGAGATGCTAATGTTCTAGAGGTTAAGAAGCTTGCCCAAAGTCTTTTAAAGAGTAAGACAACTCCTCACAACAAAGAATTACCTGACCCCAAATGTCAACAATGCTGATGTTGAGAAAATCTGCTTCCGTGATTCCAATTCAGTAAACTTCAAGAACTCTGTATTAGTTTCCATTTAATGAATGTATCTTAACATTTTTTAAATACAAATATTTGGTTTTTCATTTTTCTCTTTTTTAGTTATGAGGTCTTTTCAAGACATCATAAATTACCTGAGGACATCTGTTACTTCTGTTTGGTCATGTATTGGTGCAAAACAAATTATCTCCAATGCATTATAGCTTAAAATAATAACCATTTTATTATATATTCCAATATTTTGGAGCAGCAATGCAGGCAAGAGTCAACTGGGCAATTCTTCTCAGTGGGATGTTGACTACAATACTTCACCAGTGGTATTCAGTTGTTGGATGGACTGCTGTGGAGAGTCCAAGAGGTTTATTTACATGGCTGGTGACTTGGCTGAGGTGGCTGGAAGGCTGGAGTCAGCTGGGACTGTCAATGGGTTCGCTGACAATTGAATTCTCCAGCATGGTGCTCTTAGGAAGTCAGACTTCAGACATGCTAGCTTGAGATTCCCAAAGAAGGTGTTCCAAAAGGCAGAAAGAGGAAACTGCTAGTTTTATAAGCTAGCATGGCATCACTTCTGTCATATTGTTGTTGTTGTTCAGAGCAATTGCAGAGCCTGTCTGGGTTCAAGGACAGACAACAGAGACCCCACCTCTTAATGGGTGGAGTGCCAAAGAAATTATAGTCATTCTTAATGCACCATAGCTTCTTCCAGATTTTCTAAATATATACTCAGTACATGTAAGTGGGAAAGATATTATAATTATATTTTAATAGCTACACTTTTTAGTGCCTCCAGATGGCCAAGCTTACTCCAAGGCAGATTTTCTCAACATCAGCATTGTTGACATTTGGGGTCAGGTAATTCTTTGTTGTGAGGAGTTGTCCTGTGCATTTTAGGATATTCAGCAGCAACCCTGGCCTCTATCTGCTAGATGCCATAACATTTCCTAGTTGTGAAAATAAAAAATGCTAGTAATTGGCAAATGTCCTCTAGAGGACAAAATTGCCCCCAGTTGAGAACCTGCTCTATGTTAAGCGCTAAACACAGGGATACATTACAGTATCACCTATAACCCAGGTACCATAATTATTTCCATTTCATAGAATAGTAAACTGAGTCTCAGAAAGTTAAGTGGCTTCGTCATGGTTACTCAGAAGGAAAAACCCACCTCCATCAAAATGCAAAGCCTGGGCTCTTTCTACCATGCCCTTCACTTCTATTTTATACTTCAAACTATCCAGAATCCAGATGGATATTAGGGGATATAAATAAACAGTTCTCTAAAGTCAGAGGCAGAACTCCAGTCACACACATGCAGCACTACCACTGAGCCCCCAGCTGATTCAGCAAGGGGACCTGGCTGAATCCTAGAGCTGCTTTAGGCCATCTCTAGCACAAAAAGCATTGATCCACTCAAACTTAGCAAGCACTTGTGTTCCTTGTCCTGCTGTTTGCTTACGGAGGGAATTCAAGCCTAATTTGGATATGTGCCTGATGCTGGGCCATGTGCCAGTATTCGGCGAAGGGAGCACTGGCACACACACTTTCGCCTGCTGTGCAGTCTATTTCGGGACTCAGTCTCAGTTGCTGCTGCTGCAGGTGACCTGACAGATGTAGAGTGCCCTGCATTTGCCCTGGATTAAAAATGCCACCATTTCTGATGCAAACTTGTCCAACCATCTTTCCAGTCCTCTCACCCAGAGCATTCATTCACCCTCACAAGGGCACACTCATCATTATGGTTCCTGCCTCCCTCCTCCACTCCTATCTACCTGACTACCATTCCTACGTATACCATGCCCCTCTGGAATGTGCCATCTTTTTGAGGGAAGACAAATATGTGACTGGCAATTAGGAAATGAAAGGTCTAATAAAGCTGGGGATACAAGGAAAGGAGTAGTCAATACTACTTGGCTGTCTGGTTGGAGAAAACTTCACGGAGGTGGTAAACATCTAGCAGTTCTCCAAGAATAACCAGAGTGAAGAGGAGATTTCAGTCAGGAAAAAGAATCTTATGTAAAAGAACGAATATGCTCTAAGTGTCCCGGTGTCCTGTGGGTACCCAAATACACCAAGAAGACAAGAAGTGAAATTCAAAGAGTAAAGACCAGTGAGTGAGAATGGGGAGCTACATGATTCCTTGACTCTAGAGAGAATAGCAGGGCTTAAGGAAAGGAAGGAAATGCTGGATGTTTGCTTTATAAAGATTGCTCTATCACCTCTGAGATGTATGGTTTCGAGAGGGGCAAAGCTGTATGCAGGGGACTGGTGGAAACCAGTTAGAAGTTTGTTTAAATAATTTGTAGCTTAATCATTCAACAAATATTTATTGCACCCCCAAATGGCTGCCAGGTTCTCAGCTAGATAGCCCACATAGAGCAGTGAGTGAGCCTGACGTAGCCCCAACACAATTAGATCTCCTGTTCTTCACCTTATTGATAAAGCCTTCCCTGACCATCTAAGCACTTCTTCCATAATGTCCTGCTTCCCTCTGGCACTGAAATTATCACCCTGAATTTGGGCTGTGCCTTGGAACATCTGCCTCTTTCGTGGATTGACAGTGACAGGGACAGGGCATTACCTAGACCTTCTTTGTTACCCTATTCACTGGTGAAAAAGTAAAACAGCTTCCAGTCTAATGGAAGGATGTTTTAGAAAGGATGACAGATATAAAGCAAGAAGCAGAATGAATTGCATAATTTGGATGAAGGGTTTTAAGGAGGGAGAATGTAGTGGCCAATGAAAGCATTCAACACAAGAGCCCAGCACAGTCTGAGGTGTCAGTCAGGGGCCCGGGAGAGTTCCTTTTTTCTGTTAGATAATTTAGTCCCCCAACTATCTTGTGAGTTAAGCAATCATAGTCATCAATTTACAGATGCAGAAACAAAGGCTTAAGGCAGGGAGTCAAAACTCTTGCTTGAGGTAAAGTCTTCCAGCTCAAAAATGAATAGTAGCTGCAAGATGAGAAGGCAGGAAGGCAGATTACAAATGAGACTTTCTCACTCTGCCTAGTCATGGCAGTTGTTTGCCATTACCTGGAGGACTCAGGTTTCAGCCTAGAGTCTAAATCTTCTCTCTCCCTCTCTCTCTCCAGGTTGAACTGGTTTGTTGAACTTTATGGATGGAGCCAGCCAACAGGATGACATTGTGGCAGAGAAAGAAGCTTGCAGCTTCTTGCATCAGAAAATCAGATAGAGCCTCTCTGGCAAGAAGCTGCAGACACAAAAGAAGCTTGCATTGAAGGTGACTCAGCTCTGGCTTTTCAGCAATGCCCTAACATTGGCTATTTAAAAAGAGGCAAAGTAGCTTCAGTGAGACCTCAAACCAATTGCACAGCTAGCCACTGCCCATAAAGAAGCTACTGGTCAGAAATGCTGGCTCCTTCATAGACAAAACGGCAAAGTACATTGATAGGGGCTGCTGGTCCAGGAGGATCTTTATATCCTGGCCAAGTATGGCATTTGTCTCTGTCACCTGGAAAATGGCCCTGGAGCAGGCATGTGACTGACTCGTTCTGCAAGGCCTCCAGACAGCTAAATGAAGATGGCTTCTAGCTAAGAAACAGAGGGGTTCATACACATGCAAAGATAACTTCCCCACTTGTCTCTGATGGAAACTCAAGGGCCATGTGGAAATGGCGTGGATTTGGGACTCAGCTGATGAACTTGGAAGCCCAGCCCAGCCAGTCAGCAGTTTGGTCCAGAACCTGTCTGCACCTCAGTGTCTAGTAAATGGAGGAAGGGAGAAGGAGATGAAACTAATTGACATTGGGCCTCTTTTATGAACCAGGCACTTTGCTATTCTCATCCAGTCTTACCTTGGTATGTTCACCCCTCACAAGGTGTTTGTAAGACTTGATGAAATAACATAGGTTAAGTACTTAGCACCACAAACCTAGGAGCTATATATGATTGTAGCTATTGTAAGTATCATCCCATTATATAGATGAAAAATCTGAGGCTAGAAAGCCACATAGCAGGGACTCTAATCCAACTGGCTAGTTCCAAAGCCCCTATTCTCAACCACATAAAAATATTGCTTCCCCCTCTCTTCCTTCTTCCATAGAGGTTGGCTGAAATCCATTAAAAAAAAAATGAGTACAAGAGAAAAAAAAAGAATGTATTCAAATGATTCTTGAACAAATAATTTAATAATAATTAAAATCACTAAGCAAGTATTAATAACTTAAGATAATGTGTTAATAATTAAAAATCATTCCATAAATATTTGTCAAGAGCTATTTATGTGCTAGTTATCGTGCTGCTATGGGAGATAAAAAAGGAATTAGATATGGATTCTGCCTGTGCACACTTTATAGTCTAGTAAATATATATAGAAATCATTCTAGTAATAGTAGGAGTAACAAAGAATAATAATTCACTAATCTATATGGATGTGTACTGTATTCCAGATACAATCTTCAGCATCTTGTGTGCATTATCTCTTTAGCATTTATAATTCTCTGTGATAAGAATTATTACTCCAGTTTTACAAAAGAAAGACCGGAGCTCAGAGAGGTTATATAATTTTGCCAAAATTATACAACTTAGAAGTGGGACAGAACCAAAAAGCAAACCCAGGTCTGTCTGATTCAAATTCACCTAATAACCAGTGGGTAACACTTCCTCACTCTCCTTAGCCAGCCTCTCTACTTGCAATTCCAAAAACACATTAGTTTGCCTAAATGGCTTTCATAAAAAGCAAAATTTCACCAGTCAGTGCTAACAGGTAATGATACCAAATAAAATCCTGGAAAATCCTTTTTGACCTTCCAGTTTACTATTTTGGGACAGACCCAGTTTATTCTACCACCTCTGGTCCTCTGTGAAGAAAATGCAAATCCTGCAGCAACGACTTCCCATTCACACTGTGGTTCTCACAGAACTTTGCACTTGCAGGGCACTCAGGCCCACTCTGGGGCAGCAGACTCAATCCTGACTTGCTAAAAGCATATGCACCATCCTATCACTCTAAGCCGCCCTTAATCCAACAGTAATGACAGTTTGATTCTTCTTCAAAAGGCATATTTGAAAGTCATTAATGAAGCATAAAATAAAAATGGCAAGTCTTCTTTGTCCCTTTCTTCCACATTGCTCGAAGATACCCAAGCATGGGTTTAAAGTCACGTGAAGGATATAATTGGGGACAATATTGAGGGCAAGAAATTAATTATAGTTAAGTGGAGTCTTCTCCTTCAGAAGCACACCAAGGAGACGAC
Source organism: Homo sapiens (assembly GCF_000001405.40). Classification (NCBI taxonomy): domain Eukaryota; kingdom Metazoa; phylum Chordata; class Mammalia; order Primates; family Hominidae; genus Homo; species Homo sapiens. The sequence goes on along the minus strand of NC_000008.11, from coordinate 128,426,260 downwards.
TTTCAATAGAGGCGTCACTCTCTCACTGAGTGTCAGCAGCTGGAGGAATACACTTTTTCCCTAGATTCAAGGTATTAGGGGAGGTTGACACACTCTCCACTTTGCATCATCCAAATGCTGTGAGATCTGCCCGCAGCTGTCTGCGAATATCTCTCTCCCTCCTTCAGCTGCTGCACACTGCACACCACACAAAACACTCCCTTCATTATTCAACACATGGAAAAGCTGTAGCCCACATTCTCCATCAGCAAACCACTCAGTATTCAAAGCCCAGGTCAAAATTCATTGTACTGGTGAAGCCTTCCTTGGCCACCTAAGCACTTCTCCCTGTATTTGGGTTGTGCCTTGAAACACCTGTCTCCTTAGTGGCTTGACAGCAACAGGGACAAGGCTTTGCCTAGACCTTCTTCGGCACCGTATGCACATTGAAAAAGTAAGACAGCTTCCATTCTAATAGGGGAAATAGTCAATGAGCCAGAAAACAAACAAATAAACAAGTTAAATATTATGGATTGTGGTAACTCCTAGGAAGGAAAATAAATGAACGATATAGTATAGGACATAGGTCAAAGCCAACCAGCACAGACAGGTGGTCAGAAATCGCTCTTGGAGGAGGTAGAATTTAAGCAGGGACCTAAAGGAAAAGAAGGATCCAGGCCCACAGTGAATTGGGCCTAGAACATTCAGGTAGTAGGAATAGAAAGCACAAAAGTCCTGCTTTGGCAAGAACGTGATGTGTGCAAAGAATTAAGAGGAGGCTTGTATGATGGAAAATGGTAAGAAACAGGGAGTCTGGAAAGAGACAAGATAAGTACAGAATAGACACAAGGCCAGGCCAGGCAGGGCTTTGACAGCTGAGACAGGTAGAGTTTTGATGGTTGTAAGTGCAGTGAAAAGCCGTTGAAAGGTTTTTCTTGGGCAAGTGACCTTTGATTTTTGTATTTTAAAAGGACATTTTGACCTCTATATGGGAAGAAAACTGGATTAAAGGGTGAAAAGGAACAAGAAGAAGTAGGGGGACCATTAAGCGGCTGTTGTCCCGTTACCAGCCACAATGTCTGATATAGAAGAGGTGCTCAATAAAAGTGTTTGAAATAAATGAATGAAAGGGTTAGACCACCCTGGGCTTACAGAAAAATTGTAGCCAGCTAGTGCTCTCCCTGGCTGGTTCTGATGATGTCTCCCCCTCATCCTTAGCATCCCCAGCACTTGAAATATTCTGAAAAAACAATTTTAAAAAGTACATTCTGAAAACTTGTCACCCATTTCAGGCCCGGGTTTGCAAAAATTACCATCTTATCTTGGTGGCATTTTTATCATTTGACATCATTTCTTGCCACTGTTCGTCATTCCTGTGAACAAAGAACAGCCTCCTTTTTTCTGACAAAACAAGAAGAAGAGAAGGAGGAGGAGGAGGAGGAGAAAGATGGGGAGGAGGAGTGGAGGAGGAGGAGGAGGAGTAGAGGAGGAGAAAGCAAGTTCTGCTCCAGCCAGATGTAGAAGAGATGGTGAAGAGAAGTGGGAAAAAATTCTAATGGAGACTTTTATTCCCTTTCCAGGAAGCTGGCTGAGGGCCATACTTGCAGCTTTGACTTTAAATCTGTAAAACCTCAGCTTCCCCCAGGGAGCCAGGAGGGGCGGGTTCTTGGCACATGGAATTCCTGAGTAGCACAAGTATCTGCTTTTCCTCAGCAACCTCCTGCTTTATTAGTTAAGCCTCTCTGAAGCCCGAATGGGCACATTTCATGCCAATTTTAGGGTGAAAGCGATTTGGCAAGTTATATTCCCAGGGTGCTCTGGAAAAGAGACAAGGGGTTGCTGAACACAAGTCACACTAGACGCTTCCCTAAACCAACAGGAATCAGCTGCTCTTTGACAGTGGGGTCTGCTCACAAATGGACAATTCTCCAAGAGGAAGAGAGGATCAGGGAATTTAGAAGGTGCTGAGTATTCTGTATGGATATAATTCTAAGGGAGCATTTTCTCCAATATTCTGTAGTACCTGTAAGGACCATTAAAAGAACATAGAAGTAATTCTCCAATAGACATACTTTAAAAAATGAGAAAAAAATGAATTTTCAGTTTAGGAGGGAACTTGAGGATTGAGTAGTCCCATTTCTTATGAGGAAACTGACATGTGAGAATGCAGGGTTGTTTCCCAAATTTGCCAAGCTACTGAAGGACACAGCAGAAAGATGCCCCAGGATTCTGCTCTGTCAAGCCTTTCTGATGTTATACCCTATTGCTTATAACAAAGTATAAGGTAGTAATTAGTGACTATTACTATTTGAGTGGAAAAATACTTAGCTTAGCGTCATATAGGTCTGAGATAGGATCTTTGTGTGACACTCATTAGTTCTATAAACTTTTATCTGTGCCCTCACAGGAAATAAATTGAAATAATAGCTTCTACCTCACAGATGTAAATGAGATAATGACTATAAAGTCTGTGCACAGAAATTGTGTTCTTATGTATTTACCAAATACTTTACTTCCTCCCAGATATTGAGGACAACTATGTTTTCTAGCCCCTTTGCACCTTAGTGGGGCCATATAAGGGGTCTGGACAATGGAATGTAGGCATAGGTGAGGTGCCCCTCACCTCCCAGGAGTTTCATATGCATGTTCATATTTCTCTTCTCTTTCTACAACGATTGCATGTTGAAGACGGCAGGAATGCAAAATGGCAAGAGGCTCCATCCTTGAATCACCATTTGGAGAAGAGTTAACTGACAAACAAGATCTGCACTGAATTATATGGTGAGAAGAAAACATTTAGGGGATTGCTTATTATAGCAGCTACTCCTATGTACTCTGACTAATATGATAATGATCTAAATGACATGATTTTTCTTACTTCAGAATCCACACCTGCTACAGATTCTTTTTTTTTTTTTTTTTTTTTGAGGCAGAGTCTTGCTCTCTCTCTGTCACCAGGCTGGAGTGAAGTGGCACGATCTCGGCTCACTGCAACCTCTGCCTTTGGGGTTCAAGTGAGTCCCCTGCCTCAGCCTCCGAAGTAGCTGGGACTACAGGTGCCTGACACCATGCCCGGCTAAATTTTTTGTATTTTTTAGTAGAGACAAGGTTTCCCCATGTTGGCCAGGATGGTCTCAATCTCTTGACCTCATGATCCAGCTACCTTGGCCTCCCAAAGTGCCAGGATTACAGATGTGAGTCACTGTGCCCGGCCACCTGCTACAGATTCTTATAAATCAGACTTTCTTTCCACAGTTCTGAACATTGACAGCCAACATCAGCTCTAATGAGAGACAACTCTGATGAGATTCTGAAGTGTACAGCTTTTGAATCATTGAAGGATTCAATTGTTTTTCATATAATCTGGCTGTAGGTATATATTTATTATGTTTTACTTCTTCAAAAATCAGCAAGTGTGAATTCTCATTTTTCCACATTCATTTATTAAGAAATGACTAAGCCCCATTGTCCCGGCCCTTTCACATATGTTGCTACATGCTATCCTCACAGTAGCCCCATAAGATTGTGAGATCACTATTATTTCAACCATGACCACCCTCACCTTGAGTTTCTTACACATAACATTCTTTCTACCAAGAATACTGTTTTCCCAGACATCTCCATGGCTCACACCCTAGATTTGTTCAATCACTTGCAACTCTGTCTAAAACAATGGCCCTCTGCCACCCACATCACTGACTTCCATTATTTCCATCTCATTTGCACATATTTTGCTGTTGATTCCTAGCACTGTTTGTTCCTAGCACACCAGAGCCAATCCCTGCAGGAAATGGTGCTCCTTCACTGATGCCAGGGTGGGTCCTCATTGCTCCCAGGATGGGGAAGATCAGTGCCAGATCTTTATTGGCTAACAAACCAGCAGAAATCCAAAACTTCTTGAACACATGTACACATCTAAAGACTTCTCTCTCTCTCTCTTTTTTTTTTTTTCAATTTCAGAACTCCTGGTTGGTGGATTGAACCCATTCTCCACCCTTTTCCAATTTCTGAATCAATCTACTCCAGATCCCTTTGCTCACAGAATGACAGGATGTGAAATAGTCTTTGTTTTGCCATAGCATTTTATTGGCACCAGCTCTTATTCTTGAATTTACATGTTTCAACCTGCCTCCCTCTTTTTTACAGGGTTCAATCAATTCCTTCCACCATCAGTTTAAATGCATCAAGAAAAACAGATTCAAGGCTAAATAAATTTGCCAAGTAATATGTTTATGTATATTTTCCATCCAGACCAGTGATGCAGGACAAAATGTCTGAGGAGGACTTTTAAGAGCTAGCTCTGTAGACTTGACGTTGATGTTCTAAAGATGGACACTGTTATCAATGGCAGCATTGATCTGGCTTCAAGTAGCCTCATAAGCAACAACTATTCATTTTACAGATATTTAATGAGGAACTTCTAGAGTCACTTTACAAACATGATTGCTTTTTTTTTTTTTTTTCTAGCCACAGGGAGCCAGGATAGGAGGACAACATGGTGGATCCAGCATGGAACTTACAACTGAGGCTAGTTTGATGGCAAGTGTGACACACCTTGTTAAAAATTTTCCAAAACAATGGGGCATTTTGACAGTGGTTTAAATTTTTTATTGAGCAGCCAACAAGCAAAAGTGTGGGTGGGGTTGTCCCGAGCCAGTGTATTTGGGATGTAAATGTAAGTTTGAATAGGTTTTAGCCACAGCTTATTGGGCAAGAAAACATTTAGGTGAAAGTGTAAAAACAGTAATTTTCTGTTATATGCAAGGATAGTACTTAGTGTCTGGGAAGTAGAAAAAGTAAATAAAGAAAAAGCCCTAGGATTTCATATTTATTCAACCATAAAGCAAATATTATTTGATATCTAATATGTTCCAAATACTGTTCTGTTCAAACTCTGCATCCAGAAACTTCAGTATTGGACATTACCAATAAGAACATATTCATGGAATCACAACCAAAAATATGTCTATTTCTCTAGTTTTAAATTGGTTTTCAAAATGATGGCACTTCTTGTTACATCAAAAAGCAGTCCTGAGATGTCACATAGGTAAAGAGTAAAGAGAATGAAATAAAGTTTCATTCAAGAAACCTGAAGACAGACCATAGAACACTATACTCTGTTTTCCAAAGACAACACAAAAAATAGCATCTGACCCTCAAAGGTATTATTTCGAGAGTAGAAGAGAAAAGGTTGAAGGTTACATAAGCAGCTTAGTATGTTGAAGTTATATAAACAGCATAAGCAAATGTATAGATCATACAAAATGAAGAAAAGATGTGCCCCAAGTCAAATATAAGTCAATACTCTCTAAAATTCCATTATGCATTTTTAGACCATCCTTCAGAGACCTTACTCAGTTTTTATTCAATATCTACATGTTAAAAGGTTAAGATGACCTCTGCTAAAACTAAGGGTTATTTTTTTTTCTTTTTTTTTCTTTCTTTTTTTTTTTTTCAGAGTCTCGCTCTGTCGCCCAGGCTGGAGTACGGTGGCGGATCTCGGCTCACTGCAAGCTCCGCCTCCCAGATTCATGCCATTCTCCTGCCTCAGCCTCCCGAGTAGTTGGGACTACAGGTGCCCACCACCACGCCCTGCTAAATTTTTGTATTTTTTTTAGTAGAGACGGGATTTCACCATGTTGGCCAGGATGGTCTCGATCTCCTGACCTCGTGATCCGCCTGCCTCAGCCTCCCAAAGTGCTGGGATTACAGGCGTGAGACACCGGGCCCAGCCAAAACTAAGGGTTATTGCCAAGGGTGTTAGTGAAGGATGTTGCCACTGACATTGAAACTGGTGTCCCTCTTGAATAATGACGCTACAACTTCGTGATCATTCATCTAGAGAAGTTAACAGCACATGCGGTTTGTTAAGAACAATAATTAAGGATTTCTTGAAACTGCCTATAAAGAAAAGCAGGCACTTGGTCAAACAGAAGTCATCGTTTTGGAGCAGGCTGGTTGACTGATGAGGCAGGTTTCATATAAAATGCAAATTCACATTTTGTGGAAACTGGAAGTTCGTTCATCTAAATCATTTCTGCTACAGTCTATGATGGCTTCGGAAAATTGCCAGAGTAGGGTTTTTATTTGATCTTTCAACATTATTGGAGGTCATATAAACAGGATTATATGAAGTCTTTCACTGTCAATTAATGTAATTCTAAATCAACATTCTGTCAACAGTGAGCAGATTTTACAGGGAAAGGAGGAAGAAAGAGGAGCTGTTTTTCCCCTCAAATGAATTGCCCTGGCTTTTAGTTAATTCTTAAATAAAAAGAGAGGGAGGGAGAGCGAGAAGGAGAAAAAGAAGAAAGGAAGAGAGGAAAGAAGGGAGAAGAGAAGAAGGGAGAGGGAAAACAGGGAGAGAAGAAGGAAAGCGAGTAACCTAATTTATTTTAAGGTGTTTTGAGAAAGTAATCTATTCCTTATTTTATCTTAAGAAACGAAATCCTAGAGTTATTGAAAGGTTAAAGACAATTCATTTTCTGTGAAAATTGAATGCCTAAATGGTATTCTAATTTTATAATCTAAAATGTAACCCCTTTTGAACCTAACATTCAGGAAACTTATTTTTAGCCAATAGTGATAGCACTGGGCACTAATTTATTTTTTTATGGAAATGGAAAACAGACCAAATTTCCTATATTTGCAGAATATCAGCCCTACTATTAAGTATAATTTGTTTGACTTACATTTGACTTCAAGGATTTCAGAACACTTCTGGGACAATACTTTCCATAAGTCTCTATAAATATGAGGAAGAATCCCCTTCATTTGAAAATCTTTACTGGATTAAATTTTCATCTTCTTCTTTGCAACTCCACAGGAAACCTCCCAGGGATGCATAAGAGAAGTTTCAGTGTCAAGTCAGTTACCTCACTTATATCGACAATTTCCTTGCAAAAAAAAATGATATATTTTAAGCTAATCAAAGTTGGAAAGAGTCAACAGATGAAACAAAATAATACAATGAATAGGTGCTTTTCTGATCTAGCAATCTATGAGCTACAGAACTGGCTTTTTTCAGGCGGTGTGTTTTGAACTCCAGAATACATTCAACCTCTACAGTTTGACCTACTGAAGTGGAATCTCAGTTCAGCCTCTTCGCCTTTGTGTGACCTCTATGTCTTCATTCATAAAACAGGGAAAATTATATTCTCTATCTCAGAGTTGTGATGAGAATTAACCCACATAATGTACCGGAAATGATTAGCAGTGTCTGACATGCTGTCATCATCATTGATGTCATATTCCTCTATCAAAATAGTTCCAAAATTAATTCTATGTCCAATATTATCTCCTTTAATTCCATTCTCAAAATTTTAGTAAGAATGAATTTTCCAGAATATGAACTGAATCATATCACTCTCATTCTTAAAATCATGTAATACTGTTTTATTGTCCAAAGAATAATGTCCATGATCCCTAATGTGTCAGTCCACATCTTTCAAAACCAAGCCCTTGCCCATTCCCATTACCATCTCCCATCCCGACTCACCCCAACTATTTCCTCTCCCTGTTCAGAACTTCTAGCCACACAAGCCATTTGATGATCCTGAATTCATCCTTCCACTTACTTGCACTCCTCTGCCTATACTTTCCTCTGCCTAAAACATTCTTTTCATTCTAACCCTCAAAAGTTTGGATCAAAACTGTTTTTTGTTTTTTTTTTTTAAATCAAGAAACCCTGATTTCAACAATGCACAGAGGGAAAGAAAAGTAATCTGCTCCAGTGATGTTCAAAGAGGAGCAGGTGCCATTTCACTTACCAAAGAGAGGATCCATTATGAACTCATCAGTCCTCCTGCTTTGTTCATTCCCATTGTGGCCTATTTGCTTGCACTCTTTTTTTTTTTTTTTTTTTTTTTTGAGAAGGAGTCTCCCTCTGTCACTCAGGCTGGAGTGCAGTGATGTGATCTCAGCTCACTGCAACCTCCATCTCCTGGGCTCAAGCAATTATCCTGCCTCAGCCTCCCAATCCCAAGTAGCTGGGATTACAGGCACCTGCCACCATGCTCGGCTAATTTTTTTGTATTTTTAGTAGAGATGAGGTTTCACCGTGATGGCCAGGCTGGTCTGGTCTCAAACCCCTGACCTTGTGATCTGCCTGCCTTGGCCTCCCAAAGTGCTGGGATTACAGGCATGAGCCACCATGCCCAGCCATGCTTGCACTCTTAATGCAATCATAATCCAAACATTCCCAAAGTCAGCCTGGTCAGCCTACAATACATCTTAAAGTACATCTGTGGCACAGATTGAAACAACACTTAAAGATATTAGGAAGTGATAAACATGTGATTTTGCTTAAGTAGTTACGTGGCTACAATTAAAGTTGAAGATAATTTCTGCTAGTGCCCTGCTAAACTGTGCTTGTACACATAGATGATAAAATAGAGATTTCTCAACTAGCTTTGGTAAATGGGGAGAAATGGAACAGATAGCTGAAATGTACTGATAATTTGTTTGGGGATACTATTGATGGTCTTTATAGAATCCATGAATACCTACATCCCCCCAAGGGCCACCCACCTTTTTTTATGAAGTCTCTAAGAAAGGTAGATGTATGTAAAAGAGAAAGTGGCAAATAAGAAACGAAATGCCACTTTATTATAATTAGGTGGGTTTTTGCCCGATACTCCAGTGATAAGCTCTTTGGTTATTTTGGATGGAGACATGGGCTTAGAACACATAGCATGGAAAGGCACAAGGAGCTTTACCTACCCTTCAAGCCCAGATGTAAAGCTGTGGTTGCCTCAGTAGTTCCAAGTAAAAAGAGACTTGAGAGACTAACACACTAGAGCATGCATTTGAGAAGAATAGAGCAAGATTAACACTCGGGGCTCCTCCTATGTATAATCATTGCCTCCTATGTAGGATCATTACTTCATCCAGCTGACTGTTTTAGCTTTCAAAGGTAAGATGAAGAAAGAGGTGGCTATGTAGGCAAACTTGTAATACACACAGTTGTCCTGCCCACTGGTATATGCAGTCTGGACAGTCTTAGAACCTGACTTTCCCTAGATCTTCCGACTTACTTTTACATGTGACCTTCTTCTGGTCCACACTGTGGCCTTCGAACTGTGGATCAAGTCTATTTCAGACTCTTTACTCAGTTTCTTCATCTTTCAATTGATGTATTAGGCAAGATGGATCTGTGGTTCCTTCTATCTCTGATGTAATGTTATATTATCATAAATAAACATTGCTTTCTATAAAGCAAGAACATTAGTAAGATCTGGCAGTACTTCTCCCAATAACAAAACAAAATTTCTTTAGATGTGAATTGTATTTTCATAGTCTTCACATTTCTCTCTCTAGGCAACTCTTTCATAAGAGACTCAATGAAAGAGGGTGGTTGATTCAACAAACTTTTATCCCTACTCCTGGAATGAAAGCCCCAAATACTCTTACTTCAGAAAGCTCAAAACATTAAAAAATTAGGAAATTTGCCCAATATGCTTTCTAGAGAATTCTAATAAGAATCAAAACAGTCAAAAACAAGGAATAAGCATTTCTTATATGAACATAATAAAATAATCGGCATTTTATACTTCTCTTCAAAGAAATCACAGTTTAAAAACATCAAGAATCATTTCTTAAAGCCAGTAAGTTCCATATTTAGTTAAACTAAGAGGCAGCTAAAATTCACAAATATATAAAAAGGCTGCCAAAACTGAGTTTGGTAGAAGGCAAATGTGGAGATGGGAGGAAGTGAAAAGAAGGTCTAGCATGTCAAATCTCAGAAAACATCAGCAACGACACACTTCCTAAATGTGAGGTTCATGATCTAAAGTGCAAAAGCTATCACCCTTCTTTGTTACAATAAGAGAACCAAGTGAGCAAGTTTGGTGGAGAAGCAGAGAAGGCACAACTCACAAAGAATCATACAGACCATCTAAATTTGCTGAGATTATGGTAACAACAGACAATAACTCAAAATATATATAAAGCAATTGTGCTGATTAAAGAAGACCACAAACAAAAAGGTAGTATCTTAGAAAATATATAACAGAAAGAGGTTAAAGCTAAGCTAAAATAGCTAAGCAACGGTGTAGAAGAAAAAAGCAAAGCCATCTTATGCACAAAGATAAAATCGAAGGAAAACAAAAGGTATAGATATTGAAGAGAATACAATAAGAGTCATAAAGGATAAAGAGAAGAAAAGCAAAAAGGAAGTGAAGGGACTGAAGAAAAAGAGGAGAGAAAAAACAAAAAGAGAGACAGAGGGAGGGGAGAGATATATCAAGGATGGAAAGCAGGCAGGCAGCCAGGCAAAAGAAAGAAAGAAACAGACTGAGAGATGAAGACAGAAAGAAACAAACTTAAAAAGAGTAGAAAAAAACCCTAACAGTAGAAAGCAGGTAAAGGAGAGCCAACATATGTATAATGCTTGTATATGCACAAAGAAATTTTAATGAGTCAGAAGATTCCAAGGAAGGCTTTTCACTATATAGCATTTTATAATAACATGAATTACTGCATGTAATTTTTTAAGCAGGAAGAAGAGAACAAGCTAGATAGAGGCACAATAGGAAGGAAGAAAAATAACAGTCTTGGTTCAATAATTTATGTATTCAATTTTATTACCACACACTTAATGAATGCCTATTATATGCCAAGCACTGTTCTGGTTACTGAGTGTGCAATAATTAAGAAAAAAAACAATAATCTCTGCCCTTATGAACTTTCATTCTAAGGAGGGGTGATGAACAGCAAACAAAAATATATTACATATCAAATGATAATATTAAAGAACTATCTGGAAAAAAAAAACATAGTAGGGGAGATAGAGCATGCCAAGGAAAAGAGGAGTTGCTACCTTGGCTAGGGTAGTCAGAGAAGAGCTCCCAGACACTTGTGCAGAGACCTTGAAGAAGTGAAGGAAGAAGACATAAATATTTCAGTCAGAAGAAATGGTAAGCATGGAAAACACTAAGGCAGAAATGTCTTGGTTTTTTAAAAACTCAATGAAGTATAGAATGGCCACAGTACAGGAAGCTAGAAATGAGTGGGAGGAAGTACCAACAGAAAAAAAAATGGGAACCAGGTTAAATACGGCTTTGAATATCATTTTTAAATCTTTTTCTTTGACTGAATGATATGGGAAGACATTGGAGAGTTTTAAGCAGAGGAGTGATATGAAATAATTTCTATTTTATTTCACAAGTGTCACTCTGGATACTGTGCTAAGTTAGCTACTACTTAAAAATAAGGTCAAAAGAGCAAAACACTCTTTTCATTAAGACAACCACTGATGTTTGGGGCTTGCCACCTTCCTGAAAAGTTATGCAGAGCTAGAATTTAGAGGATAAGCCCCTCCAAAATAACAACAAAAACAAAAACAAAACACATTTCCCTTCACTTTCTCCTTCCCCTGTGTTGTCAGTACAGAAAAAAAAGAGTGCGATGGAGATTGTCTTTGGGAATATAATGATTATGAGGAAGGTGTATGCTACCTTTCCTCAAAGTCAATGGAGAAAGATTTCATAAGCATTATAGAAAAGATTAGGAGAGATACTTTCAAGAAGAGGTTTTCATTCTTAGATTTGTTATCTAACCATAGACTTCTAAACCTGCCCCTCTGCTATCAGAAAACAAGAATGGAAGATTGGGAAGAGATGGCATAGTGTGGATCTGCCTGAAAAACATGCACAAGACCACTTTGCCTCCAAACTCAATTTCAAAATCTATGGAAGCTGAATCCCAAGAATGCCTGCAGACTCAAGGGTTATCCATGGGAGGTAAAAGAGATTGGAGATTTATGGTGTTGTTGAGATCACCCCAGGACCTCTAAAGCACAGGAGATGGGGTAGACACACAGAGGAGAAAGTAATGGAGGCACTTTCTTAATACCAACTTTCTGTTGTCTCCAGGACATGGCACCAAATCTCATGAGAGTGACAATAAGCTAGAACAGAAGTTTTGGAAAGCCAAAGAAAAGACTGTAACTGCACACAATAAACAGAAAACATTTGTGCTTTCTGTCTCCATCTATCACCCAAACAGTCAAACCTGGAGAAAACTACTTTTCCTCTCTACACCAACATGCATGCTATTTGCATAACACAGTAAGTACAATGATGTTGTATTGTGCATAGACACATATTTAAAAAAAATTAAATTCTACATGTAATATACAAAAAGGACAAGAAATTAGGAGGTAAGAAACTGGTTGAAATTTAGAAGTCTGTGATTCAATTAAATGCACGCATTTTAGATACCATGAAAGTGAGGGAAGGACTATGACCTTCACAAGGTTATACAAATAGTAGTAATGCTAAGTATAGAACACAGAGCTCCCTTCTCTCAGTTCATTGCAGGATCTTGCAAAGCTGCTCAGAGAGGCAGACAGCAGACTAATCATGTGATGTGAGAATGCGGACATATTTATGCTCACAGCTCCTTGTACCATCTCCAAAAATAAATGGTTGCACATAGAGAAAACACAAGCTGTGAACCAGACCTCTGATGCACTCACTCTATGCTGTTATGACAATAATTTATAATGTTATTGCAATTACAGTAGAATTATAGCACGCCCAGCACCTAATAGAGCTGTGTGCATACTCTTGAGAAAGACGGATGTGCTAGCATCTTGAGCTGCAGAAATGAGATTAAATGGCCCCCATCCCTGATCCTGCCATTGATTTTTGTAGCCCTCCCATTAACATGATACTTCGCACACCATCCCTGTATCGTTCCTCAGAGGTGAAGACATAGTTTTAGAGTGAAAATAATTAGACCCTCAAAATCCAAGGTGACAAATCTTCCACGCCTCCAACTGCCATGAATCAGAAGACATAAATCAAAGCCTCTTTTGAGGATGTGTTCCTGAGGAGGAAGACATGTTTGCAGAATGAACACTTGTTGTTTCTTCCCCTTTCTTCCTTTTGTCTTCTGTGCATTCTTGGCTTTGAATGTGAACTGGTTAGGATAGGTGGCTATATTAAATCAGGACAGTTTTGTTAGAAGGGGAGGGTGCTCTCACAGTAGGATAGCAAGGCCAACCAGGGATAGACCCTAGCAAACAAGGGCACACATTCATCCTGGTTGGGGGTTATAAGGGTTTACATCAGGAGTGTTGGTATATGCTCTGACTTCTCATAAAATACTTTTCTGTGGGTTGCTCAATATTGCTAACGAGATCATGCAATAAAAGATAATAAACATAATACTTACAGTGGCTATCTTTTATCGAGTGCCTACTTTATAGTACTGAATGTGTAGAGTAATGATTAACAACATTGGATTGCTTATCACAATTTGATAGGGTTATCAACTACCATGTCTCAGTCTTTGATAAATATAAAGCACTGTTACAGACTAAGCACTCAAAGAGATGAGCTATTGTTATTCTGTACATAGTCCTTTATATACATAACACTATGTAATCCTTTCAGGATATGAGGCAGATATCATTCGCCCAATTCTTTAGATGAGAAAACTGAGGCTCAGCAAAAACAAGCTCCCTTCCCAAGGTCACAAAACTAGTAGAAGTTGGAAAGTTTGCATTCAAACTCAAGCGTTGTCTAACCTAGACTTACGTACTTATTAATTTATCCATTTATTGATTTGACACCCTTTAGGTTTATTTACACATGTATTTATTTGTTTGTTTGCTGCTTACTTGTACAAGCTTTTCTCATTCCAGAAAGATTTACAGTAGTTTATAAAAGTACATACATTTTTAAAGGTATGTTAAGAAATTAAAAATAAAGGAAACACGAATAGGAAAATATAAGATGTGCCCAAACATGAAGTCAGTATTGAAAATATGAACAAGCATTAACTGAGCACATTCACTGTAGCTGACATCATGTAGGAAGTGGGAATTTAGAAGCAAACTGACAACGTTTTGTCTCTTCATAAATTTGAATTCCAATGGAGAAGACAAATATACAAAGAAATAATTACAGGGTACTAGGCAAAACTGGAGAGAACGTACAAGACCCAACTGGAGCACGTAAAGAGGAAACTTCACCATATCTGAATAACGCTCATTCCAATCTGGTATTTTCACAGTTGATCTCTTTGTCTTCTGTCTTCCTCTTCTGTCATGTAAGAAAATCTGCTATCTTGTTTCCAGCAGTATATCCTGTATCTAGAACACTCCTGGCCACATTACAAGTGCTCAATGAGTGAATGAATGAATGAATGAATGAGGATTAAAGAGTATGGTTTAAGAAGTGTTCAATTTCCCACAGCTTGAAAATTGCAGAACCACCCCACTATCTGCCCTAGACCCTGGAGGTGACCAGCACAGGTAGTGATATCCTATGAACATTAAAACCAGGCTGGCCAGGCACAGTGGCTCACATCTTTAATCCCAGCACTTTGGGAGGCCAAGAAACGCGGATCACCTGAGGTCAGAGTTTGAAACCAACCTGGCCAACATGGTGAAAACCCGTCTATACTAAAACTACAAAAATTAGCTGGGCATGTTGACTGGCATTTGTAATCCCAGCTACTCGGGAGGTTGAGGTGGAACAATCACTGGAACCTGGGAGGCAGAGGTTGCAGTAAGCAGACTGTCAAAACAAACAAACAAACAAACAAAAAACTAGGCTAAGATTCAAAAACAATGCACTGAGAGTGAATTAGCAAGTAAATATCAACCTACAAGCAAGAGAGGGGATGGTAATAGCTAAGGCAAGAGTAATACTTCTAGAAAAAAACAGCATGCCAAAGAGGAGTGATTTGATCTTGACACAGCTGATAATAAGAAATCAAGGTGTTTGAATTCAACTCCCTCTGGCTCCAGGTCTGGACTCTTTCTATGACACCACAACATACAGATGAAATAGAGCAGGAGAGCTGAGACAATGAGAAAGAAATAATAAGAGGTTTAGGGGATAAATGAAGGACAAAAGAAGGTGGAGAGTCAGAATATACAATACTTATCGATTCACTTAAAAAAAAACCAGATTTCAGTAAAGAGAAAAATTGCTGTGCATTAATCAATGCAGCATTAAAATGCATTGAAACAGTATGATGACCTTAGCTTTTTAAACAATTACACTAGTTTTAACTCCTTTTATTCATATTTTTTAAGTATAAACATCTCGCTATGGGTTTGGGAAATTGGTCTGAGAATCAGAATAGAATGCTTGGCCAATCTCTAGCAATTCTATATTCTAAACCTAGTTCCTTCAGTTGTAAAAGAAAGCAGAGGCTGTAACTTCCCCTCTTGGGGCTTCAGTTTCTCCTTGTGTCAAGTGAAGAATTTGAAATCAGTTATTCCTAAGTTTCTCTCCATCTCTGTCCATATTTCCAGGGCTCTAGACAAAAACAGGAGGCCTTGTTCTGGTCCCATCTCTGTGTCTTATTTTTGGCTCCACTCTCTTTTCTCTGTCCCATGTTTCCTGCTCTTATAAGTAGGAATAAAATGCTGAATATTTGCATAAAGCTTTCATGTTTGAGGACACCTGTTTATATGAGCTTGCTTTAAGGCAATGCCATCATCTGCCCTCTCTATCAGAGCCTTTGTAGATCAAATGAGGTCATGAATATGTATGTACTCTGGTAGCTATTAATTGCAGTAATATAAAATAATAAAATGTTTTCTGTGTTATTACTATTTTTACTTAGACTTGGTAGTATGTTTTCAAGAGAAGCAGAAAGTCTGTCAATATTTATTTTCAAGTCACTCTATAATGAACTTTGCAGTTAGTTAAGAATAAAATAAGGTAAAATTAAATTATGTGAAATAAAATAAAATAATAAAAGAGAAGATGTGGTCTCCTAATGTGTTGGGGAAGACAGAACATGGACCCAGACAACAAAAAGCAATCTAGTAAATAAGGACACCTAGAGTAAAAGGAAGAGTGGGTGGGGGGCCTCAGTTTCCTCATCTGTAATAGGGTAGTACAAACTGGGAGGAATGGGGGTGGGCAGATGGCCAACTCAAAAGCCTACAATGGGCCCAGGCCCATCTTAACCTGATGTTAGAAAATGGGGGGAGGCCTGGGATGGGAAGCAGGGGCTACCCAGGCAACTGTAGTGCATGTACACTTTGTATAAGAGGCAGCTCTACTGAGCTCCAGCCAATGTTTGCCCTGTATGATTTATTAGGAACAGAGGCCAATTCTTGTAAAAGATGCCAGAAATCTGTATTATGATGTAAAAATCTCTTGATTTTTAAATGTTGGTAACTGAATTTAAAAAACAAATCAAAACAAAACAAAAACCTCTTGCCAGAAAAAAAAAAAAGAGAGAGAGAGAAAGAAATTAAGCCTAATCTAAATATTTGGTAGTTTTTCATCTTTGGACTGGATAATCTCTAACTTCTCTTTCTGCTCTAACATTCTAAAGTGCCATGAGGTGCAAATTGGTATAAGAATACTGTCTGAAAATAGACCCATTGGTCCTGGGTGGTACTAACTAATCATAATTACAGCAATAATATTAACATCTTATACATATGTAACAAATAACTACTTGCAAACCACTTTGGTGCCCATCTTATCTACAATTCTCCTAGTAATCCATGTGCTAAGCCAGATATTAGAGAAACTAAAATCTAACAGAGGTTAAAGGACTGGCTTAAGATCCTATGGCAGGTTAAGAGCAAAACTAGGACTGAAGGATGATGTCTCAAATGTTATAGATGAGTATTTTCCTTACCAGAGTGTCAAAGATAAAATGGGGACCATTTTTCCTGCTGATGTCTTTACGTCCTCTGAACAAGGGGCACGTTCGGATGAAGAGTGGTGTGTGAGAGTCATTGCTTGCTAATTGACAGATTGGCAGGAAGTAGGTAACAGAACTTCCCTCCAGGTGTTGCCCCCTTGGGGCTTCCAGACTTAGAGAGAAGCCCTGGGGTAGGGGGTGCAGTGACAAGCCAGATCCTCCCAAGGCCCTGGGAGGACAGCAGCAGAACTTCAGTCATGGTGCTGGGCTGGGTATCAGTCCCTTAGTTACTGAATAGTGGGAGATCCCAGGATTTTGAAGGAGAGGTCAGAGCAGAGGATGGTGACATGGGCCTATGCGAAGCTCAGGTCAGCAGCCATTTACCAAACAGCATAAGCATCTTTCAGAACTTCAGCAGCCAGTGAGGATGTAGCAGAGCCTCCAGCCCTGGCTCTCAAGGGCAACACATTTTTAAGTGAAAAAGTTCAAGGGGCTTAGTGTTGTAAGACTTCCCAGAAGAATCCCATTTGGTGGAGTTTGTTTATTGGAAGGAGTCTTTGGGGATGACAAGGCACAGACTTCTCTCAAGGAATCAATAGGGAAACCTAAAGGAGAACATCTGTGAGTTCTACGTCTGGCAAAAGTCTATGAGTAGGGTGAGCACTTGATCATCTGGTTTGTGTTGGGTGGTTGCAACTTGACCTGGATTTTTCTTTCAGTCTTAAGAATGTCATCATTAGAAGGATAAATTAGGTCATTAAATTAACAGTAAGTGTTGTCTGACCAATGGAGAAATGTGGGAGAGAAACCAGGAATGAGAAATGAGGAAAGAGTGAACCTCAGCTGATACCATCATGAGTCAATATGATCATGAGGGCACGAACAGCACTGATTAAAGTAGACATAGACTAAAGAGAGAAAGACTAGGAAAAAGCTGTTGGACTCATTATTTGGTAAAATTCCTGAACAAGATGATTTCTATAGAAGTTGAAACTTAGGAGGAAGCAACAACAATAACAGTAGCTATCATTTAACTAGTGCCCACTAAATTCCAGGCACTTTGCTAAGAGGCTAGATTCTAATCAGATTTCATCCTTACAGCAGCAGTCTGAGGCCAACAGAATAGCCCCAAGTTAACAACGAGAAACTCTGGAACCCAGCTAGGTTTAATGACTGAATAAGAATGCATGCAATGAATAAAGCATTAAAAGAGCTCTGTCACACACTAGCTGGGAATACTTCTAACAAAAAACTGTGGAGCTGAAGGTAGGAAAGCAAGAAATGATTGTCCTTTCACTCCCAGGGCAATAAGGCTTTCCCTTCATCAACATATATTAAGTTCCTCCCATGAGTCCAGAAGGTGCAAGATTCTCCAAGGATTACCACTGAAATATAAGAAATATTTTCTTCACTAGCCATGGAAACTGTATTCTATGGTTGGAGAGGAGAAATGACGTCAGAAGCACCCTAACATAGTAAAAAGCACAGAGAGTCTTGAGTTGGATGCTCTGAGACTGATGCCAGTTTTGCCTAGTACCTGTCACATGTCAGGGGCTCTTAGTCACTTAGCTATTCAGACCTCAGTTTCCTCATGTGTAAGCTGGAGCTGGAAATAAGGTCAAGTGCATGAGACTGTGAAAATCAAATATGACCATGTAAAATTATCCTGTGCACTGTAAAGTAATTTTCTAAAATAAGCTGTTCTTCTTGTATGAAATATTTAGAGAAAATTAAGCAAGACACATAAGTGCAGTGCGTGTCCAAGGAAAACTAACTCCCAAGAGTCCTTACAGTCTCTAGATCAGTTTATAGTCTCTCAGTGCCTAGGGGTGCCATCTACCTCTGTGTGTGTGTACTTTCTTTCTCATTCTCTTTTTTAATTGAGAAACTGCATTTTGCTATCCCCTTTAGCTGTTTCATAGGGCACTGCTCTTAAGTGCTGGATGCCATTTCTGCTCTTCTGTTTCCTTTTTATTCAACCATGTAATAATTTTTCCATAGCTGGTGAGCTCACTCTGAAAATGGGGCCAGCAAGTTGCAAATCTCTGCGTACTGGGTGGAAGTCACTTGCCTTGATTTAAACCCTCAATAATGTATTTAATACTTAGTATTAACCAGTTCCATAAATATGTCAAATATAATGGCATCCTTTCTGTATGAGAAGTGACATCCAATAAATTATGGAATTTGTAGATTGCCTGCAATTCTATACAAAGTATGAAAGGCAGAAACAATTAATTGTTTGGTTGTGTGAGTGCCTACAGTCATATACATATATGTGTTTTAATAGTGTTGTCCTGAGAAAATATTGCATTGTGTATAGGCACACATCTCTCCTGTCACCTTAGAAACAATCACACCAGCTGATATAAAGTACTGCTTCTCACAGCTTTTGTCTTCATAATAACATTTTTGAAAGAATTTATTGGTTATTGTTATTTTAATTCACCAGCAATTTCATTATGATAATAAACCCTGAGGGTCTGCTTGTTTAGTTCTGCAAAGTTCTTGTCTACCTCAGCTCCCTTCCTCCTTAAGCTGAAGACATTTGTACATGTGAATGTCAAAAAGGTTGGAAAAAAAAAAGGAAGGGAAAAGTTGTGACAGAACAAGAAATAGGGTCTTTTCATAAAGAGGATAGGGAAGAAGAAAACAGTGGGTATACCACCCTCCGTGGACTTTATGCAAATCAACCACCCAGAGCTGCTTATGCTTCTTAAAAACAATTGCAAATTTCATAGAACAGCCATCTCCTGCCATGCACTGGACTAAAAACTTAGCAAGCATTATTTCGTTTTATTCTCAGTAACACAAGGAAGTGAAGCAATTTGCTCAAGATAATGTGTCTAGTCATCAGAAGGACTGGTCAGTGCCTCGGTGAGTAATTCTGTTTAATACTATAGGTTCTTATTAGACACTCCACTTGTCGTCCACAGACTTAATTTAAATCCTATGAGATGAAGGAAGGATTTTGATTTGCATGCATCTTACACTTTATCTTATTTCTATGTTGATTTAGATCTTGATGATGATGGATACTGCTTATTGGATACTCTCACATCTCAACAATCCAAACACCTTCCACAATGACCTGCTTAATCTGACCCCTGGCACATCTCAAATCACAGTCTCTGTCTGTAGTAGATAAAAAAAAATGGACACACACTTTGCAATACCACCCATCAAGAGATTAAGTAACTTTCTTCATCCCTTGAATCTAGTGGGCTCTTGTGACTACCAATAGAATTTGGTGGAAGTGACACTCTGCCTTCTGCAACAAGGCACCTGTGCTGAAGGAGACTTTTAGCCTCTGCCCTTGCCTCCCTGAATAGTGCCTCCATGTGAAGAAGACCAAGCTAACCTACTGGAGACATGGCTCCACCAAGAACCAGTAGCAGCTGCCTGGACAAGGCCATCTTAGACCACCCAACCCTAGTCAAGACAGCAGAATGACTGCAGCTCGGTGAATTGTGTTTTAAGCTGCTAAGTTTTCAGTGGTTTATTAGGCAGCAATACATAACTGAAATACCCTTTCACCCTCCCGACTTTAGGCTCCAGCCTTTCTGATCTTCTCTTAAGCCTTGGAACATGCCATTGACTTTTCCACCCTGAGACTTTGCATGTTATTCCTTATGCATAAAATACATTCCTCTTTCCACCTGTCAAATGGTTTAACTCCCTTTTATCATTTAGGCCACTAGCTTAAAATTCACATGCAGAGAGAATTCTTTACTGAGCAACCATATACCCCAGATTTCTTATTCTTCATATCAGGCTTTTCTTATTTTTTCATTGCGCATATCACAAAGGGCAATTAATTAATTAATTTGTTTGTTTGTTTGTTATTGCCTATTTTCCCCCTATCCAGATGTAAGCTCCATGAGAGTGGTTGGAGGCAATGTTTATTCTGTTTTCCACTTCACCTTAAGAGAGTGCCGGGAAGAGGGTCTCATCCATATTTCTTTGGATCCTTTTATCATTTTCCTGCATACTTTCACTGAGAGTGCTCTCATGTCCATCAGCCAGCACTTGCTTCTCTTTTCTGAGGGCTGCCCCAGGCTCCTGAAGTCCAGCTTGGATTGCCTGCATGAAAACATAGAGAGCTAAAGGCTGGGAACTTGCATAGCCTTAGCCATTTGCTAAGGAACGGGGTGATAACTGTAAACACTCTAGCTCCCTTGTTCCCTGATCAGGAAAACACTAATGTGTGATCTCCCTGTCTGCAGTGCTCACCTGCAGGACTTTCCTTGCTGGTTTTCTTCACGGTGTTTGTAATAAGTGCATTGTACCCTTGATTGCCTTTCTTCCTTGCCCTGTCCTACTTCTCCAGTTCTCTGGAGGTTTTTCCAGGAATGCTTCTTAATAAACACCACTTTCACACAAATCCTTGTGTCGGAATCTACTTCTGGGAAGGTACTCTAAGACAATGTGTTTGTGAAATAAATGTATTAAAGCAGTCCTTGATTTCCACACAATTGCTTTTCACATTGACACCCTTAAACCAATTTCACAATCAGAGCTCGGACACACTGCATCAACACCATATTTTGCAGTCAAGTTTGTGTAATTATTGCAATGTTTTATTGCAATTTGTCCCAGTGTTTTATAAAGATGAGTGGGAAATGGTAATAAATGAAAGCACTGACACTAACAGTAAGCCAATTGGGACAAAGATAGATACCACTTGTGTGCTGAAAGTGAGGAATTGTTGGTAGTATTGGAAGGTTCCACGGACTGAAGCTGACCATCTGGAAAGTAAAGACCAAATACCAAATTAAGTCACACATAGGAAATTCGTGAAACAGATCATCAGGGACAGTATTAAAAGATGAGTTTTATTGAAGAGTCTGAAGAAGTCTTTAAAAGTAGGGAAATTATAAAAGTTGGCACCAAAAAGCCTTCCAGATATTTACCAAGGCAGAGAAGTTTACAGAACCAGAGAGCAGTTCTCAGGAATGGGCTTGCTTTGTGCCCCCTTGTTGAGAGAAAAAACAGTCTTGTGCTCAAGACTCGCCTGACAGATATTTCAAGAAATCTTCTAAAATCCTATCAAAATCACCCTCACAGTCCCATGCTAAATTATCTACTCAGTCTCTTGCAAAATCACTACCAGTCAGTCATCCTCCTGCATTTTAAAATAAATTTCTTCTGTTTTCTAATGTCACTTTAAATAAGCTAGAAAAAAAATAGGTTCTTTGGGCAAGAAATTACACAAGAAAATGAATTCTACTTGCATTTAAAGTTCAAGCCAATTTTTAATGTTTTAAATAATCATTTTTGCATAATTTAAACTTTTAGGAACACTTTTGGATTCCTTGGAACATAATCCTCCCATATCACATGCAAGGTTTTGGGTGCTTTCAGTTTTGTTCATTTAGCTTTTATTTTCTTTCTTTAGGATTTGATGTGTTATGCATGGTAGAAGAAACATCCATAGTCTGACAGAGTAAGATATAAATCACAGCTCTGCCTCTAATTATGCAACCTCTTGGTAGCTTATTTTTCTGAGCCTCAGTTTATATATCTGTAATAATCCTTCCCCTGTAGTCTGTGGTGAGGAATAAGTGAGGGAACTGAGATAAAGCATATAGGGCAGAGCTGGCACTCAGTGAATCTTAATTCTCTTTTCTGGGTTCCCCATCACAAAACAGTTGGGTTGAAAGATTTGTCTAAGAATTGGACTGCCTTGGCTTGAAGACAAAGTCTGAACTCCTCAGCCTGACACACAGAGCTTTACGTGATTTGACCTCCATGTATCTCTCCTAGCTCAACCGACTCCTGTCCTTCACCACAAGGCTTACCCTGTTCTCTCTGTCGCCAGGTTGGAGTGTAGTGGTGCAGTCTCTGCTTACTGCAACCTCTACCTCCCATGTTCAAGCGATTCTCCTGCCTCAGCCTCTTGAGTATCTGGGACTATAGGTGCGTGCCACCACACCCAGCTAGTTTTTGTATTTTTAGTAGAGACGGGGTTTCACCATGTTGGCCAGGATAGTCTCAATCTCTTGACCTCATGATCTGCCTGCCTCAGCCTCCCAAAGTGCTGGGATTGCCGGCGTGAGCCACCATGCCCGGCCATGGCTTACCCTGTTCTAAAGGAGCATAAGGAGCTGCTCACTTCTCCCCTGGACCCCATCCAGATGAGACATCCACCTAGACTCCTGGAGTCCCCACGTCCTCCAGGCTGGGCAAAGTATTTGTCCTGTGCAAGTGCCCACACACCTGGGTCTCCCTTAACACAGCACTTGTCATAATTTTGTAAACCTCTTTAATGCCCATCTCCTATTTTAGATTATAATCTCCTCAAATAGGAATATTCCACTACATTATTCTTATATACACCAGTCACTGCTCTAAGCTCTTTCCATGTTGACCTCATTTTACTATTCTTATAACCCTATAAGATATGCATCATCATTAGCCCCATTTTACAGGTGGGAGAAACAAAAGAAAAAGAAAAGTTAAATGATTCTGTCATGATCAAATATCTAGCAGCAACAGAGCAGGCTCTATTATCTCCATGCTATAACCCTATCTCTTGTCGCAGTGTGGGATGAGAGACCTGCAGATAGTCAATAAAGGCAGAGTGAACAAGTTATTCCATGCCAGGGAAGAAAATGACATCTGAGCAGGGATATAAATAGATTGAGACAAAAACACACACTGCCAAGGTTTATTAAGAAAAAGGCAAAGAGCTGGCAAATAAAACCTAGAGTTTAGGAGAACCTCCTACCTCCAGTGTCATCAGTTGATTCTGAAGCAATGGGGCATGCACCTGAATCCATTGTCTAGCTATATGACCTGCCCCTTGCAAATCTTCAGTCACTTCATCTATTAAACAAGAGTAATGAATGAACTCTGAAGCCCTCCCAAGAGGAAATGTTTATGTTCTGTGATTCTAACAGAGAAATCTGACTTTAGGGACTTGCATTTGCTGTCTCTCTGCCTATCAATGGTCACCTTCTCATCATTTCTATCTCAACAAAAATATCAATACAGAGTAGTGGTTAATAGCATCAACTCTGAAATCCCGGTGTTGTTAACTTTTAAGCAGTGTGATCTTAGATGGGTTACTTAACTTCTCAGTACACCGCTTCTGCATATCTGTCTCTGCTACTGGAGAGAGGGCTAACATATTATTGCTTAAATGCCTAGTGCCTAGAATCCATATCTTGTAGTCGTGGCCATGGGAGGAAAATGGAAATTGTTTCCAGATTTTTTATTTTTTTATTTTTATTTTTTCCGAGATGGAGTCTTGCTCTGTCACCCAGGCTAGAGTGTAGTGGCACGATCTCGGCTCACTACAACCTCTGCCTCCTGGGTTCAAGCAATTCTCTTGCCTCAGCCTCCTGAGTAGCTGGGATTACAGGCACCTGCCACTGTGCCCAGCTAATTTTTGTATTTTTAGTAGAGACAGGGTTTCACCATGTTGCCCAGGCTGGTCTCAAACTCCTGACATCGTGGTCTGCCCGCCTTGGCCTCCCAAAGTGCTGAGATTACAGGCGTGAGACACCACACCTGGCCTGTTTCCAGATTTTTACCAACTCATGGCACATTATTATTTAAAACAATCTAGTCCCCCAAATAAAAACCAATACTAAATATAGTTAAAGATACAAGTAAAAACAGAGATAGAGACAGAGCTATAGGGACTCAGAGGTAATTTTCTCAACACTATCTCCCACCTGTGAGTCAATGATTGAGTGAGACAGCTATCATAAGTGTAGATGACTAATCATCCTTACAGTGTTATGTTCCGGTCTAATTTGGAAAAAAAAAAAAAAACCTGACAAAAATCAAAATGTTCTGTACCAGTTCATTAAAGGACAAATGTAGGGAAATATTAAAAGTAAGATTTTGTAAGTAAGATTTAATTTCCCTTTAATTTTCTTGCTTGCTATTTTACATCATATGGAGCCTGGTCCAATTTGCATATCCAAAGACTTTCAAACATAAAATTCACACTTTCCCCTGATTTACGTTAAGTGAACTGTTCTTTACCAAGTCAGTTGATTTAGGTCTCTCTTCAACTTTTCAAGAAAATGAAAATGGGTAAGAAGATGAAAAGGAGGAGAAACAGGAGGAGAAAAGAGATGAAAAAGAGAGAAAGTGGAAGAAAGAGAAGAAAATTAACCTCTGAATTAAAGCTTACAGTTTTAACGACAGACAAAATATCAGAATCTTTTGTCCTCAAAATGAATAAAGCCAGAAAAACATTTACTTAGATATGACAAACTTTACACATCCCCCATCGTACACAAATATTTAAATATTTACCTGTCAAGGTATGATATGTGTGGTATTACGTTAAGATATATAGACTATTTTCTAGATAAAAGCTACAAAGGAGTATCAAAGTAATACAGAAGTTGAGTATCCCTTATCCGAAATGCTTAGGACTATAAGTGTTTTGTGTTTGAGGTGCTTTTGTTGTTGTTGTTGTTGTGTTTTGGTATATTTGCACTATACTTATATTAGTTCAGCATCCCTAATCCAAAAATCCTAAATTTGAAATGCTCCAGTGAGCATTTCCTTTGAGTGTCATGTCAACACTCAAAAAGTTTCAGATTTTGGAGTGCTACAGATTTCATAGCTTTGGATTTGGGCTGCTTAGCCTGAAATATGATTATTAATACTCTGTGTGTGTGTGTGTGTGTGTAAGTTGATAGACAAATGGAACCTTAAATTTGGTAGAGCAAATAAAAACCTACCATCTCTTAATTTTCAGAGAGTTTTAGAATCATGGAATGTGTCATCTTGAGGTCAAAGTAATTATTTTAATATTAGGGACTGGAAGCCCAGGGAGAAAAGCTCTGCCATCAGAGGGGCAGGGATAGCTGGATCTTCACCAAGGGTTTCTATTTTACTTTGTGCTATAGAGTTGCTGCTGAAAAGTGGCTGTCCATTTCCCAATCTCCCTACATCCAGGTGAGGACATGAGATCACTCTTATCAATGGACTTCTAGGGCAACCACAGGCATCCACCCCAGGCATCTCAGTTGCCTGAACCATCTTGGGTTTAAAAGTAACTGTGCTCCCTCCAATCTCCCTTCCCCAACTTTCTGACTGAATATAGAGAATCCGGAAGTTCTTCAAGATGGCGATGCCACAAGATGGAAAAATCTTGTGTCCCTGAATTATTAGGTGGAAAAATGTCCACACTTAACCAAGAATGACTATATAGAACTTTCTTTGTGAGCAAGAAATAAACTTTATGATAACCAACTGAAAAACTGAGGAATTTGCTTGCTTCTGTGGCTAGTGTTCTAACAAGTAGCACAGATCCCTAGATCCAAGATTACAGACCAGATGTGCTGATCGCCCTTCCAGTATTTATTTCATTATTCAAATACATTTGTAGAGTCCATAAATTCTTGTGTCTCTGGATGCAGTCCAGATCCCGTTACTGGCTGTATCTTTTACCTCCTTATCCCAAGAACCTAGCACAATGTGACACACACAGTAGATACTCAATAAACACTGGTCAAGTGAAAGGCCATCAGTTATCTCAACTGTAAACAGGGAATTATAACTTTTTAAATACTTGAAATTAAGATAATGGATTGTAAGATTTTGTGAGTTCTTAATGCTCTGAAATCTGTAGAATCTCTACTTCAATAAATCCTCTATAGTCTTCTGCTTTGATGTGTTTTCAGTTTATCATTGGCTCTGATATTGTAAAATTTTAATTGTGTGATTTTTTCCTAATATTTATCTATGTTTGGTACTGTATGAACTATCTGGTTCTAGTTTGAATTGAGGGAAAACATGGCTCTCTATAATTTACCAATGCAAGTCAGAGAAGCTAATATTTATTAAGGAATCGATAAGAAAAGGCTAAGTAAATTGTGTGATTAAGTCCAGACATTCTGTTTAGCATATTATATATGTCTGCTATATTTTTATTTCATAGGTAAGAGAACATATTTAGAAAGATTAAGTAACTTTTCCAATGCCAACTACTTAGAAAATAGTGGAGTTAGGATAAGAATAGAGATCTCTCTGATTTAGGAGTCTCTGATTAGGGTTTCTAATTCTCCAGGCTCAGCCACCCAGTTGCATGCAACAGAGAAAGACTCTGGCTAACCTATACAAAAAGGAAATGTATTAGGATTGAAGATGAATGTAAGAGAACAAACCTACCAACACAATTAAAATGGAACAAGGATCAAAGCAGTTCCTGGAATTCAAGGACAGTCTCTTCTTCAGAGGGCATTTGGAATGGGGACACATCAGCTTCATCTGTTTTCAGGGTTTGTGTTACTCTACTCAAGAGACGTATTCAATGGCAAAAGACTCTGGCCTCATTCAAGTCACCTGCCCACCCCTTGTCAAGGAGAGAGTGGGACACCATGGGGGGCAGTCCCACCAAAACTCTAGTCAATGGAATGAGGTAGTCCCCAAAGTAAAACAAGTGTTCATTGCTAGAAATAGGGGGAATGGACATTGAGAAGGCTAAAAAAGAGACGTCCACTACAGCAGGATGCAAGAGGAACATATGACCTGTCCTGAAGCTACCAAAAGCTACAGGGCCAACAAAATGCCAAAAGATGTATTTCTATCTCCTCCCTGTACTCAGCCAAGCTCTGGTTCAAATCCCTCCCATATTTAAGAGGATAGGCTCTGCCTTGACTCTAGACTAGAATCTTGTTATTTGCTGAATTAGTCTATTCTCGTTCTGCTAATAAAGACATACCCAAGACTGGTAATTTATAAAGGAAAGAGGTTTAATGGACTCGTAGTTCCACATTGCTGGGGAGGCCTCAAAATCATGGTGGAAGATGAAGGAAAAGCAAAGGGACACGTTACCTGGCAGCAGGCAAGACAGCTTGTGCAGGGGAACTCCCCTTTATAAAACCATCAGATCTCATGAGACTTATTCACTATCATGAGAACAGCATGAGAAAGACCCACCCCCATGATTTAATTACCTCCCACCAGGTCTCTCCCATGACACGTGGGAATTATTACAATTAACGGTGAGATTTGAGTAGGGACACAGACCCGAACCATATCATTCATGTACTAACTGTGTTTGGGCAAACTAAACCTTTGAAATTCTCAGTTTTTCACCAGGGGAAAGGGCTAGTTTCTATCCCTTATATACCCAGTTTATAGGGTTGCTGTGAGAGTTCAATTCAATAATGCAAAGAGCTTGTTGCATAGCATCTAAAGCATTCAAAAAATTCAGTAAGTGTTATCTATTACTACTATTACTAAACTACCAGGGTGCAGTTCCTGTCCTTCCTCAAAACACAGAACATTTGTGAACAAAAGTAATGGTTTTCAAATGTCAGTCCATGGTCAAGTACTCAACAATCTGCAATAAAATGAGAAAAAAATGAGTGAAATTATTTTTATGAAGCTAAATATATTCACTTTTTTAAATGTTAAGATCTTTATAAATTCATAGTGATAAAGTAATTGTTTGGGAATTTTGAAAACGTATTTATGTATTTTTAATTGCCAAATTTAAAGGTCTTCAACTTTATTTCTGTCCATAAGTTGTTTTCATTTTTACTGGCCATGGATCTTGAGACCTGAGAACACGTTGCTCACGTCACTTTATCAGTATCCTTTCCAGATGCTTCCCCCATGGTGTCCCTTGTATTGGAGTTCTTAGTCCCTGTCCCCTTGTTCTCTATCCCCAACTTCATTTTTCTCTGAAGTATTATTTCTCTGTGAAATTACACATTTTTTATTTATGTATTTATTGTCTGTCTTCCCTTTTAGAATGTGAGTTCCAGGAACTATTATTAAAACCTGTATCTTCAGCTCTTAGCATAGTCCCTGACACTTTAATATATTAGTCCAAAAAAACAAAGATTTTAGAAAACACAAATGAATAAATAATGCAGAATTCTGTAGCTGAAAAATCCTGATTTTTAGAACCAGATAGAGCTCATGTCAAAACCAGCTCTGCCATCGTTCTCATCTGCAATATGTCCATAAGGGTTATTGTGAGGGTTAAATGAGAAAATGAAAGCAAATTCCTGCATATGATAATCTCCCCTCAATTGCTATGTCTCTGGCCCTGGCTTGACTTTAGTATTGTTCCAAAATACTTTTTTCAAGTTTAATGTCCTATTCCTTCTGCAGAGGAGAAAAAATAATACCTTTCCCTCGGCCATCACAAGAGTCATAGCTGAGACCCTTGTAACAAAACACAGATTAATTTTTAATAAGCATAGAAGATTCACTTATCAAAGTTTCACTTGACACAGGAGCCTTCAAAATGGAGACCCAAAGACTCAGGGAAAATGTGTTTTTATGCTTAGGTTCCATGAAGAACAGACAGCCATGTAGAAGTATGATTGAACAAAAATGTTATGATCTAATGATAATAAATGAAGAGAAACTCAACAAGGCCTTTCTGTTTAAATTTTTCTTGGTCTCTCTTGAACAGCATTCCTTCCCCCCACATATGGGGCAGAACCCTTTGGAATGAGGGTCTTATGATCTACTTTCAGACAAGGTAGATCAGAGAATTCCTTTATGACCATGCTTCACATAGAAAGGCTGGGGAAGGTCAGAGTGACCTTCTTACTCATGAGTCTTTCTCAATTGCCAAGGTGCCAGGAGGTATCATGCTCTGAGCCCCAACACTTCAAAATCATATCCCACAGGGAACACATTCTACAATCCTCTCACATCCTGCTGCTTCAACAAGCACAGTCTGGATTAGAGATGGTGCCTCATTAGCATAGGTGCAGACTGCACCCATCCACCAGTCACAGGCACCCAGAAGGACACATAGTCTCCCTGGTAGAGACCTGCCTGTCTTGTTTCCTGCTGAGCCCCAGAGCCAAATGCAATGGCTGGCACACTGCAACTACCCTGCCATCACTGGCCGAACAAATGATTCTGAGTGGCTGGGGATGATAAGAGCAGGCAAGACCTGAAGACAAGAACACAAATTGGTACATCCTAAAAAGCATGTGGGAGTTGGGCAGCTAAAGAGAAAAGGGGGTCTCTGGGAGAAGTAAAGTGACAGAAGCAACACAGAAAACACAAAGGAAGGCCTTCCTGTTCTGCAATGATCAAGGCTTGTGGGGAGAACCGAGAAGTGGGAGATGGCTCTCAATTTCCTGGATGGTTGTTTCTTTAAAGGAAAAATCAAATGAAATATTACCATTCTCACTTGGAGAGTTTTCCATTTTCATAAAAAGCTGCACAAACTTGCTAGGAAGGTCTGTTTGCTTCTCCTGAGAGGGCAGAACCTTCACCTTCCCAGTCCTGCTGTAGGAATGTTTGACTGTTCTCTCCTGTCTACTTTCCATTCAGGTCCCAGGACAGACATATAGTGTGGTGTGGTGGAAAAAGACCTGGCATTTCAGTCAAGAGACTCAATTTGGCCTTCCTGTGACTTCATTTCCTTATCTGTAAAGTGGGCATAACAAAAAAAGTCCTATATAGGGGGGCCCTTCAGAGGGATAAATGTTATTATGTGCTCTGCACATACTGCGGAGCAGAGTAACTGTGCCTGCAACAGAGGCAGCCCTCAATAAGGGTGGAAACTGGGTTTGTGAGTCTAGGCACAGTTGTATTCTGGGAAACTTTTCTTCATCTTTCTGTCTTCACTTTCCACGTCTGAAAAAGAAAAGATGGTGATGAACCAGATCCAGCTCTAGAACTCTTTGAGCCACTGGGATATATATACGTGCTTGGGGGTTGATTGAGAAAAATAAGTCCTTTTCTTGATTTTTATGATCAATCATACCTTAGCATGTTCCCAACAGCCAAAGCTCCAGGATTACTGAGAGAGATTATTGTCTCAGTAACTTTTAAAGTTGGAAAAAAGAAGGAAAATAGGAAAGAGAGAGGGACAGAAGAAAGGAGGAAGAGAAGAAAGAAAGAAAGAAAGAAAGAAGGAAGAAAGGAAAGGAGACTCCAGCTCTACCCAGCTGGTCCTATGAAGTTGATTTGTACCCTTTGACCACACCTGGATACCTACCCTGGGGAAATAGATAGATAATAGATATATGAGAGAGACAGAGAGACAGAGATTTTTGAAAGATTTTAGATTCAGATATGTTCATGCCCTCCTTAAATGGGTAGAGAAGAAAAAATACCCCAAATATCCAACAGTTATGATCAGATAGGTAAAATTGTGGCGTAACTCCTCTACAGAATTGTCAATACCAATTTAAATGACATGCCTCAGGATTATACAACAACATTATAAATGTTTATAATATGGTGTTACATTTTAAAAAGCAGGCTATAAAATCCAACAAATAGTATGGTTAATGAACTGCATTTCTTTCTGGCTTTTTACATTTTCCAATATCCTTTAACATGTTTTATAATTTTATGATTTTTTTATAAATTTTTTAACTGCATATATAAATATATAATGATAAATATACCCTAATTTTGATACATTAAATATATATTGTGATAAGTATATCTCTATCTATCTATCTATCTATCTACCTATCTACTTATCTATCTATCAATAATTCACCAGAAACCAGTTTAGGCCATTAAGCATGGTGGCCACTCAAGTCAAGAGTTTAGCTTAGTCTTAGCTATGCTCAGATTTATTCTTTCCTTTCTCTTTTAAACATTACATGAGAGCCATGTTAGAGACGCCAACATTCTGGCAGTGGAGGAGAGGAGAATGGCTCTTTATCACCTGGAGAGTCTAGCCCCATTCATCACCCAGGACGGACACACTCACATCGCTGAGAGACAGAGAGGAACCCTGCAGAGCAAGCAACAAATGGTCAACTAATCAACTGTCTTGAAGATGACCACTCAAACTAGAGACAAATCGATCCAGCTAGCTTTATGCAACTGCTTGCCTAGAATTCCCTTCAACTAAGAGTGTTTAGTTTGCTCAGATGCCCTGCTGCTTTAGAGAGTGATTGACTGGCTCTCTGCTTCACTCTGTGATGCACAGACCCGGTTGCTGTGGGTTTTCTTCAGACTTGTGGCTTAATGCAAATGGAGGCAGAGGTTGGAAAGCTGTTGAGGATTAAAAATTTGACCTAATTTTTTAATGGTACAACTAGCTTTTAATTTAACATTAGAAAAAAACAAAAGAAGGAAAGAAAAAAGCTGTGTCATCAATCCGTGCAGATGTCAGTTACTGTTTGGTTAACGCTGGCTTTTTATTGCACCTAAAACTGTTAAGATGTATTTTGAAATTATTTACCCTCCTTTGTAATTAGAGTTAGCAAGACCAGCCTTTCTTAACACGAGAGTGTTCTTTAAATATCTGTCACCATTTGGAAGGCTTCCTCCCCTGTGAACCTATAATTATAACTTTTACTGTATTATACTGCTAAGTTTATTTTAGATGAAAAAGTTTTTGGCTCTTTGGCCATAGTCACTGAAAATAGGCTGTCAGAATGAATGAGACTACCAGGATGAAAGAAGAAAGGCTGGGCACATCTACTCTTCTTATGTTTAAAGTTCAGTGTGAACACAGCTCTTCAGTGCAAGGAAAAAGCTTTGCCACTTACAAGTAAGCAGGTTTTATGGGTTGAATGTGGCCTGCCAGAAAGACATGTCCATGTCCTAACTCTGGAAATTGTGAATGTGACCTTATCTGGAAAAGGGGTTTTTGCAAATGTAATTGAGTAAAGGATCCTAGGACGAGATCATTCTGGATTATCTAGGTGGGTCCTAAGTTCAGTGACAAGTATCTTTATAAGAGACACCTAGACAAGAGACATAGGGAGAAGGCCATGTCAAGACAGGAGCAGAGACAGGAGTGAACCAACCACAAGTCAAGGAATGCCTAGGGCCTCCAGAAGCTAGAATAGCAGAGGTTGAGTCTCCCCATGTGAACCTTCCAAGGAAGCATGGCCCTGATAATCCCTTGATTTAGACTTCTGGACTCCAGAACTATGAGACAATAGATTTCTATTGCTTTAAGCCACTCAGGTTGCAGTAATTTGGTACAGCAGCCCTGGGAAAGTACTGCAACAGCTGTGTGATCTTGGGTGCATTACTTCCTCTCCCTGGGCCACTTAATCCCCGTTTGCTAGATAAGAGTGATAACACCTACCTGCTGGATTGTAATGATGAGTAAACCTAATTTAGTATAAGAAACCCAGTGCTTAGTTGGTGTTCAATAAACAGTAGTTGAAATTATGTTGTTGTTGTTTTTAATACTATCAAGTTCACCAAAATTAAAAAGAAGCAATAATCAGAGACCCAAGAAGGCTTAGAGACTCGGTTTTTTTCACAAGATATGCTATAAAAGGCTGAACTGTCTTAATCTCCCTGTGATGGGCAAAGTTTAAAATCTTAAGTTTGCATTCAGGGAATTTTTAAATGACCTCCATCTATACTGAGATACATGCTAAATGCTAAACTTAGTAAATATTAAACTAAAGAAAGCAGTCAAGGAAACAGGTATAATTAAACTGGTGTTACAGTCTATTAACCCCCTTTATAGGAACAAAACAATGGGCTTTCCATGAAAGAAACCCAACTTGAACCACTGTCTAAAAAATCTAGTGAGAATAGAGTCTAATGTGGTTAGCCAGTCATCTTTCTCATCTCAAAAACACTCCAGTCTGGTTAAGATCAATGGACTCCTAATTTCAGGAAGAAATCCAATCTATCTTCCTTGCTTGCATGTCCTCTCAAAGCATTCCTTCATCCTTTTATTCCAATTATTAGCATCTATTTTTCACTTCCCTCATTTCCACCACAGCCATCCTAGTCCAGGCTCCCAAAAACTCTCTTGTGAATGATGGTTGCCATCTCCTAGCAGACCCTATATTCTCATGTGTGCAACTCTGTAGACCATTTGCACGCAGCAGCCAGAGTGAATAAACTTTTGAAAACATAATCACTCCATGCCAGCTCAAAGCTCCCCAGTGGCTTCCCATAACACTTGGAACAAAATCCAAGCATCTCACCCCAGACTCTAAAGCCAATATTATCTGTATCCACTCTCTGCCTCTCCCCCTGGGCAGTCACACTGGTTTTCTTTCTGCTCCCCAAATTCTTGTATCTCATTCCCTCCTTTGGGACTTTCCTGCAGTTAGTGTCCCTGCCTGCAAGGCAATTTCTTCCCTTTACTATGGCTAGCTCCTTCAGAAAGGCTATCTTTGACCATCAACCTCTTGCAATCCCATCACTCTGTTTAATTTTCTTCTTGGCATTTATCGCCATCCAAATCACCGTTTATTCATTTGTTGATTTGGCTTCTGTCTGCCTCCCGACGTAGAATATGGACTTCTTGAGAGCGGGGACTCTGCCCATCTTGCTCACTGATGTGTCCTTGCTGCTTTGAAGAGTGCCTGGCTCATATAAAGATATAAAGTGATCCAAAATGTTTATTGAACATTCAAGCAGTAGCAGCAAACAGCAAGAAGGAGCTCAGAAGTGATTTGTCAGGAGAAATACCAAAGCTTTTTCCATCATACCAACTTTTTATAAACTTCCATGAACACATTCACATACCACATCCACATATTATATACTACAACATACCACCAAACCACTTACACCATACTATGGTGTATACAGCATTCTTCTCTAAATCCACTCAGATTTTCTCCAAATACATTCATTTTAAAATTTTTATTGCATGAGTTTTATGTGATGGCTGTATTTGTCTACCTACTTTTTTAAAAAAGCTTTATTTTTAATTTAGCTTTGTTGAAAGTACATATATTTATGGTCTACACATAATGTTTTAAAATATATATACACTGTGGAATGGCTAAATCAATCTAGATACAGCATGCATTACCTCACATACTTATAATTTTTTGCAGTCCCTTAGCAAATTTTAAATATGCAATACATTGTTATTAGCTATAGTCACCATGTCATACATAAGATCTATTGTAAAATTGCTTTATTGAGATGTAATTCACATCCCATATATTCAATTCACCCACTTAAAGTGTACAATTGAATGGGTTTTATTTGTTCACAGATATGCACAACCATTACTGCAGTAACTTGGGGACATTTTAATCTCTACTTATTTACTTTTTTTTGAGAGAGTCTCGCTCTGTTGCCCAGGCTGGAGTGCAGTGTTGCGATCTCGACTCACTGCAAACTCCACCTGCCAGGTTCAAGCAATTCTCCTGCCTCAGCCTACTGAGTAGTGGGGACTACAGGCACATGGCACCATGCCTGGCTAATTTTTTTGTATTTTTAGTAGAGATAGGGTTTCACCATGCTGGCCAGGCTGGTCTCGAACTCCTGACCTCATGATCTGCCTGCCTCGGCCTCCCATAGTGCTGGGATTACAGTCATGAGCCACCACGCCCGACCTCATTCACTTTTAAAAGTGCTCATCTACATTCTCTCTGTGGGCAGCTTGCCAACCAACAGGATAAAAAGTACCTTCCTTTTGGAAAGACTGCTTGACACCCAGTATCTGGGGTAAAGAACAAGGTAGGGGTGGTTGGGTTTCCCATGATGTGTCAGGCCTATGGTTTGGGAAGACAGGAATGAGTTAGAAAGGGTAAGGGCCTATGAAGCAACACTATAGGACTCTGTGGTTTGTGGAGAAGCCTGGGGTCAGGAAAGAAGCCAAGAGTGAAGTCTTTGGTTTGAGGTATTCAGGGCACAGATCATAGTAGAAAAAAGAAAAAAAAAGAGAAAGAGAGAGAGAGAAAAGTCTTGGAAGGCATTAAAGATTGGGACTCAAGGCTGAGAGGTGAGCTTTTCTTAGGGGTGGAGGGGAGGGTATCAATTTCAAGAAGACACTTGTAGCAAGAGGGAGCAGAGTGCTTACAATAGATCAGACCAGCCTCTCTGCTCATTCACATTCTGTCTGGTTGGCCCTTAGGAGTTAAGGGTCCATTCAGTCCTTTGAGTGCATTTTTTCACTCTCCTCATCCTGCAGAAAGTGGCTGCTCAGTGACATTGCTGCATTCTTAGGAAACCAAAACCCAGACCCTAGCTGCCTCCTTCACCATTCCTGGTGCCACCCCATGAAGCTCTAACAAAACCTGTAGAAAGGAGCCTAAAGGCTCCATTGAGACTATCAAAACTTCACAAGACAAAAATAGTACACCCAACCTTTAGATGTGAAATATTGATAGAAATGGCATGATTTCTGCATTGGCATCATTTGGACAAAAGCACGCTTGCTGAGAGATCAAGCCCTCTTTGCGTTGTAAGAATCAATGAGATAAACATCACATAAATATAGTGTTGGCACATGGAGCTTTCATTTCTATTCTTCTGACACCAGACACTCTGTTGCCATGGAAATTAGTCCATCACTGCACAAACACAGCCTTCCTTCCAGAGGTGCAGAGGCACCAAACATGCCTGCATTTGAGAATCAAATTTGGCCAAATGTTGTCCTTCTACCCCATATAGAGCATGCCTCTCACATGCCTGACATTGAGTCTTCTGGCCTCATGATGAAGGATTTTGCCACATTAAGGAAGCCTCTTAAAAAGAGTACTTTCTCCTTTGCTGAAGAAAGCATCTCCCTCTGTCTTGTGTCCTCCCAGCCATCAAAGGAAAATGTGGTGCCTCATTTGCTTCAAAGAACCCAGCACCTGCTAAGGATCTGCCTATCCTGCCTCTGAGTCTTGGGGAACAAGCTCTTGAGATGTTTCAGAGCTGTTTATCTATTAAGAAGGTATCTGGTTCTATCCTAAAAATATTTATTTGACATACATTGAGCAAGACGGCTAGTTCCCAGGCATCTTTTAAGGTTTCCTAGAACACACAAAAAATGAACTCAGCTCAGCACTTGCTTCAATGTGTTCAGTAATACGTTTTTTTTTTTTAAACCATGTTCCCAGTCAACAAAGTATTATCTCTAGGCTTTCTGATTAGGTCTCATAAGACCCCAGAGGTAAGTAATGCTGCTTTTTGTACCACTTACTCAGTGAGCCTCAGAAACATCAAACCAATGTCTCGTGATTCCAAAGTCCTTGCTAAGAGCACATCACACATCCTCAGAGAACCACACTGTCTGACAGAATAGGATCAATGACAGAGGAGAACAAAACGAGATGGCTTTGGGGATGTATTTTAAATGAGGAAAATTAAATTGCATGTTGTAGGAAAATCATGGGGGAGGCAGTATTTGATGAATGGGAGGTTTGAAAGTAGAAATCAGGAGATAGATTCCTAGCCAGAGGCAACAATTACAGGTTTCTCCAAGTTTGGCTCCTCTGATACAGAGTAAGGGAGAAGTTTTCCTAAAGACTTGTCCACATTTGTTCCATGCATGCTTTAAATTCATATTGTGAGGATTAAATGAGTTAATTCAGTAAAGCTCTTGGTACTATGCCTAATGCAAAATTCGTGGTGAAACTGTTATCTACAGGATGGATCTTTGATTCCATCAAATGAAAATATTAATGATCATTGAATTTCTTCCCACACTTGTTAATATTTATGTCTTAAGAGGGAAAAACTGTATTTAGGAAAGAAATAAGTGGCCATAAATTTGTTTTGACCTCAATTTTATGTGTTTTGTTTTGTTTTGTTTTGTTTTTACTTACTGGCTGGAGAATGAACTTCATAATGTCAGGACAGTAAACTGGTTCAAATAAACTTACATAATCTATATAGAAGTAGGTCTCTACTAACATCTACCATCCCTAATCACAAACTCAGATGTAAGGGCAAATCATTTTTAGCCATCACAAAGCTCATGCACGTTAATATCTTTAATTCATGTCAAGAAACCATATTGAGCGCTTCAATATCTACATTATTGCCTTAGTCCAGAACAACTCATACTTATGGAATTCTTAGGACCTGACACACCTTCAAGATGAAAATTCTTTTCTGGTTCACCAAGGTGAGGGCAGGGCCTTGTGCTTTATAAATAAGATTCATGTGTCACACCGATTTGCTTTTACATATCACTGCTTTTTTGGAATGCAAAGAGAATAGAAGAACAAAAATCATTAAGACACACACACACACACACACACACACACACACACACACACTTAAAATTAACCCAGCATATATTATACAATCAAAGCTGTAGGACAGAGAATCACAAGCAACATAGACATCAGTGCTTGAAGGAGTAACTTGCCTCCTGACACCAAGATACCTCTGTCCTTGAAGGTATAGAGAACATCTTCTCAATGGCTGCAGTCCAAGTAGAGGTTACACTTCAGAGGTTATTGATTTGCTACAATTTATAGAGTTCTCCAGAAACTTGCTAGTAGGATTTAGTAGGTTAATCCTCTTGGGGCACCAAAACAAAGTCTTCTTGATGTGGTTTCCTGTTGGATACAGCAGACCAGATGTATCATTGCCACAGGACTTCTCAAGAAAGTCCTCACAACATCAATTAACAAACGTTGACAATGAAGGAGAAGAAATGTCAATTAGAAAACTACACTACTCTGTGGTCTGTGTGGCAAAAAGCTTCTCTCATCTCAAGATCTCTTGGGAGATCACTGGGATAGGAGATTTTGCCTTCATAATGGAAGCATTGACTCTTTGAGAACAACCTAACTCATGTTCAGACATAGTATAGTGTGATGGTTAAGCCCTCAGGCTCTGAGACCAGGTTGTCTGGACACAAATGCTGGGTTTGTAATTTAATCACTGGGGGACTCTGGGCAAACCTCTTAGCCTTTCTTTGCTTTATTTCCCTCATTTCTAGAAAAAGGTTATTAAGAAGATTAATGAGTGACTTCAATAAAACACTTTTTACTAAGCAAAATGTGTTAAACATGTTATCTATTATTATTTAAGCTCTGTTTGAGAAGGTAGGGAACCATGTAATATTTTCTAAGGTATTTACATTAAAAAGTATCTAAATGTTTTTGTTTAATTTTGTTTTATATAAAGGAGTAAGCACCACTTATGTAGAAAACTAGTTGCTTAACTAAACATAAAAAACAATAATTAGTGCATATTAATATGTGCCAGGGACTGTTCTAAACCTGGGTATATATCAGAGAAAAGAAACAAACAAGAAGATAAACATTTCTACTTTCATGGAGCTTACAAATCTTGGGGGAAACATGCAATAAACAAGACAAATAGGAAAAATGGATGGCAATTTAGAGAGTATTAAGGTCTAGAGAGAAAAAGCGATACAGGGAATGGGTATACGAAATCTCTTGCATATAACCATTTAATCAGTCAACTCTACTGAACACCTATAGAGACAGCCAGGATTGTGCTGGCCTTCTATATGTATAACATATACCCTGATTAGGTGAAATGAATGATGTGTCATTGGAAGCGTATACAGCTTCTGTTAGTAAGATGTGACCAACAGTGAGTTATGCTGGAAAGGTCAAGCTACATCCAGCCATCCTTGGCTTGTCATACCTGTAACTTTTGTAGACATAAGTTCCATTTTCAGATGACTGTGCTGTTTTGATATGACCTCTTATCCTTTTTCTGCAACTAGACAGGAACCCTCCTATTCCTGAACGTAGCACAGGGTAATGTGTATTTTGTGTTGGATCAGCCTCCAGTGGTCCATTATCCTCGTATTTGCATCTTTTGAGTTCTGTTGTTCACTGTTGGGGGCCCAAATTTTCCTGCAATTGCTGAATTATCCATGGAACTCTATCCCAGAAGCTAGGATGGAGGCTGGGAATTATGGGTCGAGGGATAGAGTCACAGATATTGACAGTCACAGGCTTTAATTAAAAGAAAAAAAGATTTAAAAAATGAGTATGAGGCAGCAAAGATGAAAGATGAAAAACCTCTGATGATCTGAGGTCAGTTATTTGTTAAGAAAACATTAACTGATTACCTGGCATTTTGCAGGGGCACTGGGAACTCAACAGCAGAAAGATGGAGATGTTTTCTATATTTCCAGATCTTTCAGACTAAAATAAACTGTGCACAGGCTGTCACAATAATATTTAACATTTGAATAGGTTTAACAGTTTAAAAAGCCCTCACTTGATCTTCAAATAGCCCCATGAAAGTAAATGCTATTATCCCCGTTTTAAATGAGGACACTCAGATCCAAAGACTAAATAAGGAAGTCAGAAGGTAAGGAGGCCATTTAAGTCATCATTATAATGGGAAATTGACAGCTCAAGTTATTTTTATAGTAAAAGGATTGACCTCTCTGCTCCTCTGGAGCTAAGGAAATATCATACTTCTAGAAACCAGGCAAAAGCAGGGATAAATTTAGCCCATACATAACTTGTCCAGTACGAAAACAAAAAGTTCCCCAGGCAAGTTGATTGAGAGGTCAGGGGATGTGTGGACAGCAGCACATCCACACAATTTCCCCAAAGGCAAACTACTATGGGGGAGCAGTAAAGGACTCTACCTTCCAATCACCAGGATTGAAATCACTCCCCAGGAGGCAAGGTCTAGTGGCAACAGGTGGCATCAGTTTCATCCCATGTTGATGAGAGGCAAGGGAGAGATGGAGGTGGGAGGAAGTGAAGAGGAAAGCATGAAATCCTTCATGCTATAACAAGCCCTGGGAGAGCACTCTCTCATGGCCTCTAACAGCTCTTTGCAGGTGGTACTATCAGCAAGTTAGGTATTAGTACCTGCACACAGATGAGAAGCAGAGGCTCAGGGAGATGACGAGAATTCCCATAACATTTTTGTTGGCACTGGGCAGGTCAAATGTCAAATGGTGGTCTCTTGGACTTTGTGAGTTTCTGTTACCTACCAGCGCTGGGCTCTGAAGAGATGTATACAGGGTGGCCGCTACCCTCAAGGAGGATGTTTCCAGCCGTCTCCTGGAAGAAAGGAAGACCCTGGTTCAGGAAATGCTTGGAGACTGACCAAAAGTAATAGTTCAGAGGAGGGAGAAGCCATCTGGATCATCTCGAAGGTGCTGAGAGCCTTCTGGAAAGTTCCTCAGTCTTGCAGAAACTCAGGAATAATCCAAGTAGATCAGTAGAATGCTTTTAATGGAACGAAATGCCATCAAAGAAACAAGCTTCCTCTCCTGGTGCCATCCATCAACTCTTTCCATGTGATGACAACAGAGGGTGTGTATCTCCAAAGCATTCACTTTTGAGTCAGAAGACAGAAGGGGTCAGGGAAGTGGCATCCGAACTGGTCTATAGCTCCGATTTCATTTTGTGAATATTTCATCTAATCCAGTATTACTCATTAAGTGGTAACGACTGTCTCTATCTTCTTTGTCCTCACTGTGTCTCTTTGCCTCTCAAGCTCCTCTCCTGTCTTCCTTCTTTCCTTCTCTCTTCTCTGTCCATTCTTTATGTCTCTGATTTTCTTTCTGTGTTTTTCCTCTCCCACGCTTCCCTTTCTTTCTCTACCTTTCATACTTTGCTGCTCACTCATCATCTTATCTCACTGACTCTCTGTTCTCTCTCTTTCTCCCCATACCTGCCACAAATATACACTCCACTCATCTTTCTCTCCCCTGTCCCATTACCTGACCTCATTATTTGGAATCAGAAAGCTATCTAAATCTACAGATTTCTAGCCACATATCATGTATGACAATGCCCATTATAGAAAATGTATGAGGGGCTGGAGGATGCCCAGATCCCAGAAAGCCAGGAGCCAGAAAAGGCAACATGGAAGTTTACAAGTATAGCAGGGTTCATATCTGAAGGCTCCAATATTTTCCTGTCATTAACAACTCAGCAGGCAGCCGGCGCAGGAATCCAGCACAGACATGCAATTCATTTAACAGCAAACAACACTCTCTAGTGCCACAACTCCACCAGGGACAGAAGGGCCCTCGAGCTCTCTGTTCTCTTTACCAAGTAAGAGAGCACATTTTCCACAGCATATCATGTCAATGTGTTTATGAAATTCATAAAATCAGAAGGTCAGAAAGCAGGAAAGGGAGACAGAGAAGTTGAGAGTTTATGGATTTCCTCCAAAAAAGAAAGCAAGAAGGGAAAACTACTGGTGCCTTTTTTGCAAAATCCATATGACTTGTCTCCAACCATATCTTCACCCAAATTTCCCATCCAAGACCCAAATATCCTCCTTGCCCAAGCCAAACATCTGTGTTTAAATAATATTAAAAAACTAAATTTTCTCTTCTATTTCACCAAACTAAGTCATATAGGGTATAGAATTTTCAAAAATGTTAACAAGTACTACTTTTAAGTGGGAAGATTAGAAATTCTTTTTTTGTTTTCCCCTCTGTTTTTATAAGTATGTATTATTATTGTAATAAAAAGATACAAATTTAAAAATTAGCAAATATCCAGTAAATCTATTGTGTTTAACCCAGCTCATTCCCCAGAATCTCCAGTGACTCCGCATCACATTAATTTCTGCTTGCTCAGAATCACCAAGGCCTTTTATTCTCTTTGCAGCACTCATCATAGCGTTTAATAGGATAATTTTATGCAGATTTTCTTATCTAAACTTCTTAATATTTCTTTAAACTAAGGCAAAGGTAAGCCCAGAGAAACCAGTGACTTGCCTATGGTCATATATTTAGTGCCAGGCTCATCTCTTCCAGACTCTTCCAGATTCTTCTAACTGCTGCACAGTTGCTAACAGTGATGATGGGATTTTTCTTAACAGTCTCTTTAGTCTCCAAGGTGGATTACTTAGTCTCTGGTGTCAGGGAGTGGATCTGGATTTGTCCGAACATATTCACTATATAGAGTGTACTCTCTTCTTGCTGAAACCACCCCAAGAGAATTCCTCTCTCCAAGCTCATTCTCCAGGTCTCTGGCTGACCTTCTTCATCCCAGACAAGCTGCAGGTCAAGAACTTCTGCAGGAAGATTCTGATGAGATTATAACTTTTTCTCATTCCTACTACTTTCCTTATTTGTTGTTGTTGTTGTTGGGGGGTGGATAGAGCTTTGATTTTCTAAGAAAATTGGCAGCCTTGGAAGAACAGGGTTGGTGTCAAGACTCAGGAGCATTCTTTCTCCTGTAGCATAGAGCAAAGCAGGCAGTGTGGGCTTTTGAAGGAACCAGACCCTTTCTACCCTGAGCCCATCAGCCTGACAATGAAAGAAATGCCACCACAAGTTGGACCATGATCGGTCTATTCAGCCTAGTGTTCAGTCTTCAACCAGATACTCCTACTACCAAAAATGAACTTTTGGGTCTCAATGAAACTTTAGAAAACAAACTGCCTTCATACTTTGTCTTGGCTTCCGCTTGGAATTCTCCCAACTCAAAATATCATTTAAATTAAGAGTTTGGGAGAAGAGAATCAGAAACTTCATCTCTACTTTTCCTGGCCAGCAACTCATCTCATTTTCATCTGACTTCTCTTTTCCCTAAGACTTAACGGAAAGGAAGTCAGTAGGGAAAGAGATTATATTTTATGAGTTATGATAACAGACCATGAAATGGAATTAAATTGATGCTTGTGGATTGCATCAGTTGGGAGCAATTATGTGTTTCATAAATGAAACGTTTGGGTTCAATGGAAGGTGGTCACAGAGCTAAATCTCAATGGAGGGGAGAATAATGATATCGAACATTGTCTCAATGGAAAATTAAATAGCCTCTTTCTTACCATTCTATAGATAGGAAAATGAGGTACAGAGAGTTAGTATACTTAAGGCCATCCAAAAAATAATCATTGCAGTTGGTATTGGAACCTAGGCAGTGTATCTCCAGGGCAAAGGTTATTTTCCACCTCCACTATATTGCCTGGGGTATGATCTGGGGTCACCCTCTTTGTGCCACTTTGTGTCCTTGTATGTAGGCTCTGTGTATGTGTAAGTGAATCATAGAGAGATATTGTACAGTCACTGAAAAAAGATGTCAATGTCTCTTTATCTTCCTCTACACCAGCACTGTTCAATAGAATTATGTAAGCTACATATGTATCATTAATTTTCTAGTAGCCACTTTTTTGAAGTTTTTAAAAAAGGTGAGATATTTTAAACTCTTCTGCTCATTTCAAGTCTCATAGTGTGTCCAGAGTTGGTTTCT
This sequence comes from Homo sapiens, assembly GCF_000001405.40. Taxonomy (NCBI): domain Eukaryota; kingdom Metazoa; phylum Chordata; class Mammalia; order Primates; family Hominidae; genus Homo; species Homo sapiens. Next base: position 128,382,854 of record NC_000008.11, on the reverse strand, counting down.
TCTGGTGGGTTCATGGTCTCATTGACTTCAAGAATGAAGCCACAGACCTTTGCAGTGAATGTTACAGCTCTTAAAGGTGGCACAGACACAAAGAGTGAGCAGCAGCAAGATTTATTGTGATAAGTGAAAGAACAAAGCTTCCACAGTGTGGAAGGGGACCCAAGCAGGTTGCCGTTGCTGTCTGGGGTGGCCAGCTTTTATTCCCTTACTTGTCCCCACCCATGTCCTGCTGATTGGTCCATTTTACAGTGTGCTGATTGGTGCATTTTTACAGAGCATTGATTGGCACATTTTGCAAACCTCTAGCTAGCCACAGAGTGCTGATAGGTGCTTTTTTACAGAGCTCTGATTGGTGCATTTTACAAACCTCTTGTAAGACGGAAAAGTTCTTCAAGTCCCCATCCAACCCAGAAGTCCAGCTGGCTTCACCTCTCAATCCACCCTCTAGACAGGACACCCCAACTGCTGTTGGGAATGGGGTGAGGACTAATCTAGCTACTTCCTGCTGGATAGGGGCAAAGAAGGGGCCCTGCAGTTGTAGTGTCCTCCAGAGGAGAACTCTCTAGGCCAGTCAAAGGGACAGTGGGTCAATCCAGGGGCCTTGGTAGAAGTTGTTAGTTGAGCTCATTTGGGGTTCCATTTGTAAGGCCATCTGTAGCTTGATGGCCTCGATCCTGGAGGAAACAAATTTGACAAGGAGGTTAAAAATACAGGGCCTGGGACAACCCTTCCAGGTCCACTTCCACTGCATGGAAGCTTTACTTTTGCTTTTGTTTTACTTTCACTTTCACTTTAATAAATCTTGCCACCACACACTCTTTGGGTCTGTGTGTTTCTCTAATTGAGCCGTAACACTCACCGCTGCAGTCCATGGCTTCATTCCTTGAAGCCCGTGAGACCACCAGCCCTTCAATCGAGAAAAGACCTTTGATCGGGACATTACCTCTTGTCTCATTTCTGGGGGCCCACCTGGGATTTCTCCAAAACAGACAGTAACATTGAACCCTTTTCACTTGCTATTCTGTTCTATCTTCTCACTAGAACTTGGAGGAAAACACCAGGCACCCATCGGCCATTTAAAAGCAACAAGCACTGCCACCGGACTTAAGACACAGGTGTGAGGCTTTCTGGGAAAGGGCTCTCTAACAACCCCTGGCCCTCCAGGCTGGGAGCATTGGTTTGCCTGAAACCAGTTCCACCTTTCTCTACCTTTCCTGGGAAAAGCTGAGGGCTGGCTGGAGGTGGAAAACTGTCCCCCAAACTCCTGGCACTGACCCAGTCAAGATCATGGCACAGCAAGAAGCCTCTAGTCTGCAGCCGCCCATGCATGCATTCCCTGCCTTTTCTGACCCATGCCTCCTGGGTCCTAATGTCCTCAGAGAATACTTTAGGCCCTCTCTTCTAGGATCTTTCCTACCCCTGAGTCTAAGAATCTTTTGGCTAGAAGCCTAAGTCGAGTGGAGTGGCAATCCAAAGACCCTTGCCCATGGTGCCCCCAGGCTTATTCTTATGCAAATATGTATCAATATACTTATATGAGACCTGTCCCTCATAACCTGTACCCTAGGCACTATCCGGGACATCAAAAGGCATGTGAGTGGCTGACAGAAGTCCTAGGACATTTTTCCTTTTGTTGCCCTAAACTTACTCCAGATTATAGAGGCCACTTTAATTACCACCTTTCCTGTTTGGGATCAGCAATTAGAACTGTAGAACTTCTCCACTCGAAGCAGTCAGACTATGGGCCAAAAACAATATAATAGATAATAGGTCCCCCTATTCAAGACCAAAGGTCAATGAATATTCTTAGGAGGGCAAATAGGGAACAGAAAATTCAGGTACAAAAAGCACTGCGCCAACCATGGTCCTCCAATTTGCCACTGCCTACCCTAAAACTGTTGTGCTTCAGTGCCATTTTCAAGGAATTTATCTTGCTGGGACAGCTCCAAGCCTGGAAATATGCTAATTGGTGACTGGTCTCTAAACTCAAAATACACCCTGAACCTAAGACCCACTTGCAGATGCAAAGACAATTGTGGGCACACTGGTAAGGAGCCACTAAAATCCAGCAGCCCCAGCCCCCTTTTTTGCAGCTAAAAAAGGGCAGGAAATGAGTGTGGGCAAAATTGCTACATCAGTAAGTGCAAATAAATCTGATAAGCAGGGTTCCATGGGTGATTGTGCACCCTGGAAAGAAAAGGACATTAGAACTGTAGGGGACACTCTAGGACTAGTGCTCACTAGGGCATGACTAGGAGCGTGGGCACTCCTATGCCCTCCCTTCAGATGGGAGATGTTCCCTCAAAAGTGAAGCCACCTCTGAGGTGTATTCTGGATAATTTGGGACCAATTTGATTTACATCTTACCAGGGATCCTTAAAGCCTACCCCCACACCCAGGTCCCCCCACTGCTCCCCCTCCCACTAGTAAGGACTCTCCTTTGGCCCTAACGGCCTGAAAAGGAACCAGACAAAAAGATAGTCAAGGAACCAAAGGTGCCAATGGCCCTCAATTGTGTCCCCTCCAAGCTGTGGGAGGAGGAGGAGACTTTGGCCCAGCGTGAGTACATGTCCCCTTTTCCCTCTCAGACTTAAAACAGATCAAACTGGACCTAGGAAAATTCTCAGATAATCCTGATGGATACATAGACCTCTTATAGGGGTTAGGACAATCTTTTGATTTAGCAGGGAGAGATATTATGTTGTTGTTAGGTCAAACGTTAACTCCCAACAAAAAAGAGGCTGCCTTAGCTGCGGCCAGGCAGTTTGGGGATCTCTGGTACCTAAGCCAGATAAATGATAAAATGACATCAGAAGAAAGGGAACTATTCCCCACAGGCCAACAGGCAGTTCCCAGTGTGGATCCCCATTGCGACCTCGATTCAGAGCATGGAGACTAGAATTGCAGGCATTTACTGACTTGTATACTAGAGGGATTAAGAAAGACCAGAAAAAAGCCAATGAATTTCTCAATGATGTCCACCATAACGCAGGAGAAGGAAGAAAACTAATTTTAAAGGATAAGTTTATCACTCAGTCAGCTGCAGACATTAGAAAAAAAACTTCAAATGTCTGCCCTGGGCCCCGAGCAAAACTTGGAAACTCTATTGAATTTGGCAACTTTGGCATTTTATAATAGGGATCAGGAGGAGCAGGCTGAACGAGACAGATGAGACAAGAAAAAGGCTGCCACCATAGTCATGGCCCTCAGGCAGATGAACTTCGGTGGCACTGAAAGAAAGAAAGGCTGGGCAGGCAACCCGCCTAACGGGGCTTGTTATCAGTGTGGCTTACAGGGGCGTTTCAGAAAGGACTGCCCAAACAACAATAAGCTGTCTCCTCGTCCATGTCCCTTGTGCCAGAGTGATCACTAGAAGGCACACTGCCCCCGAGGGCAAAGGTCCTCTGGGCCAGAGGCCACTAACCAGATGGTCCAACAACAGGACTAAGGGTGTCCAGGGCAGGCGCCAGCCCATGCCATCACCCTCACAGAGCCCTGGATAAGCTTAACCATTGAGGGCCAGGAAACTAACTTCCTCTTGGACACTGGTGTGGCCTTCTCAGTTTTACTCTTCTGTCCTGGAAAACTGTCCTCCAGGTCTGTCACCATCAAAGTGGTCCTAGGACAGCCAGTCACTAGGTATTTCTCCCACCCCCTAAGTTGTGGCTGGGGAACCTTATTTTTCTCACTTGCCTTTCTTATTATGCTTCAGAGCCCTCCTCCTTTACTAGAGAGGGACATATTAGCTAAAGCAGGGGCCATTATATAATTGCATGCAGGAGAAGGAATACCTGTTTGCTGCCCTCTGCTCGAGGAGGGAGTTAATCCTGACATCTAGGCAGAGGAAGGACAATATGGATGAGCAAAAAATGCTTGTCCAGTTCAAGTTAAATTAAAGGATCCTACCTCCTTTCCTTATCAAACGCAGTACCCCTCAGACCAGAAGCCCAACAAGGGTTACAAAAGATCATCAAAGACCTAAAAGCACAGGGGTTACTAAAGCCATGCAGCAGTCCATGCAACACTCCTATTCTAGACATACAAAAACCCAACGCACAATGGAGGTTAGTGCAAGACCTCAGAATTATCAATGAGGCAGTTTTTCCTCTGTATCCGGTTGTACCTAATCCTTATACTCTACTCTCCCAGATACCAGAGGAAGCAGAATGGTTTACAGTCCTAGATCTTAAGGACACTTCCTTCTGTATCTGTCTGCATCCTGACTCTCAATTTCTATTTGCCTTTAAAGATCTGTCAAACCCAGCTTCTCAGCTTACCTGGACTGTCCTGCCATTCATTATCAGGGCTGGGATATTAGGAGGACTATGGACCGGCATTGGAGGCATTACCACCTCCACCCAATTTTATTACAAATTATCACAAGAGTTAAATGATGACATAGAATGAGTCGCAGGTTTGCTGGTCACCTTATAAAGCCAGCTTAACTCATTAGCAGCAGCAGCCCTTCAAAATCGGAGAGCCTTAGATTTATTAACAGCCAAAAGATGTGGAACCTGTCTTTTTCTAGGAGAAGAGTGCTGCTATTTTGTTAATCAATCCGGAATTGTCATCCAGAAGGTTAAAGAGCTTTGAGACCAGATACAGTGCCAGGCACAAGATCTCCATGACACAGGACCTTGGAGTATTGTCAACCAGTGGATGCCCTGGCTTCTCCCATTCTTGGGACCCATGGTGGCTATTGTGATGTTGCTTATGTATGGACCCTGCATTTTTAACCTCCTTGTAAAATTTATCTCTTCCAGAATAGAATCCATGCAAATGGTTCTACAAATGGAGCCCAAAATGACCACCACTAGCACCTACTATCAAGGACCCCTAGACTGACCCGCCAACCTGTTCTCACACCATGACACTGAAGACTCCCCTCTCGAGGAAACCTCAACTGCAGAGCCCCTTCTATGCCCTAATTCAGCAGGAAGTAGCTAGAATGATCATCGCCCAACTTCCCAACAGCACTTGAGCTTTCCTGTTGAGGAGGGGACTAAGGGACTAAGTGGCTAAGTTGGCTGGACTTCCAGGGTCAATAGGGACTTCCCTAAGGGGACTTTCCCCTAAGCCAAAATAAATTGTAGCTGCAAGCTAAGGGATTGAAACTTCAACCAATCCAAGGGGACTTTCCCTAAGCCAAGATAAGTCATAGCTGCAAGCTAAGGGATTGAGACTTCAATCAATCATGTAGGGAATTTAAGCTCTAGCTGCAGCCTGATGTTTTTAACCAATCAGGCCCACCAACCCACAAGCAGATTGAAAATAAGCTAGTTCTATAGGACAGAAAAAGGAAAAGAGGAGGGGTCATAAGGGGTAGACAAAACTGGTTGTGTATGTTAAAAAAGTGTGTGAGTTTGTTGTTTTCATTTTCCCATACTAAGTTATATCCTTGACCAAGTTGGCTCTTTCCTGATCAAGTAGGAGGTCATTTGTGAGCAAATGTCGTCCCTACAGCATTTCATATGGACTGAACCCCATTTTGTTAGGAGGATTTCGGATTCCCAACAAGGCCATGGGCAAGAGAGTAGGCCATGGGAGATGAGTTTCTTTTGTTAGTTTCCTTAAGTGCCTCTTGAGTATAAGCATAAGACATCCAAGCCAAAAAACGGCAACACTTCTGGGTCCCCTTCCACCCTTGTGGAGGCTCCACTTTCACTTTTGTTTTACTTTCACTTTTGCTTTAATAAATCTTGTGCTGCAAAAAAAAAAAAAAAATACAGGGCCCAAAGGTGAGTAATAGCAAGATGGCTGTCATGGGACCTAGAAAGGGGAGAACCCATGTCACCAAACTCCAGACATTGGTATAAGAGTTTGAAAGGCATTGTCTGATTTCAGAAGCCTTTTCCTGTAAATGCCAGACGGCATCTCGTACTATCCCTGACTGATTAGTGTAAAAGCAACACTCTTCCCCTAAGAAGGCGCAAAGTCCTCCTTTCTCAGCAGTGAGGAGGTCTAGGCCTCGGCGGTTTTGGAGAGTCACTGCTGCCAAAGAGTCTATTTGGGATTGTAGAGTAAGGATAGATTTTGTTATTTCTTGCAAACTGTCTGAGAAATACCTTGAGAGTGTGTGGTAGTAGGATAATGAAGTAGATAAACTGGCTATTCCTGTTCCTGTAGCAGTGGTCTTTTGTAACCCTATAAGTAGGAGTATTAGTTGTATGGCCCTGCGCTGACGAACTTGAGCCTTGAGGGGCACTAATAGGGTCCGATTTCCTGGGGCAATGTCAGTGTTGGAACTTAGGAAGACTAAGGTGCAGGTGCCAGTCCAGTTGGTGGGGAGGCAGAGGTTGAAGTTCCACATAAGAAGAATATGCCTTGGCTGGGTAGACAAAACTGGCTGTGTATGCTAAAAAGGTGTGTGAGTTTGTTGTTTTCATTTTCCCATACTAAGTTATATCCTTGACCAAGTTGGCTGTTTCCTGATCAAATAGGAGGTCATTTGTGAGCAAAGGTCATCCATACAGCATTTCATATGGATTAAGCCCCATTTTTTTAGGAGAATTTCGGATTCTTAACAAGGCCATGGGTGAGAGTAGGCTATGGGAGATGAGTTTCTTTTGTTAGTTTCCTTAAGTGCCTCTTGAGTGTTTTGTCTTCTTGGCCTTCCCTGAGGATTGTGGCCTCCAGGTGCAGTGAAGGTGACATTGTATCCCTAGCGCCCTAGAAATTCCCTGAGTTATTGTGGCCTTAAAAGCTGGACCATTGTCACTTTGTAAGCTTTGGGGAAGCCCAAATCTAGGAATTAGGACTTTAACCACTTACCAAGCCTTCTCTGTCTTGTAGGGAAAGGCTTCTATCCAATTTGTGAAGGTGTCAACACAGGCCAACAAGTATTGAAATCCCTTTGACTTAGGCATATGGTGAAGTCTAACTGCCAGTCCTCTCCAGGATAGTGACCTATTCTTTGTTCCCCCAGAGGGGCCTCACGATGGACCAAGGGATTATTCCTTTGGAACATCTCACAGGATTTGACTACTTGTCGGATGGTCCAGAGGAGATTTGGCCCTGTAAACAGGGATTTAGCCATTTGATGAGTGTTCTCAAAACCCATATGAAAAGTTTGGTGGAGGGTCTTAAGTATTTTCCACTGGCTAGCTTCAGGTATGAGTACCTTTCCCTCTTCTGTTGTTAACTACCCTGAGGGGAGAAAACTATGCCCCCGCAAAAGTCCCCATTCTGTTTCAGTCAGGGAATACTGGGGCTTAATCTCTTGGAAAGGGTTATTCCATACCAAAGGCCCTTCCATATATATTTCTAATGGGAGGTTCAACATGGCAGCAATTTTGGCCTCAGTGTCTGCCTGATGGTTTCCTTCTGCTTTTTCTCCTTCACCTTTTTGATGGCTTTGGCAGTGTAAGACTGCCAACTCCTTGAATTTTTACACTGTGTACAATAACTCCATAATTTCCTTCTGGTATTTAATGTGGGTTCTCCCAGAGGTTAGGAACTCCCTTTCTTTCCATATTGCAGCATGGGCATGTAGGATTAGATAAGCATACTTGCTATCTGTATGCACATTTATTCTTTTTCCCTTTCCCAGTTCTAAGGCTTGGATAAGTGCCAGTAGTTCTGCTAGCTGGGCACTGGTCCCTGGGGGAAGAGGCTTACTTTCAAGTACTGTTACTGAGTGCTGATTGGTCCATTTTACAGAGTGCTGATTGGTCCATTTTACAAACCTCTAGCTAGCCATAGGGCACTGATTAGTGCATTTTTACAGAGCACTGATTGGTGCATTTTACAAACCACTTGTAAGACAGAAAAGTTCTTCAAGTCCCCACCCAACCCAGAAGTCCAGCTGGCTTCACCTCTCAATAGCACATGGCACTATGAACTAGCCACATTGCAACAACCACCTGTTGGACGGTGCAGCATTCAACTGAAAATTCTTCATCCTGGAAAGCTTTGGAAAACATCAATACCTGGGCCCCTTCAAAGGCCTATTAAATCAGAAACTCTGGAACCAGGGCCAGGCTTTGGTGTCTGTTGAAGTACCAGGATGCCTCTAAGATGTAGCCAGACAGTAAACTCTTAGAGAAAAATACTTTTCTTATTCCCCATGTATGTGGATTACTTTGCATAGAACCTACAACTTAGTAGGCATTCAAAATATATTTTGTGAACAAATGAGTGGGTTTGGATTTGCATTTAGACGTTCTGAGTTCTAGTCCTGACTCTGCCTCGATGTGTGATCATGACCTTACGCCAATAATGGCTTTCTGAGCCTAATCTTTCTCATTAACAGCAACAATCCCTCCACTCACTGCTCCCTTAGCCCCTTCTATCTCTGAAATTAATAACTCCCACGTATGCGCCGAGTACCTGCTATACCCAAGCACAGCCCAGCAATGCATGCCCCTTTCACCAGGTCTTCACCTCCATCTGAAGTCCATGGCCTGGGATCCACAATTACAGGGAACCCTCCTGCATTGCACTTGCTTGACACATGTAATCACTGTGTTGGTGGCATCTCTACAGCCAGAGGAAATTTAAATTGCATCTTTTGAGTCTTAATATGATGTTTCTGGGCCATTTCACATACAGCTCCTAAGATAAAGGCATCTACTCGGCATGCACAGCAGTTACACTAATAACAGGGGGATGGTGACATGCCACTGTTTATAGCATAAGAACAGATGCATCTCTGTGAGCTTCGGGTTCTGCTTACAGAGAGGAAGGGAAAGATGCCTTTCTATGAATGTGTCATTTGCATCTGTGGTTTTGTGGAAACATGAGAAAAGGCATTGTGAGCCTTAGATTAAGTCCAGGTACCCTGAAATATTAGGGAATAGTTTGTTAATGTATCAAAGCACAGGAAGGAAAGCAGGAGAGGGAAAGGATGCTGTAATGAGAATTCAGGGTAAATCCAAACTCTGAGCAGAGCATCAGACTTATGATATACACTCCATCAGTGCCAGCACATGCAGCAGCACCAGCAGTACCAGTGACTGCACCAGCACCACCAGTACTAACACAGGTAGCACCAGCGCCAGCACCAGCAGCATTAGCACCTGCACAAGCAGCACCAGTGCCTGAACCAGCACCAGCACCAGCAACTGCACTAGCAGCACCAGCGCCTGCACCAGCACTAGCACATTCACCAGCACCAGTAGCACAAGCAACACCAGCACCAGCAGCACCAGCAACTGCACCAGGAGCATTAGCACCGGTACCTGCACTACCAGCAGCATCAGCACCACCAGCACCTGCATCACTAGCAGCACTAATAGCAGCAGCAGCAGCAGCAGCACCTGCACCAGCAACACCAGGACCAGTACCACAAACAGGACCAGCAGCACCTGCACCAGCACCAGCACCACTGGCACCAGCACCACCAGCAGCAACAGTACTGGCAGCACCAGCAGCAGAACCTACACCAGCAGCAGCAGCACCAGCACCAGCATCAGTACCACAAGCAGCACCAGTGCAAACACCAGCACCAGTACCACCAGCAGCACCAGCACCATAATCTGTACCAGCAGCACCAGCACCAACACTAATAGCACGAGCAGCAGTAGGAGCACCAGCACCAGTGGCAACAGCACCAGCACTAGCAAAACAAGAACCACAGGCAGTGCCAGCACCAGTACCAACAGCACCAGCAGCATCAGCGCCACCAGCACCTGCATCTCCAGCAGCACGAGCACAAACAGCACCAGCACCTGCACCAGCAGCACCAACACCAGCAACACTGGCACCAACAGCTGCACCCCCCTGCATTCCTGGTTCTCAGCATATCCCTCAGGGCTTTTCCTGTGCTCCCTGCACACTGGAGTAGCAGTAGTTGCTTTAGTGGACTATAATCTCTCAAAGTTCCTTGTATTTGCGCATGCTCTTTCCATGTTCTTCACTTGCTAAATTCTACCCATTCTTTAAAATGTACTTGGATACTACCTCTTCCAGAAAGTGTTTTTTGGACACTTCAGCAAGCCTAGGCAGGATTAGAGATTTTGCTTTTGTGTTCATCCAGTATCCAGGCTCACTCTTATCATTGCACCTATCATCATAGAGTGCAAATCCCAAGTACTTCCTTCCCAACAGATTGTCATCTCACTAAGTGTAGGAATAGTATATTTTGTCTCTGCATGCCAAGCACACTGGGTGGACATGGCAGGCTTTTAATGTGAAGACTGAAGAAGCAACGGAGGGAGGAAAGGAAGAAACATTTACTGAATGAGGTATATGAATAAGTTACAGACGAAATTATGTCTCCCCCAAAACTATATGTTGAAGCTTTAACTTCCAGTGTCACTGTATTTGGAGATAGGGACTTTAAGGATGTAATTAAGGATAAATGAGGGCATAAAGGTGGAGCCTTAATTCACTAAAACTAATGTCCTTATAAGAAGAGGAAGAGCTGCATGCACACAAACCGCAAGAAGGAAGCCGTCTACGAGCCAGGAAGAGAGGCCTTAGGAGAAATGAATCCTACTGGCACCTTTATCTTGAACTTCCAGCCCCCAGAACTATGAGAAAATAAATTTTGCCACCCAGTCTGTGTTGTTTTGTCATGGCAGCACAAGCAGACTGATAAAGTGAGTAATAGAAGTCTTTATCCTCAAGGTATAGACAAGAAAAAAGATGAAAGAAGAAAGAGGGGTGTGTGGAAGCTGTGATGCTAGGAGAGTAACCTGCTCAGATGTCCCCTCAACAGAGAACCTGCTGAGTAGAATGAAGGAAGTCCACAGACAGCCGCCAGCTGCTGAGCCTTCAGGATCCACCATGGTGCTCAGGAGACTCAGGCAGCTCCCATCTAATGACTGAGCACTGTGAGGACAATAGAGCCAGGCCATTTTCACCTAATTCAAGACTCCTCTAGCAGCCCGTCTTTGCTCCTGGCTTCCCCAACTGCCTGCTCTATCAGTGCTGTTGTGGGTCTGAGGCTCTTCATCCCTCTTCTTCTTTCCCTCTCTGCCCTTACAGGTGTCACCCCCACATCACATTCTAAGCCTCTCCACCTGATCTGCCTCCATTTCTCCTTATCCTACATGGGCATTTCCTCCAACAAACCTCTCATCCATTTAATTCTGTCCTGGCTTTCTGGAGTACCCAATCTGACAAAGGATTGGGGAGGGGCATTCACTGAGTGCTATTTGCTTTAGAATCATCTTCTAATTATATTACTGTATCTAGCAACCTGGAGAGGAAATTTTAGTTTCATTATAAAGAGTAGGAAATGGACATGATGGAGAAGAGGGGCTTGCCCTGAAATCACACGGCCAGTGATGAAAGAGCTGCTTCCCAACTCCAAAAGTAACATGGTGTATTGTGCCTTCCTCCCATCCCTTTTGGTCCCCTCAAGCCCTGCCCCTGCCTGACACTGTGAGCAGCTCCTTTGAATGCTGGGAAGTTCTTGGCAAGTTTCCAAGGGGATGTCTCCAAGTGGCTTCTACAATAACAGGTTTCACCCCAAGGGAACTTGATGTCAAAGTCATATCCTGAAACCCGAAATATGATCCTCTTGGGGGAAAAAGAGAAGCCCTCTAATAATCACCTGATAGATTCTTCTTGCCCACTGCACAGATAAAACTGATTCACTGAGATAGTGGTATTGTAGTAAAGAAAGGATTTCGGCCAGGAGCAGTGGTTCATACCTGTAATCCTAACACTTTGGGAGGCCGAGGTAGAAGGATCTCTTGAGTCCAGAAGCTGGAGACCAGCCTGGACAATATAGTAAGATCCCATCTCTACAAGAAAATTTAAAAATTAGTCAAGCATAGTGGTGTGCACCTGTAGTCTCAGCTAACTGGGAGGCTGAGGTAGGAGGATAACTTGAGCCTGGTAGGTGGAGGTTGCAGTGAGCCAAGATGATGCTGCTGCACTCCAGCCTGGGCAGGAGAGTGAGACCTGGCTTAAAAGAAAGAAAGGAAGAAAGAAAGAGAGAGGGAGTGAGAGGGAAAGAAGAGAGGAAGGAAGGAAGGAAAGAAGGAAGGAAGGGAGGGAGGGAGGAAGGAAGGAAGGAAGGAAGGAAGGAAGGAAGGAAGGAAGGAATTGTTTAATACAAATCTAGCCATGTGCCTTCCTGAAAATTCAGAGACTGGAGTTTTTAATAATTTGGTGGGCAGGTGGCTAGGGAATGTGTGCTGCTGATTGGATGAAGATGAAATCATAGGGGTGTGAAAGGCAGTCCTTATGTGCTGGGTCAGCCTCTAGGAGGGGGTCGCAGGATTGATTGAGGAACCTTTCCTTTTTCCTATTTCCTGAGGCTGCATGAGGTCAGTTGACCACCAGAAATATAAAAGCCTGAAAAAACATGTCAAAAAATCAATCTTAGTTTCTACAATAGTGATGTTATCTATAGAAGTAATTGAGGAATTTACAAATCTTGTGACCTCCTGAACAATGGCTGGTTATTATTTAACTATGACTACATCTTGGCAAAATTCAGGCCCCTCTCATAATCCTAATCTTGTGGCCTTTCATTAGTTTTACCAAGGTTGTTTTGGTCCCTGAATGAGGAGAGGGCAGTTTGAGGAAGGAGTGTTGTCATCCTTACTTTAAAGTTAAACTATGAATTCCTCCTAACTTCATCTATGCCTAGGAATGAACAAGGACAGCTTACAGGGTAGAAGCAAGATGGGGTGAGCTATGTCAGATTTCTCTTAATGTCATGATTTTGTAAAGGCAGTTTCATAGATTTTCAAAAAAAAAAAAAAGTCAGAAAGGAAATGATGTGGAAGAGAAAGGTGTTCTGAAAGTGGGCCCCCAACAGGCTAGTCATTAGCCAAGAATGCATTGCTTAATAACTCCACTGCTAGGAACTTCACTCGCAGTCTTATGTTGCATAAATAATACAGCATTTCCACTAGTTATTATGTTACTCATGCTCATAGCCTCATTGAGAAAGAGGCAGGACAATAGGGCCTTTCACAGACAATACAGAGGGACAAAGAGTGAGTTCAAGTGAACCCAACATGTGCCTCAGAGCCACCCAAGAACTTTCGTCAAAATTCATACACCTAGCCTACAGCCCGCAGCTGCCAGCCTGTGTCTGATCCTGTCATCTCTGGAGAAGTCTATCAGGAGCTCACTACATTTAAGAACCACTGGTTTTGGACTTTATCAAATAGCTGCTGGCCTAAGCTAGTTAATTTCAGGTCAACAAACATTTACTGAGCACCTATTATGCAGCGTCATGCCAGTTGCCAGGCATACAGTTTAAATAAGATATGGTCTCTGGCCTTGGGGAGCTTGCAATTTTCTAAAGCAAGACAGGCAAATAAACAAGCAATCCCAAAGGTGAGACAAGTATTTGACAGAGTAAGGACAAGATGCTCTGGGAAAACCTAATGCAGCCTTGGGAAATAAGAAAAAGGAAAGGTTTCTTTTTCCCAGACTGTTAGGGAAGAGAGGTTGTAAGTCTGTTCCAAACACAGGAGATTCTTGAGAAAAGGAGTAGAGGTCTAGAACAAAATGGTTTCTCTTAGGTATATATTAGAGCAGCAGTTCTAGAGCATATGTGAAACGATAGGGCATTGCACTAGGTAGGACTGAGAGGTAGATCAAGGGTAAAACATGAAGCATGTCGTATGCTAGTCTAAGAACCCAGAAATCTCTTAGTCACTCTTGGCTCCTTCACCTTCCCTGACACTCACTTCCAGCTCTTTCTTCTTGATTCTCACTGCTGTGGCTTGAGTGAAAGTCCACTCATCTCTCTTGGGACTCCCCAGGTCACACTATGTCCTCACTAGGTTCCGCCTCTTGTCTTTACTTCCCCTCCAATCCGTGGCTCTTGTTGCTGCCAGAGACACTGATCCAAAATAAACCAATAATGATAATAGTAATAGTAGCTGGGGATAAATATTAAGCATTGCCACGCATTATCTTAAATTGGCTGATTTATTTTATTTAATTCTTAAATAATCCTATTAATCTCATTTTGCAGATGAAAAAAGGAGGACACAGATGGGTTTCTCACCTTGCTTAAGGAAGGCCATGTGACTCGTGAAAGATGAAACTCCAATCTCTCAGAGCCTTAGTCTCTCAGAGAGATGAAGTAATTATTTCAATGATTATTTCAGGAGCCTATCCTAATGAGGCTAAAGAAACATGACCCCAAAATATGACTGTAGGAGATCAAAACATGACACCCCAAAATATGCCTCTTTGGTGTAAGAATTATTTTGAACTGGTTATTTTGAAAAACTATAGACACAGGAGTAGCTCTGAAAGATTACTGTTTTTAAAGAGAAATTCACATCTATAATGGAATTCTCCATTTGTAAGAGTATCTCCCTTTCTGCACTAGGAAAAGAAGGACAACTCTTAAACAACAGGGAAGGCAGCTCTTAAATCTTCATAACAAAACTCTACCTTTGTTTTTCAGTGATTTTCCTGGCCACCTCCTCTTAACCAAACCTTTTTCCACATACTTATTTCTTAGTTTCTGAAAATGATGGTATTTAAGTCTGAAGTTTAAGCTCTTTCTTTGAGATCTACTCTAAAGATTTACTCCTAATTTGTTCCAATCCACACCCCCACCTTCTCCCACGATACCAAAATTCGTGAGCCCTCAGGTCCCGCATTGTAAAACGGTGTTGCCTTTGCATATAACTTATACACATTCTCCCACATTCTTTAAATCATCTCTAGATTACTTACAATACCTAATACAATTTTAATGCTATGTAAATTGTTGTAGTTTTTCAATTTGTATTATGTTTTACTGTGTGTTGTTTTTCACTGTTTTTGTTTTTTTAATATTTTTGATCCATGGTTGGTTGATGCAGAAACCATGGATATGGAGGACCAACTGTATTCATGAACTGTACAGGTTGATAAACTTGTTTTTCTCTTGTTAATCTGTCTTTTGTCATGGAGAATCTCAGTTAAAAAACATAAAAAATAGAAAATTATTTTTCCTCCCTTACACTTCCCTGCCTTAAATGATCCAGTGGCTTCCTATTTCCTACAAAGGATGAGGTCTAAGCTCCTCAGGATGGCATTCAAGGCTTGCATACAACCTCACTTCTCCTCCCCACTAGCCTCAGCTCTGCCGAGGCATCTCTACCACAGCCAGACTCCAGCACACTGGACAGCACACAGTCCCCCAGTAGCTCCTGAATGTTTACACCTCCTGTCCTTGTCCTATTCACCTCTCCCCTCCATGAACCCTTCCTCTATTAATGTTCCTGCCATGTAAAATTCTCCAGAACTTAAATTTGAAAACCTTTCCTCCAGGAAGCCTTTCTAAACTCTCCCAGAACAAGTTGATTTCTCCCTCCTCAGTGCCCCTACAGCACTTTTTTACATTATGTAGTAAGGGATGCATTCACACTACTACAAGGGGGTGTAAAAATGCCTGCCCTCCACCAGCACAACTCTCCTTTGAGAAAAGTGCTTTCTTCAACATCATTCTTGATATCCAGCACCAGGCCTGGAACTAATCATGCTTGTTGAATTATTAGATTAATGAATTGTCTTTAATACATCTTTAAAAACCATGAGGTTAGATCCTGTAAGCTGTTAACACGGGACCTTTTCAAATGATCAAAGTCCTGCTACCATGAGCTACCATGACAAAGAAAGTAACTTCGGACTTTCCCTCAACCAAAATGTTTCCTGGATACTTGGTGCGCATTGATCATCATAATTTTAAATGGTAGAATATCTCTTTTGCAATAGGTCACTGGCTTTTTATTAGGTAAAGATTCTTGAGCTCTCACGATGTGATTTGTATTGTGTCAAATACTAAGGGTTAAGCAAGGGAGTCATCCTGTCTACAAGAAGCTCTATGGATAATAGGAAAGACACACCTTCTTCTATAATACTGTTCAATAAATGCCATGACCAGGATGAACCCAAGGCACATGGAATTAAAAGACTCAATCCTTCCTGTGAAACAAAGGTAAGGCCTTGAGGAAGTAGCATCTGAGCCTGAATTCTAAAAGTAGTTTTCGAGACCAAGAGGAACATTCAAAGTAGAGGGAGATATGCATGCTGAGTCAGCATGCCATGACAAAGTAGGTTTAAAGGAACTCCATGTTATTTGGTGGAAGGTGGTCTCCTTTTAGGTTCTTCTGTGTCTGAACCCACTTCTGTGTTTTGAAATTTCCCTCCTTTCTAAACCTTAGTCAGAAACCAAACCCTACCTCCCACTATATATGCTAAAAAATGTATACATCCTTATTTTTCCATATTCTTGTAACTGAGCTATGGAATGTGATCTATGCTTACTCAATCAGTTGCCTCTACCAAAGATTTTGAACTTAGAGCAAAGAATTTAAGAGATAAGACATTGGAATATCTTGTTCTGATGGTAGCAGTAGCAGCGGTGAGAAGAATTTCCCAGGTCACTGATTATTTTCAAATGGTTTCAGTGGTAACCACAGGGTGGCCTGAGGTCTCTAGTGTGGTGGTAGGTAAGCCTATGTATAGCAGGTGTAAAATCATCCAGTGGCTTTCTACTTCCAGTCATGTATAGCAAGAGTAGCTGGGTATCTTTGCTGGACTCGTGTATGGGGTAATTTATTCTGTGGTTTTGTCTCATCATTTCCCTTTGTTGCAATTTTTTTCCAAGCCCAATTCCCCTACCTTCTAGGTGATTCTGAGAGCTACTCACTATATCCCAAGGTTGGATGTCCCAGAAGTAGACCTTGAAACAAGGATTGAGGAAGTGATGCTGGAAGGAAACAGTAAAGGAGTGGAGAAGAGAGAAATTTAAAAAAAAATAGAGAAAGAAATCCAATATATTACACATGATTAAACAGGTTACTGCTGGAGGAACCTAGAGCTCAATCCTTCTGATTTATTCTTCAGAGTTGTCCCATCTGAGGAATGAAGAACCTAGGGTATTTATTGTATAATTTCCATCCATCATTGGTTGAGGACTTCTCTCAAGCATGAGCTCCCTGGAACGTTCAGTCTGCCTACGAAAGTGTCAAGAAAAATTCTGCAGGTAGAGTCATAAATGCTCCCAACAGAATGCTCTCGACTTCTATCAAAATGGTGAGTGCCAAGGGTATACAGAGAGACACACTCAGGAGCTGCTACACTATTGCTTCAGTACATTATTTTTGCTTAAATTAGGTCTCATTAGTTTCTGTTTGTTGCAACCAAGAATGCTGACAGAACTCAAACATGAGAAGGAGCAGAAAGTAATGCAATGAAAGCTAAAAGTCTAGAGCTTATTGCTAGAGTAATGAGGAGCCCTTGAAAGGTTTTAAGTAAGGAAAATAAGTCCAATTTATATTTTAGAATACTACTACAGATTGGGGTTAATATGAAGCTATTGACACCACTAAGGAAGCTGTTTTGTAATCCAAATGTAAGATAATTAACCATTTAACCCCCAAACCTTACTATTGAGTCCAAAAGTGGGCTCACTTTGTAGTCTCAGCTATATAGACATCAAATTTTACTAGAGTCTCATAAGTTGCAGCATTTAAAATATTTAATAACAGCACAAAATATATCTGCTAATATGACTGCAGTTAAGGAAAATGTTTTATGAAGTCAATTTACTGAAGTTTATTTGTGGATCTGTGGATCAGTAGAGCAGTCTTGTGTATAAAACTTTTCATTTTCAGGAGTTTTTTTGTGTGTGTTTTCCTTCGTTCCTTCTTTCCTTCCTTCCTTCCTTCATTTACTTCCTTCCTTCTTTCCTTCCTTCCTTCCTTCTTTTCTTCCTTCCTTCCTTCTTCCTTTCCTTCTTCAGATGTTTATAAGCACACCTGTACAAATGCTCTGACTCTGTGTCATGGGGCTCTGTCAGAGCTAGAAAGGTATTATCTTAGTCTATTTGTGCTGGAATAACAAAAATATCAGAGGCTGGGTAATATATCAGGAACAGAAAATTATTTTCTCACTGGTCTGGAGGCTGTGAAGCCCAAGATCAAGGCACCGGCAGGTTTGGTTGTCCAGTGGGGACTGCTCTCTGCTTCCAAGATGGCGCCTTTCTGCTGTGTCCTCCAGAGGGGCGACGTACTGCCTCTTCGTATGGTAGGAGGCCCTTGAAGCCTCTTTTATAATGGCCTTACTCCTATTCATAAGGGGAGAAGGCTGTCATGACCTAATCACCACTTAACAGTCCCACTTTTTAATATCATCATATTGGCCATTAAGTTTCAACATTTGAATTTTGGAGGAGACACATTCAAATTATAGCAGGGCTTTATTTTATAGACGAGAAAAACTGAGACCCAGAAAGAAACACACAGAGATAGCAGCATGTTTGTTTTTCCCTTCTCACTAATTCTCTTCTATACATTTCTCCCTATTCTCCACCCACTGGTACTTTAACTCTTCTCTTTAAAGTTGAACAGGAAGAAAATTTGAAGGAGGAAAAATGTGTCATCAGCATTTGTTCATCTGTTGTGCTCATGCCTTCCCAGGACAGGTGCTGCAGAATAGGTGCTCTTCCTCACTTCTTTCCTTCCCACATTCCATCTCTGCATCTGGGACAGCCTTTTCAGAAGTGGAAGGGGCCTCAGGAAACATTCGGTTCAAACATGGAATTAGAATATCACCATTTTGCAACTTCTGTGAATTGTTGAATCATGGCTTCAATAAAGTATTCTTGCCAAAAAATAGAACCTGGCTCCAAGAAAAAAGAACATGCTAATGAGGTCACGAGGATGCAGTCTGCAAAACCCAGACTGTTGGAGTCAGAAACTCTAGAACAAGCAACCCAGTATCTTCAACAACACCAATGAATGAAAATAAACAAATGAATAAAACAATTGAAGGATGACACAAAATGAAAAACAAATGAATAAAAATAAAAATTTTCAATGGAATAAAAGAGAAAATGGAAAAGCTGTAGATTTACAGAGATAAACATCAACCAGTTGACATGTATGGAACTTATTTGAAATGATTCAAACAAAATGCAAAAAAATAAAAAATGCAATAAAAAATTGAACACTGCATATTTTATGGTATTAGGTAATTGTTGTAGAACTCTTGAGTTGTGATAATTACATTGTGGTTATGCTTTAAAAAACAAAATAGAGTCCTTATGTTTTAAAGATGCATATTGAAATATTTATGAGTTAAATAGTATAACCTGTGGAAATTTGCTTCAAAAGATTCATGGAGGTGGGGAATGGGTGGGGTTATAGATTAAACAATATTGGACAATAATTAATAATTGTTGAAGCTGCAAACTCATTATACAATTCTTGTTTTTTGGACACTTCTAAATTTTGTGTAATAAGTTTAAAAATAATACCAGTTTCTTTGTGTGTTTTGTTCCTCTACCTTGCCCTCTCCCACTCCTTCTGGTACTATCCGCCCCTAATTCCCACAACTCCCAGAGTATTTTAACACTAAGCATGGCCAGTTGCTTGCCTTTACTTATGCTGTTCTCCACCTCTGGGTGCCATTTCCTCTCTCTTCCACCTATTCACACGTTAAGACCCAGTGCAAAAATATTATCTGTTAAATCTGCTTATTATCTCTATCCTGGGGAAGAGGTGATTAATCTTCCCCTGAGCATCCAAAGTTATATATACACATATATATATATATGTATATATATATACACACATATATATATGTATATATATATACACACATATATATATGTATATATATATACACACATATATATATGTATATATATATACACACATATATATATGTATATATATATACACACATATATATATATGTATATATATATACACATATATACGTATATATATACACATATATACATATATACGTATATATATACACATATATATACGTATATATATACACATATATATACGTATATATATACACATATATATACGTATATATATTTACATATATATACTATATATATATATATATCTCCACAGTAGTATCTACACCAGTATGTTAGGTTAGTAGAGAGTAGAGCTGAGATCTCTAAAGGAGTGTGAGTTCTTCACTCACTCATTGTATCATTAAGCCATTACTTTTTGAGCACCTACTCTATGCCAGGTGCCATGTGTCTGTGAGTGAGATGGAAACGAATGGACTCGGTCTCTGCACTCAAGAAATCCCCACCTACTTGCTGAAACAATTCATTTTAAAACAACTTCGATCAAGCCAAGTTATACCAGATTGCAATGGAAATGTAAAGGGAGAAGAGACCAATAAAGAAGATTCAGCATAGTCATTCCTTGCAATTAGACTTGATGGTCAAGATGTTCAAAGGAAGCCAAGGTGCATCAGAGCCTGCTCAACTAAGACAAGGGCATGTACAAAGAAGGTCAGTGACCCAAGGAAATGTTGTTCATTTGGAAACTAGCTCATATTCTGATGAGGGGGAGAATGGTAGGATAAAAAGACTAAGTATGGAGCCCAGAGCCACATCAAGAAGAAACTGTATTTTTCGTTGTTGGTTCTTTAGTGCCTAGCACATAGACAGGCCCTTGATAAATGTGCATTATAATAATGAGCCAAGACATAATCATTGAGCTTATGAGCATCAATTTGACTACTAGGTTAAATTAATGCAATACAAAAATGAACAGTGGTTTAATATTTTTCCCTTTTATTCTTTTTTTTTCATATCATTCCAGTTTGGGGTAAATTCAAAGCACAGATGATTCAGGAATGGACAATTCTGACAAGAAGAGAACACTCTTCTGATAACTCTCTTCTGGTGCTTCATCTCTCCTGTTCTGAGGCTGTTCAGGAGGGCAGCTATTGAAGAGTTAACTCCTGGCAGGATTCCAAATCTGCAGCCAGGAGGCCAGCAGCTTCCTCCTCCACCTCCAAATCAATTACACAAGAAGGCTTCACTCTAAGTTTTTCTTTGATCATTATCTTGTCCCCTGTTACAAACCCATTCTCTGTCTTGCTGCAGCAGCAGGGGAGAAAAACGGTGTTAGCAGACTGACTGCAGATACCTTGGAAGTTTCAGCCATTGAGAGGCCACCTGCTGATGCTTTTGCTCTGCAGAACTTCAGAGGGGAACCCCATACATTTAAACACCAGAGGGGAGAAATGCTGGAAATAGATGCAAACTCTACCTCCAGAGGCCTGGCAGTGTTCTCTTTAGGCTTCAAGTAGAGCTGTTCTCTGAGGAGGCATTAAAAAAAAAAAAGAAAGAAAGAAAGAAAAAGAGAAAGAAAGAAAGCAAAAGAAAGAAAGAAGAGAGAAAGAAAAAGAAAGAAAGAAAGAGAAAGAGAAAGAAAGAAAGAAAGAAAGAAAGAAAGAAAGAAAGAAAGAAAGAAAGAAAGAGAAAGAAAGGAAAAAAGAAAGAAAGGAAGAAAGGAAGAAAGGTACTGGTTAAGGAAACGGGGTGAAAAAGTAAAATTTTAACCAACACTGAGTGCCTCTGGGCAAGAGATTTCTCTCTACTGGGACTCAATTTCCTCATCTATGAAGTGGTGACCTTTTAAATACCCTTCAGTTCTTGAGGATTTATCTATTTCTGGGAAGATGGATGGATGAATGGATGGATGAAATGATGGATGGATGGAGGAATTGATTTTTTAAAAGGATTACATAGACAAATACAGATGATCAGAGATAGATTATATTGATGATAAAGATGAAAGAATGATAGATTACAGAATGAAAGAGAAAAGAGTGAGCAAGAGAGAGAGAAAGAGAAAGAAAGAAAGAAAGAAAGAAAGAAAGAAAGAAAGAAAGAAAAGAAAAGAAAAGAAAAGAAAGAAAAAGAAAGGAAGGAAGGGAGAGAGAGAAAGAAGGAAAGAAAGAAAAAAGAAAGAAAGAAAAGAAAAGGAGGGAGGGAAGGAGGGAATAGCAGATATGGCATGAGAAGATTTGGATCCAGGTGAGAACAGGACCCGGGTTTGAATCTTTGTTCCACTGGTTATTAGCAGATTTTACCCAGTTCCAAAATCTATACATTGTCTCATGTTTTCACTCCTCTTGGTCTCAATTTTCTCAACTGAAATTAGAGAAGGACATTTCACTGTGTATAAGGCTAAATAAAATAATATGTAGAAATTGCCTCACATTACTTCATAGCTACCTATTAGATGTAAAGTAACCAAAAACTACAATAGATAGAAAAGTTCATTGGTTCTCAGAATCGTCAAAAGAAGCAAGACATATGCAATTGCCAGGCTTGCATATTCAGTTGTCTCTCCACTTGGATGTCTCACATCTATCTCAAAAGCAACCTGTTCCAAACTGAAAGTTTCATCTAACGCCTAATCTTCTCCTTTGTCCTCCCTATTTCATTGAGAGAACGCCTGTCCATCAAGTTTCTTAAGCCAGGAATCTGAAAGACATTCCTGATCGCTCCTTCTCCCTAGCCTTCATGTTTAACTTTTCACCAATTCTTATCAAGTTCACTTCCAAAGTACCCAAATCTCCTTCTTCAGCTCTTCATCAATGCCATCCTAAATCAAGACATTATCATCTTATTTTCTGGACCACTCCAGGGACCTTCTAACTGTCCTCCCTGCTTCCACACTTGCCCTCTTACCTCCTTTAATTCAATCTCTGTAAAGCCACAGAGAGATTCTCTGAAATTGTAAACTGCACCAGGCCACTTGTCCACTCAAAACATTTTGGTGTCCCCTTTTGCCCTTAAAATGTAATCCAAGGCCAGCCACAGTGGCTCATGCCTGTAACTCCAGCTTTGGGAGGCCAAGGCGGGAGGATTGCTTGAATCTGGAAGTTTGAAATCAGCCTGTGCCACATAGGGATACTCCATCTCTACAAAATAAATAAATAAAAAGTTAGCCAGGCATGGGGGAGCACCCCTGTAATTCTAGCTACTCGGGAGGCTAAGAGGGCAGAAGGATCGGTTGAGCCAAGGAGTTTGAGGTTGCAGTGAGTTATGATAGCTCCACTGCACTGGAGCCTAGGTGACAGAGTGAGACCTTATCTCTAAAAAAGAAAAA
Source organism: Homo sapiens (assembly GCF_000001405.40). Classification (NCBI taxonomy): domain Eukaryota; kingdom Metazoa; phylum Chordata; class Mammalia; order Primates; family Hominidae; genus Homo; species Homo sapiens. The sequence continues at coordinate 128,360,049 of NC_000008.11, read as the reverse complement.
AAAAGATATAATCCAAATATTTTTCCATAGTCAGCCTCGCCCTCTGTGCCATAGCACCCCGGCACTCTTAGCTTCACGGTGTACTGTGCTTCCTCCACACCTCTGTGTTCTAACTACACTGCTCTTCCTCCATACTCTTAAATACACCAAGTTTAGACTTCAGAGTCTAAACTCCCATTCCTCTTATTCCTCTAGTCTACCCCCTTCCCACCCCATCTCATAGGCTGACTAAGTTCTACCCATTCTCTACCAGGAATATCATTCAAAAGATTTCCTCTGACTCCTCAATTAAATTAGCCTCCTGGTTACACCATCTCTTAAAACCCTCCATTTTTCTTTATGGATTCCTGTTAGTGTGAATCTGTGTTTTTGTATGTGATTGTCTGTTTCAGGTCTGTCTCCTAAATCAGACTACCATGCCTACAAAAGCAGAGATTGTACTATTGTTGTTTTTCACTGCTGTATCCCCAGCACTTTGCCTAGTTCCAAATACATATAAGCCATGAACATTTGTTCAATTGTTGAATGAATGAATGAATGAAGTTACTGTATCTTCAGTGGCTTCTAATAAAAATCAGTGTTAAGATGTAGTGTCTTAAATAATGTTTCATCATTTTTTCACAGTTAAGCCTCAAAAATACTTAAAAAATAGGATGTTTCCAAACTGAATTTCCTAGAACATTGGAATCAAGGGAGGCAGGGTCAAAAGGAAATTAAAAGCCTTCTCATCCAATCTACAATTTGAACTTCAAGTTTTTTTTTCTCAACTTAGTGGCATTCTTTATAAAAGTAATTGTGATATAAAAAGTATTAGTGGTTGTGTTGAAATGGTAATACTAAAAAGTTTTTTTTTTATTTTTAGGTATTTCCCAATTTTTTATTATTTTATATAATTTTATATTTATTCTTACAATGAAATAAATTCTATAAATGCATTTTTACTTTCCTAGCTTAGGTAGCAAATAGGAATGAATATGTTTGACTGGTGAAAAGTTTGCTATTATTTTGTATTACTATCAACATCATTACCATAAACAAACATTTCCTGACCAGGGATCTACTTAATGTGAGGTTCTAGGTTCTCGGTTCTCTTTCTGCAAATAAGATGACTATAGCCAAAAAAGGTTGAGAATCTTTTCTCCTAGTCTCACAGCGAATAAATGCTGAAAGCACTATACTAAATTGAATGTCCGACTTGAAAATCCATGCAATGTACAAATTTAGAAATTGAGACAAATCCTTGAAGCAATCAATAATCACAAAGATTTCTGGCAGGTTCTACATTTTCTTCTCTAGACTCAATTTGCCAACAACCCAGATGCACGTTTCCCCTAGTAACATCTTCTTTCTTAACTATTTTATACTTTATTACATATTTTGTGCATAGAAAATCAATATCTATTCCATGAAAATGAAAGTACATATTAACCCACAATTCAACCCACCAGAGGAAACATCATTCATTTTAACAGTCCAGATGAGTGAGTTCCATGCTAATAACTCCAAATATTGTTTGTGTTATGGGTGATAATATTTATTGTCAAAGAAAAAATAGATATCAATGTTTTGTTTATTTTTTAAATCATCATATGGCAAACAATAACCTCCCTTGAAAATTTAATCTAACAATCATTGCTGGTTAATATCATCCAACTAATTTGGAAGTTTGAAAGGAGAAGTACATGATTTGCTGCAGTTTACTTTAACATGATGCCCAACACAGTTAATGTTTACAACTCCAAGTTGCTCACCTTCACTAAAAGCCAGCCTTGCACATCAGCCCTACAGGGAAGGACAGCTCATGACAGAGTGAAAGGTGGGCTCCAAGATAAAGAGTAACCCAGCTTTCCGGAAAGCTAAGGTTCAAATGCATCTGGTTTCTATTAACTGGGATTGCAACAGCCTCTTCAAAGGCAAAGAAAATTCCTCCGTCCACAGCTATAAATGCAGCTTCCTCCAAGCTGGCAGGTATAGAAAATGATACTGGGTCAGAGAGTGAAGCTCTCAGTGGAATAGTTATTCTTTCATGCTGATTTTAGACAAATTGGCTTTGTTTGTTTAGTAAGACAAACAATACTTGTTCATTGCAAATAAAAAATCAAAAGCCCCATTCATCATAAACAAGAATTAATTGATATCCTATTATTAATGTTTTTAAAAATGTATAACAAAATGAAAGCATACAAGCATTTTTCATATATTGCTATATTATGATTATCCTTTCTAACAGTTTAATGCTGCCTCATATCCAGTTGAAAAGATGTATGGTTTGCTTCCAATTTCTCCCTATTATAAACATTTCAGCAAGGAGCACCTTTTATACTCAACAATTCATTCTACAAAGATTTATTGAACACCTACAATGCCAGCCACATAGTGTCTAAATTTTTGCTCACATCCTTAATTATTTCTTTAAGGTAAAGTTCCCAGAAGTGGAACTGTTGGGAAAAGTATACTTTTCAGATTTTGATTGGAATTGCCAATTGTTCCCCCAGAGAAGCTGTACCAATAGATACTTCTATCAATACCACCTGTGAATGAATGTCTACCTCACCCTACCTCCACCAAGGAAGGCAACAGGTCTGGTTTTAGAGCAGTTTTACTTTCAGTAGGCCTCAGACAAGTAGCAGTAGAATCATATGGTAATACACATTCTCAGCCCCCAGACCAGATACCTACTCAATCAGCAACTCAGTTTTCAAAAACTGTTTTTTTTTTTTAAATCATTTTACTTTAAGTTCTGGGATACATATGCAGAACGTGCAGGTTTGTTACATAGGTATACATGTGCCATGGTGGTTTGCTGCAGCCATCAACCTGTCATCTAGGTTTTAAGCCCCACATGCATTAGGTATTTGTCCTAATGCTGTCCCTCCCCCCAACCCCCAAAAGGCCCTGGTGTGTGACGTTCCCCTCCTTGTGTCCATATGTTCTCATTGTTCAACTCTCACTCATGAGTGAGAACATATGGTGTTTGTTTTTCTGTTCCTGTGTGAGTTTGCTGAGAATGATGGCTTCCAGCTTCAGCCATGTCCCTGCAAAGGAAATGAACCCATTTTTTATGACTGCATGGTATACCATGGTATATATGTGCCACATTTTCTTTATCCAGTCAGTGTGGTGATTCCTCAAGGATCTAGAACCAGAAATATCATTTGACCTAGCAATCCCATTACTGGGTATATACCCAAAAGATTATAAATCATTCTACTGTAAAGACACATGCACATGCATGTTTATTAAAAACTGGGTTTTAACAAGCTCTTCACAGCATTCCTAAAAGTTTAAGAACCACTAATTTTGAGCATAAGACACAGAGTTATAAGTGCTACCACCAAGGAACTCACACCTCCCTTGACCCTTCCCACTGACTTTTTTTCTCAGTAACCTTCCCTATGGCTGACTGACAGGTAGCTCTTCAACAGGGGCCCTAGGGGATTATAAACAACGTTGCAGTCATTTTGGCAAGAAAGTGAACTCCAGAACCGAGGTGGGTGCAATATAGAGATCAGTAGAAAGGATAGAAGTACATGGTCAGCAGCCGAGGGCCTGAGAAGAGTGGCCACAAGGTTTCTGTGAAAAGAGCAGTATGTGGAACCAGGACCACTAGCGGGAAGACTGGCTTTGAATGTCGGCCCCAGCTCACTCCTAACTCTAGGACTTTGGACAACAACTTCTCTAGATCCTTAGTTTCCTCTTTATTTTATCAGGAATAAAAAGTTCCATTTTGCAGGTTGGTGTGAGGTTCACATGCGAGAAGCAATGTGAAATTCTTTGGAAACTGTCCACATCAGGGGGCAACATTATTATCACAGACTTGAGCGTGGGTGGAGGGGAAGGTTGCTCTTCCTGTGCGCAGTCCCCCTTCCTCATTCTGACCATGAAATTCACATTTTCCTGAGAATCTTCAAAGGCCCCATTTATCAGCCATGGAAATACAAAGCAAACACCCTTCTTGGCCTTCTTTTACGGGGTATCACTTACACTTCCCATTTGGAATATTATCCTTCTTATCTCCAGACTGCAGAAATGCATGACCCACCACCTCTCTAAGTTATATGGAAAATTACTTAGAGGGAGCACCCTCGTTGCAGAGAAGGAAAAAAACTGGGAAAGTTCAGCACACTATTGGGGAAGGCGGCATAATGTTTAGTGTCCAAAGATAGAAGCTCAAATCCTGACCCTTTTACTAGGACGAAGAGTGTATCCTTGGCCATTATGAGAATAAATACCCCAAAGCAGAAGAAAGTTTTACCCCCTACAAATCTGCTTTCTCTACATTCTCTCATCTCAAAAAATAGCTCCGTGGTTTCTCATACCAGAAATCTGAATTATGCTTGATTCATTTATTTCCTCACCTTCCAAGTTTAATTGATCACTTGATTCTACACTCTTAAGCAAGTTGCTTGACCTATGTGTCAGTTACATCATCTGAAAAATAAAAGATAAAAATGTATCTCATCCCAGTTTGTTCAAAAATTAATTATACAACATCCTTTGAGTCCTTGACCATCTACTCTGCTAAAAATACCAACAATGGCTTTACAGTGTAAAGTGGCACCTCTGAGACCCATTACATAAATATTCGTGGGGCCCATGCTGTGTCCTAGGTACTGTACAAGGGGCATAACAATGAAAAAGACAGGAAGATCCCTGTCTCCTGAGGGTCAGGATGTCTCTTGGGGTGTGTAATCTAGTAGGTGGACAGGTGGTTGGTGGAGGGAGAAATAGACAAAGGAAACAAGAATATCAGATTATGGTAAGTGCTGTCCAAAGAGAGCCTTAAAGTAAGATGATTTAATAGAGTAGATATGCGGCTATCTGAAACTGGGTGGTCAGCAATGGCCTCTCTAATGAGGTCACTTTAGGCTGACATTTGAATGACAAGAAGCAGCCAGTCATGTAAGTAGGATGAAGGGACAGGAGGCATCAGATGGAGGAAATAGCCAGCGCAAAGACCCTTAGGCATGAGTGAACCCAGAAAGGCTAAGGAATATCAAGGAGGCTACCACGGCTGGAACATGAAGAGTACCAAGAGAGGTAAATTATAGCTACCAGGGTGTTGGGAGAAAATCAGAGGGCTTCACAAACCAAAAAGAAGGAATTGGAGTTTGTTTTGTTTTGTTTTTCCAGTGAAAAGAGAGTCCGGCCAAGGGTTTTAAACACGAGAGTGAGTTGGTTTTATTTGCCATTTCAAAAGCTCACTCTGAGTACTGCATGGAGAAAAGATTGTAGGATGACAAGAGTAGAAAGGAGATCAGTGAGAACAATACTTGCAGTAGCTCAAGCAAGAGAAAGTGGTGGCTTAGAATGGAGTGGAAGAAGGGAGTTGGAAGAAAGGGAAAATTCTGGATGTGTTTTGAATGGAAAGTCAAGAGGACTTGGTGATCCAGTAGATCTGGAAGTTGTTGGGAAAAAAAAGAATCAAGGATAACTCAGATTTCTGGCACGAAAAACTATGAAGCTACTTGCTAGGATGGACAAACTCTAGGAAAAGCAGTTTTGCAAAGGGAAATCCAGAGTTCTACTTTGACCATATTATTCTTGTGATGCCAAAGATGCTTATATGGAAATGTGAAGCTGGCACTTAGATATGAAAGTCTGAGCTTCCAGAGCACATTCCATTCAGACTACAGGCAAAAATTTAGGAGTTATCAGAATCACGGATACCATTCAAGGATCAACTTCTTGAATGTTTCTACACATTGATATATTCTAGATTTCTTGTTACATCCTAGGGAAATACAAGTGAACAACATAGTTTCTGCCCTCAAGATATTCCCACTGCCATAGAGAAAAGAGGTCAAGAGAAAAATTGATCATACCATTTGTAAGTATTAGGATAAAGGTGGTTATGAGGTGCAGTTTGTGTGGCATTCAGTCATGCTCCCAGGTCTCTCTAGTCCTTGGTTCTGCCTCCCATAAATGGGAATAATACCACCTGTCTTGCCTATAGAGCACTAGGTATCTCAAAGGAAATAATGTAGATGGAAGTAAATGAAAAACAGAGTGTCCTGAATTATTATCCCAATGCAAAGAGGGAGAAAGCTGGCATGAAAAGCTTATTAACAAACTTTCCAGTAAAACACAGGGCTAAGTTCTGGCTGATAGGACTTAAATGTGTCCTCCTATCTAATCACTGCAGCAGGAAATGTAATTCTTCACAAGCCAGTGTTGCTATGAGGGAATTTGCATGAAGTCTAAGATAGAATGGAAAAGTTTTTCTGCTGCTGCTGCAGCTGTGTGATAGCTACCAAAAAGCAGGCACAAAGGACTTAGAGACTGTTTGTTTCAAAACAGCCCAACCTTGACTTTTAGCAAACCTTCAATCTTCAAACATTCTACCAATGACATCACACTGTCCAAATGTGAAAGCAATAAGCCATGGAATGGATATGCCTTGATTCAAACTTTGACATTATCCTTTAATAACTGTGCCTCCTGACTAAGTCCCTTAGCCTCAGTTTCCTGAAATATGATATGGCTGTGCTAACCACCTCCTAGGTATCTATGAGAATTCATCAGAGCTTTCAAGGCACATAACATGGTGTGTGTGGTACAAAATGAGTGACTTTAAAATGTATTAATATGAAAAGAAAGAGTGGCATATGAGTTTATTCAAATCCTTATTCACTTGGAAAGGTGACAAGTGGGTTATGTTAATCTGGGCATTGGCAGCACCTATCAGAATAGAGGTTCCCTACATGTTTGTGAAATGGACAAATGACATGCAAAATAGCTGTGTAGAGTCCTTGAAGGACACAGTAAGGGATCTCTGGCTAAAAATGCTTTCCTCCACACCAGAGACCCTTCCCTACTGAGCCCAGCTGGTGCCCAGAAGTTAGAAAAATCAACTTTATAATTCACAATTTCAATGGCACCTTTGTTTGAGAAGACTGACACTGGAGCTCAATGGGGGGAAAAATGTTCCCGTCACTATATAATTACCTCAGTTTTCTTCCACCCCTCTAACTAAAGGAAAGGCTTACTTTGACAAAGAGAATATTAAAATCTGCTTCTGCTCTGGCAGGTTTGAAAAAAAAATGTCATTGTGAAGATTCTTCTGAACATGATCATCTTTTACAGCAGGAAGAATATTCATTGCAATAAATTTTCTTCACCTTGTAAAAGTTATTACACAAAAAGCAAATGTTTCCTTAGGCTAACATTTCTCAAAGTGTTATCAGTTGGGCCACTGGATCTCAGAATGTTAGTAGATATCATTGGGAAGACAAGAGCTCCATGGTACCCAGGTTTGGGAAAGACTCAAATAAAACTAAAAACTGGGGTAAATGTTGAAGAGGTATTTTTACTGTAGCATTGTTCGTCTTTAACATGTTAATGTGCATTGTCAGTTCTCAAGAGAGGGTGAATCATTGCACATATTCTTTGGATTTCTAGAGCATCTCACAGGACTTTCCACACTTTGAGAAATGTTTCCTGGAGTCAGGGGAATAGAGCACATCAGCTTTCCAAATCTCTTCCATCCAAAATCAGCTGTCATTTTCTGCCATACGCAATTCAAATGGAATTGACAAATCAGCTAAGCATGTTTGTGTCTCCTGGGAAATGTTCCCTGTAAACCTCATGAGTCCACTTATTTATTCATATGAGGATTCATTTACTCATCAACCTATGTCAGAAATCTGCTATGGACCCAGCACTGTGATTAAGGCAGAGATCTGTTCTCTTGGAAAAAAGATGATGTTGAATCCCACAGGTGATAGAAAGAGAGAGGAAGCCTAGGACAGGATGGAGGGTTTAGAATGGAGGAAAGCCTGAAGAGACAGGAGAGTGAGAAAGAGGCAGAGAAGTAAAAGCTCTATTTCATTACATGTATTTATTGAGAGCTCACTGTTACCAGGCTCTTTGCTAGGTATAGCAAGCATGATAGTGAACAAGGCACAAACCCAGTCTTTGAAAAATTAACTCTTTTGTTGGGAAAAGAGAGAATCAGGTTTTGCTTTAAGGAAGACCATGTGGGCTACCATGTGGAAGGGGCAAGGCTGTGACTGGCTTATAGGTAGAACAAGCTAGGTAAAAAGTGGGAAGGCCTAACCAGGAACAATGACAATGGAAATGGGGAGAAGATAAACTGAAAAAATATTAACAATATAGAATGGACAGAATGAGATTAGTGGTCTAATTTGATGATTGAATGGGAGACAAAAAACCAAACCCCCCTAAAAAGACTTCTAGGATTCTAGTTTTTAGCAACCAGGCAGAAAGTGGTGCCAATCAATGAGATGGGTGGGTGATGGAGGCGTAATGATGTGAGATGGTGGGGCTGAGGTGTGTGGAGGGTGTTCAGGAGATCCCAGATGCACAACTGAGGAGTCAAAGATACATTTCTGAAATTCAGAAGAGGGAGCAGACCACAGGAAGAGATTTGGGGTTATCAGCATAAATATGGTAATTTAAGTTACAAGATTGAGGGTTCATACAGGGAGAGTCTAGAATGAGAATGAAGGAGCCTCCAGAAGACACATGACTTCACCAACACATCAGTTTTAGCCCACAATCCTTATTTCACACTTCTGACCTCCAGAACTCTAAGAGAATAAATTTGTATTGTTTGAGACACTAAGCTTGTGAGAATTTATTACAACATCAACAGGAAATGAATACAGATAGACACAGAGGACCCTAATTCAACTTGCAATCTGAAAAGAGTGAACCTTGTAGGTACCCTTCCAAGAAGAAGCGAGCATGCCTGATCTTCTAGGTTCTTGCCTGCTCTGTGGTCAGAGAAAATGGAAATTGGCCTCCCATTTCTTGTGGACTTAAGTTAAGCACTTCAGCATAGCACAGCAGTTGAAAGGGAAGCACTCACACACTGTGTGATTGCATTTGTATAAAGTTCAAAAATAGGCAAAACATACGTGTGCAAATCATCATTCTCAGTAAACTATCGCAAGAACAAAAAACCAAACACCGCATATTCTCACTCATAGGTGGGAATTGAACAGTGAGATCACATGGACACAGGAAGGGGAATATCACACTCTGGGGACTGTTGTGGGGTGGGGGGAGGGGGGAGGGATAGCATTGGGAGATATACCTAATGCTAGATGACGAGTTAGTGGGTGCAGTGCACCAGCACGGCACATGTATACATATGTAACTAACCTGCACAATGTGCACATGTACCCTAAAACTTAAAGTATAATAAAAAATAAATAAATAAAAATAAAATAAAATAAAAAATAGGCAAAACAAACCCACCATGTTGGAAATCAAAGTGGGGATGATCTTTGGGCTGGAGGGAAGGAAGAGTGTTTGGAAGTAAGCAAGTAAGTGGAGGGGCTCCTGGACACTGGTTATGCTCTACTTTTTGACCTGGATGATAGGTTCCCAGTTGCCCTCACAATGTGATAACACAAAGATTGGCAACACTTTTTAGGAAGAAGAACAGATAGCAAATAGTTCAGGCTTTGGGGGCCATTCTTCTCTGGCTTTCTGAACTCTGTTGTAGCCCCAAAACAGCCATCAACAATTAATAAATGAATTATTGCAGTCTAGTAAAACCTTATTTACAAAATCAGGTGGCAGGATGGAATTTTCCTGTGGGCTATATTTTGCTGACCCCTGTGATCATGTATTGAATGCGTATTTATAATTTGTGCACTTCTCTTCAAATGTTGTATTATTCAACTTTTAAAAGTTTAAAATAAAACAAACTATGAAAGAGGACAGGATTCTGGATTCAGGCTGCCTGGATTCTATTCCTGACTTTTCTACTAAATAGTTGGTGACATTGGGTTGCTCAAGTTCTCTGTGCCTCCATTTCTTCATCTGTGACCTGGGGTGTCATAACATTGAAATGAGATAAAGTGTGCACAGTGTTAAAAGCAGTATTTAGTTTACAGGCAGCCTTCAATCCATGTTCATGATTTTTAATGAGATCATGTCATGTGCAACAACATGGATGGAACTGGAGGACATTATGTTAAATGAATAAGCCAGGCATATAAACACAAACATTGCATGTTCTCATTCACTTGTGGGAGCTAAAAGTTAAAACAATTGAACGCATGGAGATAGTAGGATGAGGGTTCCAGAGACGGGGAAGGATAATAGTGGTGAGGAGGTGTAGTGGAGATAGTTAGTGGTTAAAACAGTTACAAATAATAAATAAGATCTCATATTTGATAGTACAACAGGGTGAATATAGTCAATAATAATTTAACTATACATTTAAAAATAACTAAAAGAGTATAATTAAATAGTAACACAAAGGATAAATGCTTGAGGTGATGGATGTCCTTTTACCCTCATGTGATTATTACACATCTTATGCATGTATCAAAATATCTCATGTAAATTAAATTAAAAATTAAAAATTAAAAAAATTAACTATTCTTTTTTTTTCTTCTTTATTATTATTATTATACTGTAAGTTTTAGGGTACATGTGCACAATGTGCAGGTTAGTTACATATGTATAAATGTGCCATGCTGGTGCGCTGCACCCACTAACTCATCATCTAGCATTAGGTATATCTCCCAATGCTATCCCTCACCCCTCCCCTCAACCCACAACAGTCCCCAGAGTGTGATGTTCCCCTTCCTGTGTCCATGTGTTCTCATTGTTCAATTCCCACCTATGAGTGAGAATATGCGGTGTTTGGTTTTTTGTTCTTGCGATAGTTTACTGAGAATGATGATTTCCAATTTCATCCATGTCCCTACAAAGGACATGAACTCATCATTTTTTATGGCTGCATAGTATTCCATGGTGTATATGTGCCACATTTTCTTAATCCAGTCTGTCATTGTTGGACATTTGGGTTGGTTCCAAGTCTTTGCTATTGTGAATAATGCCGCAATAAACATACGTGTGCATGTGTCTTTATAGCAGCATGATTTATAGTCCTTGGGGTATATACCCAGTAATGGGATGACTGGGTCAAATGGTATTTCTAGTTCTAGATCCCTGAGGAATCGCGACACTGACTTCCACAGTGGTTGAACTAGTTTACAGTCCCACCAACAGTGTAAAAGTGTTCCTATTTCTCCACATCCTCTCCAGCACCTGTTGTTTCCTGACTTTTTAATGATTGCCATTCTAACTGGTGTGAGATGGTATTTCATTGTGGTTTTGATTTGCATTTCTCTGATGGCCAGTGATGGTGAGCATTTTTTCATATGTTTTTTGGCTGCATAAATGTCTTCTTTTGAGAAGTGTCTTTTCATGTCCTTCACCCACTTTTTGATGGGGTTGTTTGTTTTTTTCTTGTAAATTTGTTTGAGTTCATTGTAGATTCTGGATGTTAGCCCTTTGTCAGATGAGTAGGTTGTGAAAATTTTCTCCCATTTTGTAGGTTGCCTATTCACTCTGATGGTAGTTTCTTTTGCTGTGCAGAAGCTCTTTAGTTTAATTAGATCCCATTTGTCAATTTTGTCTTTTGTTGCCATTGCTTTTGGTGTTTTAGACATGAAGTCCTTGCCCGTGCCTATGTCCTGAATGGTAATGCCTAGGTTTTCTTCTAGGGTTTTTATGGTTTTAGGTCTAACGTTTAAGCTTTAATCCATCTTGAATTGATTTTTGTATAAGGTGTAAGGAAGGGATCCAGTTTCAGCTTTCTACATATGGTGAGCCAGTTTTCCCAGCACCATTTATTAAATAGGGAATCCTTTCCCCATTGCTTGTTTTTCTCAGGTTTGTCAAAGATCAGATAGTTGTAGATATGTGGCGTTATTTCTGAGGGCTCTGTTCTGTTCCATTGATCTATATCTCTGTTTTGGTACCAGTACCATGCTGTTTTGGTTACCGTAGGCTTGTAGTAGAGTTTGAAGTCAGGTAGCGTGATGCCTCCAGCTTTCTTCTTTTGGCTCGGATTGACTTGGCGATGCGGGCTCTTTTTTGGTGCCATATGAACTTTAAGGTAGTTTTTTCCAATTCTGTAAAGAAAGTCATTGGTAGCTTGATGGGGATGGCATTGAATCTGTAAATTACCTTGGGCAGTATGGCCATTTTCACGATATTGATTCTTCCTACCCATGAGCATGGAATGTTCTTCCATTTGTTTGTATCCTCTTTCATTTCCTTGAGCAGTGGTTTGTAGTTCTCCTTGAAGAGGTCCTTCACATCCCTTGTAAGTTGGATTCTTAGGTATTTTATTCTTTTTGAAGCAATTGTGAATGGGAGTTCACTCATGATTTGGCTCTCTGTTTGTCTGTTGTTGGTGTATAAGAATGCTTGTGATTTTTGTACATTGATTTTGTATCCTGAGACTTTGCTGAAGTTGCTTATCAGCTTAAGGAGATTTTGGGCTGAGACGATGGGGTTTTCTAGATAAACAATCATGTCGTCTGCAAACAGGGACAATTTGATTTCCTCTTTTCCTAATTGAATACCCTTTATTTCCTTCTCCTGCCTAATTGCCCTGGCCAGAACTTCCAACACTATGTTGAATAGGAGTGGTGAGAGAGGGCATCCCTGTCTTGTGCCAGTTTTCAAAGGGAATGCTTCCAGTTTTTGCCCATTCAGTATGATATTGGCTGTGGGTTTGTCATAGATAGCTGTTATTATTTTGAAATACGTCCCATCAATACCTAATTTATTGAGAGTTTTTAGCATGAAGCATTGTTGAATTTTGTCAAAGGCCTTTTCTGCATCTATTGAGATAATCATGTGGTTTTTGTCTTTGGTTCTGTTTATATGCTGGATTACATTTATTGATTTGCATATATTGAACCAGCCTTGCATCCCAGGGATGAAGCCCACTTGATCATGGTGGATAAGCTTTTTGATGTGCTGCTGGATTCGGTTTGCCAGTAGTTTATTGAGGATTTTTGCATCAATGTTCATCAAGGATACTGGTCTAAAATTCTCTTTTTTGGTTGTGTCTCTGCCCGACTTTGGTATCAGGATGATGCTGGTCTCATAAAATGAGTTAGGGAGGATTCCCTCTTTTTCTATGGATTGGAATAGTTTCAGAAGGAATGGTACCAGTTCCTCCTTGTACCTCTGGTAGAATTCAGCTGTGAATCCATCTGGTCCTGGACTCTTTTTGGTTGGTAAGCTATTGATTATTGCCACAATTTCAGATTCTGTTATTGGTCTATTCAGAGATTCAACTTCTTCCTGGTTTAGTCTTAGTAAAGTGTATGTGTCGAGGAATTTATCCATTTCTTCTAGATTTTCTAGTTTATTTGTGTAGAGGTGTTTGTAGTATTCTCTGATGGTAGTTTGTATTTCTGTGGGATTGGTGGTGATATCCCCTTTATCATTTTTTATTGCGTCTATTTGATTCTTCTCTCTTTTTTTCTTTATTAGTCTTGCTAGCGGTCTATCATTTTTGTTGATCCTTTCAAAAAACCAGCTCCTGGATTCATTAATTTTTTGAAGGATTTTTTGTGTCTCTATTTCCTTCAGTTCTGCTCTGATTTTAGTTATTTCTTGCCTTCTGTTAGCTTTTGAATGTGTTTGCTCTTGCTTTTCTAGTTCTTTTAATTGTGATGTTAGGGTGTCAATTTTGGATCTTTCCTGCTTTCTCTTGTGGGCATGTAGTGCTATAAATTTCCCTCTACACACTGCTTTGAATGTGTCCCAGAGATTCTGGTATGTTGTGTCTTTGTTCTCATTGGTTTCAAAGAACATCTTTATTTCTGCCTTCATTTCGTTATGTACCCAGTAGTCATTCAGGAGCAGGTTGTTCAGTTTCCATGTAGTTGAGCGGTTTTGAGTGAGATTCTTAATCCTGAGTTCTAGTTTGATTGTACTGTGGTCAGAGAGATAGTTTGTTATAATTTCTGTTCTTTTACATTTGCTGAGGAGAGCTTTACTTCCAAGTATGTGGTCAATTTTGGAATAGGTGTTGTGTGGTGCTGAAAAAAATGTATATTCTGTTGATTTGGGGTGGAGAGTTCTGTAGATGTCTATTAGGTCTGCTTGGTGCAGAGCTGAGTTCAATACCTGGGTATCCTTGTTGACTTTCTGTCTCATTGATCTGTCTAATGTTGACAGTGGGGTGTTAAAGTCTCCCATTATTAATGTGTGGGAGTCTAAGTCTCTTTGTAGGTCACTCAGGACTTGCTTTATGAATCTGGGTGCTCCTGTATTGGGTGCATATATATTTAGGATAATTAGTCCTTCTTGTTGAATTGATCCCTTTACCATTATGTAATGGCCTTCTTTGTCTCTTTTGATCTTTGATGGTTTAAAGTCTGTTTTATCAGAGACTAGGATTGCAACCCCTGCCTTTTTTTGTTTTCCATTTGCTTGGTAGATCTTCCTCCATCCCTTTATTTTGAGCCTATGTGTGTCTCTGCACGTGAGATGGGTTTCCTGAATACAGCACACTGATGGGTCTTGACTCTTTATCCAATTTGCCAGTCTATGTTTTTTAATTGGAGCATTTAGTCCATTTACATTTAAAGTTAATATTGTTATGTGTGAATTTGATCTTGTCATTATGATGTTAGCTGGTTATTTTGCCGTTAGTCAATGCAGTTTCTACCTAGTCTTGATGGTCTTTACATTTTGGCATGATTTTGCAGCAGCTGGTATCGGTTGTTCCTTTCCATGTTTAGCGCTTCCTTCAGGAGCTCTTTTAGGGCAGGCCTGGTGGTGACAAAATCTCTCAGCATTTGCTTGTCTGTAAAGTATTTTATTTCTCCTTCACTTATGAAGCTTAGTTTGGCTGGATATGAAATTCTGGGTTGAAAATTCTTTTCTTTGAGAATGTTGAATATTGGCCCCCACTCTCTTCTGGCTTGTAGAGTTTCTGCCGAGAAATCCGCTGGTAGTCTGATGGGCTTCCCTTTGAGGGTAACCCGACCTTTCTCTCTGGCTGCCCTTAACATTTTTTCCTTCATTTCAACTTTGGTGAATCTGACAATTATGTGTCTTGGAGTTGCTCTTCTTGAGGAGTATCTTTGTGGCATTCTCTGTATTTCCTGAATCTGAATGTTGGCCTGCCTTGCTAGATTGGGGAAGTTCTCCTGATTAATATCCTGCAGAGTGTTTTCCAACTTGGTTTCATTCTCCCCGTCACTTTCAGGTACACCAATCAGACGTAGATTTGGTCTTTTCACATAGTCCCATATTTCTTGGAGGCTTTGCTCGTTTCTTTTTATTCTTTTTTCTCTAAACTTCCCTTCTCACTTCATTTCATTCACTTCATCTTCCATCGCTGATACCCTTTCTTCCAGTTGATCGTGTCGGCTCCTGAGGCTTCTGCATTCTTCATGTAGTTCTCGAGCCTTGGCTTTCAGCTCCATCAGCTCCTTTAAGCACTTCTCTGTATTAGTTATTCTAGTTATACATTCTTCTAAATTTTTTTCAAAGTTTTCAACTTCTTTGCCTTTGGTTTGACTGTCCTCCCATAGCTCGGAGTAATTTGATCGTCTGAAGCCTTCTTCTCTCAGCTCGTCAAAGTCATTCTCCATCCAGCTTTGTTCCATTGCTGGTGAGGAACTGCGTTCCTTTGGAGGAGGAGAGGCGCTCTGCTTTTTAGAGTTTCCAGTTTTTCTGCTCTGTTTTTTCCCCATCTTTGTGGTTTTATCTACTTTTGGTCTTTGATGATGGTGATGTACAGATGGGTTTTTGGTGTGGATGTCCTTTCTGTTTGTTAGTTTTCCTTCTAACAGACAGGACCCTCAGCTGCAGGTCTGTTGGAGTACCCGGCCAGCCGTGTGAGGTGTCAGTCTGTCCCTGCCTGGGGGTGCCTCCCAGTTAGGCTGCTCAGGGGTCAGGGGACAGGGACCCACTTGAGGAGGCAGTCTGCCCGTTCTCAGATCTCCAGCTGCATGCTGGGAGAACCACTGCTCTCTTCAAAGCTGTCCGACAGGGACACTTAAGTCTGCAGAGGTTACTGCTGTCTTTTTGTTTGTCTGTGCCCTGCCCCTAGAGGTGGAGCCTACAGAGGCAGGCAGGCCTCCTTGAGCTGAGGTGGGCTCCACCCAGTTCTAGCTTCCAGGCTGCTTTGTTTACCTAAGCAAGCCTGGACAATGGCGGGCGCCCCTCCCCCAGCCTCGCTGCCGCCTTGCAGTTTGATCTCAGACTCCTGTGCTAGCAATCAGGGAGACTCCGTGGGCGGAGGACCATCCGAGCCAGGTGCGAGACACAATCTCCTGGTGCACCGTTTTTTAAGCCCTTCGGAAAAGCGCAGTATTCGGGTGGGAGTGACCCTTTCTTCCAGGTGCCGTCTGTCACCCCTTTCTTTGACTAGGAAAGGGAATTCCCTGACCCCCTATGCTTCCTGAGTGAGGCAATGCCTCGCCCTGCTTCAGCTGGCACACGGTGCGTGCACCCACTGACCTGCGCCCACTGTCTGGCACTCCCTAGTGAGATGAACCCGGTATCTCAGATGGAAATGCAGAAATCACCCATCTTCTGTGTCACTCACGCTGGGAGCTGTAGACCGGAGCTGTTCCTATTCGGCCATCTTGGCTCCTCCCCCCAACTATTCTTATTATTATTGATGCTCACAATACTTCTATAAATGTTGGCTTTTTTAGTTCTGTGTTACAAACGAGCAACTGAGGCATTCTGCCCAAATCTTTCTGTGGGTCCCTATTTCTCTCCAGATTTCCTGAACCGGCATATGAGGCTCTTTCAAGCCTCCAAGTCTTATCTTCAGCCATATTGCGACCATCACAACCACTCGCAACTACTTCAACCACACCACGTTTTTTATGCCTCTGTACTTTGGGAGATGCTGTTCCATCTTCATAGAAGGGCCTTCATCTTAGCCACTTGGTGAGCCCCAACTCTTCCTTTAAAATCTTGTTTTATGCTATCTCCTCTGTGAAACTTCTGAGTCTAGACACCATGGATTAGTAACCATGTATCAGTTTGAGCTTGAGCACATGCATAAGTTGTCATTTATTTCATTCCTATTTGTCAAGAGCCATGCACATTCTAGGCACCCAATGTATGTCTGTTGAATGGACTGCATATCTGAGTTCCCCTCTACACTGTGAGCTCTTATTTATCCTTCTTCTTAGCCCCTAGAATAATGCCCTATACAAGGCTGGTGCCCAGTAAATATTTGTCAGACGGATGAATGAATTGATTGTTGGAAGCCAGCCAAGGCCTGGGCATCCTCATAGACAAGTAGATCCAGATGACAAGTAGCACAGTCCCAATCTCAGGGAGCTCCGTAGAGAGTTCCAGTCTTCATGAATATCAGCAATCAAAGGTTAATATTATGAGATTTTTATCTGTATTTTATACCCCGGGGGAAATTCTATGGATGTTCTCATAATTATTGTTCACATCTTCCAGTCATAACATGAAATACAATACATGCTCACCATTTCCCAGAGTCTGTGAGGGACAAATTTCTTGCTGAGGCAATTATCTTTCACAGCTGCTGTCCACAATTTTGTCCAACTCCCATGGAAACCAGGAACATTACCTTAATGTTAGAAGGGACCCCAGAGACAAGCTAGCCCAGCCCTACTGTTTTACAGATGAGGGAATAAATAACTTGTAGAGTTTTCCATTTTTAAGATCATTTTGCTAGGGAGTTTTCTTTTTGCTGGACATGAGAAAATGTAACAACATTTATGAACAATATTTTATCTCACTTATAAGCTTACAAATACATACATACATAGCTGAGAGAAAAAAATATTTTAAAAAATCAAAAGGAAAATTATTATGCAGCCAGGATCTAGAGAGAGAAAAAGAACCTGAGGTACCATTTTACCACTTGTCAATAATAACAGTTTCTATTAGGGAAACCATTTTACACAATAATTTTCAAGCAGAGAGCAGAGTGGTGGTGAGCGCACTTGCACTACCCGTGTCTGAAGCAGTACTGGGTGTTATAGGTAGAAAAGCATGAATCATTTGGTTATATCAAAAATCATTGAGAGAGAAAAACAATTTGTTATCAGGAGCACTCATTCTTTGGGGACTTTCCAGTGGCATCTACAGCCGCCTCCTATTCTGACCAACTCCTACAACTCTGGAACCCAGTTTCCCATATTCTGAATCATCTTGTGTGCCTCCTGTCCCTGCTGCTGGTAAGAGGGCATGAAAAGCCAAACCAGAACTGCCAGGCCTGACCCAAGGATCAGTTCTGAAAAAGCAAAGGACAAACCCAGATGAGAAATAGGGTTCTTCAGGATCTTGTCTTGCTGCTTCATTCATATC
Source organism: Homo sapiens (assembly GCF_000001405.40). Taxonomy (NCBI): domain Eukaryota; kingdom Metazoa; phylum Chordata; class Mammalia; order Primates; family Hominidae; genus Homo; species Homo sapiens. Next base: position 128,341,938 of record NC_000008.11, on the reverse strand, counting down.
ATCACATTCTAGTGTCCTCTTTCAACCCTGTATCTTAATCAGGGCAGACTTGTCACTTATTCATATTTAATGACTTTCATGTACTTCTTGTTGCCTGGAATCTCCTATGCTTGACCATTGGCCTGGTCAATTTCCAATTCTGAAGAACTTGGTGCAAGTCTACTTCTATTCCACTTTCCTGAATACAATGTCTGATTTCCAGCTCCTGATGAATACATCCATTATAGCTCATATCACAGACCTGTTTACCCACTGTTTACTTATCTGCTTCCCCAGTAGACTCTGAGCTACTGAAGATAGGGACTTTGTTATACTCCTTGGTGGCCAGCAGTATTGGGCAATGCAAATTTGCTGAATGAATTAATGAAGACATAGAGTCACAGGAAGAAGCCAGAGTCAAGTAGTATAGGAATGGGGAAAATTGTACAGTCCAATAATTTGGGGTAATACAATTAGTGAGGCCTCTTTATGTATAGACTTCTCAGAGTCTTTTGTATGCAAATGTGCTTGGTAAATATACAAAAGATGATATTTACTAAGTACTTAGTAAAGAAGTACTTTCCAACTTATTTGTCTCTGGAACACTCTCTCTCTCTCTCTCTCTCTGTGTGTGAGAGTGTGTGTGTGTGTGTGTATGTGTTTGTGTGTGTGTGTTGCTTCTCTCTCCCAGAAAAATTGCTTAGGAGATGCAGCTTTCAGGCATCTTCATCTAGACCTTTTGCTTTAGGGTAATACCATTACCAGAAAGTCAGTATCTAAGTTATAAGTACAATGTGCAGGGTTGTAAGTGCTACAGCAAATGGTTGAATTGAATTTAGCCAGATGTAAAAGTACTTCAAGTCATTTTTGAGGCTGAAACCCCTACAATGAAGAAGTTCTTCCTCTGAAGTTCTGCAAAATCCATCTGAACTTTTGACCCAGAAACATCTTAGACTCTTAAGGAAATGTTCATACCAAGTCAACTAGCTTTTACTGTTCTCATCTATAGTTAAGTAAAGGGCACCAAAAAACCTCCTAACCATTACATTCATATAACATCTTTTGGGTGCTTTGCATTCAGTGTGGTGAAGGTAATGAGCAAAAAAAGAAAGACAAGAAAAACAAAAAAATACTTTTTGAAACCCTGATAATATTTTCACAAATGATATTTAGCATTGCAAACTAATGCTTCAGGGTTCTGTAAATGTGAAGAATTGAACAGGCAATAACAGATAAGCAATTATGGCATGAGATAAACCAATACTTTAGTTTATAGTCATAAAATTCTTGCCAAAAAGACACAAATGTTTTGATTTCCTCAGATACTATATGAATAAATTAGGTTAAAAAGCAATGTGATTCAGAAATTCATCAAAAATAAAAAATAAAAACATTTACTGGTAACTTGCTATGTGCCAATATTGAAGACGCAAAGATGCAGAAAAAGAAAAGGAAAAAGATCTACTCTCAACAAGATTACTATCCCTTTACACAAATGAATCATAATTAAACAGAAAAATATCTACAACAGGTGCACTATCTGGTTTTTAACAGGACATCCTTAGCACAAAGACTGGCACATATAGATGTTCAATAAATGTTGAACGAATGAGTAACTGAGTGAACAAATGAATAAATATAGGCAGGATTTAAGTGGATGTCTTGACACATCAAGGTAGGGCTTCATTAAGGACTGGGGATTGACAGATACCATACAAATGGTCATCCCCCAAAAGGCATGTTATAGATGCCTGGAGGAGGGTAAGTGGGAGCTTTCCTAAGTCAGTAGGGTGGCAGGAGAAGAGGAGTGTTTCAAGGATGTACAATGACTAGACCTCTCTGATCTGAGGGGAGTTGGGTTGGGATACAGCATTCACACCAGACAGTTACATTGGAAAAGGCCTAAAGGGTCATTAAATGCCATGTTATAAAGCCAGAATTTTATCTTAAAGATAAAAGGACACCAAGGAAGGAAGTTTTTGACCTAAGGAATGATAGACGGATGTTCTTTTTAGGCATAAGTCTGTCTCGTCATGGATTACAAGGAAAAAGAAAATGTGGATTAGATGGATATTGAATGAAAAGACCCTTCTCAAATCTCAAGTCCTTGGAAATATAGATGCAAACCAATGCTTCAGGGTTCTGTAAATGTGAAGAATTGAACAGGCAATAACAGATAAGCAATTATGGCATGAGATAGACCAATATTTTAGTTTCTGCTGCTTAACAGCCATCAGATTGGGGCAAGTTGCTTAACCTTGGCAAACCTCAATTTCCTCCATTGCAAAATGGGGATATTAATAGCACTACCTCATAAGGTTGGTGGTGAAGATTAAATTAGATAATGATTGTTAACTATTTACAACAGCGCTGATCCACAGTAAATGGTCAAAACATACCACCTATTAACACTCGACTTGAAATTGCAATTAACAGTTCATCCACTCAATAGGTCCTCTTTAAGAAGACCATGAATGAATGAACCAGCTTTAAAGACACTAATTCCTCAGTCTTCTTGTAATATTAATATTATGAAACAAATTTTTAGGGAATGTTGTAAATCAGAGTTAATATTTTTGTTGCATTTGAGTCCCCATGATTATATTCTGCAGGGATTTAATTTTCTGTGATACTTAAGGCCTGTTTGTGTCTAGCCTGCTTTTCTCTGTCCTAACTCAATTTCCATTTAGTGCCATCCAAGTTAGAAAAAGGCAATGTCAGCTCCTTCTCAATGTCCACCTGTAGGGACTTGCCTAAAGTCACACAGCCAAGCACCCAATAAGACAGCCAGATCTGGAATGTAGATTTTCTCACTCCCAGGTTGGTGTCCACTCACACCCATGAAATGGTTTTTTCCACTCCCACTAAAGTGTGCCAACTAGGCAATAATACTAATATGAGAGCAAGTATTGAAGCATCTACTTAAAGAGGTATAGAAATGCATGGGTGTTTACTGGCATGTGGCAAATCTATAGTGTTCACTTTCCAAATGAGTCAGATACCCATTAGAATGACTTCATTCAATTTTTGCATTAAATATAGAAAATCTTATACAGCAACCCACATGCAAATATTTAAACTGGTGCTTTTTTAGCTCACAATGCTTTCCCTGTACCTTGTAATCAGCCAACCAGAATCAGTGAAAAAACAATATAAAAGACTAACATTTTTTGTTACCAGTAATTTCCAAGCTGGGGACAACATCATCAGAGGATCTCATCCTGACATCAGTACTTCCCCAGCTGACACAGAAACTCTGCTCTTACAGGGTGGCCCCATATTGTCAAGCACATGACTAAATATAGATCATAGGCTCATGCCTCTTGATCATCAAACACTGCTCCAAAATAATATTCAAGGAGTTGGTCTGGTTTGGGGGTTAGAAGGTACGTGTGGACTCATGACTTTGCCACTTCTCATAAAAAAATAAGAATTATTTCATGAATAAGCTGCCATGTTATGAATGCTCCAATATCCTGTCATCAGCACTGAGCACTACAGTTAGCTCAAAGTATCTATAGTTTTGCCACCAGCACCAGCCAAAGACACACACATCACAGTTTTTTACCATTCCCATGCCTTCTATGTTGTTCTATCTGCCTTGAAAGTCCTACTCCACCCCTTGCCCATGTGTCACCTTCTACCTCAAAACTCAGCTTAAAGGTCCACTTGGTAAGAACATCTTGACTGGCCCTTGGATTCCAAAATCACTTTTCATATGAGCCTTCCATTCTGGCACTTAAGACATTGTGTTATGTGTTGACAAGTCAATTCCACACCAAGCTGTGGTCCACTTAGAAGTAGGAATCATCAAATTCTCCTTTCTAGAGGCCAAAGGAACTTGGTTGCAGCAGCCAACTTTGGAGCAGCCTCACTCCTTGGGAGCTGGAACAAAGCAGACAGTTATTCAGAGCAAACACTATACCGAGAGTAAGCAAAGAAAGCAAATCAGGGCCACGGAAGGTGCCACAGTCAAAGAGGCACCATCAGCGTTACTTCCACAGAGGTAAGGTGAATTCAGTAGTAAAAGGTGAGGACAGATGACGGAGGCCTGGGGTGATACAAAGCAAGTAGGAAAGTGAATATGAAGCGGAATAAAGTAGAAAGGCTTAGGACAGAAGTAAAGTGGAGCAGGGGAGAAGAGGGCCATGTCCAGGGATCTAAGGCTCTCTGGCGATTGCTTAGAGGTAAATGAGAAAGTTGGCCATTGTAAAGGAGCAGGACTGTTCTAGGGACTGTTCCTTTCTACATCTCTGCTACCTGGCACACTACCTAAAGCAAAGCAAGTATTTGAAAACTGTTTACTGAATAAATGAGTGAATTAATGAATAAATCAGTGAATGAATCATAGAGTCTTCTAAGAGTTGACCTACATATTCCAAGAATCTCAGCCTTGCTACTATAGTAAATTGGTCATCTGCTCTTGTAGCAGTTCTCATAGGCCGATTGGTTTGCAAGTTATATATCTGTGTGTCTCCTCTGTTAGATGATTGCCCCAAGAGAGCAGCCATAGAGTTCCAGGACAGAGCAGAATACCATCTCTTGCACACAATAAAGTGTTCCATAAATGCCTATGGAGTTACACTGAACAATATTGAATTTAAATAATTTGCTTTTCAGTATAAATCAGCTTAGTAGTCCGGAAGAAAAGTTTAGATCAAGAGCAAATACAGAAACATTAAAAATAATAAATTGAATAAGTACATGAATTGATGCTCAACATCATTAATCATTAGAGAGATGCAAATCAACATCACAATGAGATACCACTTCACACCCATTAGAATGGCTAATATACATTTTTTAAAACCCCAGAAAATAGGAAGTATTGGCAAGAATGTGGGCAAATTGGATCCCTGGACATTGCTGATAGAAATGTAAAATAGCACAGTTGCTGTGAAAAACACTGTGGCAATTCCTCAAAAAATCAAAAGCAGAATAATCATACGATCCAGCAATTCATTTCTAAGTATATACCCAGAAGAAGTGAAAACAGGAATTTGAACAGATATTTGTATACCCATGTTCATAGCGGCATTATTCACAGTAGCAAAAGGTGGAAGCAACCCAAATACTAATCAACAAATGAATGAATAAGAAAAACGTGGTGTACACACACAAAATAATATTATTCAGCCTTAAAAAGGAAGGATATTCTGGCACACACTTCAACTTAAACAAACTTTGAGGTTATTATGCTAACCAGAAAAAAAGACAGTCACAAAAGGACAAATGCTGCATGATTCCCCTTATATGAGGTACCTAGAGTAGTTAAGTTCGCAGAGACAGGAAGTAGAACGGTGGTAACAGGGGGCTTGGAGCAGGTGGAAATAGAGAGCTATTGTTTAATGAGGATGGAATTTTAGTTTTGTGAAAAAAAGTTTTGGAGATGATGGTGATGGTTGCACAACAATATAAATATATTTAATGCCATTGAACTGTTCACTTAAAATTGTTAAACGGTAAATTTTATGTTATGTACATTTTGCAATAAAAATAAATGTTAGTAGCAAATTTTTTTAAATTGATAAATCAGACTCTAATTTCCTAGAGGCTTATCATTGAGGACCATCTCCCCTCTTTACCACTTTTAGAAAAAATGGCTAGTGATCACCAAAATACATACAACACACACACACATAAATATGTGCAAACCACAATTGCACACACACACATATTCTTATAATAAAGCTTTCTGTAATAAGCCAAAATGGAGGCTCTAATAATAGAAGCCAGAATATCTTACCTCTAAGACTTCTCAGCTAATTAGCTTCCAGTTGGGCAGGTAGTGTTCTTTCATCCTCCAGAATCTCCCACACGTTTGAGAACTAAGGACTCAAAGAGCAGAAGTAGGCTTAACTGTAAGGTCCAACAGGGCCATGAATGTTGAGTCTCTTCCTAGTCTCATAGAAAAAAGAGGCGTTTCCTTTCTTCTCCTACAAGAGACTCCCCTTCAGTACAACTCACTCATAGGCAGACAGAAGGTAGAGAAAGTTCTTAAAGTCACCTGCCCACACAGGATATTGATGGATACCACACATAAGACCACATCATTGTAGCAATGAGACATGGGCTCTGCTCTGGGCAATCCTGGATAGTAGACCCAAATCCCAGATTCACATCGACCCAAGAATTCAGAGAAGGTCTGTGCTTATCATTGGCTTATTAAACAAATAAACCACTGCACAGGCTGGAAAGAAGGTTCCCTTAGTTCCTGCTCACTCTCAGAGGTGTTTCCCCTCCTCCCCACTTACCTTGTCACCCATCACACAAGGTCCAATTCCAGTTCCACCTTGTCATGAATCCTTCTCCTAATCACTTAAGTTCTTAGAAGTTTTATTTTTCCCTCTCCTGACCCCTAAATAATACATTTTGGGTATTCTTCAGAATGAAGATTTATGTAATAGAGTTTCTTTGGAGCTTTTATTGAGTTCTTGCTCTGTGCTCCGTTTTATCCTCAATTAGGATGTGAGCCCCCAATTGAAGCTCACTGCCCTGTCTTCTTGCCCACTTGACACCCCCTGAATTATAGTATATTCCCAGGAATTAGTTAAGAGGTTGAAATATTTCAACAACAGCTTTATTAGGTAAAAATACAGCCTTTTACAAAAACATCCCTTTTTAGTAGATCTTGGAACACAGTTAATTCTCAATAAATGTCCATGAAATGGCCATCTTAGGACAGCAAGAAGTACCCCCTCTGAATGTCATTTTTGTGCCTATCAACCTACTGGGAGGAAAGACAAGAATCCTTATGAACCAGCCTCTTCTCTGGAGCAGACTCACAGACTCCTCCAAGGATCAGAATTGCAGGAAATGTGTACATTTCAGCCCAATTTCCTTTTCCAGAAAGAAAAAGTGAAGTCCAAGGAAGGAGAGTGATTTGTCCAAGATCATCAATGAGTTGTGGGCAGTTCTAAGACTAGTACCTAAGTCTTGACCATGAATAGGTAAGAAATCTAGTCAAAGGGTTTGTAACAGTCCATTTGAAAACATTTTTTTTTGACCTCAGAGAGAAGCTCTCATTGAGTTATTATATTGAGGACATTGCAAATTGACAAGGCTGCATAGAATCTTCTTGCCTTTTACTAAATTTTCTTCCAAAATCCTTACAATTTGAGAAAAATGAATTACATTCCAGAGTCACGGAATGTAGAAAGTTGCAGGAAGGATTTCAGAATGAGGATGAAGATCTTTTCACAACCTGGGTATCCTCTGCATTTCATTGCACATTAAGATAAATAAACAACCCAGGTATTTTCAGAGAAGTAGAGGGCACTTAGCTGCCATGGCATAGTGTGGTAATTTCATTTCTTTGTTAATTGTTGAAATATCTCTTTCAAGTAAGTTTTACTTTGAATGCCTACAATATGCTAGTTGCTGTATTAGGTTGAGAGATCCAGAGATGAATTAGACAAGCCTTCTGCCCTTGTGGAGTGCTAGAGACAGGAAATCAACAAAAAATAGTACTAAACTATGGTAGGCACCATGGCAGAAATTTATAAGATGTCTCAAACCATTCCAGGCACAGAGGAGACACTCGATCAATATTTGTTAAATGAATGAATGAGTGAGTGAATGAATGAGTTAACCAGATTTTGCCTGAGAAATTTAGAACATATTTTATAGAAAAGTTGATACTTAAGCTACATTTTCATTCATTTATTTAAGTGATCAATCATTTATTCTTGTATTTTATACATGATCTGTTACTAGGCACCATGGTATGCTGAGCATACAAAGATGAATAAAGCAAGGTCTTAGACCTCAATAATGAATGATAGACCAATGTGACAAATAACGTTGTATTTGATATATTTGTATTCTTGTCTCTGTGCGTATCATAGAATGTAAGTTCCCTGAAAACAGAAGAACTTATATTCTCTTGTTTCTCTAGGCTCTCTTGAAACACCCAGAACAGGGCTTGGCACCTGGTAAGCACTCCACAAACAGTGTTTGCTTTAATAACGAGTGACTGAATGGACACATGGGTGGTATGTTGACATGACCGTGGGAGCACAGAGGAGCAGCATCTCATCAGCAATGTTTTAGGGGCAGGTGGAAGAAGATGAATCCAAAATGATTGCAGAGAAGTCCCTGTTAGAGAGGTGCAAAGGTAACCAGAACCATCCTAAATGCCAATTGAGGGGACAATTTCCAAAAGGAAAAGATGGTTGACAAGCCTTCAATTAAGAATCATTTATTGATTGATATTTCATGCTCCAAGGCCAGGACTGGGATAAGACAAGCTAGGAGTCTCGGATGGGAGCTCTAAGAAAGCACTCATTCTCAGGATGGTACAAGCACAGAGTCAGCACCTGAGAGTGGCACCTTCTTACATTTTGGGTCCTTAAATACCTCGCTTGCCCCACCCTAGTGCCAGTCCTGTTGGGCCCAGCACTGTGCTAGGTACTTGAAATATAATAGTCAGTAAGACATTGTCCCTGCCCTCAAGAACTTCAAGATTTTTGGGTGGACAGACCTGCAGCTGGTGATTATGATGCAGATGATGCATTCAGACAAGAGAAGGCAGGAGAAATGTGAAGGTATGAGAGACAGAGCATCAGCTCATAGGCTCTGAAAATAAGACTGTGCTTGAGCTGAAACTAAGACACAATCACAAATCCACAGGAGAGGGAGGAAAAGAATTTCTGACCAGGGAACAGCATCTGCAAAGACTAGAGGCCTTGAAAATACATGAAGTGCTTTGAAATGATGAAGTGTGGTAGCCAGAAGTGAAAAAAGACTGGTAGTAAATGGGGTTGGATATATAGGCTCTCGTTATTCATCCTTTCAGGCTGGAACTCCGTTTTTATTTTTACCATTATATCAGTATCTGGGGCAGTTTTCCTTGGAAACAACATGCTGTCTAAATTAATTGGAAGGACCATCAGTCTGCTCGTTCTGCCTGGTCCTGCCCTCTAAGAGAACAGGGAGGAGGCCCTGGCTGAGCCTTTGCTGCTCGGTCAGATGTATTTTTAGCCCTGGCAGAAAATAACAGCAGTGTGTGCATTTAATAAGGAAAAAAAAAAATCGAGCCCTGGGAATGATCTAGTGCCAGTGTTGGAGCAATCAGGGACAGAATATGTTTCCAATTGAATTACTACTGTGGTCATAGTTATAAAAAGAGAGGGAGGAGAAAAATGTCAGGCTGGTCAGTTTCTCGGGAGCATTTAATCTTGGTTCGCTCTAATTTTAACGTTCAAAGACACATGAGCCAACTCTGCCCCAGGAGTTATTTCAGGGGTACTGGCCAATACCCGCAACTTGCAGTCAACACTGGGCAGCTCTACTGCTTGAAGTTGTCTTTCTTTTCTTTTCTTTTCTTTCCTTCCTCTCCAGCAGTTTTGGCCTCCACTAGTTCTTCTGCTCACAAGCTGATGAGACATAGTGTGAATAATTACGATGAGGGTAAATTTAGAACCTGACAAAACTGAAGGATGTAGGACTCAGAAGCTGAGGCTCAGAGAGAGGTAGAGATGGTACAGCATCAAGAAAGAGCCTCGAGGAGTCACAGTACTGAGCTTTCCAACTGCTTCCACATTCAACATCTCCATATTTTAAATTGTCAGAGACCGCACCTCCCAGCCTCATCAGTTTTCCTCCACAGCGTAGTCGCTCTCCTTTGGCTTCCTCCCACCCTTCATCCTATCCTCTACTAAAAAATCATAATAATTAGCTACCTCCTATTGAAGGCCTCCTTTGAGTCAGACACTGGCTGAACAATTGCAGAAGTTATGTCATTTTATTCTTAGACTGACATTAAAAAGTACAAAATGCTAGCAATATGTGACTGAGGAGGAAGCTTGGTGAAGTTAAGTCACTTTCAAAAGGTCACACACCTAGTAAGTGGCAGAACCTGAATTCTGGCTCATTCTAAAGCCCACTCACCCTCTGCCCATGTGTGACCCTAATCTCCCCATTGAAGCCTGTCCTTCGGATGCTGGGCTTCTTCACACCCCCATATCATACACACACCACCCTCACCCTGCAATGCCTCCAACTCTTTTTCTTATAATTTGCTCCTAGAATGTCTCTTTTTGCTTTCATCAGCTGTAGCTTGTATTACCATTGGTATTGGTGATAATAACTATTATATATTTGATACATACTATATGCCAGACATTGCTTGAAGTGCTTTACAGGTATTACTTCATTTAATTTTCTCAACATTCCTAGGTGGTTACTATTATTATTCCCAATTTACAGAAGAGAGACGGATACATAGAGAAATTAACTGACTTACCCAAGTATCTAGAACTGGCTACTGGTAGAACTGGAAAAATGACTCTTGTTAATTGAGTAGTTACCATGCAACAGGCATTGGACCTAGCACAAGGCAGGTATCATTGCACTGAACACTCACAGTAATTGTGAGGCAGCATTATTAGCCCCATTTTACAGATGAGAAGCCTGAGGCTCAGAGACAGTTTTGAGTAACTTGGCAAGGTCACAGAGCCAGGATGGGAACTCAGATATGAGAAACTTTCAAGCCCATTCTCCTTATACACTGCATTATTAGTTGCTTCCATATCTGTTTTCTCAGTACGTTGTCACTTTGTAAGGGAGAAAGCCATGCTTTCTTCATTTCCAACTCCCAGCACTTCACACAGTGCCCTGCTACACAGTGGGCACTCGGTAAATGTTGGATGAGAGGATGAGTAAATACAGGGCATGTGTAACCTCTTTCCCATGTGATATGTTTAAAATGACTTGGGAGGAAAAAGCAGATCAGACACGCAAGGGAAGGACGTTCTAAGGACAGAAAACACTCCCTCCCAGCGTGTTCAGCTCCTGAAGCTGGTCTGGGCTGTCGGGTCAAATCAGACTCACATGAAGGCTATTTTCTTCAACAGATCACCTCCTGTCTGAAAAAAAGGTCCAGCCCTGCCCCTCTGGCCCCTCCTTGCTGTCCTCTGGCCCTCTGAGCGGGCCGGCCCTCACAAGGTCTGGATCCCACATCCAGCCTGTCTGCCGGGAAGCAGATGATAATGACCACACTTCGGGTGGCTCCTTTCAGCACTCCCTGGACCCCAGCAGTCCCCACCTGTGCCCTGAACTATGCTTCTCCCCTGTGACTCTGCATCATGTCCACTGTCAGAAAGCTATAAACACCTATAGGAATAAAAAGCTAAAGTCCTGAAAGAGAATTACACCTGGGGAGCTTGAGAGCGGATGGTGGAGTCCCCAGATAAGCCGCTGCCTCTTCTTCACACCTGTCAGTCTTGACCTCTCAGTCGGTTTCAGGAGAGTTGCACAGAGGGGCCTCAGAGCCCATGAGAGCTAGATTTCAGAGCTGAATTGTTAGTGCTTAGGCCCTGGACCGTGGACCAGCCATTGGCTTCTCTGAGCCTCCTTTTCCCATTAGTAAATCAGGTATAACAATCCCCAAATTGCAAAGTGGTTGGACAATCAGAGGACGTCATGGATGAGACGCAGGAGAGTGCAAAGTTTGAAAACACAGTCTTTGTAGTAGAGGTAGAATCTCAGATCCACGGTATGTGACCCATTATTCCTGCTTGTCTAGTACTGAGAGATTTCCCAGGAGTAGGACTTTGAGTGGTAAGTCTGGAAAATTCCCAGACAAATTAGCATGAGTTGGTCCCCCGAGGGACAATAAACTGGGGACACTAAGTGTTCTTTCCTTACAGGATAAACAATAAACTGGGAACAACAAGTGTTCTTTCCTTACAGGGTGGCCGCAGGATTCTGTGAAAATACATGTAAATTTATTGCTCCCATTTCCTCTGTTCTCTACAATTCCTCCTTGTGTTCACCCACTGACTTCTCTATTGTTTTCTAAACAGAAGAGGCTAGCCATGCTTTTCAACCAGGCAGAGTATAAGTAAAGAAAAACCACGCTGCCCTTTCTAATCCTTGAGAGAAGGTCTCCCTCCTGGGCCCAGTGGCTGTGTAGGTGACTACCCTGTCTTGAGGATGCTGAGTAGCCCCCACGAGTTCACGAGGAACAGATTTTCATGATGCTAAATTTAAGATGATTCCACTTCCCTGCTTCACGCCAGTCTAGTATCATGCCAGCTGGAAGAAGGCCAAAGCAGAACACTTATTTAATGAAATGACTCAGGCCTATAGCTTGAGAGAATAAAGAAAGTAAATAAAATTCTTGAGAGAATAAATGAACTAAACCCTTTTGGGTGGTTCACAAGAAGAACATGTGATGGCACAGCATCACTCATGGGGAAGGTTCATTCCGTCAAGTCTGCTGGGAATGCGGGGCCAACAGGCCCAGGGCCTGGCACATCAACAGGTACCTTTTTAAATGAGTTGATTTTTGAAACCATTTTGACAACTTCATGTGAAGTAGTAATGGTTAAACATATTATTTAAAATGTATTTGTCCACAGATATCTTTTGTCAACTTATCTCTCCTCCAAAAGGTAAGAGCACAAGAGGGATATCCTTTACTTGAAGAGTGAGACCTGTTTTCAAATCCCCCTTCCATCCCTCTCCTCCAGTAACCACCTGCCACTTACTAGTTTTGTGACATTGTGTAAATCACTTACCTTTCTGAATCTTAGTTTCTTGACTTGTAAAGTGGCAAGAATAAGCTTTGCCCATTTACCTCCCAGGCTGCCTTAGGACCAAAATAAATGGTCAATGTGGAAAGGTCAGACACAAGCCTGTTGTTTGAGGCAATGTGTACTAGGTATACACATTGGAGCCATTTATTATTAATCTTGTTCACTGTTCATACTGGTAGTTGCATCAACTGTCCAACTTCTTGGCCTTACTTCTCTCCTCCATATGTACTTTAAATCAGAAAGACCATCATACTGGTAGTTGCATCAACTGTCCAACTTCTTGGCCTTACTTCTCTCCTCCATATGTACTTTAAGTCAGAAAGACCATCATACTGGTAGTTGCATCAACTGTCCAACTTCTTGGCCTTACTTCTCTCCTCCATATGTACTTTAAGTCAGAAAGACCATCATACTGGTAGTTGCATCAACTGTCCAACTTCTTGGCCTTACTTCTCTCCTCCATATGTACTTTAAGTCAGAAAGACCATCATACTGGTAGTTGCATCAACTGTCCAACTTCTTGGCCTTACTTCTCTCCTCCATATGTACTTTAAGTCAGAAAGACCATAGTTTCAAGAACATAGTACGGGAGTTAGAAATCAGGCAGGTCTAGGTTCAAATCTCAGTTCCACTGCTCAGGCTACTTCCATGAGCTTTAGTCTCCTCATCAGTAAAATGGAGATGATAAGATCTATCATACAGAGTTGTAACAAGAATCCAGAGACACAAGTCCTGTATAAGTCACTTCAGGAAAGACAGATTCACAACAGAACCAGAATTCAAACCCAGGACTCTTGACATCCGAAACAGGGATGTGAACATGATAAACATCACAACTACTCCATACCAATGTAGCCTCCCTGCCATTTCCTAAGCAAGTTATTCCCATGCAGGTAAAGCCTTAATTTTTACCTAGTATGAAATGCATATATAAATTGTCACCAACATGCTTAGCATGTTACAAAGCATTACAATGGATAAAAAGATATAGTAAGTACAATGTGTGCTGCTCCTAAAAAGGTTATAATCTATTTGGAAAAGTAAAGATAAATAGATAGATAGATAGATAGATAGATAGATAGATAGATAGATGATAGATAGATAGATAGATAGATAGATAGATAGATAGATAGAGACAGACAGACAGACAGACACACAGAGAGAGACAGAGAGAGAATATAATTCCAAGGAGCTCTGGACCACAATATTAGGATCTAGAATATTCTCTGAGGACAACTCCCACATGTAAGATGATGTGAAAATCATAAGAATAAATAACAATTACAGTATCAGTAGTTGACATCTATAGCATGCCTTCTATGTGCCAGCCATTGCGGTTTAAGTATTTTAGCTATGATATCCTTTTTAATCCTCACAGAAGTCTTAATATTCTCTGTAATTAAACCCTAGTCTAAATACGTAGAAACTGAATCTCAAAACATTATCTTTAGTGAAAGAATCTTATACAGAAGAGAGAACATATGACATGACTCAATTTATATGAAGTCTTAGAATAGAACAAACTAATAATGTGGTTAAAAAAAAACATTGAAACAGTGTTTGCTTCTAGTAGGGCATGGGTGTTGGGGCAGGGATTGACAGAGTTGAGGAAGCTTTGAGTGGTCCCAGGGATGCACATTAGGGGTTGCCTTACACAAGCATACGCATTTTTCAAAACTTACCTTTAGATTTAAGATTTATACATTTGTACATTGCATTGCATGTTCAAAAGGAAAAATGGATATAAAAATATTAAACTCTAGATAATGATTAAAATGCTGAAGTATTAAGAAGAACATATACTGATACTGTAGCTTACTTTACATTTTATTTATGAAATTAGATAGGTTGATGGATGGATAGACCAATGGATAGACCAATCAATAAATATGTGATGATGCAAGTTACAGTAAAAGGATAATGACATAATTTTGTTAGTAGGTATACGACTACTTTCTACTTTTCTCTATGTTTGAATATCCTCATAGTGAAATTTAGTGGAAAATAAGTAAATCCACAGGGGCAAAGTTAGCAAATCCTCATCCTAGTTCTCTGAAGGAAACACACACAGTAAATTTCTGTCCTGTCTCTACAGTGCAGGTAAATTTTAAATAGGGTCTAAATTGGCTGAAAGGCATAACTTTATACGCCTGGGTGGGCCAGGGGATGCAGCCAGTAACATTTTCACGGAGGCAATGCAGACCCTTCTCTGGAGGAGGGCCAAAGGCTCACCCTTGCTGAGTCATTCCTATGCTGAGATCCAGGGACATAGGGAGTGAAGATCAAGTGCATGTGATTATGGGCCTTGTGCCTAGGGAGAGACTGACATCACCAAAGGCTCATCTCTTAGATCATCAAAATGACCTGTTTGCAGTGCCTGGGTGAGGAGGAGGTGACTAGGTGTTCCCGGAGCCAGCAGACAAGAAGCTCAGCCCAAGAAAGCAGTGGCTCCATTTCCCAATGTGATCACATTTTGGCCTTCAGTTAGCTTTTATTTGGTTTGTTATATTCAATAATCCACTCTGCTCTGGTCTCTGGGTAGCTGGGCTTAAGCAGAGCCTTTGTTCAGAATGATATAACAGGCCCTGCTCCTTTCTTAAAATAAGAGTTGTCGGTCAGTGGAAAAAGTATTATCAGAAGCCTTGGATATGAATTCTGGAAATAACTAGCTCTGGGGCTGCATGTGAGCCCTTTACATTATATGGGCTGTGGTTTCTCCAAGGATACACGTACTGTATAAATACTAGATGTAAATTCACATCTGTCCTCGTGAGGACAGAATCTTCACCATATTTATGTCCTCAGAGACTAGCCTAGTACAGTCTCCTGTACAGGAGCACAGGAGGCTCCTTGCAGATGTCGGCTGAACTAAAATGAAGAAACAGCCATGTATGCCTGCATGCTACCGTAAATGCTGATAGATTCGAAATCTGGCTTCTATTATTTCCTGACACTGTAGTCTTACTAAGCCTCAGATGTTTTGCTAACCTATTTTTCATCCTTATAACAACCTGATGAGGTAGGCACTATCACTTCGTTTTACAGTTTGGGAAAACTGAGGTAGTGAGTGGTTTACCAACAGACATGTGAATGGTCTGCCAATCAGCCGGATATCAAGCCACACTGGCCTTGCTTTATAGCCCACCCCGGTTATTTCACACCACATTGATGTCTTATCAAAGCACCAGCAACATTGTCTCTCAGTGTTGCGTTTTTCTCCTTTCCCCATGAGAGACCATACCTAACAGCTTCTTCCACACTTGACTGAACAGGCAAAGCTGTGAAAATACAGGCAAGTGAGCTCTTCTTAGGGAAAATGCCAAACAACCTCCATCCCCAATGGCTGAGAAGGAACAAAGAAACAAATAAATCTACTCTTGATTATGGGCCAGGCACTGCTGCAAGCCAGATCACAATTTTGGGTCACCCACACAGATGAGAAGCCCCTTGTTGGTGACACAAAAAAGCTGCAAGTCACTCAAAAGTGATAGCAAAGGGCCTTCAATACGAGGCCTGATTGATCGAGGCGCAGGGAGAATGTGCTCTTTGTAGACCGTGACAAAACGGCCCCGGTCCATTCATCTTCCCTGACCACAGCCTTTCTCCTTCCCGCTGGGGAAAATGGGCCTCTAATCCAGGGCACAGCTACACCTGCCACGTTCTGTTTCCATGGCTGTGGCTGTCCTGAGATTACTCTTTGAAGAGGAGATAAAAAATGTTCCAGCTGGAAGAATGCTTCCTAATATCTTTATCCTTGAATGATACCTGTGACCTGCAGGAAAAGGGTAAATCGTGCTTTGATGCCAGAAAGTTTATTCTGATAATTAAATTTCATCATTCCTCAAAAGCCACATGATTTTCATCTCTCCCGCTGAAAGAGATTTTGTGTAGGTTTCTAGGTAAATGGCGTCCAGGCAGCCAGTACCACTAAATCACTCAGATTGTGGCCAGCTCTGTGCACAATATATTAGATACCTTGTTGCCCTTAATCCCCACACTGGCCTTCAAGCTAGGCAGGCTTACTCAATGTACAGATGTAGAAAATGAGGTTTCCATCTTAATTCAGAAGAAGGTATTTGACTGGAGCCTTGAAGGAAGAATTAGATTTAAGTAGGCTTCAAATAAGTGGCACAGCATTAGATAAATGACAATGGCACTTAGATGGGTCACTGTGGGTTTGAAGGCCATTGACCAGTTGTGTGACTGTGAGCAAGTCCCGAAACCTTATCTTTGGCAATGGGGATGATGAAAACACCTCTAACCTAGGACTGATCTGATGATTAAATAAACTAATGTGTGGGACAGTGCCTGGTATAAGGAAGGCATTCAACAGAATTGTGATCTTTAATGAAGAAGCAACTAGATACAAAACAAGCCAAAAGCAAAGCAGTAGAGATGAAATGAACTATTACCAGGAGAAGGTAAGGTGTCCGGAAGCAGCCAAGGGTGAGTGACAGAAATGCAGGAGAATTTGCCTGGTTTCAGCGATACATCTGGATTGAGCAAGACCTGGAAGAGAAGTGATTGTAGAAGGGCTGAGTCTAGAATGGCATGGGGAAGAGTCTGGACTTGATCTGGAAGAGGCAAGATGGAGCCATTTCATGTTCTTGAGCTGAGGAGTAGCATGGTGAAAGTAGAGGTATTTGGAGACCTCCTTGGTCTCCGGGATATGATGGCAACTTTGGCATCACATTAGTTGCCAGAATGCTACCAACATTTCTCTTCATTGTCTGATGCTTATAATTCTGTAGTAGTTTTTTTCTCAAAGTATGGTCTGCAGCAGCCAAATCCCCTGGGGAGTCTGAGAAAATTACATAGTTCTAGGCCTTGCCCAAACTTAGGAATTCAAAAACTCTGGTGATAACGCCCAAGAATTCACATGCTTCCAATTCCTCAGATGATTCTTACTCACACATAAGTTTACAAGCCACTTGCCTGAAACAAGGGGTTTCAAACTTGGAATAAAGAAGAATCCTCATCTGTATTATTATAATTTTTGTATTATTATAATCAGGGCACAGTGTTTCCAAGGCTGTGCATAAGTATAATAAACCAAAGATAGCTGTAGCCCTCTTTTAAACTGCCAGACACCTAAAAATAAAGTGAGCAAGGCAACGTGAGTTTAAGCCTCAGAAGAGTGGCCAGAGGAGGGATTACAATTCGCAACTGGTCCCCTGTTACAGAGCAGGACTCTTTAGGCCTATAGCTCATGCCAATTCAGCAGCCTACAGCATATCTCAACTCAAGAGCAGCTTACATTGCTGGCCAAAGAGAGTCCTGGAAAGTAGCTGTGACTCTCACCAGCTCCAAGTTTGGAAGCAAGGTTGCAGAGCAGGAGGGAAGGAGGAAGAGATTCAAATCAAGTTGATAGCATTGACTCAGTACCTACTATGAGGCAGATATCCTGGGTAACTTGATGGACACAGAGGTGGGGAAGACCGAGGCCTGCTCTCATGGGGATAAAATCTAGTGTGATGGAAAACATAAGTAGATGATAATATTAGTGTGAAAAAATGACTATGGAAACAGAGAAAAATAAGAGATCAATTTTAGGTAGTTTAGGAAGGGAAGGCTTTATAAAGGAGGTTTACAATTGAGCAGGGTTTTAATAGAGTGAGTGGCATTTCAGCAGCCAGAGAAGAAAAGTGAGAATATACAAGTAGAGAAAATACTAAGGGAAATAAAGCCAGGGAACTGTAGGAAATATTAAATATTCTGATGCAATAGAAGTGTTGGATTCTTTTCCAGAAATAAGGAGTCAAGAGCATGGAAAGAAAGATTAGAAGCAATTCGTGGAAGCCTTGAATACCAGCTTAAGAAATGCGGTCCTTATTTTGTAGGCAACATGAAGAGCTTTATTAAAATAACCTTGGTGGTAAGGTGGAGAGGGATTTGCAGGTGACAGGCAGCAGTATAGATAGATATCTCTATCCCCACCTGGGCTGAGGCCCGGAAGAGAAGAACTATATGCTTAGAACAACTTTCTCTACCCCTTTGAGCTTAACAGGACACTGGAGAAATGGTAGGTGCTAAATAAATGTCTTTAAGTTGGTTTGTAGCCAGAAAGATTAGTTTAGAGCCACCCTAATTATCTAGGCAGCAGAGATCATGAAAGTTGCACTAGGGCAGTGTCAGGAGACAAAACAGCAAGGATTAGATAAAGAGAGAAGAGATAAAAGGATCCACCTTTTTTCTTTTCTGAGTTAACAGCATTAAATCACTTTCCTACCTTAGCTCAAAGATTCTGGATAGACCAGTGGCATCATTCTCTCATTCCTATCCTCCCTGCCCCTTTGCCCTGGCCATATGATTTATAGCTCTCTCCTTCAAGAGATGAAGTCTATATCCCCACCCCTTGAATTTGGGCTGACCAATGCCTTGCTTTGGAAAACAGAATATGGAGGAAGTGAGTCAGTTCTGAGCCTAGGCCTCAAGAGGACTTGAACAATTCTGCAGTGTTTTGGAAACATGCCACCACAGTGAACACAAGCTCAGGCTAGCCTGTTGAGGAAGGGGACACAGCTCATCTGAAGCCTTCCTATACCAGCCATTCCCTGGCTGGCCCACTAGCTGGCAGTGATGCACAGGAACAGACAAGATCAGCCAAGCCCAGGTGAGACCAGCCAAGCTCAGCTGGGATTAGCAGAACTGTCCAGTCAACCCACAGACTCAAGAAAAATAATAGTTGTTTTGTTTTGTTTTTAAGCATAACTGTTGTGGTAGTTTGTTGAACAGCAATAGTCAACTGATATAGGTGGGGTTAAAATGTCCCCAGGGAACTTCTATACAGTTTCTCATGACAAACAAGAGCTAGACCCTCCTTAGTGAACATTTTAAGCCAAGTTGTAAAAATAAAATAAAGAATGTTTCAGCATCAAGCTGAGGAGGATTTGCTAGATAACAGATTATTTTATTCTTTCAACAAACAAGTTGAACATTAACCATGTGGTTGTTAGGCATTTAGCACCTAATTAAGCACATGAGTACTTAAAGGATACACTGGTGACCAGGACAGGCCCTTCTCTTGCAGAGCAGGCCCTTCACTGTTACCGAGTGTTGTCATGTCCAACAGCTCATTTGATTCTCACATTTCCCCATTTACAGATAAGAAGACTGAGGTTCCAAGAAGCCAACTAATTTTCCAAAATTTTATTCAGCCAGTTAGCAAGTTCATGTGCTCCACTAGGCTGAGAGCTCACTGTGGGATGAGAAGAGAGATCCTTGTCTTCCCAACTCCTTGGGACCAGATGAGTAGATCCCATCATTAGATTTTAAAGAAATAAATAATAGGACTAGAATTCAGTTCCATAGTTCTGACTCCAGTTCCTCTGCTTGTTCTATGATAACCATTTTAAGTTGAAGACAATATCTATATTCAGGTAAAGGAAAGGAAATTCCCATTCCTCATATTTCCAGCTCCCAACTTGAGTGCTGAGTGCAGTGAGGATATCTGCTTGAGGTAGCTATAAAAGTCCAGGGACTCAGGCATGGCAGGATCTAGGTGCTCAAATATTTCTCTCTTTTCATGTCTCAGCTTTGCATTGCTCTGAGCTGGCGTTCTTCTCACACTGTCTTAGCATGAGGGGTAAAATAGCCCTTGGGAACTCTAGTTTTCAAGATTTTTTCAGCTTAAGATCTGAGAGACACTCTTTCCTTGAATGTGCATGTTAATTCTTTATATTGTACACTCACCCAGGTTAGGTTATATGCTAAATCTTGGACTAATTTTGGTGTCCAGGAGAATAGTGTATTTTGAATGGCCATCTTTCTGGTAAGGCGAACAAAGACAATCAGTGACCACTACGGTAATCAGTAAATATGTTCAAGTAAATTAATTAATGAATCTTGGCTCACAAAAATTCAAATCTATCTCCTTTGCTAAGGAACAAACCAACATCCTTTGCCTGTCCCCCTCACCCCTGCACACCCTCACTGCATTCCATGGGCTGAATGTCATCTAACCAATAACCCTTCCTGGGAAGCAAGATATGGCCTGCAATTCTAGTGGCATCTGTACACTCAGCATATAATTAAATCAGAGGCAAGTACAGCTGGTGGAAGCAGGAAGACATGCATAAACTCTTCAATCTAGGAATGTGTGTGGACCCTGTCATTATATCCCCCCACTTGCTAATCTACCCGACTAGGATTCCATAAACTCTGTAAATCTGACTCTTCTCTGGCTGAAAACTGTATGAGTCCTCTTTTAAACTGTGGCTTTCCTCTTTCTTTCTCTTCATTGAATGTTCTTGCAAATCATTACCAAATTGAAAAGATTTACAAGTCATTGGATGAGGAATTGATCTAGAAGATATTCAAGGTACAATGTCACCATGGGGTGGGGCAGGGAGAGTAGGTTTTAAGATAGAAATGCTATCTATTCCACATTTCACTGTGGAATTTTGTCAGGTTACTAAACCTCTCTGAGCCGCTGCATTTACATCTGTCAACATCAGTAATAAAATCTACCTCCTATGGTCATTTATGAGGGTTTAATGTCATTAAGAACATAAAAGGCCTAGCGTGGCAGCGGGAACATGACAAGTGTTTGACAAATGTCAGTTCTCCCCTTTTTTATAGACATAAAATGCTTTGAATCTCCTTGTTAAATAAAGTTAAAAGAAAAGGTAAAGGAATGTTCTTTAGAAATGATCTTCTTAAAGCCAAAGCAAAATCAAAATACTTACCTAATTGTCTAGACTACTCATTTCTTTATTCACTCAATTAGTTATTCACTGAGTTCCTGATATCTGACAGGTCCCCTGCTAGTGCTTGGATGCAACCTTGAGTTAAACATAAGTTCCGGGCTTAAGGAGCTTGTGTCTAGTGGATATGATTATTATCTAATGAGGGATGTGTTTAAAGCAACTGCTGCATTTTGGCTGATGAGCAGTGCCCTCACACTCTTGCATTGTTATTCAAATCCTAGGCACTTATTTTTTTATCCCTCCAAATAAACTACAAGCTAAGAAATTTTGTATAGCCTCCACATTGCCAAATAAGTGATAAATTAAAAAAAAATGGAAAAGAAAGTGAGGATAGAAAAGAAAATGTTCTTTCCATTTTCTCATTGATGAACAATTTTCCTCTGAGTAAATATTTAAGGATAGCCAGGTTCTGAGATTCTCCTATTAGCACGAACACAGTGTCACAGTATCTATTTAAGCATACCACAGCATTTTTTATACTTTACTTTTTCTCATCTGTAAACTAGACATTGTAGTACTTTCCCATATTAATCTCATCTTGTATGCTCGTGATGCATTCAAGAGCAGAGGTAATATTTTCTTTGCTGATATGTCTCTGCTTTTAGCAATTTCTAACACATACTATATGATCCATAAATGGCAATGGCTTGAAACAACAAACGTGTCTTGTTTCTCTTGCGTCAGTGGGTTGGGTGGGCCATTCTGACATGGGCTGGGCTCAGCTGATCTTGACACACTCCTCACTTATGATAAATTACTGATCAGCTAGCGAGCCAGCAGGGGGCTGGCTGGTCTGGGATGGCCTCAGTTAAGATGACTGTGTTTTGCTCCACATGGCCTCTCAGAGATGACAGGGTCTTCTGGAAAACAAAGGGTTAGCAAGACAGCACTTAGTTTCTTAACAGCACCAAGATACATCCTAGGAAAGCCACTCCATTAGATAGGTCCATATGAGTACAAAGAAGAGATAAATAAAATGGATGTTCTGATTCTACATATATATTCTGCTGAAGGAAATATTCAACCTCTCTGGGAGGCAACTTAGTAATCTGTGCTAAAACACAACCTGGATGCTCATTTGGGCTTGAGGTTGGGAAATGAGCTGGGCACAGAGTGGCAGGTGAGAGAATGCCAAGGGGAGGCGAGTGGGAAAAGAGATGGAGAAGGCAAGGCAGGGACCTCAAAGGGCACTGTGCATCCTGAAGTCCTCTTACATCTCTGTCCTATGCTCTTCCAAGGACCACTTAACTCTCTGAGAGTGAGCCATGAGTCCAGAGTCTCTTCCTACTTCCTAGAGACAAGTGAGAAGAAAATGTGGACAATTAAACAGGTGGAACAAACCATGCAACTCAGGCTGACTCCCCAGCCTCTCAAGTGGATAGGGGTTGGGGGCAAATCCCACGATAGAGGCAGCCCCTCCCCAGCCCCCTAGGCAAGGAAAGCAGTTGTCTAAACTTGCCAAGCATCATGAACAGACTACACCAAAGCCACTAAGTGGGCAGGTAATGCGACATTCAAATGTAACTGGATTTCTGAGCTTCGATCTCCGAAATCTCTGCAGGGGGGAAAATCTGCCTCTGTTTTTTTCCTTATCTCCTATGTCTGGGTTGTTGGAGGTAGCAGCAAGTTTGGCAGTCTGGAATATGTTCTCCATTGTGTTCTTTCTGTGAAGAAAATTACAACGTGAAAAGGAAAGGGGGTGGAGAGGAACACTGCATTCTAAACAGTCTCAGGGAGATAATTGCAAAGTCTCCTTTGCTCTCTCCTGGTTCCCTCTCCCTTCCCAGCTTCTCTGAGTTTTCTTTCCCTTCTACGATCTGGCAAAGGGCCTGCCGTAAAAACTGCCTCTGCAGACAGAGGAGGCCTCTGGGGCTGGTGCTTCTCTGTGATGTGCCAGCTGCTTCTCCCCTTCTTCCCAGGCAGCGTGGTACCTGTCCATTGCTGCTAACAGTGGAAAATTCAGAGGTTTTCTTGGGGAAAGGTGAGCTGTTTTGTTTTTCTTCATTTTCTTGGTTCTTTGGGTTGTTCCTTTAACACCTTAACTTTCTGCTTGGGCATAATTCAGTTAAGATGGGTCCCAGGACTTATTGAGTAACTATCTCATTGTTTCATACATTTATAAGCACATAATAACTATGATTTATTGATGTTTTACTATATGTCCAAGAAAAATATTAAGCATCTATGTCCCTGACTTTATTTAATTTCCACAGCCATCCGGGGAAATAACATTTTATTTGTATTTTCATGTTAGAGATGAGACGTGGGATCTCAGTGAGTTCCAGTCACTTGCTCAGGTTCACAAGCATTGCCACAATTTGAACCTAGTTATTTCCCATCTCCACTAGAACAGGCCCACCCACAAAACGGAGAAAAGCAGTCCTAAGTCCTCAACATCCTTGGGGTCTTAAGGAAGGAGACAGAAACCATAAATGAGGTGATTGGTTCTAGGCATGGCCACATGATCCATTTCTGGCCAATAAAAAGCAAGCAGAAGAGGCCACCTTCCAGGAGATGAAGTGACTTGCCCAAGGTCACCCAGCTGTAGATCAAGGCTGGAGGGAAAAAATCCATAGTTCTCCCACTATGGAAACTTAAAGAATTGTGACTGCCAGATCACTTAACAGATGATTGAAATACTGCTCAAAAGATCATTCTCCCTGCCCCACTGTGCACAGCTTGAAAGAGAATGCCATACAAAAAAGAATAACCTTGTTTTTCTTTTTTCCTCCTTTTTTTTCTCGTTTCTTCTTCTTTTTTTTTTTTAATTTAAGTATTGGTTTGTTGTGTATTTATGTCCCCATTTACTAGATAAAAAAACTGAGTCTCAGAGACAATAGGTCACCTGTGATCTGAAGGCCAGGGTTGTTTCCTCCACACCAGTGTTTCTCGCAGGGTAGCTGCTGGACCAGCAGTACCAGCATCACTTGGAAATTTGTGAGAAATGCAGATTTTCAGGCTCCACCCCTGACCTACTAAATCAGAAACTTTGGTGTTGGGGCCCAGCACTGTGAGTTTTAGCAAATCCTCTTGGTGATTCTGATGCAACAACTCAAGATTTAGAACTACTGCTCTATGGTGGCTTACAATTAATAACAAAATCCAACTGTAAATTCATATATTTTCGACTTCTATTGCTTTAACTAGAGACTGTTCTGAAAGCAATTTCATTTTGACCTTGGACAAATCAGTTGGAAAAGCAAAATGCCAGCAAACTTTTAAAAATCTAATCAGCCATGCAACTTGTGATACACTGACATTTGGTACATGGCACAAAACAGCAGGTTGCTGCATTAAGTACAAAGGTATGAAGGGGAGGGGAAGGTTTTTCCAAGTTCTCACTGTTTCCTTCTTGTGCTGTGCCCAGCTGACGCTGAACAAACTGGATTCCACCTCAGCTATGAAGACACAATAGGTCAGTTTGAGATGTTCCCCTCCAAGGATCTCATTGTACTGATGAGAAACCACGCCACCTTCCTTGAGAGTAAAGTGACTTGCCCCAGGACACCCAGTTGCAGGGAGAGGCGGGGGAGGCAATCAATCCACACAGTTCCCATCGGCACCAATATTTAATTAAGCTGACTGCCAGGCAACTTGAGCAGATGTTTAAAACAGTGCTTCAAATGACCATTTTTCCTGTGTCCCTGTTGTCATACGATGTGGACGAAAATGCCATAAAAATCAAAGAGTAACCTTGGAGTGTTTTTCTTCGTTTATTCTAAACTTTAGGTTTGTTGCATTTTTAAATGTTTTCAAGATTTTTCAGTGGTAAAGTGATAGTGCTATAAAAGTACTTATGTAATGCCTTCAGGTTTCAAAGCAAACAAAAATCAAGAAATGTTCTGTTAAACCAGTTTGGAAATATCTAGGTAGAGCCTAATTGCTCTCTGTCCTTCTGCATCTGAATTTGCTGGTAGGGTTGAGCCTCCATTCTCTTGCTGTCATCACCTTCCTCTCCATGCTGTATGTTGGTTCCTGCTCCACAGCCCTATGATTTCTCCCCAGCGGTCATCAGCACCCTCATTGTCTGGCTTTGAACTCCTCTCTTGCTTTCACTCTAGTACCCTTCCTTCCTTGGTCACTGTTCCTTCTCCATCTCCTCCTAGAATTTACATCCTCTGTGAACCCTCAAATATTGGTGATCTCCAAATTCTCTGATTTCTGTCAGTCCATTATATTTTAGGAAAATTCCATTTCAATATACCAAAAGCTCAAATATATATCTATGCCACTCTGACTGCTTTTCTGAACCTCAGACTGGAATATCCAACCCCCTGCAAGATCTCTCCCTTAATGATTTCTAACTTCACTTGGTCAACACTGAATTCATCTTCCTGCTTCTCTAAAAACCTGTCCCCTCTGTACAGTAAGACTCAATATGTGATAACATCAACTATCTAGTTAATCCTCACTGATTCTCACCAGTGTCACTTTCATAGCATACACACACTCATACACTGTATATACATACACACCACACCCCATACACTGTGACTGTAGTCAAAGGCCAGATCCTCTCAGTTTTGACTCTAGACTTTTCTCCAACTCCATTCCCACTGCTCTTGAGCTGAGATTCTCATCACTGCTCACGTAGCCATTGGAAGAGTCTCCTCCTGCTCTCCTTACCTCCAGCCTCAGTCTCCTTGAATGAAAGCTGCATGATGCAGCCAAAGGAATTCTTTAAAATGCATATCAACCATAGCCCCCCTACGTCATACTCCCCATCTACTAGTGCCTGTAGAATAAAGTCCTAGCTCTTAAGCATAGCCAACCAAATCCTCCTTGACCTGATCCTAGAGTCCCTTTACTGTCTCCATAAGAAATTTGCCACCAACCAGCACCATGATATCTTCAAACACTTTACTGAAGATCTGGGGGCAATTGATGTCAATAAAAAACTATTGATTAAAAAAACAAACATTAGTGGAAATGTGATCTACAAAGTAGAGATTTGGAACACATACTTTAGTTATACCAAATTCTACTGCCCCTCCAATGCCATAGCACTTAACTAGCTAGGTGGCATGGAAAAAGAAAAGGGTGTGCAGCCACAAGAAAGACAGAGGGAGTTCTTTATCTACTGACATGGACATATGATCATTTATTTAAGGAGCCCCCTATTGATGGAAATAGAGATAGTTGCTAATCTTTACAATTTACATTACTAAGATATCGGTCTGTCTGTCCGCCTTAGGGACAGTAGGCCTGAAGGGCGGGCAGAGTAAAACTGGGGACCCTAGTTACAGAGCAATAGGCCAGCTAAGAGAAGGGAGGTATTTAAGGACCTAGAGGCCCTGGACTTAAGGCATTTAACCTTGCTAGGAGAAATGCAATAAATCAGTAATTTCAGTGCATTCATTCATTTAACACATTTATTCAGCATCTATTATGTTCTTCGGGCTCTATCAAGCCCTGAAGATAAAGTATGGAATAAACACTTGACCAGTCTCTGCCATCATGGAGCTTTCAGCCTATTGAGGAAAGACGGGTAAGTATTTCAGAAGGGGCTAATCCAGCCTGGCGAGAGGATGGAAGTGGTTTTCAGTAAGAGCTGCACTCAGCAGCGATCACAGAGGTAGAAAAATCGCTTATCAGTGGTTCTCCAAGTGTGGTCTTGATCTGTAGCAGAAGCATCACCTAGAAACTGGTTAGAAATGCACATTGTAGATACCACTGCAGACCTCTGGAATGATAAACTCTAGGATGGGTGGGGCCCAGCAATCTGTGCTTTAGTAAGCTCCCCCAGGGGGTCTTTACACAGCCACAATTTGGGAGCCACCACCTAGAAATCCAAAAGATATAAAGCAACTTTCTCTGGCTGGGACTGATCTGGAAAGCTTAAGGCAGGAAGTGACCTATGAGCCCACCTTCAAAGGAGAGTGAGAGTTCCCCAGGAGGACAATCAGAGCTGGTGGGGAACATTCCAGAAATTCCAGGTGTTTGTGTTCCTGAGCCAGCTCGTAGTACCTCCAACCTACATATTTTTCTTAATAGATTTAGAACTAAATCGGGGGAAATGACTTATGCACAAAGTTATTAGCTGCATTTTTGCAAACAACGTAAACACCCGTCAGCAGAAGACTTGTTGAATCAACTCTGATTCATGCATGTAAATGAGGACTCTTCCTCAGTTTAGAAGGAGAGAAGTCTTTATCTACTGACTGGGAGGTGAGTTGTAAAATACAGTGCTCAGTACAAAAAGCCAGCTGCAAAATCATGCTACCTTGTCTGTGAAAAAATAAAACCATACATATATGTGTAGAATACTGCAGAGATGCATAAGAAACCAGTAACAGTAGTTTGCCTCTCAAGTGGCGAATTTAAGGAAGCAGGATAGGAGAGGCGGGTGATCTTCACTGGACACCACTTTGCACCTTTTCAATTTTGTTTTATGTACATAGGGTTACCAATGTAAAGAAACAGGAGAGATATCCTCTTCAATAGGCGAACAAGTGGAGGGGAGAGGAGAAGGCGCCTGTTCTGAACACCCTCTCTCAATCTCACCCCTGTGACACCTCTTGGGGAATTTGGCAGGGTGGGGGATGTGACAGGGAGGGGTGCTCGGTGTGGTGTTATATTTATTGCTTTCAGTACCTATTTTGTTCTAACAGGATGTGCTGCTTAGGGTCGCAGCCCAGGACCAAAGTAATAAAAAGGTTGCTGTTCTTGTTACAAACCTTGAGTTCCTGGTATTTGGGAAATGGTCACTGAATAGAGCAACAGCGGGGGTGGGAGACAGAGGTGCAAGAATTGGGGGAGGGGCACAAACAACCACTGTGGTGGGAAAGGGGCCCCATGGGGAGCTCCATTCAGAAAAAGAACAATTGGTGGTTTCAGGCAGCTGAGCTGAGAGCAGGGAGGGAAATGAGACAGCCTATGAGAGAGGAAGACACTGACCCTTGCCACTATCCAAAAAAGGAAACAAAAAATAGGTGCAAAAGAAGTGGCTTTTCATACAAAACGCTTCTTGGTTTAGCAGCTTTTGGCACTCTCAGAAAAGATTATCTTGACATCTCTTTTCTATCTCGGCTTCCCCATGTCCCTGGAAAGAGAGGGAGCTCACCTGGGATTACAAAGCACCAAGTACGCATCTCGTTCTGCTTACTGTCCCTTTTTGTGGTCACCTTGAATCCTCTCCAAATCTCTTCCAGAAAAACATCCATTTTGCAGATATGAAACTGAGGCTTCGAGCAGCAAAGTAACTTTCCCAAAGTGGTCATAGTGGAGCCAGACTTTGAACCCAGGTCTTTCAGACTCTAAAGCCTCTACTACACTTTGCTGCACTTGCTATACGATTTTAGACTTCTCATTTTGCCTCTCTGATTTACAGTGTCAAGTGTAGTGTTCATGTTCACTGTACAGGCAGAGATAGAGAGAGAGAGAGAGAGAGAGAGAGAGAGATGGTGTGCTACACTTAGCTAAGGAAAGATCTCTTCTCAGACTCTGAAACCACTCTACTTGGAATCAGCCACTTGGGCCCAGACTCAGACCCCTGGATTTGAAAACTGCAGTTGAAGGGAGCAGAGAGCATGGTGATGTTTCCAAGAAGACAAAAAAAATTCACCAAGGAAATCCTGTTTAAGACAGAGGAAGGATTCCCAGTATTTATCTGAGCTAGTAACCATGGTTTGTATTTGCTTCTGTAAAATACTGGTTTATCAAGTGCATGTACATGACGGCAATCTTGAGCCCACCCATCACAGGAGTTTTCTCCCGTCTTCATATTGGCCAATAGCCAGGTCTACACAGCTCTCCAGCTCCAAGAACATTGTCAAGATAAAGGTTTATTTGGAAGGGATGTGACCTTCTTTGGGGTTTCAACAAAACCCTGCAGATGGCTTTAAACTGAAAGGCACCTTGACTCAAATAAGATATGACATCTCTGGAATTTGTTCGTTGAATCATTCAGCAAGGTTCATTGAAGACCTATTGCATCCTAAGGATACAGAGATGACTAAGAGATAATTCCAGTCTTTACACAACTTATAGACACTAACATATACAAGTGTAGCAGCAAAAGATGAACTCTAAAACAGAGACCTCAGCCAAGGCTACGGAGCACAGTGTGGCAAGTGGTCAATTCTCTCCAGGACTGGGGCAGTGAAGCAGAGGTGAAGAGTGGGGAATTGTAAGAAGCCTCTAAAGGAAGCTTTGAGATAAGCCTAGCAGAATGGAAAAAAAAATAAAATAAAAGGCATTCCAGGTAGAGAGAAGAGCGTGAGCAAATTTTTGGAGGCTTGAAAGTTTATTATTCATGCAAAGATGTTGCTCATACAGGAAATCTGTCTCAAATTTTTTGCCCTGCTACCAACTTGCTATATGATTTTAGACATCTCATTTTGACTCTTTGATTCGTAGTCTCAAGTGTAGTGTTCATGTTCACCGTAGAGGCACAGAGAAAGAGAGAAACAGAGAGAGACTTATTTCCATTTATGGTAAGAAGGGATACAGAATTGCATTGTCAGAGAGAGTCCTAGCTGGATTTATCACAACCTCTAGGAATCTCTCCATGAGACACACATGTTTGACTAAAAGGCCAGGGAGGAAGAATTCCAAGGTTAGCTAGTGGTTGTCATTCATATTGCCTCATATTTGAGATCTATGATCAACTTCTCAAGAAAAGAGGAAGTAAGTATGAAAAAGGCTCAACAGCTGAAAGTAGCCAGTCTTGGCAGAATTGATTGCTGGTGCTCTGGGAGAGCCAAGAGATGGAGTTGTCCCTTAGATTCATGTTGCTTTCTCATGCTAGACCACTGGCAACCTCCCTCTTTTACTGACCAGACCCAGCTTCAACATCAACTCTTCCTACATTCCTTCCCTGACCAACTAAGAGAGGTCAGGTACCCTCTCTTCTGTGCTTTCTAACACTACCTGCTTCCTTCACTGTAGCCTTTAGCATACTGAATTGTAATTGCCTACTTACTATTTAACACCTCTCACTAGACTGTACATTTCATTAGGACACCATGCCTGTCCTTTATACAGCTAGCCTGCTACACAACATGGGCAAAGTAACTGCTGAATATGAATAAGTGAACAAATTAATGGGAAATGAGAGGATGAAGGTTGGAAGGTAGTAAGCAAATGGCAGTTTGCACAGAGTGGTCAAGAAGACTAGTTCCCTACATCATGAATTATATACTCTCTTGGATCCTAGGTACCAGTTTGGATGAGTGCAAGGGAGGAACAAAGGAAGTCCCAGAAAAAGAAGCGTTGTATTACAACTGTCCTTGGGACAATATGTTATCTCCCAGCTGCTGGAATTTTAAAAGCCAAATGCAGTTTCTGGCCATTTCTCCATGGGCATCAAAAGGCACAATCTACTCCTACCTGCAATAGTTAGCTTCAGGTGGCTAGGCCAGATGAGTTTTTTAAAGACATGAAAAAAATGTTTTAAGAAAAAAAAAATGAGAAACTATTTGATATGGGAGATGACAGGCTAGAATGAAATAGAAGAATTGAAGTGAGCTCTACTGAGCCACAGGAACAAGTGGGGAAGTTAAGATAGATGATGGTGAAGGTAATAATGATAATAATAAAGATAATGATGATGATAAAGGCAATAGTGATGATGATGATGAAGATAGTAGTAATGGTGATGATGATAAAGGCAATAGTGATGGTGATGATGATGACAATGATAAAGGCAATAGTGATGATGATGATGATGGTGGTGGTAAGAAATGTCAACATTTTGAGCATCTCAACACAGGCCTTCTATATGCATTCTCTCATTTACTCAACAACAACTCGAGAAGGTGGGTATCATTTTTATCTTTATTTTAAAGATGAAGAAAATAAAACTCAGAAAGGGTAAATAATTTGCTCATGAGCACAAATCATTTTTTTTATTTTTTATTTATTTATTTTTTTTGAGATGGAGTCTTCCTCTGTCACCCAGGCTGGAGTGCAGTGCAGTTCAGCGGCACCATCTCAGCTCACTGCAACCTCCGCCTCCCTGGTTCAAGCAATTCTCCTGTCTCAGCCTCCCAAGTAGCTGGAATTACAGGTGCCTGCCACCATGCCTGGCTAATTTTTTTGTATTTTTAGTAGAGACAGGGTTTCACCATTTGGGCAGGCTGGTCTCAAACTCCTGACCTCAAGTGATCCATCCACCTCAGCCTCCCAAAGTGCTGGGATTACAGGCATAAGCCACCGTGACTGGCCATGAGCACAACTCTTATAAGTGGTAAAGCAGCCAGGACTTAAAGCACACTGAATCCAAAGCCCCTTCAGCTAACTTTTTTATAGTCTTTTTTACTTATTTACTTCAGATCTTGAAATCTTCATGCCAATACTCCTTCTGCGCTGGATAACAGTCTATCGAGGTCATTGCTAAGAAGAAATAAACATGATATCAAACTTAGTTCCCCAGAAGTAGTTCAATACACTCCGGACTGTACACACTAACTCAATGGTGACTTTGATTTCATATTCCAAAATGAATGACTGCAGGTGCATAGCAAGTGGCATCCAGAACTCCATTTCAGAAGATAGAAAGTCAGTTCAGATGTGGTAGGATTAATTGAAAATTCAAATGGTACATTTCACAATTTGCATAAATCACGGAATTGTAATATAGATTCCATTCATTCTGTGAGTTGTCCCTCTTTATTCAATAGCAGCCTGCAAATCCTTTCAAAACTTAGAGTCACAAGTCTTTGCCTTGGAAAGAATAATCATGGAATCCATTGACATTCAGAAACTTGGTTAGGTGCCTGATCCATTCCAGGGGATTTAATCACTATGCTCTTGACTAATTGCCAGCTCTTAAAAGACAGAAAATATGACCATTATTTTCTATTTACCCAAAAGTCAGGGCATATATGGTCTTGTTAATTTAATGGTCTGGTGAATAAAAGACTACAGCTAACAGAAGATAAATTTCTACATTTCCAAACTGTAGACTATAATATAATACAGTACATTTAACCTCATATGAAGTCAGAATGCCTTACAGTTTACAGAGTACTCTAAAGGACATTACCAAATATGATGCAACAATGCCATGAGAAAACTAGAAGCATTATCTACATTAGAGATAAAAAAAGCTTGAAGAGATTTAATTATGTGCTCCATGTGACATAATTAAGTCTCTTCAAGCTTTTCTATCTCTAATGCAGGAGATAGAACTAGAATTTGAGCTGTGCCTCCTAACTCCTCACTCAGAGATCATTCTGCCATCTGCTCTGCCCCACAGTTTTTGCTCACTTTCTTTCTAGCCAAGACAAGTGGACATACAGAATTTATAGACAATAAGCAAGCCACCCAGAAGCACTGTCAACAAACTTAGTACAAAAGAAACATGGAATTTATTATGGAATACAGCTGGTTATAAGCCCATGCAAAAAGTCATGTCCTACTAACTTTTTTTTTTTCCCTGGGCTCACCACAGAGTAAATGTTTGTTGACTTCTGCAACAAGCATATTACCATTCTGTTCAGATAAGAAAGTTGTTTGTGGGGAGTCCTGAACCACAGGCCAACTCTCTTTTACTTAGTTACTCTGTCAAGTCAAATCAGACCAAGAGCTCAGATACAGCTTGTTCCTGATCAGGATTCCCTGTGATCTTCCTCCAAGAACAATCTCATTGCATGCTGTCAGGAGATATCTCCTTAACAGCAGTAAAAGAAACACTACATGGCATCATACTAATGAAGTCAGAACCTGGCCGGGATCTGACAGTGGACACCAAGTTAGGGACTAGCTTCCATCTTCAGCTTGCATTACATGTAGGACATCCCAGATGTCTCCCAAAGAAACAAGAATAGACCAAAAGAGTTGTTCCTAGCCTAGTGTAGGTGCCCTAGAGTATGGAAACTAGACAAAGTTCCCGTGGAGCCAAATGACAAGGCCATATTTTCAGGGATGGCCAGTTGCCCATTTCCCTTGTTGACCACTGGCCACTTTTCAATGGGGGAATACCTATTATCCTACAGACCAGATCAGTCAATAGGGATGGACTGTCAGAGAATTGGGAATCAAACTATTCTGGTTTGAACATCTTTATTTTTCTAGCTATGTGACCTTGGACAAGTTGATTAACCACCGTGAGCCTTAGATCCCTCTTCTGTAAAATGAATGAGCATGAGGATTAAATAAGATCATGTTTGTAAAGCATCTAGTACACAGTAAGAGTTCAATAATATGGAGCTGGATTTCATACAACATGTAAAAATTATAGACGACTAAAATTACCCTTGAGAATTCTTTGAATTGCCCAGACAGAACAATATACATTAAATACATGTGTATATAAAACACGTGTATATATAAACAAATATGTATAGTCTGCCATAATAATATAAGTAACATATACTTATAAATATATGATATATTTGGCAGTTAGTGCATATGCACATATATAATAAAATGTATGATACCATAAAATAGTATCATAATTATATATAAAAGAGTTTGTAGTTGATTTTTGTGAGTTAAATAAACATATGCAAAAACCCTACTCTAAATAGAAGCTGAGCATTTACCATGTTACTCTCCTAAAGGTTGTAGATGCAAAGGAGCATGAAATGTCTGATAATAGTAAATTAAGCATATTCTCTACTCAACACTCTTCTAGGCACTGTTTCATCTATTTCCTCACTTAGTTTTCACAGCAACCTTACAATGTAGTTTCTATTACTACTCCCATTTTACAGGTAAGGAAGCCAAGGAACAGAGACGTTAAGTAGCTGGAATAAGATCACATAGGAAATATAATATATAGTCTGGCCCCCAAAGGAGATTGTGATCTAGTTATATAGATGAATGGAAAATTAAATCGATGCTACTTAAATATTTTAAGATGACAATCTGGAAGAAGTAATATGACTGACAGAGGTCTGATACAGACAATATTTTCTGGACTTAGGATTTCAGAACTGGAAGGGCCCTAAATGAAACTGGTCAGTGTAAGGGAAGGAGAGTTTGCTGTGGGGTCGGAGGTTCCAAAAGCACTCTTCTAAAGTTAAAACTGAAGCTGTGCCTTAAAGGAGGGAAGGACGGGTACGGCTAATCAGATGGTAAGAAAATGGAAGCCAATATATTTATGCTGATTATGGGTGTAAAAATTCAGAGGGAAGCCATTAACTTTCCATTTCGTGGATATATAGGTAAGTGGAGCTGTGGCTATGATGTCAAAAGATAGGAGCAGTGTAAAAAATAAGCCAAGGTCATATTGTGTCGGCCTCTGGGGTGGCACTCCCAGGAATTTGCCATGAACCTCAGGAAGCCCTTGAAACTGTGGAGCAAGAAGATGAAAAAGGGCATTTGGGGGGAATAAAATCTCCCATCCCCGGCCCAAAATGTTTTGGCCATCAAACCAGCAGACTGCCCCTCCATGAGAAACAGCTAAAAACAGTTCCAAGGAGCTCATTTTTACCCAGCAAACAAATCATTAAGCAAATGTGTCTGCTTTCAGGATGAATCTGGACTTTCCAACCCTTGGATGACACCTTCACATGCAGCCCACAAGGCCTCTGCTGAATGTCACTTGCAGCCTAACGAGAAAGCCATTCCTGGCACTAGATAATCGATGGTCGTGGTTTGTTTTCAAAGCTCCTGGTAAATTAGGTCTCCTGGAAGGCACCTTCCCCGAACCTTCCCCCACTGTATTTATGCTTAATTCTTTTCATTTTTCATTGCTTCCCCAAATTAAATTTATGTGTGCACTTGGCAAATTGTTGCCATTAGTGTAAACATTCACTACAAGACATTCCCCAAGTTCTGGTGCCTAGAGATATCGTAGTAAAATGAATTGTTCTCCCCCTCGATGTCTTCTTTGTATATTCACTCACTTTGATAAAGGTCCATTGATATCAAGTAAGCTTGTTTTGCAAAGCTCTGATCAGAAAAGCTTGATCCAATAGAGGATTTGTTTATTTTAAAGAACTTGAAGATAACTCAACATTGAAGTAGCTCATGTGTTGAATAGTAGCACATAGTGATGAGGTGTGCTGTTGTAACTAAGCTCTGTTAGACATTGTAAGTTACAGGGATGGGCCTGGGGTGGAGGTGGGGACATTCGGGGGAGACTGATAGGGCAAGGAGGACCTATAAGAAAAGACTCAGAGGACTTTCCATCTTAAAGAAAATTTTAACGGATCAAGAAGTAAAAAAAATAAAAAATAAAAAAAAGACAGACCCAAAGAGACGACAACAGAGAATAGAGAATAGTGCTACAATGCAACATTTTTTTTGAGACAGATTCTTACTCTGTAGCCCAGGCTGGAGTGCAGTGGTGTGATTTTGGCTCACTGCAACCTGTGCCGCCTTGGTTAAAGCTATTCTCCTGCCTCTGCCTCCTGAGTAGCTGGAATTATAGGTGCCTGCCACCATGACCAGCTAATTTTTGGGTTTTGTTTTTTGTTTTTTGTTTTTTAGTAGAGAGGGGTTTTCACCATGTTGGCTAGGCTGGTCTTGAACTCCCGACCTCGTGATCCATCTACCTTGGCCTCCCAAAGTGCTGGGATTACAAGCGTTAACCACTGCACCAGGCCAATGCAACACTTCTAATACTTACCCCCAACTTTCCAACTTTACCAATTTTATAAATGTCAAACTCAGTTTCTTGCTGATTTGGTTTTTTGTTTTTATTTTGTTTGTTTGCTTGCTTTTGAGACCGAGTCTCATTCTGTTGCTCAGGCTGGAGTGCAGTGGCTTGATCTCGACTCACAGTAAACACTGCCTCCCAGGCTCAAGTGATTTTTCTGGCTTAGCCTTCTGAGTTGCTGAGATTACAGATGCCCACCACCATACTGGGCTAATTTTTGTATTCTTAGTAGAGACGGGGTTGCACCACGTTGGCCAAGCTGGTCTCAAACTCCTGACCTCAGGTGATCCACCCACCTCGGCCTCCCAAAGTGCTGAGATTACAGGCATGAGCCACCGCGCTTGGCCTGTTGCTCATTTTGTTCTGCATAAACATATATTATCTATTGAGAGTCTGTCCGGAAATATATTTGTTTCATAGTTAACTTGATTCTGAAAACCCAAGAATCACTTTACTTTTTTTCCAGGAGAAAAGATAGTATAACATATAACCCAGGCCTCTTATGCTAGTTTTCTCACTGCCTCAGATAGAAAGAGCTGATATCCAGTATGCCATTCCTGTTCTTTCTCACACTTCAAACGTGCCTTCCTACTCTCTCTATGACAGTACACCTCATACTTTAAGACTCAACTTAATACCTTTATTGAATAACCATGGTCTCTTCCATATGCTAGTAAAAGAATTAAAAGCACACATGTTAAAGTCAGATGTATATGAGTTTGGAGTCCAGCTCAGCCATGTACCACATCTCTGCTCTTGAAGAATTATTGAGTCTCTCCAAACTTTGGTTTCCTGATCAGTAAAATAAGCATTAAATAAGAAAATAAATGCTGCCTTCTGGTAGGCTCCCTGAGGGGAAGTAAGTGCTCAGTAAACTATAGCTGCTCTGGCTATGACTTACCATTGGTTTTTCTGTGTATTTAGTGCCCTACCACACTGTTTCCCCTTGGGTTCTGTGCTGTCATTCTGTCATGCTTTAATCCTCTCTTGTGGATGAAATTTTTCACTCAAAGAAGACTCTAAGACCTTTCACAATATAACTCTTAGACTAACTACCACTTAGCCAACTTCTCTCCTTCTGATGCTAACTTCAATCTGCTGCATTGTTCTCACTTCCTGCCTCATCATCACTGCCTCTTCTCTTTGTCCAGTTCCTCCTGGAATCTCACCCAGATTCTTGCACAAATCTAGCTAAAGACATCTCT
The DNA here is from genome assembly GCF_000001405.40 of Homo sapiens. Classification (NCBI taxonomy): domain Eukaryota; kingdom Metazoa; phylum Chordata; class Mammalia; order Primates; family Hominidae; genus Homo; species Homo sapiens. Next base: position 128,304,953 of record NC_000008.11, on the reverse strand, counting down.
TTTTCTGTCTCTTCCTTCCCTAACCTATTATAATATTAATAACTACTCTTTTTGAGCTCTTACTACTTACCAGGAAGATAAGAACATGGCATACTCATACTCTAATCTCCATAACAATACTACATGTATTCCCAATTATTCTGATGTACAGATGAGGAAGCTGAGTGAGGCTGAGAAAGGTAAAGTTCTATGTCCAAGGCTACCCAGTAAATCAACAGGTTAGGGTTCAAACCCAGGTCTGTCTCAGCTGGAAAGCTCTTTTCTGTATGTTCTGCTCCATCCCAATTTATCTTAAAGTCCGATTAATCTTGCTAAATCACAGATCTGCTAAGAAATGTGCAGTTTGCCCTCCTCTTGATTTGAGAAGCACATTTGGCCTGGAATTGAAACTTCTCTTTATCTGACTCCAGCCTACTGTCCTTTATGAGCCTATCATGGTAAATGAAACTGTTCTCCTCTATGTGTCATGGAAGCCAAGCCTTTACCAACTTGCTGAAACTACTCCCCCTATTGAGAATGCCCTCCAGGTAGCCACCTCGTCTTCACACATACCCAATCCTTCCATGAAGCATGCATCCCATTCACTCTTTTAGCGTCTACCACGTGCTAAGCAGTTTTAACTTCCATGCTATTCAGCACATGTTACTCATCACAAGATGAGTAGGGGTGGAGTGGGGAGATGGGAGGAGAATCAGCCTGTCAGGAATGCCTTTCTGAAGGAAATGATAGCTTACTTAAGACTGAAGAAGCTAGCAATTAGTAAATAATCTCTCCTTATTACAGCATTTTTCTAGGTCTTTCTTAAGATCACACTTTTTAAAATATTAGACTTATTTTTCATTTCTTTTTTGACTCCTACTAGACTTAGAGCTCTTGAAGGATAATATTTGTAACCATTTCATCTTTAAATCTGTTTTACAAAATAGGTACTCCATGGTGGGCATAAGCACAGACTTTGGAATGAGCAAACATGATTTTTAAAAACCCAGTTCCACCTATCAGCCACATGACCCGGTTAGGCTAGTTAAATGAGTTAAGACTCAATTTCCATATATGTGAAATTAGAAAAAATAATATCTGCCTCCCAGGGCTACTATGAGAACACAAAATAATTTCAAAAATGTTTGTATAATGCATAGCATTGTGCCAAGTATACAGTAAGAGCTCAATAAGTGGTGGTCCGTTCATATTTCTAATACAGTCTTAGAGACTATTTAGTTTTGTATATCTCTTAGCACCATACACAAGAATAGTCCCATGTGAACATTCAATAACCTGGATTGCCTTATTATCATCCAAATATATGTATATGAGTATGATAAAATTAAGTAAGATTATTTATCTCTTTTTGCAAGACAAATTTTCCTTCTGCCCCAAAATAGCATTTGAGGTTGAAAAAGCTAGTGCTTGATCATATACCACCTTGACCAGAGTTTGTCACTCACTCTACAAGTAAGCCTGGTGATTCATTCCTGTCAAGTGTGTATGTGTGTATGTGTGTGTGTGATAGTGGAGGTGGGTCCAGGGGGCCTCATTTAACCAAACAAAGCAAAAGCAAAAAAAAATTTAAGCCAGGGCTAGTGAGAAATTAAAACCATGTAATTCATTCTAAGCAGCATTTGTGGTTGGTTGTTGGTTTAGATAGTGGTGGTTTTTAATTACCTAAAATACAGGAACACACATCTAAGAAAGAGAATCCCATTAAATATTCTCAAGTTGACCCTCATTAATTCAGACTAATAGAGAGGGGAAGACAGATCATAAATTTGAAGAATTTTCCAAAACATGCCATTACCTTCAAATGCACCTAGGGGCCTCAGCTTATTAACTACTTATTAAACAGATCCAAATTGAAATTCTCTGATATAGGTAATGAAATAGATAAGACTATTGAGCACACACCAGATACCACACACTGCTCCAGGGATTCAGGGGAAAATACACCCATGAATGAGATCTGCCTTTTGAGTGAAAGAGCTGCAAATACCTAACTTCACTTCAAGACAGTGAAATAAGAGAAAATTGTTTTATGGGCTTCCAGAAGAAAGCAATTGTTATAAATAGGAATAACAAATTTCCTTCTGGAGGCTAGATGACATTTTAGCTGGGCTTTAAAAACTAAACGCAAATTAAAAGCAAGGGAATTCATCTTTATTGAGTATCTATTCTGTGCCGTATGTTGAATATACCATATGTCAAGTAATTTGTCCAACTCTCTGAGATAGGCATAAGTATGATAGTCTCATTATAGAGATGAGAAGGTATTTTTTCCAAGGCTACACCATTAGTGAGTAGAAGCTTGGATTCTATCATGGCCCTGGATGATATAGAACCTATGATTTTACATCCTCTGTTGCCCTACAGTTTCTGCATAGTATATGAGCAACAAGACTAAAACGATATAATACCAGAGTTTCTATCATTGTAGCCAAACAATGAATGCATGAAAGCCTTTGTAACCAGTTCATTTCTCTAAGTAGATTGAATGTGCTCACTGCCAATACTGCTTATACTATTCATTAACCAGTATAGATTAACTAATTTACAGCTAACTTATAACTAATTTAAACAATTAATAAAGGTTATTGGATTGAATTGAATGAATTTTTTTCTCTTAAGAGACAGTGTAAAGGTTAGCTTAAACCAGGTTCAAGTCTAATTGTAATAAATTACATAAAATACTAAGTCAGTCAGAGACCAAATGAGGTGTTCCCAGGGCTTTGATTAGGGCACCAGCCTACCAGGTCCCAATACACAGATGATGTCTGTGCAAAAGCTCAGGGGAATACAAAGAAGCTTTGTCAGAATGTGGGTTGTAGTAGTTTTTGAGTCCTCATGAAAAACAGCTTACCACCCTTCCCCAGTGGAATGGCCGTGTCAATTGCAGTGCCTCCATACGATGGATCTTATGCAGCCATCAAACACCTAACTGGATGCTGCTTTTTGGTCTACTTTGCTGGCTCCTTCTCATCTCTCCAAAGAAGAATCCTTGGTCTTCTTCCCTTTCTAATCTATTCTCACTTCCAAGGTGATTTCATCTAGTCTCATAACTTAGAACACCATTCAGCAATCAAAACCTCCACGTTTATATTTCTGTACCTCTATCTTTCACTCTAGACGTGTCCATGCAGCTGCTGGATTGACATCTTCACTTGAATATCTGATAACCTTTTTAAACTTAACATGCTCTAAATTAAATTATTATTAAATTATTGATTTGAGGCTCTCCCTGCCGCCTCCCCACAAGCCTGATCTATGTCTCCTGAAGTCTTCTGAGTCCCAGTTAATGGAAAAATCAAGTATTCAGCCATTTAGGCCAGAAGAACTTGGAATCAACTCTTCTTGACTCCTTTTCTTCCTCATACTCCACATGGAATCTACTAGCAAATACTATCATCTCAACCTTTAAAATACGTGTAGAAATTGACCACCTCTGGCCACCTTCCTGCTACACTCAGCCTAAGCCATCATCACCTCTTGCTTATTTATAGTTCTGCAATTGCCTCCAACGATCTCCCTCCTTCTCACCCTTGACCCCTACATGCTATTCTCAGGCCAGAAGCCAGAATGCTGCCAGTGGCTCTCCCTCTCATCAGAGTAAAAGTTCAATTTCTTACTAGAAATCATAAAGCCCTCATGAGGGGGCCCTCCACCTCCTCCTTTTCCCTCCTCCCCCGCCCCCACACACACTTTCCCTCTGTGCTGTCTTGCCAACTACAGTCTGGCTACACTGGCCTCTCAGCTGTTCCTTAAAATGACACACACTTTCCCAACTGTGTCCCCTGAACATAGGCAATGGGCCTCAGTCTCCTCACCTACAAAATGAGACAATTAGATCAACTAGTCTCTAAAGTCCCTCCATAAAAATATTGTGACTTTATAACTATTATCTGCAAACATGAAGACCATGAAATCCTAACCCTAAAAATAGGACAGCATTTTGAGCTCCAACCAATGATAAAAAAAGAGCCTGCATTTCCATTCTTCTTCACTACAGGCTCTGAAAATCAAAATTAAATTTAAAAAAAACATCCTTACAGTGAAAACTGGAAATTTAGCAGCGGTCCACTGTAGTATTTAGCCACTGAAATACCATGGTGACAAATACTGTGTTAGAATAATAAGAAAAATATTCTGTTAAACTGCTAAGAGAAAGTAGGGAAGCAGTTTTATATGAATGCTATTATAACAAATGAAAATGTAAAAGTAAATAGAAAGAGGTGTAGAAGGAAAATCATTAACATACTAAGAGTAATTGTGCTAAAGTCATGGGATTAAGGGTTATTTTTTCCTCCTCTTTGTCTAAATGTTCTACTTATATGGTTTATTTTATTGCCTTTTATAATGAAGATGTGAATATATATGTGTGTTTAATCTTTCAAATGTTTAAACTAAGAGATTTATCTCCAACTAGAACCAATACTTTATGGTCTTTCAATGACTGGGTCTACACACTACAGGCAAATTAGAAACTGTGTTCTTTGAACAAGAACATGGTAATCAAAGATTAACAGGCAATTTCCCTGCATTGATGTGGATCAGCCATGCAGTCAACTCTTTTGGCAACCAGGAGCTCAAATGCGTGGACTCAGGTATTTTCTTATCTCACAAATATAGTTAGGGACATGCTCACTAATTGACATTGTTGGTAATGCTCAGAGGCCCTTGGAGGGACTCTAAATTCTTTCTGTCCTCAGCGATATCAAGATGTCATTCCAAAGGAAAGGGATAGCATAACCCTTATCATTCAAGAATATTCATTGAGTTTCCCAACTTCAATCTAGTCGATGCAGTATTTATTAAGTCAGTGCTATGCAGCTAGAAATGTAGAGTTCAAAGTTTTAGATTCACTGTTCTCTGTACAGAAGCTGCCTGGCTTCGGCCAGGTTGCTCACCATCATGGATCTCAATGTCCCCATCCCTAAATTGGGGAAAGTAAAACCTTTGCCACTGTGGGAGAAAGGAATAAAGGGTGGAATGGGGAGTAGAAATGTGTCCCACCTTCCAAGGCTGTTATGAGCATTAAATATTATAACAGGTTAACAAAAGACTTGTTTCAAATTACACACCAAAAATTCAGTTCTTTATTCATTCAGCAAGTGTTGAGTGAAAATTTAGGATGTGCCAGGCCTGTGGTAGGTGGCATGGCTACTACAGTGAAAAAGGCTCCTTCTCCTGCTCTAAAGTGGTGTCTAACTGGTAGGGGATCCAATAAATAAGAGACGATTACAATACTGTAGGCTATGCAGTAGATGGCAGAAAGAACAGTGCTATGGGAACACAGAGAAGGGCAGGAGGGTAGGGGGATAAATATCCCCTAAATACAGTAAAAAAAATGTTTTTAGTATCAACAATAACTTGAGTGTTGATTACATACCAGACACTATTCAGCATTTGCAAAAAAAAACAAAACACCTTTTTTACTTGCATTATCTAATTGATTCTATTCTGTTATAAATATCTCTATTTTAAGATAATTGAGACAGAGTGATTGAGTCACTTTCCTAGAATCACACAGCTATTAATCATTGGAACCAAGATTAAAAGCCAAGAAATCTGACTTCCAACCCGCATTTTTAACTGCTGTGAACACCGCCTTCTTTATTGACTATTGTGTTTGTTAAACAGGGTAACAAAGGTAAAGTGCATAGTATATTGTCTATCATGTAGCAATTCCTCAATAAATGTTAGCTAGTGTTAGTAACAGCAGTAGTAGCAACAGCGGTAAGAGTAATAACAAAAGAAGGAATGGAATAGTAATAGTAGGAGTAGCAGTTATAATTATAGTGATGATAGTAATAACAGTAGTGGCAGCAGCAAAATGTAAAGCGCTCTATAAATGCTGGCAGTTAGTCTGGGCTGAGAAGAAGCAAACTGGGAAGGAGGTGAAAAGGGTTCTTATATTTTTGTATCCTATGGTTTCTCTCTCAAGAAACCTGCTTTTTGGTGCAGAAGGGCCTGCACACATAAAACAGCTGGTCATTTAGAAGAAAAACTCTTTATGCTTCAAACTGAATACCTGAATTTTCAAGAACCACATGATTTAGGAAAAGATTGTCTTTTAGGGTAAGCCCAGAGGGACATAATCCTTAAGTTTTGGCAGCATACTTGGAATGCATGAGGTGCCACACTGAGTACTCCACAAGTACCAAGCAGTTTATTCCTTACAAATGCTCTGTGAAGTAGGCACTGTATTGTTCCCACTCTACATAACAGAACACTACGGTTCAGACAGGGCAAACTATCTGCTCAAGGTTACATAGAATAAGCCCAGATTTTAACACAGAGATATGAACTCTGCTAATCTGGCTGCTGGGATGGGGGATAAAGTATAACCCAGGTGGAACAGACTTGGGCAAAGGGAAAATAAAAGACAGGGCATGCTGAGAAGAGGAGCTGCTGGAACCGAAGCAGGTGGAGGTGACTGTGCTGGACTCAGGGCAGGGAGAGTGACTCAGGCCAGCTGATGCACATGAGCCTGGGTCCTGCCCTGCCCAAGGACCCCACCCAAGAAAAACCACACAACAGAGACACATATTTGTTTCATATATCTTGTTTTTAATTTGCATTTTGTTTTTGTTATCTGTATTGAGGTGTGTAAAACCACAATCAGAATGAGGAGAGAAGACAACTTTTCTTTTTTATTTCGGTATCTTCCAAAATCTACCCAAAGTAATTAAACTTTAAAAAAAATGTTACTTTGGTTTTAGGACAATATTTGGGACCATGTTCACACACCCATTTGACCCTTCTTCCTAATTAATACCCTGTAGAATTTGTTCTTAGCTGAAGTAAGCTTAGGAACCTCAGAATAGCAGTTGTTTATTCAATCAACAAACTTTTTTTGAGTATCTACTGTATATCAGACCATGTACAGACATGACAGTGAAGTGAAAGAAGCACCGTCTTTGCTCCCCTGGAACTGACACTTTAGTTGTACAATAATTGAGGCAGGCAATAAATGAAAAACCAAATAAATAAGATAGTATCACATTGAGACACACAGATGGACAAATATAAACTAGAGTGACATGAAGAGAAATTATTCAGGAAGATCTACACCAGGTTGAGGGGTTGGGGTTTGCCCTGAGAACATGATGTTTGAGCTGAGAATGGACAGTAAGAAGGAGCTTGCAATGTGGAGATCTAAGACTGGAGGCAGCCAGGTGGAGGAAACACCCAGAGCAGAGACCCCAACAGAGATGAGAACTTGGGGTGTTGGAGCAACAGAGAAAACCAGTTTAGCTGGATTGTAGAGTGCCAGAGAGAGAGTACGAGAAAAGGAAATCCAGAATGTAGCCAGGGAGCAGATCAGGAAGGAGCTTGAAAGCTCAGCATAAGACGTTTGGATTTCACTTTAAGTGCTATGAAAGCCATTTGAGGATGGTAAGCAGATCAGAGAAGGAGCTTATTTTCCTTGGTGAAAGTATCTACTTGGTAGCTGTGTAAAGTATGAATTATAGGGGGCCAAAGGAAGGTGAGAAATCAGTTAGAAAGATATTATAATGGCCGAGGTGAATGAAGATGGAGCATGGACTAGGATGCTTTTGGTTTATTTGGAGCAAAGCAGACAGATGTGGAAAATGTTTTTAAGTTAGAGTTAAGAGGTCTCACTAACAGAGTGGATACAGTGGATGAGGAAATTTGTGAAACCTAGGAAAATAACCAGCAGCCAGGTTAGCAGAGTTTTGGTGTAAGGAACATGATGTATGGTGGTGATAATCAGTGAAACATGTAGGTCTGGTGATGAACAAGCTGGTGGAGGTTTGAGGAAGAGGATTCAAGTGTTCTGTTTGGACCTAACAGGTTAGAGATTGTTATTAGATATTCATGTAGAAATGGAAAGCAGGCGTTTAAATATATAAGTACAGAGTTCGGAGGAGAGGACAGCCTGGAAATAGATTTTGGCTTTTTCACCCTGTAGATGGTAAGTCAAACATGTGACCAGATGAGATCATCTTGGGGAGAGAGAAGGGAAAAACTAGGTTCAGATCATCTCTACGTGTGAACTTCCATTTCCTCATTTATAAAATAGAGATGATAACAGATACCCCATAGCATGGCTTTACAAATTAAATTTTATTTATACAGAAGTCCCAATCTGACTCCACATCCCTAGCTCATTGTAACACCATATCACAGTCCTGTCAAGGCCAATTTCACAAGGGCTAGGGTTTCTCAAGGGACAGGGTTTATTAACCGATTTACAAAGCAAGAGCCTGCAGTTCTCTGGACTCCACCAGCACTTCTTTCTTTCTCTAGATCCCTGCTTGACTAACTCCATCGCCAACACGTTTTTACACAAATATGCACAATATTTTGGGGTCATTTTTCCATGGACTGCTGAATCTCAAGCCCTCTAAAAAGAGAAGGTTTTCAAGACCCTGACCTGGGAGCATATGACCCCAGGGAGTCATAGCTGGCATGGGTTGCATCCCATTACACAATGTCAACTAAAGTGGCAGCTGATTCCTCTTGGCTGGAACAAATAGGAGCTTCCCTTAGAGCTCTGGCCTGGTGCCCAGTGGGGTTAGTAGCAGGCAAAGGAGTCTTCAGTCAATGGGATGAGTGAGGACACTGACACACACGCTCCCGATCTGCCCTCTCTGCCACATTCCATTGCGCAAAAGAAAGAGTGGCAGATTCTGCCATAATAATAGCTAACATTTCTTAAGCTAACTCTGTGTCAAGCACTTGGGTAAGCAATTTCTATGCATTATCTTATTGAATATTTCCAGCAATCCAGCAAGCTTTATACTATTATAACCCCCAAGTTATATAAAATACTGAGCTTCACGGAGGTTACATCATTGTAAAGGTCATACAACTAAGAAGGTCATACAACATACAAAAGGTCATAGTTGTAAAGGTCAAACAACTAAGAAGTGGCTGAGATGTAATGCAGGTCTGCTCTGTGCACACTGAGCCCAATAGTCCACAGTATTGTGTGACAACCCTTTTCAGTCTATGTCAGCAACATTGACTGTACACGGTGGGCTGAGCACTGGATGAGGAGTCGGGATGAGTCCTAGCTACTAGCTATGTGGCCTGTAGTAAGTCATTTACCTTCTCTGGATCTTAGTTTTCTTATATTCAAAGTGGAGAAAACAATCTCAGCCTCATTAGGAATATTGGGAGCACACAATGTGATAACTGATATAAAAATTGTTTGCAGACTCTCAAGGGAGAAATGCACATTAAAGACAATGATGCTGACAATAATAAGATGACCATGATAATGATATACACATACACATACATACATACACACTAGAATGAAAACATCTCAGGGCTCCTTTAGCTAATTATTAAGAATAATTAGAATAGTGCCTGGTCCGTATGTTCAATGAACATGAAGTAAATAAATAATTACGTAAGGAGAAAGAGCTGATGAGAGAAAACTCTATAGACTCAACCCACTTCAAACAATTGAATCTGGAAATGAATCACCTAAACGCACATAAAGTTGGGGGTAAAATGAAGTTATTTAGTTATTACAACTAAATAACTTTACCTACGTAGCAGTTAGCACCATACCTAGCACACAATAGGTTCTTTGTATAGTTATTTTCTCATTGTCTCTCATTTCCTCTTTCTCAATCCCCCTCCTTTTCCTTCTCTCTCTTCTCTCTCTCTAACTCTCTCTTTCTTTTCTCTTTCCCTTATATGTACATATATTATCTCTCCCTTATATTTGAATATATATGTACATACTGAGGCAGGGTCTTGCTCTTTTGCCCAGGCTGGAGTACAGTGGCATGATCACCACTCACTGTAGCCTTGACGTCCTGGGCTCAAGAGACCCTCCTACCTCAGTCCTGAGTAGGACTGCAGTTTCACACCTCCATGCCCAGCTAATTTTTTATTTTTTATTTTTGTAGAGACAGAGTCTCACTATGTTGCCCAGGCTGGTCTCAAACATCTGAGCTTAAGCGGACCTCCCACCATAGCTTCCCAAAGTTCTGGAATTACAGGCATGTGCCACCATGCTCAGCCCCTTTTATATGTTTTTAATTATCTTTCAGTCACTTCCTTTCTTCTCGCATTTCTCCTTTTCTTTCAGTTCTTCCATATTCTCCCTAATGCCTCCTTTCTGTTTCCTACTCCTCTATTCATTCTTCCTAGCCACTACATAATGAATCCTCTTCTTTGTTTTCTTTCTTTTAGGACTTCACTTATAGCAAGCTCTTTCTTCCCAGACTTTGATAACTTTAAATAGAAAATTCATCTATGAGGCCACCACAGAAAGACTTCCTAGAAATCCAACCATGGTCACCTTCCAATAGTGAAAGTCCCTTTTCAAGTTCCAATCTGTGGATTGACTCACCCTCAAGGGCACCCTAAAAACAATCCATCCAATCAAGGCCACCTCTTCCATTAATACAGTCATTGAAGGGAAGCTTGTCAATTCCACTAAATGTATGTCCATCTATGTTGCTATAATAGCTTGTGTTTTTCAAGAACCAGCTGTGTGGGCTTCTGTCTCCCCCTATGAACGTTGAGCCTCTGGGAATCCTTATTTACATTTCTAATTTCATTTAACTTCTATAACATCCTTACGGGTAGACCCTATTTTTTCCCCAATTTAGACATAAAGCAATAAACTCTAAAAACCACAAGAAGAAAAGAAGGTGGGAAGGAAGGAAGGAAGGAAGGAAGGAAGGAAGGAAGGAAGGAAGGAAGGAAGGAAGGAAGGAAAGAAGGCAGGCAGGCAGGCAGGAAGGAAGGGAGGGAGGGAGAGAAAGGGAGGTGGGAAGGGATAGAGGGAGGAAGAAGGTTCTCCCAAATTATATATTATGAGAAGAACATAGAGATCAAGCCCAGGTCCCCTACATCTATTAATTTTGGGAAAGCACAGATAAACCCAAATCTTTCACCGTCTTTCTAAAGATTCACCATCAGAGTTATTCAGGGTAGAGAAAGTATAGGTTAAGGTTGTAGAATCAGACAGACCTGAGTTCATTCATTAGCTGTACCACTCACTAACTTTGTGACCTTCAGCTAGTTATTTAGGCTCCCTGCGCTTCGTTTGTCCTAATGAAAAAAAACAATTTCTCTTATAGAGTTAAAGTGACAATCCATATAAAACCCTTAACAGAGTTCCTCGCAAATAGTATATCAAGTAAAGTTAGCTATTGACTGCAAAGTTTTGATTCCTGGAAATGATGATCCCTTAAGCCCACATCAGTAAATACAAGGGGCCAGAATACAGATTTTTATGATGTCCTGAACTAAATTTAAAGCAGAGTAACCTCTGCCCCAACCTATAGAGAAAAAGGACAAATTGAGGTATAGCAGACTCTCATAGTCCTAGTATCTAGTTCTCCAGAAATCATCACAATGGCCAACCTTGGTCACTTTGGAGTTCTTGTGCTCCAAAAGTTTTCCAGTAAGTCCCCCTGGTTCTAATGACAAAGGATTCCAGACATCCCTGGGCCCAGAGAGAGAGTCATAGCAGGAGACCTGAGATACTATTTTCCTGCACAAAAGCCTCAGACTCCTCAGACTATTGCATCACAGGGATATCAGACAGGGGATGATAGCACCTGTTCTCATTCTCCTGTTGATTACAAGATAGATCAACTACCCATGTTCAATCACCACAAAGCCCATAGGTGTAACAAGGGCTTGGGTAAGAGATCAACTGCCTCAGACACCCTTTGAAGACAACAGGAGCTCTTGAGGTTAGAGTTAAGAAGTGACCTCAGGCTGTCTACTCTTCACATCCCTGATGACTCCACCCTAAAAGCGGATCCTCAAAACAGCACTTGATAAGTTAAAACCAGAGGTTCAAGCCCAGTATGCACTTTCAAATTTTCTTGTAGGCCCTTCAGTTTGGCCCACCACACTTAACCCCTTCATCCTTCAGATAGGGAGACCTGCTATGAGCAAGGCATATGGTAGGTGTTGAGAAAAACAAAAGTTCATCATCAGTTTTGCTTAGCCAGGAGGATAGTGGACAACAGCAATGGCTTCTCAGCATGGCTTCACTTTTGTTCTATTCTACAGAGTTAAATTGAGTCTCTAGAGAGACATATCTCATCTCTCCCTTGGCCTTTCCATGACCTTACATCTGTGGCTCTGCTGTGGTTTGAATATATACCCCAAATTTCATGTGTTGGAAACTCAATCCCCCTAATTCATATGTTGGTTATAGATGGGGTTTTTGGAAGGGTAAACTAATCAAAGGGGGTGCTCCATGATAGAACTGGTGGCTTTTATTTTTTTAATTTAATTTAATTTTTCTTTTTAGAGACAAGGTCTTGCTATGTTGCCCAAGCTGATCTCAAACTCCTGGACTCAAGCAGTCCTCCTGCATCAGCTTCCCAAAATGCTTGGATTACAGGTGTAAGCCACCATGCTCAGCAGACTGGTGGCTTTATAGTAAGAGGAAGAGAGACTTGAACTGACACACTCTTGCCCTCTCATTTTGTGATGCCCTCTGCCATGCTATTATGTGGCAAGAAGGCCCTCACCAGATGCCAGTCTCTTGATCTTGGACACCCCAACCACCAGATCTGTGAGCTAAATAAACCTCTTTTCCTTATCAATTCCTCAGTCTCAGGTATTCAGTTATAGCAACAGAAAATGAACTAAGAAATGATCTATTCAAAGTCTGACTAACTAAACCTTTTAAGGTATTGACAATTGCTTTTTTGAGAAGGTCATCCTGATCAAGGTCAAGGTGTGAGGTTGCTCCTCCACTCAGCCTACGCATCACTGTATTTGGCAGTTGGTCTCTAGTAATCCCCTAGCTTCAGTAAAGGTTTTGCCTATATTATTTTTATTGCTGTTGTTGTTGTTTTTATCAAGGGAAGACGAAAACCTTAAAGAAACTCCAAACCCCCTACTGTGCCATCTTTGTATGAGTCACTTCATTTTCCAGTTAAATAATCAGGTCCAGAGACAGGGGCAGAGTAAAGCAGACCTGAGGGACAGAGCTGGCCCAAACCCTGCTCTTTTGGCTCCAGCCTAGTGGTGCTGCTGCTGTCAAGACATTTGGGACAATTCACTCATTTTGTCCCTGTATAGCAAAGTCTGGGAAGGAGGGTATACTAGTCTGTTCTCACACTGCTGATAAAGACATAACCAAGACTGGGTAATTTATAAAGAAAAAGAGGTTTAATGAACTCCCAGTTCCACATTGCTGGGGAGACCTCATAATCATGGCAGAAGGCAAAAGGCACATCTTACATGGTGTCAGACAAGAGAAAAAATGAGAGCCAAGAGAGAAAAAGGGAAACCCATTATAAAACCATCAGATCTTGTGAGACTTATTCACTACCACAAGAAAAGTATGGGGGAAACTGCCCCCATGATTCAATTATCTCCCACTGGGTCCCTCCCACAACACATAGGAATTATGGGAGCTACAATTCAAGATGACATTTGGGTGAGGACACAACCAAATCATATCAGAGGGCTCCCCGGATTGATGCCTTGGTGATTACTTGAGGGAGGAAATGTGTTGAACAAAATTTTCTCTGATGATTTCCCACTCAGTCTCATTGTTATAACCAGGAGACTTTAGCTGGTCTCAAAAACCTTGACATGTATTTGGGCTGCAAAGTTAATTACATGTAATGTACTATCTCATTCAGTGTGAAGAATCAAATTTGGTGAAAGAATTACACAGAATTATGGTTTTCTAGTCAATTAACATTTTTTAAGATCCACCTGCAAGATAAGATGATTCATTCATTCATTTATTCATTCAATGTAGTTAATGTCCTTTTCACATGGTGGAGGCAGCAATGTGTGGTTGTCTTAGCACTCAAGCTTTGGGGTCAGGCAGTTTTGGTTGGGTTCTTGAATTTGTTTTGCTAGTTGTTTGACTTTGGGTAAGTCCCCTAAGCTTTATGAGGTGTACTTTCTTTAACATTATAATGAGAGCAATAGTTACTACATTATTTTTCAATGAAATAACATAGGTTAATGAGTCACATGGTAACTGGCATATTAACATTCAAAAATTGTATATATTAAAAACAATAAAGAGAGATAGATTGTGATTAAATGAAATCATTCGTCCACAAGCAAGCTGTCTCCTGTTCTATTTGGGAAAACCTTTCAGAAAGCCCTGAAATGTTTATTTTACATTTGAAACACTTATTTGTCAGAAAAAAAAGGCAGTGTGTTATTATGTGTATATCATTTGGGCCAAAACACACTGACACAAATAAGTTTCACTGTTGAATATGCTTAGACTTGTAATTTTCTTCTTACTCACAAAAAAAGTTTGTGACTTGGCCATGGTATTTCCAGTAAATCACTCAAGTTAATGACCTTACAGGAGATCATTTGCACTTTTATCTCCTTTTGGTTTAATATCAATTTGAGCTTACACTCCATTGAATTGGACTCTTTTAGTGTTTTCCAGTATTCACATCCTGCAGTGAACTGACATCATGCATGGAAAAATCACCCCTTCCTATCCAACCAGTGCTAGTAAGTGTTTAACAACCAGCTCTGTGGAAATAGGAGTTGGGGAAAGCCCTAATTAGTAGGATTAACAAAGTTTTATTTTTTTAAGACAGGCTCTTCTTTGTTGCCCAGGCTGGAGTGCAATGGGGTGATCACAGCTCACTGTAGCTTTGACCTCTGGGCTCAAGTGATTCTCCCACTTCAGTCTCCAGAGTAGCTGGGACCACAGGTGTGCATCATCATGCCTGGCTAATTTTTGTTTTTTGTAGAGATCAAGTCTCCCTGTGTTGCCCAGGTTGGTCTTGAACATCTTGGCTCAAGCAATCCTCCCACCTCAGCCTCCCAAAGTGTTGGGATTACAGGTGTGAGCCACTGTGCCCAGCCATTAGCCAAGTTTTGTAGTGTAAATACTATCCCCATGGCCAATTTCCAGCTACCAATATGACATCATGACTAGGTCAAATTATCAGAAAGTGATGAGTTTTGAATATTTGTTACCTCTGTTTTCAATATAATTTATTTACTTTTAGGTTGATATATATTAATTTTAATAATGCCTGTGTTTAAAAATCAGCTTCCAAAATTCCTAACCATGTAACAATTGGCTCTACCCAGCCTATAGTTTCTGGCTCCAGGCACCCCTGGGTAAAGTAAAGAACCTATCCAGAATCCAATTCAAGTCCTGTCACAAACTGCTCTATGAACTTGGGACACTAAATGTATTTCTCTAAGGTTGTTTCTGCACATGTAAAGTGGGGGTAAGAATCCCTGCCCTTCAGAGACTGTAACAATTGGAGAAAATGCACGTGTAGCCCATGCACATGAATGGTAGCCTTAGTCATGGTGGCCATTGCTCTTATTACTGGGTGATACTAGAATTGCAGGATCAAAGGAAAATGTTAAGTCCAGATTAGGGTTTTAAATAGAGCCCTCTCACAGGAAAATGATGAATTTTGGAAAATGGGGTAATAAATGAGGGGTGTTGGGAAACCCATTTATATTATTCCCAAAATGCAGCACACACAACTCTGGTGGGATATAAGATGATTTTCGTTGGTACATAGGTGCGTATTCCATGTTTTGATAACATTATACATATTTTGAGAATTTCATTCTATTTGTAGTAAAAGACATTGCCGTTACATTCTTTTCAAACGTTTCATTGTTTATATATGCAAAAATTCTCTTTCTAATTAAATTTTAATATATATGAACGTAAATAAATTTTATTTAAGGAGTAACATTCCATAAATACTAAGACAGAAGGTGTTCTAATATTGGGAAAAAATGTGTAGGTGTTTCATAAATGAGGGAAGTTTAGAGGATAGCGAATTAAAGTACCACAGCGGTCCAAAGGATGTACACAGAACAGGGCGGTGGAGATGAAATCCAGACTGGGATAACACCTGAGGTTTGGAGAGTGACTGGATTGCCAGGTGAGAGAGGAGAGGGATGGTAAAAGGCTGGGCACATCAAGTAGAGTGAAAACTCAGATCACAAGTCAGAAAGTCTGTGACCAAAGGGTTTTGCTGTGAGTTAAATTGACTTGTATGTACTTCAAAAACCAAGAGCTATGTCTACCCAGGGCAAAAGAAAGACTTTCTACTGAGAGATGCTACATGATAAGCCCAGATAGAGACAGGGGAGAGGCAGAGGCAGTCGTGAAATTCCTCCCATTTGATTATTCAGTGGTCCCTGCCTCTTTAGAAATTGAGTGTTATTCTAAAAAAGACAACCCACGGCCTCTGCAGAAAAATCCAAAGACAGAGGGAGAAAAGGATATAAGCAAGGAGAACACACACACACACACACACACACACACACACACACACACAGGATATATGCAAAGAAACAGAGGGGGATCAGGTAAGTTTTCTCTACACTGATTTTCTAAGTGCGAGTCTGATTCTGTCACTCTCCTGCTAAACATTCTTTGATGGCTTTCCATCACTCCGACTCCATTTTGTTACATAGTCTACAAGTCCATCCGTTGGAGAGCTGGCCCATTACTCCAATGCAAACTTTGTTACATGATCTAGAAGTCTATCCCTTGGAGAGCTAGCCTCCTCACCTCCTGATGCTATGGGTGCCCTTCGTGCGTTCCAGCCACACTGACCAGGACTCGGTTTCTCACACTCTCCTTGCTCTGTCTCACCCCGAGGCCTTTGTGCCTGTAGTTTCCTCTGCTTAAAATGTGCTTTGGGCCACACTCGATCTACTCCCACTTCAGATCTCAGTTGACTTATCCTTTCCTCAGAGAAAACTTTTCTCATCCCCCACCGTAAGTAGGACAGGACACCAAGTTACATTCTATCATGGTATCTTTTAGCCTTCCTTTATGACATTTATCACATGTACCTTCCTGGGCAATTATTTGATTGGTAAGTGCCTGCCTGGGCTGGAAATTCTCAGAGGAAGGAGTCCACTGATTTTTCTTACCATTGTACCCCCAGTAACTAGTACAGGAATTAGTTAATGGGCATCCAGTAAATATGTGTTCGATTAATAAATAACGAATTGGGTAGTAAAAGAATAAATGAGTAAGTGTTGTTAACTGTAACAATTTGTTCAAATACTTTTTTATATTTGTTGATTTGTGTTTTGCTCCAAGTTTTATGCTAGCTCCAGAGAAAACTAAGCTGAGAAGCCCCAACCCCTGGCCTTGAGTTCAGAGTCTAGCAGGAGACACAAAGCAAGTCATTAAATGCACTGTGATTGCATTGTATGGACTTGGATTATGATCAAAGTATGTAAAAGAGATAGTCTGAGAGAATAGCAACACTGCTAGTTACCATTTGTTTCACATTGCGGTAAACGCTATCAAGACTTCGGTTTTTTTTTTAATTTTATTATTATTATACTTTAAGTTTTAGGGTACATGTGCACAATGTGCAGGTTTGTTACGTATGTATACATGTGCCATGTTGGTGTGCTGCACCCATTAACTCGTCATTTAGCGTTAAGTGTATCTCCTAATGCTATCCCTAAGACTTTGGTTTTTAATACTCCTTCCTCGGGATTTATGACTCATCCACTTAGAATTAAGACTTTTCACCATGATCTGTGCTCTCCTCCGCATGACTCTTGATCTATTGGTCACAGTGTATCTACCATATGTATCTATTGCCAATAACCAAAAATTCCTCTTAAAAAGAGAGTAAGGTACCACATCTATTTATGTTATTTTTAAGTTTGTCTCTTGAAAGTGTTTACAAGTAAGTTAACCTTAAAATGTAATTTTTAATTGGGAATGGAGATAGAGGCAGCATCAGAGTTCACAATGAAATAATTTGGAGTTTTTTCTTATTGGAAGACTCTTCCCAAAGTCACATTTTTAACTGATGTTGAGTATACTCAATGTGTGTAATGTTTATAATTAGCATTTATCCATCATTCTAAAGACCCATATGGATATTTTTGATGAATACAAGCAACTCACATTATTGTAGTGAGAAAGCCCATTGTTCACCTCTTTGGAGGGAAAACTTAAGACTCAGAAAGTTTCAGAGTCTCATTGAAGCTCACACAGGTAGAAAGTAGCCTTGCAAACTCTTGAAGTCATTCCTCCAATTCCAATACTTGAGCTCTTTCCAACGACTTCATGTTGTCTTGGTAACTCACATGCACTTTCCTCTAACCCTACTTTGGTTCTCAGAGCTTTGCAGGCGAAATTAGGAGCTTCAGGACCATAGAAATATTCCATTTTCCAGACTAGATGACATGTAGGAAAATACTTGAGGCTTGCCTTTTCCAGGAACTTCACCCCTTCCCTGTTACGTACTTTTGATTTTGACACTTCCACTTCACAAATTATGTACTAAGTACTCACCTGGACTGTTAAGGTCAATACCCTCAAAATTGAAAAGGGAGTGCTTAAAAACATTTTTTTGAGACAGAGTCTTGCTCTGTCACCCAGGTTGGAGTGCAGTGGCATGATCTCACTGCAACCTCTGCCTCCCAGGTTCAAGCAATTCTCCTGCTTCAGCCTCCAGGTGTATGCCACCACACCCGGCTAATTTTTGTATTTTCTTTTCTCTTTCTTTCTTTCTTTCTTTTTTTTTTTTTTTTTTTTTTTTTTTGAGACAGACTTTTGCTCTTTGTTGCCCAGGCTGTAGTACAGTGGCATGATCTCAGCTCACTGCAACCTCTGCCTCCCAGGTTCAAGCAATTTTCCTGTCTGAGCCTCCCAAGTAGCTGGGATTAGAGGCGCCTGCCACCACTCCTGGCTAATTTTTGTATTGCTTTTAGTAGAGACGGGGTTTCACCATGCTGGCCAGACTGGTCTCGAACTCCTGACCTCAGGTGATCCAGCTGCATCAGCCTCCCAAAGTGCGGGATTACAGGTGTGAGCCACCATGCTTTTGAAAACACAGTTTAAGCATGTTTATGTTCTTTGGCCCCATAATTTCACTTCTGAGAATATGCCCTGGAGAAATGATCACAGAAATCTACAAAGATTTAGCCTCAGCTAAAGACTGTTCACTGATACTTGTGTATCTTTTTTTAAAAAAACCTTGGAAACAACTTATATAAACTATAATCTGTTCTAAATGTAAAAGACTATGCAATCTTTAAAAGTAATGTGAATGGATCTTGAACATCAAGGAAAAATATTGATGATTAATTATTAATGTGAAAAATTAGGTTATAAAACAAGATGTACAATATAATTTCATAATTTCTCCTTTTTTTAAGTATATACTTACCTAGTAAAAACCGTAGGAAAATATGTCAAGTTATTAGTAAGGGTAAACTCTAGGAAGTAAGACTATAAATTATTTCTTCTTCTTCTTCTTCTTCTTCTTCTTCTTCTTCTTCTTCTTCTTCTTCTTCTTCTTCTTCTTTCCTTTCTTCTTTCTTCTTCTTTTTCTTCCTCCTCTCATCTTTCCCTTTTCCTTCTCCTTCTTCTTCCTCTCCCTCCCTCTCCTCTTCTTCCCCTCCCTTTCTTCTTTCTCCTCCTCCTCTTCTCCTCCTCCTCTTCTCCTTCTTCTTCTTTCTTATTTTCAGAAAAATACACAATGACCCTGTATTGTTTCCAGGAGAGAAGAATGAAGGCAAGAATGGGGAAAGAAGATTTACCAATGCGATGAAATCAGGAACAGGTTATAT
The DNA here is from genome assembly GCF_000001405.40 of Homo sapiens. Classification (NCBI taxonomy): domain Eukaryota; kingdom Metazoa; phylum Chordata; class Mammalia; order Primates; family Hominidae; genus Homo; species Homo sapiens. Next base: position 128,285,420 of record NC_000008.11, on the reverse strand, counting down.
CACTTGATCATGAAATGTTGAACCTGGAAGACATGCTATGAAAGGAGGACTCACCTTTCCTGCACACCATGCATGCATCTCACAGAGAACATAAGTTCCCACCCTTCCACAATTCTCATTCTGCAGATGACAAATTAACCTGGCCAGTCATTGCCAGGATTTGAATCAAAACCTCCTGACTCCAGTCAAGGCTCCTTCTGATAGAAAAATATATCTATAAAATATAAATAAGTGTATATATGCAAATATTTAAATTAAGAACTCAGAAGAGTTATAGGAAATAGGAAGGAAAAAGAATGTAAGGGCATATTTATGAGCCCCAGTTAAATATATACAACCTCCAGTCAAATACTACTATTTATTATTTTTATTTATTATAAATAATAATATTTATGAATGGGATGAATATCTTCAGGCACTGAAAGAGAATGAATCCACAAAGAAAAGAGAAGTAACTTATCCAGTCCAGAAAGCACCTCATCACCCCAGACAAACCCTCAGAGAGGCATTTAGCAACAACTTGTGGGATAAGGGTTTCCATTGTCTAATTTATGATGTCATTCATCATTCTGTTGAATTGTATGTTCAGAGAAATATGGCAAGTCCTATTTCTCTTTCCCAAATCTCTGAGTTTTTACTTTCTACCCAACCAAAGCCCTGTACTAGAAGTCAGAAATTGTCAACTGACTTTATTGAAATTTCAGCCCCAAAAACTGTACCCTCAAATGCTATGATTTAAATATGGACTGCCAATGCCTCTAGAGAACTTAGTGCATTGACAACATGGGGGAGGAGCTTTGTGTCTTATCCATAGGAATTCCCTACTGAAAGGCAATGCCTTCTTTCAGGTTAACCATTTATTTTATCCTCTGCAATAGGACCCTGCATTCTAGCCAGGATCTCAATGTGCTTCACAAATGTTACCTACAGGCCAGTATTAGCTTTATCTTTTTTCAGAATTGTTTCTAGTATTAGATGACTAATACGATTTTAGTGCAACATTCAGGGTTTACATTTCAACAGAACTAACAGGCCAGAACTGTGGCGATATTTTCTTTCTCTGCTTCATGAAGGCATTAGTTGTCTGGCTGGGAAAGTGTAGGAGGGGCCAAAAAAAACCTCAGAACCCCTTGATCTCACCATCCGGTACCTTCTCCCCTGCATTGGCATTGACTAATTCTAAGATCTGAAAGATAACTGCCTTTTGGTCGTAAGAAAACTTTGGTTCCCTGAAGGCCAACTCATAAACCTCAGACACATAATTTAAATGAATTTCAGGTTTTAATCTTACTTGTATTAACAAGTAATAAAAACATTACTCAAGGTATCATTAGTTGCTATTATAAACAAATTTCAAAAATGTGTAATGCCCCAAACACTATAGAAATTTCCACCTATATAAAATCCAAAATGGGTGGTGTTCATCAGCAAGTGGATGTATTCCTGATTCCAAGAAACGGAGTCTTCCCTCTTGTGGCTCCGTCATCTTCAACATGGAGCTCCAAAAATGGCTTGTCCATGTCAGCCCCAAAATGATAGGAAAGACGATTGAAGAGACCATGAGAGATATTTAAGCACCAAACCAGAAAGTAGAACATTTCTGATCAAATTTTTTTAAGTAAAGTTTTTTTTTAATTGAAGCATAACACACACACACACACACACACAGAGAGAGAGAGAGAGAGAGCTTGAAAAAAATTGCAGCTCAAAGAATTTTCGCAAGCTGAGAACACCCATGTGACCAGCATGAAGATGAAGAAATAAAATATCAGCATCCCAGAAACCTCCCTTTTCCTCCTACTCTGTTCACCTCTCACAAAGGTAACCACTGTCCTGGCTTTTACCACCATAGAACAATTTTGCCTACAAGTTGAATAATACAATGTAAACACTTCTATTTCTGCTTTATTTCTCACAACATTGTGTTTGTAATATTTATTCCTATTGTCACATGTAGTTGAAGATCATTAATTCTCCTTGTGATAGTATTTCATTTTGTGAATATAACTACATTTTATTTATCCATTCTACTGTCTGATGTGTATTAAAGTTGTTTCTAGTTTGGGTCTGTAACAAGTAGTGCTACTATAAATTTTGATGATCATATATCTATATTTCTTTTGGGAACATTTCCAGTAGAGTAATTGCTGAGTCATAGGACATGTGTATATTCAGACTTATTCAACAGAGCCAAACAGTTCTCCTAAGAGTTGCATCAGTTTACACTCTCACTAGCAATGTATGAGAATTCTAGTTGCTCCATATCCTTCACTAACACTAGGATATCTTATTTATTTATTTTTATTTAAATACGTTTTTGGGGGACAGGTGGTGTTTGGTTACATGAATAGGTTATTTAGTGGTGATTTCTGAGATTTTGGTGCACCCATCACCCAAGCGCTGTACACTATACCCATTGAGTAGTCTTTTATCCATCACCCCCTTCCCCCCAAGTCCCCAAAATCCATTGTATCTTTCTTATGCCTTTGGATCCTCTTAGCTTAGCTCCCACTTATGAGTGAGAACGTACAATGTTTGGTTTTCCATTTTGAGTTACTTCACTTAGAATAATGGTCTCCAATTCCACCCAGGTTGCTGTGAATGCCATTATTTCTTTTTATGGCTGAGTAGTATATATATATATATATATATATATATATATATATATATATATATATATATACACACACACACACACACACACACATATCACATTTTCTTTATCCACTCGATTAATGGGAATTTGGGCTGGTTCCATATTTTTGCAATTGTGAATTGTGCTGCTATAAACATGTGTGTGCAACTATCTTTTTCATATAATGTCTTCTTTCCCTCTGGGTAGGAAAACCCAGGAGTGGGATTGCTGGATCAAATGGTAGATCTACTTTTATTTCTTTAAGGAATCTCCACACTGTTTTCCATAGTGGTTTTACTAGTTTACATTCCCACCAACAGTGTAAAAGTGTTCCTTTTCAGCACATCCCCACCAACATCTATTATATTTTGATTTTTTGATTATGGCCATTCTTGCAGGAGTAAGGTGGTATTGCATTGTGGTTTTGATTTGCGTTTCCCTGATAATTAGTGATGTTGAGCATTTTTTCATGTGTTTGTTGGTCATTTGTGTTACTTCTTTTGAGAATTGTCTATTCATGTCCTTAGCCCACTTTTTGATGGGATTGTTTATTTTGTTCTTGCTGATTTGTTTCAGTTCCTTGTAGATTCTGGATATTAGTCCTTTGTAGGATGTATAGATTGCAAAGATTTTCTCCCACTCTGTTGGTTGTCTGTTTACTCTGCTGATTATTTCTTTTGGTGTGCAGAAGCTTTTTAGTTAAATTAAGTCCTATCTATTTATTGTTTTTGTTGCATTTGCTTTTGGGTTCTTGGTCATAAAGTCTTTGCCTAAGCCAATGTCTAAAAGGGTTTGTTCTGGTTATCTTCTAGAATATTTATGGTTTCAGGTATTAGATTTAAGTCTTTGATCCATCTTGAGTAGATTTTTTTTATAGCATGAGAGATGAGGATTCAGCTTCATTCTTCTACACATGTCTTGTCAATTATCCCAGCACCATTTGTTGAATAGGGTGTCATTTCCCTACTTTATATTTTTGTTTGCTTTGTCAAAGATCAGTTGACTGTAAGTGTTAGGCTTTATTTCTGGGTTCTCTATTCTGTTCCATTGGTCTATATGTCTATTTTTATACCAGTACCATGCTATTTTGGTGACTATGGCCTTATAGTATAGTTTGAAGTCAGCTAATATGATGCCTCCAGATTTGTTCTTTTTGCTTAGTCTTGTTTTTGCTCTTTTTTGGTTCCATATGAATTTTAGAATTGTTTTTACTAGTTCTATGAAGAATAATGGTGGTATGGTATTTCTATGGGAATTGCACTGAATATGTAGATTGCTTTTAGCAGTATAGTAATTTTTCACAATATTGATTCTACCCATCCATGAACATGAAATGTGTTTCCATTTGTTTGTGTTGTCTATGATTTCTTTCACCAGTGTTTTGTAGTTTTCCTTGTAGAGGTCTTTCACCTCCTTGGTTAAGTATATTCCTACGTATTTTACTTTTTTGCAGCTATTGTAAAAGGGGTTCAGTTCTTGATTTGATTCTCAGTTTTGCGGCTGTTCGTGTATAGCAGAGCTACTGATTTGTGTACATTAGTTTTGTATCCTGAAACTTCCCTGAATTCATTTACAAGTTACAGGAGGTTTTTGTATGACTCTTTAGGTTTTTCTAGGTATATGATCATGTCATCACAAACGACAACAGTTTGACTTCCTCATTACCAATTTGGATTCCCCTTATTTCTTTCTTTTGTCTGATTCCTCTGGCTAGGACTTACAGTACTATGTTGAAGAGGAGTGGTGAGAGTGGGCATCCTTGTCTTATTCCAGTTCTCAGGGGAAATGCTTTCAACTTTTCTCAGTTCAGTGCAATGTTGACTGTGGGTTTATTATAGATGGCTTTTATTACCCTAAGGTGTGTCACTTGTATGCTGATTTTGCTGAGGGTTTTAATCATAAAGGGATGCTGGATTTTGTCAAATACTTTTTGTGCAACTATTGAGATGATCATATGATTTTTGTTTTTAATTTTGTTTATATGTTGTATCACATTTATTGATTTGAAGATGTTAAATCATCCCTGCATCCTTGGTGTGAAACCTGCATGATCGTGGTGGATAATCTTTTTGACATGCTGTTGGATTCTGTTAGCTAGTATTTTGTTGTGGATTTTTGAATCTGTGCTCATCAGGGATATTGGTCTGTAGTTTTCCTTTTTTGTATGTCCTTCCTTGATTTTAGTATTAGGGTGATACTGGCTTTCTAGAATGATTTAAGTAGTATTCCCTCTTCCTCTATCTTGTAGAATAGCGTCAATAGGATTGGTACCAATTCTTCTTTGAATGTCTGATATAATTTAGCTGTGAATCTCTCTGTTCCTGGACTTTCTTTTGTTGGTAACTTTTTAATTATCACTTCAATCTTGCTGCTTGTTGTTGCTCTGTTAAGACTTTCTATTTATTCCTATTTAATCTAGGAGGGTTGTATATTTCCAGGAATTTATTCATCTCTTCTAGGTTTTCTAGTTTATGCACATAAAGGTGTTCATAGTAGCCTTGAATGAACTTTTGTATTTCAGTGGTATGGGTTGTAAAATCTCCCGTTTCATTTCAATCGACCTTTTTGGATCTTCTCTCTTCTTATCCTGGTTAAGCTCCTAATGCCCTATCTTTTGTAATTTTTTTGTTTCAATTTCATTTAGTTCTGCTTTGATCTTGGTTATTTCTTTTCTTCTGCTGAGTTTGGGTTTAGTTTGTTCTTGTTTCTCTAGTTTCTTGTGTGACCTTAGATTGTTTATTTGTTCTCTATCAGACTTTTGGATGCAAGCATTTAATGCTATGAACTTTCCCCTTAGCACCACTTTTGCTGTATCCTAGAGATTTTGATAGGTTGTGTCACTATTATTGTTCAGTTCAAAGAATTTTTTTAAATTTCCATCTTGATTTTTTTGTTGACCCAACCATCATTCAGGAGCAGGTTATTTAATTTCCATGTATTTGCATGGCTTTGAGGGTACCTTTTATAATTGATTTCCAATTTTATTCCACTGTGGTCTGAGAGAGTACTTGATATAATTTTGGTTTTCTTAAATTTGTTGAGACTTGTTTTGTGGCCTGTCCTATGGTCTATCTTAGAGAGCGTTCCATGTACTAATGAATAGAATGTATATTCTGCAGTTGCTGGGTAGAATGGTCTACAAATATCTGCTACGTCCACTTGTTCTAGGGTATAGGTTATGTCTATTATTTCTTTGTTGACTTTCTGTCTTGATTACTTGTGTAGTGCTGTCTATGGAGTATTGAAGTGCCCCACTATTATTGTGTTGTTGTCTATCTCATTTGTTAGATCCAGTAGTAATTGTTTTATAAATTTGGATTGCCAGGGTTAGATGCATGTATATTGAGGATTGTGATATTTTCTTGCTGGACTAATTATTTTATCATTATATAGTGTCCCTCTTTATCTTTTTTAACTACTCTTGCTTTAAAGTTTGTTTTGTTTGACATAAAATACCTACTTCTGCTTGCTTTTGGTGTCCATTTGCATGGAATATCTTTTTTCACCCATTTACCTTAAGTTTATGTGAGTCCCTATGTGTCAGGTGAGTCTCTTGAAGACAGCAGATACTTTGTCGGTGAGTTCTTATCCATTCTGCCATTCTGTATCTTTTATGTGGAGCATTTAGGCCATTTACATTCAATGTTAGTATTGAGATATGAGGTACTATTCTATTCATCATGTTATTTGTTGCCTAAATACTTTGTGTTTTTTTTCATTGTGTTATTGTTTTATAGGTCCTGTGAGATTTATGCTTTAAGGAGATTCTATTTTGGTGTAATTTTGAGGATTTGTTTCAAGATTTAGACCTTTTAGCATTTCTTGTAGTGCTGGCTTGGAAGTGGTGAATCCTCTCAGCATTTGTTTGTGTGAAGAAGACTGTATCTTTCCTTCATTTATGAAGCTTAGTTTCACTGATACAAAATTCTTGGCTGATAATTGTTTTCTTTAAGCAGGCTAAAGATAGGACCCTAATTCCTTCTGGCTTGTAGGGTTTTCGCTGAGAAATCTGCTGTGAATCTGATAGGTTTTCCTTTATAGGTTACCTGATGCTTTTGCCTCACAGCTCTTAAGATTCTTCATCTTGACTTTAGATAACTTGATGACTATGTGCCTAGGCTGTGATCTAAGTGTGTCTTTGATTTCCAGAAGTTGTAATGGTTTTTTATTAATGTTATCTATTTCACTGGATAGTTTTTCCATTCATATCCTGTATCACGTTTTTTATTTCTTTAAGTAGTATTAAGTAGCACCTTTCTCTGTTGCCTCTTTGATTGGTTTATTAATCAACATTCTGAATTATTTTTCTGGCAATTCAGAGATTTTGTCTTGGTTTGGATCTATTGTTGGTGAGCTAGTATGATCTTTTGGGGGTGTTAAAGAACCTTGTTTTTGCATACTACCAAAATTGTTTTTCTGGTTACTTCTCATTTGGATAGACTACGTCAATGGGAAGATCCGGGACTCAAGGGCTGCTGTTCAGATTTTTTTGTCCCAAAGGGATGCTCCCTTGATGTGGTGCTCTCCCCTTTCCCCTACAGATAGGGCTTCATCAGAGCTGAACTGCAGTAATTGTTATTTCTCTTCTGGATCTAGCAACCCAGTGGAGCTATTGGGCTCCAGGCTGGCTGGGGAGTGTCTGCAAAGAGTCCTATGATGTGATCTGTGTTCAGGTCTCTCAGCTGTGGATCCTAGCATCTGCTCTGGTGGAGGTAGCAGGGGAGTGAAGTGTACTCTGTGAGGGTCCTTTGTTGTATTTTTGCTAAATGTGCTGGTTTTGTGTTGGTTGGCCTCCAGCCAGGAGGTGGTGCTTTCAAGAGTGCATCAGCTGTGATTGTATAGGGAGGATACAAGCTTGCCCCAGGGTTACCTTTGGACAAGTATTCAGGTATCTCAGGTGGTGGGCAGGGCCATAGAACACCCAAGAGATTATGTTCTTTGTCTTCAGCTGTGTGGGTGGGTAGAGAAAGACCGTCAAGTGGGGACAGGGTTAGGCGTATCTGAGCTCAGACACTCCTTGGGTGAGGCTTGCTGTGGCTGCTGTGGGGGATGGAAATGTGGTCCCCAGGCCAATGGAGTTATGTTCCCAGGGGGTTATGGCTGTACCTGAGGCATCACTCAGGTCACCAGTGAAGTGGAGGAGAGCCGGTAGCCACAGGCCTCACCCAGCTCCCACGCAGCTCACACCCTGAAAGGATGGTCTCACTCCCACTATGCCCCGCCTACAGCATCAAGTTTACTTCCAGTTCTTGTTGAGAACTTGCCCAAAGCTACAAGCCTCTCAAGTGAGAAAGCAAGCAGACTCACAGTTCCTTGGCTGTCCCACAGAGCCTGCAGGAGCAATCCACCTCTTTCAAAGGCTCTGGGGATACTCTTGGCTTTCCTGGTATATTCCTGTGGTAGTTCTTAGAGGAAAAGCTCACAGTGTGGATCTCTACATACTGCTCTGTCCCTCTGAGTGGCAGCTGCAAGTTATTCCGGTCTCTTAATCTGCCATTTTTTCCTCCATGCTCATTTTTATGGAGCTCTTTCTTGTTTTCCACATCTGATCATGTTCCACTGGTCAGACTTTAGTCACATGATCACACCTAAATGCAAGAAAGGCTGGGAAATGTAGGTTGTGTGTCCAGGAAGAAGAGGAAACAGTGTGGTATACTTACACAATATGCAAATATGTTAAAATCAGCCCAATAACAATAAAATGACAGTTCCCAGTGTATGCCCTGGAGGCTGGAGAAATGAAGCCTAGTCTCTCCTAACTGCATCTTTGGTCCTACCCAGGAATACCTGCAAGTAAATAATATGTTGTAAGTTTTTCTGTCTAAGAACCTTTAATTGCCACCACAGGACTTCAATTCCTAAGAAATGAAAGTAAAAAGCTCCATTTCAGGGGTAAGTAAAAGAGTGTTTGAGGTAAGACTTGAAGGAGAAAAAAATTATCAAAATATCCTTGGGTTAGTTTAAAAATGTAATTTACCCAAAGCCACATTCCTCATTCAGTCAGCTAATTTGGACTTTACCCTAACTAATTAATAAACCATGGATATTAATAGAGACTCTGTAGTATTAATTATTCTAGTGAGTCCCTATTTACCATATATTCTGTCCCAGACTAAATACTTCATGACAGAAAAAAAAGAAGGAAGATAAGAAGGGAGGGAGGGTGGAAAGAAGGAAGGAAGAAAGGAAAGAGGGAGAGAGAAAGGGAGAGAAGAAAGGAAGGAAGTGAGGAGGAAGGAAGGAAGGAAACAGGTCCCTCTCTGTACGAGTTGTACATCCCTCTACTTCTTTGCTGTGAAACTACACTTGGCTTCTAAAACCAGCCTCTCTGGTCTAACGACAATGACAAAAAGTAGCTCTGAGTGAGGAGACCCAAGAGTATTTGAAACCAGGTTACAACTCCCTTCAGTAATTTGGTTCTGTGAAAAAATATGCATTGCAACAAATTATTCTTAACTCCTGCAGTAAGAGATCCAGCTCTCATGGGTATTTGAATTTATTTTGAGGGTGGAAGTGGAGGAGACAGGCATTATTTTTTATCAGTTTTTAAAATGGATTTTATGACCATATGCATGAAGGAATAGTTCTGGCAGAAAAACACCTTCACTCTAATCAAAGCCCAACGGAGATTCTTGATGTCATAGGGTATGAAGTGAGGAACAAAGGGATTTTGCTCCCATATTATGCATGTTTGCCTAAAACCAATACACACACTTCCTTGTCCCCTTCAATCTGACCCATTATCCAAGAAATGCAAACACTGAGGTACAGTCTTTCCCATCGTATATTTTAAATATCACCTGATACCAATAAGAGTATGTTCAACAGATAAATACTGCTAACGAAATTACATCCTTGGGAAGCAGTTTCATTGGACATTTTATCAAGATTAGATGTGTTCACATTCTTTGAGCCAATGATTGAACTTCTATCCTCATTTCAAAGGAAATGCTCTTAATTTCAGGAAATAAAGGTCTTACACATAAATGTTGTAGAGGTGATTATGGCAACAACAACCAACTATAGAGATTTGTTAAATTAATTTGGCATATAGAATATAGTGATGATTGAACTTATACCTATGCATATATGTATAGCTCCAGCCATACGTAAATTCTTACAGATTTTGAATTAGTAAACTTATAATAATTGGCTTTTCAAGAGCTCTAGTGCTAAAGGAATCGTGAGTTCATGCGTTAGCTTTAAGTGAACACATTAGTACATGCTTTCTGAATGGTAGACTATTGCCTTTCTGTTTCTAAGGCTGTGGCATTTTAATGATTTTACATTTGAAAATGGGTTGAAATTTAATTTAGGTATCAAGTGGAAAGTGATATCATTTTGCAATAACTTGGTGACATGCTTAAAAGATATGCTAAGTAAAAAAAGGCAGGAAAAAAATTGTTAGTATAGCCAAACTGAAACCAAAAAATGAAATAGAGTAAAAATGTTTTAAAATAAAATAAGTTAATTTTTCCCATTTTTGCCTCTTTTTTCAAAATTTCTTCAAGAAAAAAATAAAATATTCTTTGAAAAAAATAAATATATATAAATTTGCAAACAAAATTTGCCTCTTAGGTCTATACTTTCTCATATGTCAACTGCAACTCCCAAATTGTAATGATCACTTAGGTTACATGAAGCCTGATATTGGCCTTGTATCTCCAATATTTTTTATGCAACTCAGGAGGCCTCATTCCCAGTGGTGGTATGAGCTCATATTAGTCTGTTCTCATGCTACTAATAAAGACATACCTGAGACTGAGTAATTTATAAAGAAAAAGAGGTTTAATGGACTCTCAGTTCCACATGGCTGGGGAAGCCTCACAGTCATGGCAGAAGGTGAAAAAGAGGAAAGGCACGTCTTACATGGTAGCAGGCAATAGAGAGAGCATATGCAGGGGAACTCTCATTTATAAAACTATCAGATATTGTGAGACTTACTCACTATCACAAGAACATCATGAAGACCCACACCCGTGATTCAATTACCTCCCACCGCGTCCCTCCCATGACACATGGGAATTATGGGAGCTACAATTCAAGATTTGGGTGAGGACGCAGTTAAACCATATCAGAGCCCTTACAAGGGGTAAACCTCCAATAGTTAGAAGAACCTCCATAAGCCCCCCTATCAGGTCAGTTACATCTACAGCCACATGACACATAGCTATGATGATGATGCTGACGATCAACTTAGAAAAGGGATGCCAGCAAGAATGACACTCTTCCTCAACTCTGTAGCTCTCCTTTACCTTCCTTCTAGAAACAATTGCTCAGTCTGAGGAAATCTGGGGTGGCAGAAAGATCAGAATTTGCCTTTTCCCTTCCTTTTTAATTTGAATGTACCCCTGGTACTTAAGCCAAGGCAGACTGAAGCCAAGGCAGACTGAAGCCAAGGCAAGGCATGCTGAGTCAAGTCTCTTTTTACCAATAATCTCCTTATTGTTCTTGCGGGCAGCATGCGGTTTTGTTTCTCTTTCGGTGCCAGTGGCACCCAGCCTATCTTTAGTCAGGACCTCCTGCATCATTCTAAAAGAACATTTTTTTCTCTCCTGCATTTAATCATATTCTCTGCCACCGTATTTTAAAAGAAGTGATGTAGGTCCAATCCAGCTAGAGATGCAATAGCCCCTCTGTCCCTAGAGTTCTGAAAGAAGAACACTTGCCCTCAAATTGGGAAGCATCTCATGGATCCTGTTTGCCTGGGATCCCACTCCAGCCCCAATTCCTGACTCATCTCGAAAATTCAGGTACAGTCTTGGTTTTTGAGAAGCTGCAACACAGAGCTGTTACGTCAATTAGTCAGTGCAACAATATTTCTTGAGAACCCACTAGGTGTCGGGCAGTGTATTAGCTGCTGAAAATGTGGCCATGGAGACGTGCCTTAAACAAATGATTCCAGTAAGTTATTAAGTCATAATCTCAACTGTTCAGGGTGCTACAGGAGTGTCTCACAGGGAGATATACTTTAGTCTAAGGCAGCGAGTTTCCACTAGGGGCAATTTTGTCCCCCCTGGAGACATTAGGCAATGTCTAAAGACATTCCTGGTTGTTGCATGAGGGAAGGTGAAGAAATGAACAGGAGTGCTATTGACAGTGAGAAGTTAGAGGCTAAAAGGCTGCTAAACATCCTACCATGTAGGATTTGGGGGTTTGGGGTGGGGGAACTACAGGACAGTCCCCCCACTCCTCAACCACCAACAACAAAAATTATCTGTTAATCGTATCAAGGTTAAGAAACCCTGGTAAACTTCCAAACTTAACCAGGCAAAGAATCACCTGGAGAGCTGGGCCACATACCCAGAGTTTCTGGTTCAGAAGGTCCAGGTGGGGCCTGTGAATTTGCATTTTTCGTAAGTTCTCGGGTGATGCTGAAGTTGCTGGTCCAGCGACTACACTTAGAGACCTATAGGTCTGGAGTTTCAGAGAACACATCCTCCCCAAAAAATGACGTGTGAAAGTTTAGCAGAAGTTAGCTAGGTTTAGCAGAAGTTATGAGATAAAATTTTGCAGGTGGTTTGTGCCAAAGCCCAGAGGTGAGAGGTCCTGGCATGTTCAAGGAATTGAAATGGACTATGAGGTTTAATAAAGCTGGAAGGGGATCCAGAGTCTGACTGTGCCAGGCCATATTAGGGCTGTGGTCTTTATTCTGTTTGAAAGCAATGAAAGAGCACAGAAGAGATTTTAGCAGCAGATGGAGGGAACTTTACCAGGCAGTTGGGGTAGGGAGGTAGAGTAGGGCATGTTGCCTACAATTTCATGTAATAAAACAGCAAGGCCTTTGGAGCCACACAATCCTGGATTCCAATCCTAGCTCAGTCCCCTAATAGTTAAAAGATTGTGGACAAATTATTTAACTGCCCTGTGCCTCAGTTTCCTCACCTGTAAAATGGGACCATTCAGATCTATTTCAGCAGATTATTGTGAGAATAAATGAGATCATGTTCATAAAAGTTCCTGGCACACAGAAGGGCTCAATGAATGTTAATTCCCTTCCATTAAATGTTAATGATGAAAGGACAAGGGGATCCTCCAGAAACTCATTTGCATCACAAAGAGAACACAGGAAAGCCTGATCTCAGCAATCCAGGTCTAACCAAAGAGCACTTGCATTACCAGTGTGTGCCCAATCTGTGCCAGGATCTGCTGCTGGCATGTTAAAGTGCAAATTAAGCAACCACCTGCCCACACGAAAATGCTGCAAAGCTAATGCTAGGTTTGCAGATACCATCGCAGAGCTCAGGCCAAAGTTACCTAATTTATAGATGTTTGGATACTTTAGAGGCTCTTCTCCCTTGTTCTTCATTGTTTTGTAGACTGACAATGGGGAGGAGAAACAATGTTTGAAACCACAATAAGTAATAATACTTAGCACTTAAATAACATTCGCCATCTTCAAAGCCATTTACAAACACTCACAAACTGAGGCTTACCCAGCCCCAGCCTTGGGAAAGTGTCATTATCTTTGTTTCTTCAAGACAGCAAAGAGGATGAGGTAATGGAGTTAGCCAAAGCCTGTGGCCAGTTGGCATCAGAATGAGAAGTTTAATTTAATCCAGGCATCCCTAGTGGGCCCATTCCAGAAAGACCTGAACATTTCGCTGAACCATGGGTTGTGCAAAATGTTGGATTAAAAGAGCAAGTTCTGCTTTTCAAGAACCCCTTGTGAATCCAGTTTGGCACAGATGTTCCCAGTACAATCTGAATTAGACTTAACTGGAAGATTTACTTTGGCCAACAAGGTGTTGTCACTGGTTCCCCAACTCTCTTACTCTGCCACCTCCCAGAAAACTGAGCAAATGTCAGGACTTTGTGTGTGTGTGTAATAATTATATAATTAAGAATGATTATATCTCAAAATTTCCTAATCTGTAAACTGGAGAGATAATAACCCACAGGGTAGTTGTGAGGACAAGGTCTGAGAATGCTAGGTAAGTAATCAACACAAGGAAGCTCTCTATATCACTGTTGTGGTTGACGTCACTGCTGTTGTATTTATATCATTTTATTATCTACTCTAAGTTACACATATGCTCTGCCTTAGGGTGTTCATAGCAACTCTCTTGTAAAGATAAGCAGCTAACGTCATCCTCTGTGGGCCAGAGAGGGAAAATGGGCTCACTCAGAACTACACAGCTAATCACTGGCAGAGCAGGAAGGAGCCCAAGGGCTGTCTTTATGTCACCTGCACTTCAATTTCAAATTCTTCTCCTATCACAGAGACTTTTGATTTGTGTTGATGAGGTCTGCCTCTCCACATTCTGTGAAAATAACAACATCTCCCATCTCCCCTCCCGTAAGTCCACACTAACTCAGAAGAAATTTGTTAAGCCTCTATTATATGCCATACACTGTTCCCAGGGTCTATGGAATGTCTTCCAGCAGTTTGTCCTCAAGAAGCTTCCAATCAATTGAAAAAGATAAGCACCAACCATCTGGAATAACTGCTTCTCTGAATCTAAGATTTGGAAGGGAATGGCCACCACTAGAATTTGGGATTTGTGAAACGTCAACGATTCCTCTCATCTCTACTCCTACCCCTATGTCCTCAGAATGTTCTCCTTTGTCTCAAGGTATAAGATTCCCTTGTTCAGATGCCTAGAAATTCTTTATGCTTATTTCAAATTAGATGCTTTTTTTTTTCTACTTTAAATCAGTATTGCACTGATTTAAAGCCCAGGCTTTGGGGTCAGATAGATGTGCACCTAGTTCCCATATTAGCACGAGCTTGTATATTTTACTTACCTTTGAAGAAACTAGAACTCCTGTAAAGTAAAGATGACAGATTTTTGATGGAGGATTTGAAGGAAAAAACATATATAAAGTACTTACCACAAAACTAGGCATGTGGTAGTTCTCCATAAGTAGCAGCTATTGTTAATGATTATATCATTTATATTATTATTGCTATTATTACAAAACCATGTTACTTAAGTAAACATTGTGTTAAATCTGAACGCAGAGTTTGGCAATGTTGTTACTAATATCTCTTCTGTAAATAATATTAGTGCAATTAACTGGTTATCTAGTGTAATAGACCTGAGGTCCTTGCAAATAATACAGTTATTCATAGTGCAGCTGCATAGATTAATTAAAAATTTTAAAAATATTTGTCCTTTTTTTCCTGAAGTTGCAACAGCTCAGTTTGGAAGCACTGGTCATTTCATAACCATCAGCCATAAGAAGGGGTTTGCTCCAAAGAACAGACTTATTGGAGTCAAACAGAATATTAATCCCAGCTCTGTTTCTTAGTATCAGTGTGATTGTGAGGAGTTCAGCTCCACCAGGACTCTGCTTCCTCATTTGTAAAATGGAGATGGTAATATCAACCTCCATGGGTTATTGAAGAGTCAGTGAAATAATATGTATAACAACCACTGCACTATGCAAATGCTAGTAAAATACTAGCTATTTCGCTATTCTTAAAAGATTGATTTCTGTAGTTAATATGAAACTGGAAAAAATTTTTATTATTTTATAAATATAATTATTTGGTAGATAGACTCTAAAAATAGAAGGTTCCTGATGGAATAAAATAGTGGAAGGGATGCTTGGTTTAAAAGGGTGGAAGGGAGTGTATCATAATTATTAAATACCCACTGTATGCATCCAAATAGCATACAAATACCATATTAATATTAATAGTATGTGTTATAGATCCAGACAGATCTGGATTCAAATCCTAGTTCTATTGCTTCTTAGCTGTGAGGCATTGGACAAGCTACTAAATACCTCTGGGCCTCTGCTTCCTGATCTACAGGTGCAATAACAAATATTACCTCCCTCACTGGGTTTTGATGAAGATTATGTACATGGAAGTACTTATCACAGTATCTGAGAAATATCAGGCATGTTACAAACATTCACTTTATTTTAACTATTATAATATACCAAAAAGAAAAGACAGCTTGGTCAGTGTTCTCTAGGTCAGTGCTTTAGAGAGAATAATACACTTATTTCAGGCAGAGCAGCAGTTTCAAGAGTAACATCTGAAGGTGCTGTGCCAGCTGAGAGAAGCAAGGTCTGGAACTGAAGCCCTGAGTGCTTGTAAATCAGAGAACCGTAGCAAGCAGAGGAGAACCAAGGCTAGCAGCAACCTGAAGGTGGCAGGGTGCTACACTGCCTGAAATATTAACACACATAGGGTGATCATACCTCCCAGTCTGCCCAGGTGTTACAGTATCTACTGATATGTAGCAATTCGCTCCAAATTTAGCCGCTTAACATTTTGTTCCTGTATCTGCAATTTCAACAGGACTCTGGAGGGAGAAAGAAAGAGAGAGGGGGAGGGAGAACAGCAGAGAGGAAGAGAAGAAGAAGTAAAAGGAAAGAAGGAAGAAAGAAAGGAGGGAGAAGAGAATGGATTAATAGATAGACCGACAGATAGATAATTGAAAATTACAGGATGGCAGAATTTGCTTGGACTGAAGAAAGAGATTGCAGAGAAAACCTCACCATCCCTGGTATGCTCCAAGGGAAAGGAGATTTATGTAGAGACTGAAGGTTGCCCCAGTGAACTCTGACATCCCTCTTAGCTCTCAGATTCTGTGACCCTCTTTAAGGAGCAGGCATGGTGGTGATTAACATTCCCTTTTCCCAAGATGAGTGGTGCAAGCTTTCATCTTGCAATGTTTATAAATGCCTTGAAAATGGAATGTGCCACATACACACTAAGAGCTATTATTAATATGGTGTCCAAACACCTCTCTCCACATGATAGTTAAACAACAAAGCATTAGGATGCGAGAACTTCCATAGTATGTGTGTGTGCACACACCCCAATTAAGGAATGTTCTTTATTCTCTCTCTGCCTTGGGAGAGATGGGAATACCTCACAGAGACCAGAGATGAGGCAGAATTGGGGACATGCAAGGGCCTATATAGATAATTGGGTGACAAGAGCATAATTAAGCAAACCACTTTTTATGGAGCTCCTATCTCTTGAAAGATACAGGGCTAAGTGCAATAAAAAATGTAAAAACTTAACAGTACAAGGCCTTGTCCTGGGAATAAGGATATGACAAAACATTGACCTGGTTTGTAAGGGGTTTACTCTCAGAAGATAAACTTTAAGGTGAGTTGACCAGGCCCCAAATGGAGGAAACCCAGTAGGTCAGAGCAGGTGACAAGAAAGAGAAGATCCTACTTGTAAATAACTAGGGATAAGTTATCTACAATTTTTGCTGTGATTGCAAAGGCCATAGTTTAATTTTTTTAAATTTATAAATGCTTTAAGAATCCAGTGAAAGTTATGAACTGTCTCCCCAGAGATATGCACTTACAAATAAAATTTTACAATAAATCTCCTGGAGTTCACAAATTTCCTAAAGTTCTGTCCTCCTTGGGCTCTTTTTTGTACCTCTTGTGTAACTGTGACTTCTAAGATGTACATTAGCAAAGGCTGAATGGATTCAAAGCAGAGACCAGATTTTCTCCAACTCTGGATTCTGGTTGTCTAGCCCAGGGTCCACCAAGCACATTACACAAAACTGAGGAAGCCTATTTTAGGAAATCCTAGATAACTAGCAAAGCAGAGCCAACCTAAGTATACTTCCTAAACTTCCAAATGTCCCTGTTTCATTAAAGAAATAGAAGCTGGGGATGCTTAAATGCACTATAGCTGTAAATCCACCTGGAATAAACCTCTCAAAGAGATAAACATCCACTGGCAACCATTCACTGGAAGAAATAGATTTGTCACTGAAGCAAGGTGCTCATTTATATGGACAATAAGAAAGCAAAGACAAGAGAGAGTAAAAGAGAGAGGGTGGGAGTGGGAGGGCAGGAGAAGTAGAAAGAGGGCTTTGGAAAATCAAAGCTCCTCATCTCATCTTTTTCTAAAGCACTCATCCTCCTTGTGAAGGTAAATAAAACAACCCCATATGGGGATCCATTATGCAAATGAGCAGCAGGGGAGAAGTCTAAGAGGAAGAGGCCCAGGTGGAAGGTTACGTGGTGGGTCACCTCCCTGTGTCCTCTCATCTGCCGAAGCCTTTGCATGCCGCTCTAGAGCTTCTCCCCTTGAGGGCTTCCAACTTCCGGCCACCTTGAGGGACTTTCTGGTAAAGTGCCACAGAAGATAAAATTAGAAACCAGGCTTCCTTTTTTTCCTCCTTCATTCTGTTACTCACACATAAATCAGCATTCACTGAGAGACACTCCCCACCTTCTATTGGCAGACACAAGAGTAAGCTAAGTTTCAGGCTACCTCCCATCTGACTCTCATGCCCCTCCTTTTGCTCACCTGCCACTGCAAAACCAAAGAAAAACATGCCCCTGGCCCCCACATTCTCTTCATTTTACGTGTTCTCTCTTCTTTCAAAATGTGTGACCCTGAGAAAATTGCTTAACTTCACTGAACTTCATCTGTATAATGGGGATTTTAAAAAGCCTATCCACCCACACAGAGTGACCATGAGGAAAAAAATGCAGCAATGTGAGTGGTGTTTGACAGCAAGCTGAACAGCCTCACTACTCAGCTGAGATTGTTATTGGCAACATCACCATGAGCCCAGGTCCTCGGGGTTGTAATCCCAAATTCAGCTTCAGATATGATCCCTGAGGATCATGTTTGCATTTATCTCTCACTCTAATAGTCTGTACCCTTGAGGGTGGTCAAAAAATGCTGCAGACACTGGGATGTGAATAAAAAATTAGTTGACTTTCTTTTCCCAAGGCTGCTTCTGATGCAGTTTTTGTGTATCAAGAGGAGAAAATAAGGACAGAAGTTTCATGCTGTTTTTTCATAAGGATCAGGGTGTGATTCATTTGCATTTACTTGATGAAGGAGGATGGAGCATGGTCTAGAAAACTTGCAGCAACTTTTCAAAGCCCACCCCTGACAAGTCAGGTCTGGAGGAGGCCCTGCACAGCTCCTCAAGTGCCACCATACATGGGGATTTGCTTCTGAGTGGTACATGGATAAATATTATGTTTTTGTTGTAAAGTTTAGAAGTACATTTTAAATAATTATAACAATCGATACCTGTTTTTCATTAAAAGTCATCACGATTAATTTTTCTTCTGTAATATTTCTACTTAAGTTAAAAAAAAGAGTCACTATCTAGAAAATATTAAAGAATCAATAGTACAAATAGATTCCAAGTGGGTCAAAAACCTTGACTTGTTACTCCAATCAGATATCATAAACAAATAAGGAAAGCTTTGAAGAAGAGGCAAGATAGCTGGGCTCCAGTTCTAGCTCTAGTTATTTTTCTATAAAAATGTAGACACAATGCATTACATCTCTGCTCACAGTTTTCCTAATAATGACAAGGAGTATGTTGCTACATGGTGGGAAAAATGTTCTCTCTCTCATCCTTATCCTTTAAAGTTTACTCTACTCCGTCTTCCCTCTCTGGTGGAACACGTCTCTCCTGCCTCACTCGCATGTTATGAAGCCTGGGCTCCTCGGGGAACGATATAGCAGAGTGATTGAAAGCATGAGCTCTAGAGACAGGCTGTTGGGTTCATATCCCGTTCTGCCACTCACTGGCTGTGCCTCAGTTTTCTCATCTGACAAATGAAGCATCTAGCTCATAGAGTCATTATCAGAATCAAAGGAGATTAGTTGAAGTGCTTAGAGAAGTATCTTGCTAATAATAGGCACTCAAGACATGCTGGTTATTATAATTGTTCTATTAGAAGTTATTGTTATTGTCCTCTTGAATATGTCCCATGTGGTTTTATTTTATAGTAAATTGTCTACTTCTCCCATGAGAAGGAAAGCTTCTTGAGAGCAAAGGTGCAGACTCTTCAGTATTGATTTTCCCTTAACACCCAACACTAATCTTTGTAGGTGATTGGCATATGTTATTGAATTAAAGAAAATGTTATTTGACAATTTAAGAAGTACTTAGTTGAGCGTTGATTTTTTGAAGCCAGTGGATTTGGATTGTATCCAAAATAAAGTGATATAAAAACAAACAGTATTGGTACTCTGACCACCCTCTCCCCTCCTGCCCCTTCCACATTCACAAGTAGATAGGAGAATTAAATCCCCAAGACTTAAGGATATGTGTCGTTTCTCCTCAGAGTCCATGAGACTTTCACATCAAATAGGTTCTTCATGGAAAATTTGCATCACAGACTCATGATATTTTAGAGTTGAATGAGAGTGTAAGACAATCATTCTTATCTCTTATTTTATAGAGAGGGAAACTGAGGCTCTGAGATGAAAATAGGTGCACCCAAGATTACAAAGTGCATTAGTGGCAGTGCCAGAATTAGAACGTTCCTCAGCATGCCTGGAAATATCACTGCATTACAAATCTGTATGGCTGCAAAACAATGCTCTGTTCAACAATATACGATAAGGGGTTTAATGACTCAATGAACAGCTTGCTTCTGCAGGAAAAACATATCATCAATTTTTCAGAAGGCATTTGAAGGAAACTCATCCTCGTCTGCTACACACATCAATTTCTAGCATAATCACAGCAATAACTATTGAGTAGCTGCCATTTAAAGTAGGAGTCTTTAAACAAAAGCCCATGGGCTAAGTCTGGCCCACCACTTGTTTTTGTAAATAAAGTTTTATTGGAATACAGCCATACTTGTTCAGTTCCACATTCTCTATGAATATTTTCATGCTATAATAGCAGAATTAAGCAGTGGTGGCAGAGACCAAATGGTTAGCAAAATTTAAAATGTTTACTTTGACCCTTTATGGAAGAAGTTTGCCAACTTGTTACAGAGCATGTACTGCATGCTAGATGTTCTGCTTGGAATGTAACATATATTTCGCTAATCTTTAAACTGATCTACTGAGTGTTTAGGATTATCCAGCCTTATTTTATAAACTAAGTTTTGGGCAAATTCCTCAATTTATTCTTAGATTACAATGCTTAAAGAAATCGAGGGATTTGTCCAAGATTTATAATTTCTAAGCACCAAACTGACTTTTAGTAAAAGCAAAACATTAGTACTTATTATTAGATGTCAATGGTGAGAATATGAGATGTAACACCACAACTCTATGTGTTTGACTCAAGGAACCAATGAGAATTACAAAACCGAACAAATCAAGAAAATGTAAAATAGCTTTAACAGTGAACAGATCACACAAAAGAAGAGGAAGAACCTTTTTATAGAAAAAAAAAAAGGTGCCTTCCAAAGTATGGAGATTTTGATTCCTATCCTAGCTTTTGCTCCTACATTGCTGTGTGACCTTGAGCAAGTTACATGACCTCTCTCTGCCACAAGTCTCCCATCTACAGAATTTGGTCTTAGAGCCCCCTGATTGCTAAGGCTCCTTCTAAGTCTCTGGTTCTGTGGCTTTTCTTGGGGCCATGCAGAGCCATGTCCTCTGCTGTGATTCAGGCTGGCCATGTTGTTGGGGCTACAGTCTAAGAGTTTTCTGAGGCCCTTAAGGGATTCTTTCCAGGATTCTATCACACTTGAACCTGCTTAGTCAGGGCTTTAAGAGTTCCAGAGTCTTGATAATAAATCTTTCAGGCAGGGTTTGGGAGTGGAGGAGAGAAGATAGTAGAAAAGCTTTACAAATGAAAATAAAATCACCTTGCCATTTTTTTCCACTCTAATGAAGATGATAGATAGATAGATAGATAGATAGATAGATAGATAGATAGATAGATAGATATAGATAGATAGGACTGGTCCATTGGGTCCAGTAGAAAACATGATTTTTTTTTTGGTTCAAAAGTGTACTCAATAGTGCAACATTATTTGCTATATATCTATCCAATTGCCTCTTAACTTACTCAAGTTTTAGAGAATTATCTACTCTTGTGAACCTGAGATTATTCACTATCTTTAAGATACGTTATGCAAGCCCTGGCAGAACCAATTCTACAGAAGCTTGACTCAACCAATATAACAGACAATATAACTGGCTTTCTCAAGGCAGAGTTTAATAATCTTTAGTCTATGGATTCCTCCTACATAGAAGAAAGCTGAATGTTCTATAGGAATGGATATTTTGCCAGGCCTCTTCATTTTTCCTGCTTGATGTTCACAAAGTGATGTGGTAGTAGAGAATGTTGCAGCTGTTGTGGGAGTGAGATTTGTCACAGAACATACCCCCTTCATCAGAGAGTAAATCCCCATTTGAAAATAATTTCCTAACCCCATCAAGGTCACAAAAGATTACTAATACTACAGGTCACTGTTATTCAAAATAATATTTAGATCCTTAAATGCCCTAAAAGATCAGAAATGCTGAAGGCCAACATCTTAATCCCCCAAGGACCTACAGTTTGACCTCTAGGTCTATTTGAGGCATGGGGTTTTTCCTTAAGAACCAGCAAATCCAGAGAGGAGCCAAGAGGGTAAGAAGACGAGACTGGTAGGTCATCTTCTGAGGAAAGGACAAAGGAGACTCTCTTACTCCTAGACCCAGCTGTGCAAGTAGCTGCTGCTTCTTTAGCCTGGATCCAGGAATAGGAGACATGTGGAGCTGTCTGATTTATTTTTGGATAACGCAGATACCATTATATCAACATCACACCAGGTCTACTCATAAATGCTCTGTGAGGTAACAGCAAGATGAGGCCTAATGGTAAAAACAACCACATTTTATTTTTCAGCCTGAGAGTTGGCAATCACATGCTCCAAATGATGTTTCCGATGATCTATCCAATAAATCAAATGGTCGTTTCAACTGTCCAACAATGGTGCTACTCCCCAGTAACTAAAAAAATATGTTTAAATTAGGCAACAGACTACATGATTCTTATCTGCTGGTCTAACATCAGACAACTGATGTTTGTGAATATTCCTAGAATCTTAAATTAGAAAGAACTTTTGGAGTTACATGGTTCAGACTTCTAACTAATGAGCCTGAAGTCTGAGGCTCTGATAGATCTGATTTAAAACCCCACCTCCACAAATAACTAGTGCATGGCCTTGAGAAAATTATTAAATCTCTCTGAGGCTTGGGTTTTCCATCTGTAACATGGAGATAATACCACTATTACTTTAAAGATAGCTGTAGAATTAAATGAGCATCAGCTCTCAAAACACCTGGCCCAACATCTGGTACAATGTAAGCATGCAATAAATATTAACCATTAATATCATTATTATTATTACTGTATCCACAATGGCTGGCTATTTGGCCTTTTTAAAATCAATTTTATTGTGACAAAATCTGCATACAATAAAATACATATATACACAGTTGATGAGTTTTGGCAAATTTATCTGCTGGTCTAACATTAGACAACTGATGTTTGACTGTACCATATAACCACCATCAAAGTCACAATATAAAACATTTCTTTGACACCAGAAAATTTCTTTCTGAACTTTTAAAGCCAATCTGTTTCAGCCTCAGCCCCAGACAACCTCTAATCTGCTTTGCACAAATCTTAAATGTCATCATAGATTAATTTTTCCTGTTCTAGAATTTCATGTGTACAGTATACTAAAATATGTATTTTGTGTCTGGCTACTTTTTCTCAACATATTTTGAAATTCTTTCATGTTGTAGTATCAATAGTTTATTCTTTTCATTGCTGAGAAATGTTCAGTTGTACATATATACCACAATTTGTGTATCCATTTGTCTGTTAACAGACACTTGGACTGTTCCAGTTTGAAACTATTACAAATAAAGCTGCTATGAACATTTGTGTACAAGTCTTTTTGTGGCCATATATTTTTATTTCTCTTGGGTAAATAAAGAGAATAGCTGGTATTTGAATGGCTGATTGATGATAAGCAAGTGCTTAACTTCACAAGAAACTGCCAAATATATCTTTCAAATTGTTATGGCATTTTAAATTCTGATATGGTTTGTCTCTGTGTCCCCACCCAAATCTCATCTCAAATTGTAACCTCCATAATCCCCATGTGTTGAGAGAGGAACCTATTGGGAAGGGATTGGATTATTGGGGTGATTTCCCCCATGCTATTCTCATGATAGTGAGTAAATTCTCACAAGATCTGATGGTTTTATAAAGGGTAATTTTTCCTGTGCTCACACACACTCTCTCTCACCTGCTGCCATGTAAGACATGCCTGCTTCCTCTTCCACCATGATTGTAAATTTCCTGAGGCTTCCCCAGTCATGCATAACTGTCAGTCAGTTAAACCTCTTTCCTTTATAAATTACCCAGTCTCAGGTATTTCTTTATAGCAGTGTGAAAACGGACTAATGCATACTTTTACTGGCAATGTTGAGCATTTCAGTTGCCTACACTCTCACTGACACTTGATATTGTCAGTCTTTCTCATTTCAGTCATTTTAATGAATATATTGATAACTTATTGTGATTTAAACTTGCATTTCTCCGATGACAGATTATGTACTATAGATTTTCAGATGCTTATTTGCCATCTCTGTATCTTCTTTTATGAAGTGTCCAAAACTTTTACCAATTTGGATAGAGGCAAGATCTTATTATTATTGAGTTGTATGAGATTGTATATATTCTCTTTAGAAGTGTTTGCCAGATATATGTGTTGAGACTATTTTGTCACAGTCTAGTACATTTAGTGTATTTTAAACACACTAACAAAATATCAGTCTTCTCTAAAGCAATTCTGAAGTTTAATAGCTTTATTAGGAAACTCAAGCTTATATTGAAAAAAAAATCAATCTTTTTATATCAGGGGGCCAAATATTGCCCATTGCCTGTTTTTATAAATAAAGTTTTATTGGAGATGACCATCTCATTTGTCTACTTATTGACCATGGTTTATTTTCTGCTGCAAAGGCAGAGTTGAGTGAGTAGTCATAACAGAGGCCATGTGGCTTCTGAAGCCTCAAATATTTACTATCTGCCCCTTTATAGAAAAGTTCACCAACTGCTACTTTACAGCATTGGACTGTTTGTTCTACTCCAACTTGTGAGTAACAGAAAAGAAGCCTGTCATCTTCTCCAAGGGTCTGAAACAATTCTTTGTCTTCCTTTCTGTTCTCCAGGCTAATTAAATACCTCTCAACTTGTCATGGAACAGGCTTTTGAGATTGCACACCATCCTGGCCACCCTTCAGTTTGTTAGATCCTCTTAAATTGCCATGTCCAAAATTATTGTAAGACTTATTTGTGATCAAATCATTATAGGTAATGAGAAAACCATTTACTCCTTTAAATTGGGCTCTATGGTTTTTTAACAACCTCATCCCATGGTTGGCTTCAATTATGAATGTGGTCACTTATAGACCTCAAGTGTTTTTCTTCTGAAAGAGATCTCCCTAAGATTATTTACCCATTCATTCGTCAGTTCATTTAATAACATTTTATGAAGTGACTCCTGTATTTGATGCAGGAATGTAAATTCCACATGCAGAATTTTTCTCTGTTAATTATTGGAGACTAAGACATTCCAATCTGCCATGTATGATATTGGCTATTACTAAGATTATCTGTTGCTGTGTGACAAATCACCCCCAACATGATGCATAAATAAGTAATGATCATCTACTTAGTTAATGATGGTGCCATTTGGGCCAAACTCAGCAGGGAAGACTCATCTTTGCTCTACAAGGCATCAGCTGGCATCCTCAGGCCCCGTCCTCTTTCTATGTGGTCTCCTCATGTGGTCACTCCAACATGGCAGCTTCAGGGTAGCCATCCAAAAATGCATTTTCCAAAAGAGAGAGCCAGAAAGGAGCTACAGAAGCATTTCTACCCTAACCTCAGAAATTACTTAAGGTCACTTTTTATTTGTCACATTTTATTTGTTGAAGAAGTCTCAAATTCCTCCCCTTTTTCAAGGGCTTAGGGAACTAGTCTCTCCACCTCTTGATGACTTTAAAATCTCCACAACTACCATTGCTTTTATTGGAGTGATGGTTCTCAAACAGTGGTCATAAAGAGCTCTGATAGTCCAGGGACTGAATTGAGTTTTTCTACCATAAGGACAGAATTTTAACATGCATTCCCTTAGTCATTTCTCTCAAGAAGTAAATATGATTTTGGCCTGGTGACAGCCACCTTCACCGTCCACTCACACCTGCCCTTGAGCTGAAAACGTCACTCCAGTAGACCCATAGCAAGGACATCAGGTTTTCCACAGACCCCTGTAAGACAGTCTCCTTCAAGTTACTTTTCTCCACATTGGAAGCTGTGTTCTGGAGCTCAGTCTCAGGAAGACTGCCTGTGCTGCTTTGAGATTAAATTAAATTCGAAGAGGAGAAGAAATATTCCTCCAATCCCTTAGGTTTCTGGAAATACCGTAAAATTTTCCTGATCACACTCAAGAAAAGGAAATCTTTATAATAAGTAAATTCTGCCAAGACTATCTCTTTGAATATCTTCTGGGGCCAGCAGAGTGATAACATCTTGAGTTCATTTAAAGTAAACTGAGATTTTAAACTTTTAATTAGCATTATTTCTAAAATGTTAAACATGAACCCTATTACATTGCTCAAGGAAAGATAGATGGGGCTTTCAAGCAGACCTCAGAACTGCTAACTTAGAAGAAGCAGGTAAGTTGGTGAAAAGCACATGAGCTTTGAAACTAATATCCCAGCTGCAGCGACATCACCCTATGATCTGGGGAAATCATGTAACCTCATTGTGCCTCAGATTCCTCATTTGTCAAATAGGGAAAAGCAAATGTGAAATGCTTACCGATGTTCCATGTGACTTTCACTAAATCTGGAAAGCCGAAAAATTCCAGGCTTAATTCTTATTATCTAGCCCCCAAGAAGGAAAAGTAAAGAGAAAAATAGAACAAGCATGGGACTTAGAATTAGTAACTTTACTTCCAAATAGCTTCTTAGAATCTCTGTTTCCTCATCTATAAAATTCAGGTAGCCATTCTTGCACTGCACATATGCCTGGGAAGATGAGCTGATTAAATAAGATGATGCCTGAAAAACAGCACCATAAACCTAACAGCATCATAACTTGTCAATGGCTTTGTAAAAAGAAAGAAACAAACAAAAACAAGTTATATGAATCGATCAAGTTCTGAGGTGCTAGTATTGAGAAAAAGGCAAGAGGAGGTAGGAGTTTGAGCCAAGCTCTCACCTTTGGACTGAATCTGTAAAACAGCAAAGATTCGACCAAGATATCTGGAGCATCCAAATATGTGATGACTATGCACAGATTCTAGGTGACAAGGAAGAAAGGAATGTAGGTAGGGAAGGGATGACTAGCCTTTAGTGAGGACCTGCTAAGAAAGGGAGTAGGACTTAGCAGTTTGGAGTAGGAATCCACTTGCCTGGCTCTGATCCTTAATACAGTACTTCTTAGCTGCAAGGTCTTAGCCAGATAATTAAACTTTCTGTGCCTCAGTTTCTCCATCTGTAAAATGGAGATAATTAATACTAGGGTCTCCTGACAGTTGTGAAGATTTTATTAGTTACTGAAAGTGTTTGGAACTTGAGTGCTTCCCATAAAGTAAGTCCTCAATCTGTATTATATTTATTAATTTCATTATTGCACTTAACTAAAAATATATTTATAAACAGTTTAGTCCATGCCAAGCCCTGTTCTAGAAACTAGGCAAAGTTATGAGCAAAACAAATCTCTGTCCTCAAGTAGTTTGGACAGGGTTCTAGAGCAGTTCCAGAAACATAATAGAGAAATCACTATAAAGTAGGTGAGTCCATATTACTATAATAAATTACTACTGAAAATACCATGGATAAAAATAAGGCAGGGTAGAAGGGGTATGAGATTAAGGCACTGAAATTTTAGGTAGAATAATTAAGCCTCCCTGAGGCTGTGACTCACTCTTCATTTAGGGGAAGGTGTAGTAGGCTGCCCCAGGGGGCCCCCAGATGGAGGCACTCATTTCACCTGCTACCAAAATCTCTGGCTGCTGCCTGTAGACTCAGCCAAGTAGAACTTCCTCACTCCAATTTTTACTCCTCCTCAGAAGGCAGCTTTCATTCGTGACTGGTCAAAATGGATACACAAGAGCCCTGCCACTTCTCAACTGGGACAAATTCTTTTTTTACTTTTTTTCTTTTTTTAAGACAAAGTCTCACTCTGTCACCCAGGAGGGAGTGCAGTGGTGTGATCTTGGCTCATTGCAACCTCCTCCTCCTGGACTCAAGTGATTCTCCTACCTCAGCCTCCCCAGTAGCTGGGATGACAGGTGCCCACCACCACGCCCAGCTAAGTTTTGTGTTTTTAGTGGAGATGGGGTTTCACCATGTTGGCCAGGCTGGTCTTGAACTCCTGACCTCAAGTGATCATCCCGCCTCGGCCTCCCAAAGTGCTGGGATGACAGGTGTGAGCCACCATGCCCGGCCTTCAACTGGGACAATTCTGAAGGGCCAACCCAGCGGCAGGATTCCCTGTGGGGATTTCTGGGGGCCTCCACTGAATTGCATCATGGTCCCACTTCTCCCTGTGCCTAATCCCTGCTTCCCTGCCTCGAGAGTTGTTCCTGAGTCTACTCCTCAAGTAGCTTCCTCCACATAAACTTCAGAGTCCTGGGCTCTCTTCTCCAGGAAACCTGACCTATGACCAAGGCTAAATAACTTGTACAAAGTCTTTGAGCAGAAAGGAAGGGAGCTAGGACTTGTTCCTGGGCCTGCCTGCCTTGGTGGCCTATGCACCTCATTGCAGTTATCAGCCACAGTACATTCCAGCCTGTTCCTGTCAGTGTGGCAACAGGAAACTTCTTGGAATTTCTGAGCAACACAGAGCATGAGGGTGGGTATGGCTGTGGATAAGCGAAAAAGAAGTGAATGTTAATTTCAATAGCAGAAGATACTAAATTTCCCACATCAAAACCTGATGATGAGGAGAGCACATCATCACATTTTGAAAAAATAACCCGTAGTATTCTAGAACTTGACTTATGTTTTGCTGTAAACTCAGTTCCTTTGCAATAAATGGATAATGGCTTATTTTATGTCAACTTTAAAAAACCCTCTTTACAAATAAGTTCTAACTTTCATTTTTAATTGAGCACATTTTTATTATTTTATTTTATCTTTTTTAAGTTCAGGGGTGCGTGTGTAGGATGTGCAGGTTTGTTGCATAAGTAAACATTTGCCATGGTGGTTTGCTGTACAGATCATCCCATCACCTAGGTATTAAGACTAGCATCCATTAGCTATTCTTCCTGATGCTCTCCCTCCTCCACACCCACACTCTGACAGGGCCAGTGTGTGTTGTTCCCCTCCATGTGTCCATGTGTTCTCATTATTCAGCTCCCACTTACAAGTGAGAACACGCAATAATTGGTCTTCTTCTCTTCCTTCATTAGGTTGCTGAGAATAATGGCTTCCAGCTCCATCCATGTCCCTGCAAAGGACGTGATATCATTCTTTTTATGGATGCATAGTATTCCATGGTGTGTATGTACCACATTTTCTTTATCCAGTCTATCACTGATAGGCATTTAGGTTGATTTCATGCCTTTGCTATTGTAAATAGTGCTGCAATAAACATATGCATGCACGTATCTTTATAACAGAACAATTATAGTCCTTTGGGTATATACTCAGTAATGGGATTTCTGGGTCAAATGGTATATCTGCCTGTAGGTCTTTGAGGAATTGCCATACTGTGTTCCACAAGGGTTGAACTAATTTACACTCCCACCAACAGTGTAAACAAGTATAATTTTTTATGTTTTAGAATGGCATTTATATCGTAGGACATAAAGTGAACTTTTGGGGGACTCTCAAAAGGTGATCTTCCTCTTAGTCTCAATGAGATCTTTACTTTTATATCTGAATGTTTTTAATACCTGACTTTGGCTTCAGACACGACCCTGAATGCAGAAGTTCCAGAGTCTGGTGAAAAGGCATCTCAGATGGAAAGAGGGAAGACAGAAAGTCCTCGGAGATTGGGAAAGTCTTCCTATGTTACAAATGTTTGGAAGGGAATCCAGGAGCTGAAAGAGAATTAGCATTACTATAAGTGGAATCTCAAAAAAAGCAAAAGTTCAGTTAAAATATCCAGAACTTGAAGGAAAAAAACTAAGTCCAAATACACGTAATTTTTAATGAGCACTTACTATGCATCTGAGCTCAGTCTGTAGATGTATGACTGCATTTATAGAGCACCTTTATGTGAAGATGGTATTATAACTCACTTAAAAGGAATAAAAGCTGAGGTTCAGAACAGGTGACTTCCCAAAATTTACACAAATGACTTTCAGAGTGAATGTTTCAACCTAGATTGGCTAACTCTCAGTGCTATGCCCAAAACCAAGGATTCATTTTTATAATCATTGGGAAGGCAACTCAAGAAATAAATATCCAGTTCTTTCATAGTTCTGCTCTTGCATTTTCTGAGATGCAACATTGTAACCCTCAGGAAACTTAGTCAAGTCAAGTGGATTCTTTGAGTTTATCTGCCAAATCTGTATAAATATATAATCTTCTCTGAAAGTATTTGTGAAGACACATTTCTTGTGTTCTCCCAGAACCTCTTGAGCTTCCACTGTGGCATTAATAGCAGGGGTTGAAGCCTACCTTATCAGAGCTGATGTAGAAAAATTACAAAATTTCTAGCAGCACAGCATTCTTTCGACATGTTCCAGCCTCTCCTAGAGCCTATGAAAATAGTGATATGAGTCTAAGAAATAATTAAAAGAGAGGCCAAATATTTCTACTAAGTATTAATGACTCTGATTTTTACTGATGCAATGTTGGCCTCTTTTCATTTTGGAATCTTGGAAGAACTTCCAAACCAGAGATGGGAACCCTTGTAAGGTATCATAGCAAATGTTACCTAGTCTCCAACTGAAGTTCATAGGAATTCATGGATTCAGTAGGATTCTAGCAAACAGAAATATATAACATGATCTCAAAATATAATTTTTTTAACTCCTGCATTATTTGAGTAGTGTCCTTGACCATTTAACCCCCAGCCCCCAAGTCTCAATTTCTGCATCTGCTAAGTAAGTAATAGCTACTGGAGTTCACATACCATGCAGGGCTAATGTGAAGAGCTAATGATCCCTTTGGTTTTCTGGTAAGGTATTCGCTGAGTTGCCTTGAAAGTGTTTTATTGGATATTGGCTGCATAATGAAAATACTCTAATCGTGTTCCTTCTCCACTTCCCTATGCTCAGCAGCATTTGGGAATTGTCCAGTATCCAGTGTAACCACATAAGCTTCGTTTTATAAGCTTTTCATGAGCTGCTCCCAAAATCCTACCTCTCCAAACTCCGCTGGTATATCTTTCTTTCCCACCACAGCCAAAGATGCCCCACTTCTGAGACCAATCATTGACTTTCATTTTGCATTGATTTGTTTAATCAGCTTCCTCTGTGAAGAATGCTCCTCTCCCTGGCTGCCCGAAGAAATCAAGTTAATAATTTAAATCTCACTCAAATGTAACTCTACAGTATCTTCTCCTGCCACTCCCTTGCCACCCCACTGAGCTCCATGGCACTTTGCTCTTATGGCTAACCAATATCATAAGGCTTCTGGCTATGCTCAAGGTGACTTACAAAAGTTACAAAATTGTAATCCAGCAACCCAAGTCTTCTGGTTTCTTTGGCTCCTTGTTCTAGTCTCTTTCCACAGACACTTCTAAAAATAAATAAATAAAAAATAAAAAAAATAAAAAAAAACCCAAGAAACTAAATTACCCCAGGATCTGTGGGAGACTCTGATGAATACCCAAGACATTCATTTCATGTTTAATAAAGCTAATCTACCCAGCCATTCTAATAAAATTGTAGAAATGCAATTGACTAGACCTCATGGCTGGCTCTGTCTCTTCAGATAAGGCAAAGAAAGCTGAGTACGGTGCTTCCAGAAAATAAACAAAAGCAAGAATGAACTAAAGGGCTGTAATTCCATCGAGGGTCTCTGGCCAGTGACAGAAACCCCCCAGAGCAGGCTTCTGTGATCTCAGAAATGACCACTTCTTTGAAATCCTTAGTCCCTGCAGTATTTGAGTTTGATTCTGACAGTGACAAGACTCACGAGATAAGGCCATGGACTGCAGTCACAGATTGAGTTTGTGTAACACAGCTGTCCACAAATGAAGGATTCACCTAACGTCAATGAAAGCAAATGAATTTCATTGTAGTGGTGCCTTAAGTCCACGACCTCAAAGTAGAATTTCACCTCCCTCAATTAGAAAACATCCATGTATGCAAAAATTGAAATACTTCAGGATACCTGTAAGCCATAGGAAGAGAGCTTTTGTTGTTAGAGCTGATCAACCATAAATTTTTATCAGGAATAGAATGCCAAGAAGATCTATAGGATTCAACAAAGTGGAAGCTATGTTGTAACTCTGCCTTGACACAGTATGGCATCTTTTGCATAACACTGTACAATTATCTTGATACAGCCTCTCAAAATCCATCAATGGGCTGGGCATGGTGGCTCACGCCTGTAATCCTTGCACTTTGTGAGGCCAAGCCAGGCAGATCACAAGGTCAGGAGTTTGGGCCTGACCAACATGGTGAAACCCCATCTCTATTAAAAATACAAAAATTAGCCGGGCATGGTGGTGTGCACCTGTAATCCCAGCTACTCAAGAGGCTGAGGCAGGAGAATCGTTTGAACCCAGGAGGCAGAGGTTGCAATGAGCCAAGATCACACCACTGCACTCCAGCCTGGGTGACAGAGTGAGACTCCGTCAAACAACAACAACAAAAAACAAACAAACAAACAAACAAAAACTACAAATGTAGGCAAGTAACCAGCATAATTGTCCCCATTTCACACATAAGGAGAAATGTGGCTCAGAGAATCTGTGTGATTTCCCCAAAGTCACGTTAAGTAGAGGCTCAGGGTCAAAACCACCCCCAGTCCAGTGATTTGTCCACTCCTCTCTACTCAGAGGTTTCACACACCATCAAGTAAAGGCTTCTGTTTAAAAAAAAAGAAAAGAAAAGTACAACATTCTAAAGGAAACTCTAGTTGTTCCTAAAAATTGCCAGGCAATAATGCTATGACTATTTAACTTATTGTTATTATTAATAAAGTGCATCTAGATTATCCTACCTAAATTTTGGCCTTTACTCTCCATGGAAGGTGTTTAACTAGAGATAAAATATAATGTATTTTGAAGTGCATGGTATTTCGCTGAGGAGAGACTTGGGTTCAAATACCAGCTTTGCTATTTACTAGCTTTATGACTAAGGCCAAGTTACTCAGTCCCTTTGAATCTGAGTTTTCTTATCTTTAATATAGAAATTATAATAAATTCATCACAGAAATATGGCAAGGAGTAAACAAAACTGCATGTGAAAAGTGTTTAACAGGGTGTACTTGATGCATAGTAGTGCTCAAAGAATGTCAAAATCTAGGGAGACAAACTCTTTAACATCTTGTCTGCTAACAGTGATCAAGCTACCCACAAGTTCTTTCATAGAGAGATTTCATTCAGGCTGTAGCCCCACTAGGGTACTACTCTTCGCATAATACCTTACACTTTGTGAAGAAGGTACACACACTGTCACAATTAAGGAATCAAATCACTGTCTTCAGGTTTCAACCATTTGCCAGAAATCACGTTAGCTTTTGAATCCACTAGCAAAAGATAAAGGATTCCCTTCTTTTCCTTATTAACAGAATTCAAATAAAACATGTCCTAAGCATCTGAAATAAGCCCCAATATTGGGAGAGCACTAGATGTCAGTTACAATTTCTTGAGTAGCTGCTAAGTTCCAGTCTCACTGTAAGGCACTTCCACCCATTAAAAGACATTAGCACATTTGAGCCTTGCAAACAACTTAACAGGTAAGCTGTGGAAATATAATATTCTCTTCATTTTACAAGTGAGGGAACTGAGACTCAGAGTTGCCCATCATTGCTTAGCTCCCGAAAGCAGCAGAACAAGATTCTGACTCCAATGCTCTTCCCGCCTCCTTTAGGGCAAGGGCTCACTGCCTACGACTCCCAAGTCACCATCAAGTTGACATCCAACAGAAAGTGCCCCAAGAGTGTGCACGGGTGGCTGTGAGTGGGAGGTGCCTGACTCACCACCACTGACTCACCATCAGGAGGGATCTGCTGCACTGGTCCTTTGCACTCTTATTCTCACCTTTTGAAATAGGATGGCATCTTACTTGGTTTAGATTTAAGTCAGTATCTACTTACCAAGTAGCCTGATTCATTTCAGAATTTCAGATTTGTACTATGTTTCCCAGAAAGCCATTTGAAACTGTAGCTTTTCTTTGTGTGAGTTTTATTGTTCTACAAAAGGAAAATCTGCTTTTTCATGATTGCTCACTATTTATGAAGTCAACACTATTTGGCAGTCACTGTGCTAAGTTCCAGGTACAGAGCAACTGACTAGACTGATTCCATCCCTGCCCTCGTGGAGCTGATAGTCAGCTGGACATAACAGACCTAAACACTAAATTATAAAAGTGATTACACAGTAAAAACTCTGATGACTGCCACAAAGGGGAAGTCCAGACTGCAATAAGAGGTTATATTAGGGGACATACCACAGTCTTGGGGTCAGGGAGGGCTTCCCTGAGAAAGTGCTATTTAAGGAGAAAGCAGAAGGATGAGCACAAATTAGCCAATCTAATGGAGGGGTAATGATACTCCCAGCAAAGGAAACAGCACTTGCAAAATCCCTGGGGCAGGAAGAAGAGTAACACATTTAAGGAACTGAGAGGTTAGTGTGGCTAAAGAGCAGAGACCCAAAGTGGAAACGATGTAAGAATGGAGGAACAGGAGTATAGCAATGCTTTCCAAAGCACTAACTGGCGATGGCATCAGCCATTGTGAATGCATACAGTCAGCCCAATGCAAATGCCAGTTAATCTCTCTTGACATTTATGGAAATTAGACCTGAACCAATGAAAAGTTCGATAGCTAATTTTTCTTTCTTCTTCTCTTCCTCTTCCACCTTCTATTTTTTTCTTGATGATTATATTACTTTCTAAGTATGAGAGGGGAAGTAGACAGAAAGAATCTCTGAAGAAACTGTTTACATTACACATCTCATGCACTGTGTGTAGGGAAACATGGTGTAACTTTAAGCAAACTAACAAGCTTCAGGGTTTTTTGTTCTTCTGCAAAACAGTGCTGAAAAACTGCAGAACACATTTAAGATTAAGTGAGGCAATGTATACAATCTGCTACGCACAGTGACTCACTCTAATAGTTAAAGCAGCACCCTCTTTCCAGGTGAGACAGGAAACTGAAGAGGTGTATTAGTTAGGCTAGGCTAACTGCTGTAACAAACAAATCTATGCATAGTGGTTCAAACACAATAGAAGTTGATTCCCTGCTCGTGTAATGTCTAAACTGGCTGTTCCGGAGGTGGCCAGCTCTCATCCACAAAGCAATCCAGGAACCAGTCTCCTTCTCTCTTAGTGCTGCACCCTGTTACTCCACATCAGGCTGGAGGAAAGGTAAAACATGGAGGAGTGTGTATGAACGAGGCCTAAAAGTGAAAATATTACTTCTCTTGTAGATCTCCATTACACAATCTCACCTAACTACCAGGAAATAAAGTCCAGTGGAGTGGAAAAAGAAGGAGCGAGTGTAAGTGGTTAGCCAGCAGTCTTGGCCACCACGCATAAAGGTGAGAGAGGTCTTTCTTATTCAATCAGCTTAAATAAATTAATTTTTCTGCAAATAGGTTCTGCACATCTCCTTTCTGCAAACCTTAGTCTAGGTATGACAATGACAATGAGCAAGTCAGTGTCTTCTGCCCCATCTGGAAGTTCCTAAATATATGACAGCAGTGTGACTTCTCCCTCTCCTTTATCTCCCACAACCACTCACTTGTCTCATTAGTTTCTCTAGTTTCCTTTTCTAGGGATATATGAAAATCCTTCCTCTTCTTGTGATTACTGTCACTCTTCTTGATTTCTCACTTGAATCACGGTGAAATGTTACCTTATATCACCTGCAACTAGACTGACTCCCCTCCCACCCACCTCTGCTTGCCCCCACCTCCAACTCCAGTCCATTCTTCCCCCAGGGATAGGAAAGTGCTAGCTCTCCAGTGCAAATTCCAAATGCAGTAGGCACTGGCCTGCTTCAAATCCTATTTGGTTCATCCCAGCATACAGGATAAAGTCCAAACCTCTTCATTTAACAGCTTACAGTGCAGTAAGCTGGCCCGAGCTTCCGTGCAGTCTCATGTTTCTCCAAGCCCCTTCTGGTACCTAGGGCTCCAGCAACACAGAATTACTTAGAGTTTTCTGCATACAGAGCCTCCAAGCTTCTTCTCTTCTCCAGGTCATCTTGACTCCTGTTGACCCTCTGGTGGCATGCACATCCTTAAAGTCCATCTCAGGTATCACCAATGGTTGGAAGCATCCTCTGATCTTCACCCTCCTCTGCTATTCTCAAAACACTTGTGCATGTAATTATCTCTGAATTATCTCTGTAGTGTGTGCTCCTTTGTAATTCATCTGTCCACCCTACTATCCCTGAAACTCCTGGAAGGCAGGCAGCATTGAGAGCATTGAATGTCATTCTAAGGACTTGCAGGTCTATCCTGCAATTTAAAAGAAATTACGGAGGATTTTTTAATAGAGGGAGTGATACAATGTAGTCAATATTTAAGAAGACAAATTTCAGGGAAGACTTTAAAGTTGAATATGGAAAGAACTGACTGAATGTAGGTCAACTACATTCAGAAGGGAGAAGACACCAGGGTGGCATTTTCTCTACACCCAGGGCCTCAAGATTTGGTCCCAGATCTAGCAGATGTTAGCTGTATAAAGTAAGCACAATACCTCTCCTGCTCTTGTTTTATTTGTGAACAAAAAGGATATAATAAATAATTCTGGACCATCTTACCAGTATGATATGTGGGCATTGCAAATTAATGAATGCTAATGTGCTTTGTAAATTACAGTAAAATTGGCAAGACAAGTAGTTAAAATCAAAATAAATCCAAACTTAGGCAGTCTCATCATACCTTCAACGTCAAATAGAGTCCCTTCTTGAAGTCTTGAAGGATGCGTCCCAGGAGCCCCCACTGTTTCCTTGTGCAATGTGAGGCTGAGATCATCCCTGCTTGCCTGCCACCTGAAAGCTGAGTTTTAATATCTGAAGGATTGTCATGCAGAAGAAAAATGGGACCAACTCCATGGGCTGTGTAGCAGTTTCCAAGAGACAAATACTGGCTCAACATAAGAAAAAACTTTCAAACAGTCAGAGCTGTCCAAAGGCTGCCAAGGGCTGGGAATGGAGATGGGCTGTGAGCTCCATTAGATTGTAGATGATGGGGCCAAAGCTGGATGCCTATAGCTAGACTCCACACATCAGAAAGGTTTGGACTGATCAGCTTCAAAGCTTCCTCTCAATTCTAAAATTCTATTGTCTGCTACCACTGGGTGCACCTCTATTATTGTACATATTGATGACATGAGATGGTTGATTCAGGCATCTTTCTCCTCCACTAGAGTAGGCTCACCAGGAAGGTAGGAACTGAGTCTCCTTCAATTGGGATCCTCAATGCCTGGTACAGCTCCCCTGGCACACAGTAAACACTCAGAATTGCTGGTGGAATAAATGAATGTGTAAATGAACTAGTTTCTTTTTTTATGCTATTGACACCCCATAGGGGAAAAATGATGGTTTATTAGTTCGTTCTTACGCTGCTATGAGAACTGCCTGAGACTGGGTAAATTATAAAGGAAAGAGGTTTAATTGACTCGCAGTTCTGCAGGGCTGGGGAGGCCTCAGGAAACTTACAATCATGGCTGAAGGCACCTTTTCACAGGGTGGTAGGAGAGAGAATGAGTGCACAGTGAAGGGGGAAGCTCCTTTTAAACCATCAGATCTCAAGAGAACTAGCTCACTATCATGAGAACAGCATGGGGGAAGATGTGCCCCCGTCGTTCAGTTATCTCCACCTGGTCCTGCCTTTGACATGTGAGGATATTACAATTCAAGATGAGATTTTGTTGGGGACACAGAGCCAAACCACATCATAAAGTGTCCTTAAGTTTATACTAGGATGAGTTCTTTCATTGTGGACTTTGTGTATTTTGATACTAGTCTACTTTTATACTCTCCAACTTGGAGTCTTTGGACTTTTAGAAGTCCTAACTTCAATATTTTAAAAAGTCAAGTAATAAAAATCAGGCATTTGTCCATGGTGCAAGTGCCCAGATTTCAAACACACCCAGTTTGTATGCATTTGACTGGGAATTTACGAATGCAGTGTGGCCACTCTTTATCTTATATAGCAAACTATACCCCTGGAATGTTGCACCTATAATCTCATTTAATCTTTACACAAAGCCTGTATTTTAGGTGACCTCATCTCTAGTTTATAGACAAGGAGACTGCAGAGTTCAGAGAGTCTATATTAAAAATTTACTGTCAGAGGCAGAATTTCAATCCAGTGCCATCTGGCTGGCTGGCCCACACAGCACTCAGCTTCATTTTAGAGAACAAGGTTCCTCTGACGTGCGTTTCTGTCACAGATATGCTTTGGATGGGGACCTTTCCTGGCTATTAGCAGTTTCTGTCCCTTGATGGGCCAGTCAAATATGAGAGGCAAAGAGATCACTGCACAGAAGGCCTTCTGATCCCTCAAGAAACTCTCGGTTTAATGAGAAGGCTGATGCGCTACCTGCTAAGTAAACCTGGCCTTACAGACCCACCATGCTCAGAAAGCCCCCCACTCTCCTTTTCCAGTGCAATCTCCTTTCTACCCTCAGATACAATATATAGCAGAACACCAGGAAGTCTCCCAGGCATTCTATTCTAGCCTTTATATTTTTCTGGTGTTAACAACTTAATATGTGCTCATGCTTCCTTTTATGGGTAAAGATAAGCCCCCACGATGGCAATCAGGGGACCGGTGTAGGAAATGCTGCATTACTCCAGCAAACATTTGACTGCACTTTCTCCAAGACAGGCATCATTGTGCCGGGCCCCAAGAACAGCTTCAGGTCCACACATCGGCAGGTGAGATAGCCTGGTCATGAATTATGAGAGGGCTTCTTTAAAAACCAAGGCCAGAGCTGTGTGTTCTGGGGTGGCCCCTGCTCTACATGACAGAAAGCTGTTCTAAGGAAGCCAAGGGCAGAGTCCAGGTCTCAGATAGGGTGGAGTTCTCTGCTTCAGAAACTCATCTCTGAGAAAGGGGGCCTGTCCAAGTGGCTTTTAAAAGGAAATTACTGCAATTATGTAGCTAGTTTTCATGTGTTTTTTTGAATTGAAAACTCAGGAACAACCTCAAGGTCAATGAGGAATACTGTGGATCTACAAATGCAGGGCACAAATAGTAAAACTATTGACAATAATTACCAATATTAAATGAATGTCTCCAATGTGCCGGTAATCATGGTACGTTCTTTTCATGTGTCACTCCATTGCACCTCACAACATTCTCTTAAGGTATTTATTGCCCTCTTTTAGAACTGCAGAAACTGAGGCAGGGAGAGGTTGAGCAAGTTGCACGGGGTCTTGCATTAAGCAAGGGATGGAACAGAAAGCTCTGCAGCCACTAGAAACGGTACTCGAAATGAATATGTATGGATTCAAAAACATGTACACGGTATGTTATTGAAGGGGAAAATGCAAGTTCCCAACTTGTGCGATCCCACTTTTTCTAGCTCACAAAAAGGAGTACCAGCTCACCCCATTAGGATGGTTATGATAAAACGAGAACATACAGAAAAGAGCAAGTGTTGGTGAGGATGTGGAGAAATGGGGACTGTTGATAGGAATGTAAAATGGTGTAGCCGCTGCAGAAAACAGCATGATGGTTTCTCAGAAATGTTAAAAAAGAAAATCCATATGATCTGGTAATTTCACTTCTTTGTATATGTTCAAAAGAACAGAAAGCAGAATCTCAAGGAGATATTTGTACACCCGTGTTTATAGTAGCATTATTCACAACAGCTAAAACACAAAAGCAAACCCAGTGCCCATTGATGGAAGAATGGAAAAACAAAATGTGATATGGCACAGCTCACTTTATTGCACATTGCTTTATTTTGCTTCTCAGATACTCCATTTTTTACAAATCAGGGGTTGTGGCAACTCTGAGTTGAGCAAATCTATTAGCACCATTTTTTTCTGATAGCATATGCTTGTTTCATGTCCTGTCACATTTTAATAACTCTCACAATATTTCAAAGTTCTTAATTATAATTATAGTGATCTGTGATCAGTCACCTTGGGCATTACCACTGTAATTGTTTTGAGGTGCAATGAACCTCACCCACGTAAGATGGCAAACTTAATGGATCCACATTGTGTGTATTCTGGCTGCTCTACTAACCAAACACTCCCTTCGTTTTTCCCCTCTCCTCAGATGGCCCTATTTTCTGAGACACATAGCATTGAAATTAGGCCAATTAGTAACCCTACAATGTCTGCAAAAAGTTCATATGAAAGGAAGAGTTACATGTCTCTCACTTTAAATCAAAGGCTAGAAATGATTAAGCTTAGTGAGGAGGGCATGTCAAAAGCTGAAATGGGCCAAAAGCTAGGCCTATTGTGCCAAACAGCCAAATTATGAACGCATAGGAATAACTTTTGAAAGAAATTTTAAAAGTGCCACTCCAGTGAACACATGAGCGATAAGAAAGCAAAACAATCTTATTGCTGATATGAAGAAAGTTTCAATGGTCTGAATAGAAAATCAAACTAGCCACAACATTCTCTCTAGTCAAAGCCTAATCCAGAGCAAAGCCCTAGGACTGAAGATGTTTTTCAATTCTATGAGGGCTGAGGGAGGTGGGGAAGCTGCAGAAGAAAAGTTTGGAGCTAGCAGAGTTTGATTAATGAAGTTTAAGAAAAAAAGCCATCTCCACAACAGAAAAGTACAATATGAAGCCACAGTGCTGATATAGAAGCTATGGCAAGTTATCCAGAAGATCTAGCTAAGATAATTGATGAAGGTAGCTCCGTTAAACAACAGATTTTTAATGTATACCAAACAACCTTATATTGCAAGAAGATGTCGTCTAGGACTTTTATAGCTAAAGAGACATCACTGCTGAGTTTCAGAGCTTTGAAAAACAGGTCTACACTCTTGTTAGAGGTTAATGCAACTCATGACTTTAAGTAGCAGCCAATGCTCATAAACCACTTCAAAAATCCTAGGGCTCTTAAAAATTATACTATATATACTCTACCTGTGTTCTATAAATAGAACAACAAAGATTAAATGACAGCTCATCGGTTTACAGTGTGGTTTACTGAATATTTTAAGCCCACTGTTGAGACCTACTGCTCAGAAAAAAAAGATTTATTTCAAAATATTACTGCTCATTGACAATGCACCTAGTCACCCAGGAGCTCTGATGAAGATGTACAAGGAAATTAATATTGTTTTCATACCTATTAACATAACATCCACTTTGCAGCTTATGGCTCAAAGAATAATTTCAACTTTCAAGTCTGATTATTTAAAACACACATTTCATAAGGCTATAGCTGCCATTGATAATGATTCATCTAATAGATTTGGGCCAAGTAAATTGAAAACCTCTGGAAAGTTTTCACCATTGTAGGTGCTATTAAGAACGTTTGTGATTTATGTAACAAAGTCAAAATATCCACATTAACAGGAGTTTGAAAGAGGTTTCCAACTCTCATGGATGACTTTGAGGGGCTCAAGACCTCTACACGTGATGAAAGTAGCAGGAGAACTAGAATTTGAATTGGAGCCTAAAGAATGTGACTATAATCTTATGATAAAACTTTGATAGATGAAAACTTGCTTCTTATGGATGAGCAAAGAAAGGGGTTTCTTGAGAAGGAATCAACTCCTGGTGAAGATACTACAAAAATTGTTAAAATAACAAAGGATTTAAAATGTTACATAAGCTTAGTTAATAAAGCAGCAGCAGGGTTTGAGAAGATTGACTCCAAATATATAAAAGAA
This sequence comes from Homo sapiens, assembly GCF_000001405.40. NCBI lineage: Eukaryota > Metazoa > Chordata > Mammalia > Primates > Hominidae > Homo > Homo sapiens. The sequence continues at coordinate 128,244,101 of NC_000008.11, read as the reverse complement.
ATTCTACTGTCAGGAAAATGCCATCAAACAGCTTTCTACAGATAAATCTTTCCTGAAAGGAAGAATCAATTGCAGTGAACTTCACTGTTGCCTTATTTTAAGAAATTGCCACAGCCACCCCAACCTTTAGAACCCACCACTCTGATAAGTCAGCAACCATCAGCACTGAGGCAAGACCCTCCACCAGAAAAAACATTATATTAGTAACTGTTGGAAGGATCAGATGATCTTTAGCATTTTTTAGCAATAAACAATTTTTAATTAATGTATGTACATTGTTATTTTATAAACATGTTGTATTAGTCCTTATTTATGCTGCTGATAAAGACACACCCAAGACTGGGAAGAAAAAGAGGTTTAATTGGACTTACAGTTCTGCATGGCTGGGGAGGCCTCAGAATCACGGTGGGAGGTAAAAGGCACTTCTCACATGGTGGCAGCAAAAGAAAATGAGGAAGAAGCAAAAACAGAAATCCCTGATAAACCCATCAGATCTTGTGAGACTTATTAACTATCATGAGAATAGCACAGGAAAGGCTGGCCCCCATGATTCAATTACCTCCTCCTGGGTCCCTCTGATGATACATGGGAATTATAAGAGATACAATTCAAGTTGAGATTTGGGTGGGGACACAGCCAAACCATATCACATGTTATTGCACACTTAAACCACAGTACAGTGTAAACATAACTTTTATACACACTAGAAAACTAAAAAAAAAATGTGTGATAATTTATTGTGATATCTGCTTTATTCAGATGGTCTGGAACCAAGCCTGCAAAATCTCTGTGTTATTCCCGTTTATAATACAATGGAATATTATTCTGCCTTAAAAAGGAGGAATACTCTGACATGAACTACAACGTGGATGAACTACAACGTGGATGAACACTGAGGATATTATGCAAAAGTGAAATAAGGCAGTTACAAAAAACAAGTGCTGTATGAATCTAAGTATATAAGACACCTAGAGTAGTCAAATTCATAGAGACAGAAAGTAGAATGGCGGTTGCCAGGGCCTGGGAGGAGGAGGAAATAGGGAGTTATCACATAATAAGCACAGAGTTTCAGTTTTGCAAGATAAAAAGAGTTCTGGAAATTGGTTGCACAATGGTGTGGGTATATTTAAGACTATTGAACTTAAAACTGAAAGGAAGGAAGAAGGAAGGAAGGAAGGAAGGAGGGAGGGAGGGAGAGAGGGAGGGAGGGAGGGAAAGAAGAAAGGCAGGAAGGAAGGAAAGGGAAGGGAAGGGAAGGAAGGAAGGAGGGAGGAGGAAAATAAAGAAAAGAAAAAAATCAGGTTACAGTATGCATGAAAAAATATCCAAAAGGATATACAGCAATGAGTTGATAGTAAATTGCATTGGATTATCATTTTACAAATAAATATACCTAATTTTTGTTTGACTTTCTATTTTTTCTACAAAAAATGTGTTTTGTACTAGTAATAAGATTTTTTAAAATTATCTTCAAGACAAGAGAAAAGCCGTGAGAGGGAGTGAAAGCTGGAGTAGAGGAGAAGGAACCTACAATCCATGTACAAAGGGATGGAATGGACCACTGGTTCTGCAGGAGAGTGGTTCCAATCAGGCAGGCTGTGCACACTCCTCAAGTTAGGTTCTTGTGCTCAGATGCTCAGCCTTTGTGAAAGAGGAGCTTACGAGAATCCTGAATAACCAGAAGCAGGAGGTCTTCATCCACATTAAAGAGAACAGGTGGTGAGAATAGAGTCAGAGTTGTAATTCTGGGTGGAGATAGGCATCGCTGCAAGGAGGATCTTGTAATACACCTGTTTGAACACTGCACCAGAGGGTGGAGTCAGGCACAGTGAAGACTGGTAGGAGGGAGAGTCCCTTCTCTTGCCCACTACCAATTAAGATACCGAATTTAAAACTCAGAGATTAAAGGGATCTTAGAAAACATTCAGCCTAAACACCTCAATCCCCCAAAGAAATTTAAGCCCATGGAAGTGACATGATTTGCTTAGGGTTGCATAGACAGTTTTGTGGCAGACACCAGATTGTAATCCAGCTATCCTGAACATGTCTTCCTTATCAGTCCACCCATCCATCTATCCATTTATGCATGAATTTATTCATTCTTCCATTCTTCATTCACATTTATTGAGCATCAAATCTATACCAGGCTCTGAAAGAGCCACTCTACATCTCTTTATCCCCCCACAGTGCTCCATACAAAGTGTATTTGCAGAGAGATGAAATGTAGTAGAAAATGTCAGATGCAAGTTTATGCTTTGCTGCATTTTCACTTCTCTTTGTCATCACTGTTTGCATTATTGCTTATTCTTCACTTCACTCTGCAATGGTCACCTCATACACAACCAAACCACCACCATGAGAAGAGCTTCATAGAGAAGAGTGCTTTGGGGGCAGAATCTATGTGAGTGCTTCTCTTAAGCAGGTTTTTATAGTTAAGGATATGCTGTGTCTATGCTGGCCAACCTCTGCTTTTTGAACCATCATGCAGGAGGAAGGAGAGGGTCTGTCTGTCTTAAGCTAGTCATTGTAAAATCTGTTAGAAGTACAGCAGTAGTTGAATAAATATTAACTTTCTCCTCCATCTGTACACTTTTGCCTAATAGTTTTTTTTTTTTTTTTTTTTTTTTAGTTTTCACATCATCTGTCCCCTTTATCAGGACTATCTTCTAAGGCCAAGGAACAAAAATAAATGAGGGCAGAGTATTCCTCAGATTAGAAGAAAATAGCTTTGCCAAGTTGATCTACTTTGGGACAGAGGATGAGGAACTACAGCCCATGGGCCAAATGTCACTCTGACCCATCCATTGTTTTTGTCAATAAAGTTTTATTGGAATACAGCCTCATTCATTCATTTACATATTATCTATGACTGTTTTCTCTATAATGGCAGAGTGGAGCAGGAAGGACAGTGGCTCAGTATCCAGTAAAGATGAAAATATTTACTATTTCTGTCTTTATCAAAAAAGAAGGAAAGAAAGAATGAAAGAAAGGAAGGAAGGAAAGGGAAGGGAAGGAAGGAAGGAAGGAAGGGGAAGAAAGAAAGAAAGGAAGGAAAGAAAGAAAGAAAGAAAGAAAGAAAGAAAGAAAGAAAGAAAGAAAGAAAGAAAGAAGAAAGAAAGAGAGAAAGAAAGAAAGAAAGAAAGAAAGAAAGAAAGAAAGAAAGAAAGAAAGAAAGAAAGAAAGAAAAAAAGATAAAGACAATGGCCAACCTCTGATTTACAATGTGTTTGCTATTTTGTCAAGAGATGATTTACACATCCTATTTTCTTTTCCGGATCTCCAAGATGAAGTGGTGTACAATTGCAAGAATGACTAAAAGAAGGAGGAGCATATACTCTGCAGTTCTAACAGTCTGGGGACCACCTTTTACTAAATTCCTTCCATCCTTCTTTATAATAGTGATTGATGTTATGTGGCAGGCAGTGGAGAAATGTAACTGGTTTTCAACTGGTAGATAAGTTTGTTACATCTTAAGCATAGTAAAAAAGCCAGTGACTCCAGGAGTCACAATACATTGGAGTGGTTAACCTTGTGATACTGAAATGACTCATCAGAGTCCCTGACTTTACTACTATTAGTTTCCTTAGTTTCAATCTTCAGTCACTGTGTTCATGCTGCTAGTGTTCCTGAAAGTGCCCAATATGTGTCAGCTGCACAGGTTCTTGGTTTGCTGTAAGGGCTTTTTCAATTTTTTTCTTTTCTTTTTTTTTTTTTTTTTTTTTTTGAGATGGAGTCTCGCTCTGTCGCCCAGGCTGGAGTGCAGCGGCCCAATCTCGGCTCACTGCAAGCTCTGCTTCCCAAGTTCACGCCATTCTTCTGCCACAGCCTCCCGAGTAGCTGGAACTACAGATGCCTGCCACCACACTCGGCTGATTTTTTGCATTTTTAGCAGAGACGGGGTTTCTCCGTGTTAGCCAGGATGGTCTCGATCTCCTGACCTCGTTATCTGCTTGCCTCAGCCTCCCAAAGTGCTGGGATTACAGGCACGAGCCACTGCACCTGGCCAAATTTTTAAGAGCCTTTGACAACCCTTGGCAGCTGAAGAAACTGTGAAAGTTTCTGCTTTACTCCACAGCCTATGGATGCAAGCTATGGATTTAAGCAATAACAAGAAAAAGATGCTAAAATAATGTTAAGAACAGAACGTTTAACTCAATCTGGAGTTTCAAAGTCTAGATAGGAAGACAGGACACCGTGCATAGTTGAGGCAGAAAGGAACTTAATACAGGAAATTAAAAGCTTAAACAACTGTGGGATGAATTGGAGTCACGTTGGTCAGGAAATCTGGAAAAGCTAGAATCCAGGAAGCTGTGCAGAACTGGAAAATTCTCAAGAAGATGCACGGAAGGAAACTAATGGAAACTTTCTGCATCTATTGACACCTACTCCCTGATGGCTGCTGCTGAGAATAAGAACTTCTTCTCTTTTGCCTTCAAAATACCACACCAACACTTCTTCTTAGAAGAATCCAACCCTGAACCCTCCTGGCAAAAATCTAGAAAATGTGGTCCAAGGCTAGCTTCTCTCATGCAGGGAAGAACATAAAAGGAAGGAGAGGATAATGCTGAGTTGATATTAAATAACCCAGCATATTGGGGGATCCAGGAAGACTTCCTAAAGAATATGATACCAGAGACTGGGTTTTGAAAAATCAAAATTGGCCAATCCTTGGCCTTGGTCAATGATTCATCAAGAGAATTTCCCTTTCTAGACTACAAGAACCTGAATTAGGGAAGTACAGCCTTCCCAAGAAGCATTCATCTTATGCAACCAAATGAAGAGGTATCCATAAATAGCCTGATTTGCTCACCATTCTGTGTTCAAAATGGATAACTGAGAGCAATCTTTCTTTCCTAAAGAAAGAAAGATATGTTTTATAGTTATTAAAACCAAGAGCACTAGCCCTTCACATTACAAATGTAAGTGAGGAAGGATTTTTCTCCCAACATATTTCCTAAACAATGTGGAATTGTTGTGCCAAGAGATTGTGCAAGGGTGGGAAAATCGACCAACTACATGGTTGTTGGGCAATGCACAGAAGTCAGATCCTAGCATCCCTCCCGTAGCATTATTCTTTCTCTCCTTTGTGGCCCCCTCCCCTTCTTTTCAGAGACACACCAGGAACCTCCAAATAACCATCCCATTGGCAATTGATCCCTCATCTTTCCCTCAAGATTTACATTGACAGAAATCTCACAGTGCTGTGAAAGTAAAGGTGAAGCATCAGTTAAGCACCTACCATTTCTCTTGCTATGTTAGATGCTTTGTGTGCATGATTCAATTAAATCTTCTAAAGGACATTTGAGATAAGATTATTATCTGCACTTTCCAGGCAAGGAGGCAGAGGCCAAGAAAGATAGACTAATAATACTGAGGTCGCACATATACTCCTTTGCTCCATAGAAAATGGGGAGTAGGGAGACCCCACTTCTCTACTATAAATGAATCCTCTTTTTTTTTTTTTGGAATCCTGTATTCCGTGGGAGCATTCTTGGGTCACATAAAGGTCATCACACTCTCGGAGCTTTGCAAAACCATGGAGAACCTTAAATCCATCTCTTGAGACTTCTCTTCTTCCCTCCTTTACCCTAGAAAATGTGAAACAGTGAAATCACACCATGGCCAGAACAGTAGCCACCTTGGAATTCCCCACAGACCCCCAACTTCCCTCTGTGCCATTTTCCCAAAGACACAAAACCAAAAACCAAACAAAAATGGCTCCTTAGAGACTATAAGGTAGTCTAATATCGGTAGATTTTCAAATTTTCAGACCAAATTCACCTTTGGGTGTTTTATTTCATGTAAGTTATTGTGTTTTTCACCTTCCACTGTTTCTTTATTAGCCAAGTACGTACTAACTTGTGTTCAAAAAATTAAAAATACAGGAGTCAGGCACGGTGGCTCATGCCTGTAATCCCAGCACTTTGGGAGGCTGAGGCAGGCAGATCACTTAAAGTCAAAAGTTTGAGACCAGCCTGGCCAACATGATGAGACTCTGTCTCTACTAAAAATATAAAAATTAGTCAGGCATGGTGGCACACACTTATAATCCCAGCCACTTTGGAGGATGAGACAGGAGAATTGCTTGACCCAGGGAGGCAGATGTTGCAGTGAGCCAAGATCATGCCACTGCATTCCAGCCTGGGTGACAAAGTGAGACTCCATCTCAAAAAAAAAAAAAAGAAAAGAAAAAAAAAAGAAATAATAAATAAAAAATCTGTATAGATAGACCTGGAGAAAAATAAAATATATAAACACATTACAAATATAAAAATACTTAGGTCTTCTATAACACATGAGTTCAGCACTTTATTTTTCTCCTCCACATTCCATTTTGTGTATTTCCCAGTCTTGTCAATAATTCTTTGAAGTCTTGGGACCCGGATTGTTATTGTGACATTCTTTTAAACATTATAAATGTTCTGTGTGCTGAACGGATTTCAGGCTTTATTTCAGTTTTAGAGTCATAATAGTGACAACTAGACTTATCTCTTCTTTAATTGTTATCACTGCTTATTGCTAGTCCTTCTATATGGTAACCATCTTGTTCAGAGTCCTTAATTGTGTTTTATTACTCAGTCTGCAGTATGTCTTAAAAAATGTGCAAGGAGAGTTTATAGAATCAGTTTACAGATAATATATTTTGTCTCTTTTGCATATCCAGTGATATCATTCTCTTCCCTGTGTATGTGAATGCTAACTGGAATATATACGTAATATTCTTGGTGCATATCCTTTTCTTCGTCAAACTCTATAGATGCTGCCAAATTGTCTTCTGGCATTTAGTGTGCTAGGAAGAAGACTAAGGCCAGGCTAATTTTTATCTTCAGAAACTACCCATAGTTTTATGTCTGGATATTTACAGGGTTTTGTGTTAGTCTCAGTAGGCTGGAAGTTTCACCAAGCTACATAGATGGGAGGCTCTTATCCTTGAGTTTTCCTAAGTTGGGGTCAGCTCTTTCTGTCTACCATGAGTTTGCTTTGTTTTAGCTCAGGGATCATTGTTTTTTTTCATTCTTTACACACTTTGTCCCCTGTTCTCTCAATTCTGTAAGATTTTCTCAACTATGTTCTCCACAGCAGTGATACACTTTTAGGGAGCAACAATACTGCCTCTTTTTGCCTCTCACATGAGTTTAATTCCAGCCATTGATGCATATTCTTCTTACTTTATCCCATCACTATTCCCTGATATAAGCCATGTTTTGCCTTTATTTCCCTCCAGATCTTGCCTTCAGACTTCTGCTTCCATTTCAGAGAGACCAAGACTTCATGCAGTTTCTGAACATGCTGCGCAGTTGTCTAAAATAATCATCTAGATTTTATGGAAAATCATTTTCAAGATTGCTCTGCCTTCCTGAAGTTATTCCCTTCCCACTCACCCCTCAACACACATACCTTTTTTTTTTTTTTTTTTGCATCATTTTTCACCAGCCTCTTGGTGTTGTTGTTGCTGATAATATTGTTTGTTTTACTCATCCTCGGACAGGACAAGGTCAATTTGTCAGTATGTATTAATGCCAAGAAGAGTGATTTGCGCTGTGCGTTGCCTTCTTGGTCAAATTCTCATCTCAAATCCATGATTTGTGTTCAGAATCCAGTCTACCTCTTACTCAATAACCAGCTTTCACCTGTGATGCTCTTGCCTTGACTATGGTACCCCTTCCTCAGCCCTCAGCCCAGCTCCTGGTACTTAGAGATAATGCAAGATGGGACCAGCCCAATGCCCGGCATGCAGAGCTAGTCCCAGTGTCCCAAGTCTTCATGTCTTGGCAGCTGTCTCCAGAGCTTTGTCATGATTTCTTGCCGCCCTGTGGTCACTTTAATTGTCCCAATTCGTGCCCAGCAATTTGCTGTGATTTGCAGAATCTGGCTGGTTTGGGGGAAATGGGAAAAAGGGAGCTGAGGAAAGATAAATAATAATGTTTAAGAGACCAGCACCTCAGGAAGGGAAATAAGTGATTGCTTCATTTCCAATTGATGCAAAGCTTAGAGCTGAGTCTAGGTTCAGGGAGTGGGCAAAAGCAAAGCCTCTTCTTGCTTTCTCAGGGGAATTTTTCTCACGAAGGAAAGTAAGAGTATGCCACATTCTGGAGCCAACGTAGGTCTTTCTCAATCCAGATCCATCTACCCTGTCATTACTATGAATCGTTCCAGATTCTATCATTAGGCTGTACTGTTGGTCTTCATTTTCTTTCTCACCCACAGTTTTAACAGTTTTAATAAGAAAAACTGTGAGGTTCAGCTTTGGAAGGCCCCAGCCAGCTGCCATTTTGAACCAAAAGTCAGTGGGCAGCTTACTTTAAACTTTTCCAATTTCCAAGCAGCTATTATCTCAAAAAGTCAGAAAGAAGACATCCAAACATCTAAACCCCATGGTGGCCTAACCCTCTCTCTTCTACTCAGTCTGGTAGAAAACTTGTTCATAAAGCAAGAGAAAAAGATGACAAAGTATTATTATTATTATTATTATTATTTCCATTTTAGTAAATCTTCTTCACAGAATCTTTCAAACTGCCAGTTTAGTTTTCACTCAACATCTCAGCCTCTGCAGATTGTCCCACCAGCAGGCTCTCCACTACTCTACAGATTACCTCACGTCAAATCTGTGAAGTCCCATTTCTCAGGGACAGCCATGCAGCTTCCAGAGTCAGCCTTTGTCCTTCTCACTGGGAGGTCAGGGTGGTCTTTGCTGTGTAGGGTGGCTGAACTGGAGCCCTGTACTTATAATCTTGGAAGGAAGGTTACCTCAAACCTTCTGATCTTTACTTGTCAGTTTTAGACTTCCTTCTCATGTTTCATCCCCTTCAAATATAATTATCCTGCCCATCTCCCAGACCTCCACCCAGTTTAGGGGCTGAATTTCATTGAGTCTACACCAGGCAAAAAGACACACAATGCAAACCAAGAGAAAGACTAATTTGAAAAGCAACTAACATGATCAGGGTATATTCGTGTTAAGAACAGCATGACCATTAAGATCAAAGTCTCAGGACTCCCCAGATTCAAACCCCAGCTCTGCCACTTAGCACCTGTATAAATTTGAGCAAGTTATTTGACCTCTCTGTGCTTTATTTCCTCATCTGTAGAATAGGACAATAAGAGTCTCCACCTTATAGAGTTGTGTGAAGATTAAGTAAGTTAATATCTTCAAAGTGCTTTCAGAAATAAATGTCCAAGATCTGTCAGCTATTAACATCACCTACCACATGGAAAGTTCTTTCAGACATATTATTGTAGGCATTTCATCTACTTATCTGTTCTTCTTTCCAGGAGTATTTCCTCCACATAAGATGAATAATAGGAAACAAAGTCAGAGTCTTGTTACTAGATGCACAAGCACATCACTATCACCACTCCTCCCAAAAGAGAGCAGGATTACTCAGCTAAGCTTGGTAGCTCAGCATAGTGAGTGTATAACCAAGCCTGAGGTCTGAAGTGAAGATAACACCATGCTCTAGAATGGTCAGTTATCTGTGGCAGTCGCTGAGCCCACTCATCCATCCCTTTACCTAGACAAGAATGCCCAATTGCCTCTCCCACATAGGGACAGACTGAGAAATAGAGGTGATGTGACCAGTTGCTAGATGAAGACCTGGTCTGCTTACACATGGTGGCAAGATGTGAGAAAGAGAGTTCACCCTGAATGGGCCACACTCTGACAACCAATACCTTCCTTGAGGGCAAACTGGAAGCATATCCTCGAATAAACATGCTTTCCCCTCCCCAGTAATTTCTCCATAGCCTCCCCATAGCTCTGCCAGATAGATATGCTTACCCACAGATTCAAGTTGAGCATACTGAGGTTCCGAGTTTCAGGGGTAGAACCAAGATGACAATGAGGTGGTTCCCAGCCAACGTCCATGCTGTTTTCACCATACCCCACAGAAGTGATGTGTGCATGCAAAGGTGAGAACTTATCAAGTCTCTTCATTCAGTTGCTGAGCCAATTGCAGTAAAAGAATTCCTGAAGAACTTGGAAATCTTATCTGAGCTTAAGTCAGAGTCTTCTTAGGGTGTTTATCAGAGTAGGTCCTTCAGGTCCCCTTTGCTTAAGTACATTTCTGTCTCGTTCTCTACTAGTGCATTAAATCAAATCTGTTCAAATACCCAAATGCAGTACTCAAACAAGGTTTTCTCGGATCTCAGTGGGACTCATGTTTCCCAAATGTAAAAGGGAGTAGACTTTGTAGGATGTTGAGGGGACTACAACCAATGTGCAGGGTTTTGGACATACATTGAATGCTCATTTGTGAAATGATATATATTAAGTAATGTAGTCTTCCTGATATTTCCCGATGTTTCTAGACTCTCTCTCATCTTCTCTCATTCTGGCATTCAGACATAGTAGCATCAGGTGATTCAGAGAAGAGTAATAGTAACAGAAGAGTAAAGGCCTTTGAATCTTCAAAAGTTTAAATGTTGGTTCCAGACATAGAGAATACATAATAGGTCACAAATAAGCTGTTTCCTGTCTCCCAAAATTAAATGAAGATTCTATAGGATGAGATAATGGAATAAAGAAAATCCTTGGAAGTGAGCCCTATGTCTTGTCACCTGAGTGCTAGGTAAAGATGGGGGTGGGGTTGAAGACTGATAGAATCCCCATAAAGCTGGGGCTTCTACAACAGAGGGGACCTGATATGGTTCGATTATGTCCCCACCAAATCTCATCTTGAATTGTAATTCCTATAATTCTCACATGTCATGGGAGGGACCAGGTGGAGATCATTGAATCATGGGGGTGGTTTTCTCCATCATGTTCCCACGATAGTGAGTTAGTTCTCATGAGATCTCATGGTTTTATAAGGGGCTTCCCCCTTCACTGGACCCCACTGTGAAGAGGTGTCTTCTGCCATGATTGTAATTTTCCTGAGGCCTCCCAGCCTTGCGGAAGTGTGAGTTGATTAAACCACTTTTCTTTGTAAATTACCCAGTCTCTGGTATTTCTTCATAGCAGCATGAGAATGGACTAATACAGGGCCTGTACCTTGTTTGCCAGATAGGACCTGAGAAAGTGGCGAGTTCTCAGGTACTCAGCATAGTGTGCAAGCCAAATACATATTTACTATGCAGCCAAAGCAGCTAAGAGCCAGTGGACCTGAAAGAGCCCTGTGAGGTGAAGAAGGGGTATGAAGCAGACACTCATCTGGGCCAAAAAGAGGAGGCCACATAAGAACAAGCATAGCTTAACTGATGCCACCAAAGAGAAATGATGATCCAGGACAGATTCCTTTATTCCCTTCTCTCAAAATTTCAACAACAGGTGATGCCCCCACCTTTAAACAAAAAACCTGGACACATCACCTAGGTACAGAGAAGGGATCTCAAATTAACTGAGATCAAATTTCTAGCACCAGGGAGCAGAGGCTTGCTATACTTGCTGTACATATTAAGGTCTAGTATAAAAGAGAAAGGAAGTCACATATATTTTACAAATGTTGTAGCCTGAGTTTTATACCCGTTGCACAGCTGTTTTAGAATCTGTAGAATCTAGTTCAAGAAGACCCATAATTTAATGCAAATAATGGGTAAAACTGAAAGAAAAAAAATAGGATCATAGCTTCTTCCTCCCCGATACCTACTAAAATAAACACAGAATGGAGCCCGGTGCAGTGGCTCATGCCTGTAATCCCAGCAGTTTGGGAGGCCAAGGTGGGTGGATCACCTGAGGTCAGGAGTTTGAAAATAGTCTGGCCAACATGATGAACCCCATCTCTACTAAAAATACAAAAAGTAGCCAGGCGTGGTGGTGTGCGTCTGTAATCTCAGCATACTTGGGAGGCTGAGACATGAGAATTGCTTGAATCCATGAGATGGAGGTTATGGTGAGCCGAGATTACACCACTGCACTGCAGCCTGGATGACAGAGCAAGACTCCATCTAAAAATAAATAAATAAATAAATAAATACACACAAATTAGAAAAGAACAACAAGCCAAAAATTCACCAGGAACTGTTTAATAGGAAAAGACACTACAACTTTATCCAACAAACTTCAAAAACAGCAAATAAGAAAAGAAACAAGATTCTGGTCCACCAGAAACTAAAGCCATGCTCAATTTCTCAAAGATACAGTTAGGAAAAGAACTTGTAGGAACAGGGAACACGCACAAATAGACAGCGAAGGAAAAGGCCAAGAATGAATATTTGAGGCAAGAAGTCCCACATAACATTTGTCTATTCATCCATCCATTCATTCAGCAAATAATTGAGTGCCTACTCTATGTCAAGCACCATTCCAGGCACTTGAAGATAACAAGGAACAAAGCAGAGAAAAGCTGCTGTCCTATATTTTCATGGTGGTTGAGGGAAGAAGTAAATGATTTAAAAAAATGAAAGACAGTAAAAGATAAAATGCTTCTGATGATGTTAAGTGCCTTGAAGAAAAATAACAGAGATGGGCCGGGTGCGGTGGCTCACTCCTGTAATCCCAACACTTTGGGAGGCCAAGATGGGCAGATCATGAGGTCAGGAGTTCGAGACCAGCCTGGCTAACATGGTGAAACCCCATCTCTACTAAAAATATAAAATGTTAGCCAGGAATGGTGGCAGGTGCCTGTAATCCCAGCTACTCAGGAGGCTGAGGCAGGAGAATCGCTTGAACTCGGGAGGCAGAAGTTGCAGTGAGCCAAGACCAAGCCACTGCACTCCAGCCTGGGCAACAGAGAGAGACTCCATCTCAAAAAAAAAAAAAGAAAGAAAAATAACAGAGATGGGGGATGGAGGGTGCCACGTCATCTGCTATATACAACAGTATATATGAAAGTATATTTAATAGTATAAATGAGCAAAGACCTCATTGATATCCTGACATCTAAGCTTAGACCTGACAGATTTGAGGAAGGAAGCCATGTGGTTATCTGGGGGAAGAGTATTCTAGGCAGGGGAACTACACTGCAAAAGACCTGTGGACAGTGTGGGCCTGGCAGATTTGAGGCTCAACAAGAAAGCTAGCGTGACTGGGGCCAAGCGAGCCAAGGGATAGGAGAGTGTTGCCAGTGGCCATCACACAGAAGCCTAGGAAGCATTGAAGGGCTTTGGCTTGAGGAGGATTTTGAGCAGGAGAGTGTCGTGATATAACGAACATTTTTAGAAAATACAGCACTAGTGAAGCACGTTAGACTTTAGCAGAAAGAACAAGGGCCATCAGAGCCCAGCCTGTTGCAGTGCGCTGTGCTGAGATGGTGAATGAAGGGGAGATACAGCTGGTGGTGGGCCCTGATACAGCACACTTTGTGGACTCAGATGAAACCAGTGTGGAGTCAACCAGCAACTAGAACTGAGCTGTCAGCCCACACTCTGTATCCTCAGAGTCTGGAAGAATGTTCAGAAAGAAACAGCCAGCCCATAAATTTAACTAGAAATGACAAGACAAGACCACCTTATTAAAGATAAGGCAACAAAAGAACAATCATGTGTCCCCCACCTTGAATCAGGGCAAAGAGATGACGTGGGCAGAGCTCACCTAAGCCTGAGAAAAAAAGGGGGGAAATGGCATTTCAACTATGCAAACATTCTAGAGCACAGAAGAGAAAGGAAACACAATCTGCAAAAGAACAATAAAAAACTCAGTATGGAATCATTTATACAAGACTGAAAAACAAGACGATGAAGCAATATGCTGTGATGAAGAGGAAGATTACCGAGTTAAGGAAACAAGGAAGGGCCAAAGCAACATCTTCACAGATTAAATAAATAAATGTAAACCAGCAAAGAACTGACTGGGCTCGACTGAAAATTCAAACAATAGCATAAAAAAAGGCTTTAGGAATCACAGTGAATACAAAGGTAAAAGATAAAGCAAATAAATCGATCTGAAATGGTGATAAATAAAGACTTCGAAGTTGGCCCACATAAAGTTCACTTGTATTTCTCAAGTACAGCACCCAACAAAAGGAAGAGTATTCAGACGTGTAACTTCATGTCTGAAGTTTTTTCTGATGTTAGAAAACTATTATACTAAATCTGCAAATCATAAGAAAATGAATAAATTGGAAGAAAAACAACGTAATTTAAATAGAGATACTCAATGTATCCTGATCAATATTAACCATAGAGAATGCTTTCATCCAGGAAAAAAAAACAAGGGAGTGGAGAAATCAAGCTGATCTCTGACTTCTTCACATGAATGTTTTTCCAAAAGAAATCAGAGTAAAATCTACATAGTCAAATAAAGGAAAGTGTAACCCAAGAATATTAAAAGTGAACATATTCTCAAGCATGAAAGAATCCAGGGAATATATGGGCCATGTTGTAAAATATACTGGAAGATTAAATACAATCACAAGATAAATTTATTTACTTTTTTTAAACAAGCACATCTCTAGAGTGAAGAAGTTATGTTTAAGAGAACTAGTGTTTAGGACTAAATCCATTAAATAGTGTAGACAACACAACAGCAAAAATGTTGTTTGCAGAACAGAATGTGTTATCAATCATTTAAACTGAAAACTATAAAAGAAACAAAAATCAGGGGGCGAAAGAAAATGGGAGGAGATATTAAGAGTGGGAATCACTTGATTTTTCATAGTAGGAAGAAAATTCATGCCACATGAAAAACTGAAATATGTATGTTAAAAGTAAATAACATGGCACTAACTTACCTCGTTTCAGCATGTTTTTTACCTAAGCTTAGAAGAATATTTGAGGAAATAGTATCACTGGCAATGAAAGAAACATGATCTAAATTTCAGCAATTCCTTGAGTTTAACTTCAGTTTTTCTCTGGTTGCATTCGACTGAAGTTAAGTAAATGCTTTATTTCACTAAATATGGCCAGTATGATATTTAATTAACTAGCTGTTTACCTAAATAGCTTCCAATTCTTGCATTTTTTTGACACACACTGATATCTGGAATGATATCCACCAAAATTTAAGGCTGGCTATTTACTTCTTCGCTGGTGGAATTTTGGGGTGATTTGTTGCTTTCTTTGTACTTTCAAAAATATTTTAAAATTAGTTTATTATGAGCATGTATCATCTAATAAAAATAAAGTTTTATGTTTATTTTATTTTATATATATTTTTTGAGACAGAATCTTGCCCTGTCGCCCAGGCTGGAGTACAGTGGCACCATCTTAGCTCACTGTAGCCTCCGCCTCTGGGGTTCAAGTGATTCTCCTGCCTCAGCCTCCGGAGTAGCTGGGATTACAGGCGTGCACCACTATGCCCTGCTAATTTTTATATTATTAGTAGAGATGGGGTGTCATCATGTTGGCCAGGCTGGTCTTGAACTCCTGACCTCAGGTGATCTGCCCGCCTCGGCCTCCTAAAGTGTTGGGATTACAGGCATGAGGCACCGCGCCCAGCCAAAATAACATGTTTATAAACTACAATGAGATACCACTTCACATGCATTTCTGTCTTCCTGAATTTGACTACTCTGTGAATTTGAGGTGCTCTAGGTGCCTCATATAAGCGGAATCATATAGTACTGTATGTGTCTTTTGGTGACTGGCTTATTTCACTCAGCATAATGATCTCAAGGTTTATCCATGTTGTACCATATGTCAGAAGTGTACTGATGACTGTATTTTTTGAAAAAACAAAATGACTGCTATTTTTCAAAAAAAAGAAAGAAAAACAAGTATTGGAAAGGATGTGCAGAAAATGGAACCCCTGTGCACCGATGAGGGGAATGTAAAATGGTATAGCCATTGTGAAAAACAGTATGGCAGTTAGTCCCTCAGAAAATTTAACAATAGTATTACGCCATGATCCAGTATCTCCACTTCTGGGCATCTATCTCAAAGAATTGAAGGCAAGGTCTCACGGAGATATGTGTACACCCATGTTCATGGCAGCATTATTTACGACAGGTAAAAGAGGGTAGCACCTTAGTGTTTATCAATGTACATAGACGTATAAACAGTAAGTGGCATATACAATATACATACAATGAAATATGATTTAGCCTTAGAAAGCAAAACAGTTCAGATATATAGTACAACATGGATAAACCTTGAGGTCATTATGCTGAGTGAAATAAGCCAGTCATGAAAAGACACATACAGTACTATATTATTCTGCTTATATGAGGCACCTAAAGAACTTCAAATTTATAGAGTAGTGAAATTCGGGAAGACAAAAAGCAGAATGATGGTTTCCAGGGGTGGGAGAAGGGGAGAAGGAGGAGTTATTGTTTAACAGATGCAATTTCAGTTTTGCAAGATGAAAGAGGTTCTGGAGATGGATGGTGTCACAGTTTCACAATGGAAATATGCTTAATAACAGGGAACTGTACACTTAAAAATGGTTAAGATGGTTTTATGGTTAATGGTTTTATGTTATGTGTATTATACCATGATAAAAACGTTTTATTAAAAAAGTAAATAAATAAATAATAAATAATTTTAAATATGTACAATATTAGTGTAATAATAAATCACTACTAGATGGTGCCCTAAAACTGAAATTATTATTCACTAGTAATTGATTTATTGAAGGCCTTATATAAAGGTGCCATTTATTTTAAACATCACAACTTCATGAGCGTGTTCTCATTTTAAAGACGAGAAAGCTAAGGCTCAGATATGTTAATTGACAAATACAGCGTTTACACACTTCCAAGTTCTGAGAGAGAGTGGAAATTCATGTTTTTAATTCCAAGTCTATTCATCCATTCATCAGTTTTGTACTGAGGCCCCACTCTGTCCCACACATTATGTTTGCTCCACCATGATATAATTTCTAGACTTCTTCCTGATGACTAATTTTGACTAAGAATTTCCTCTTTAGTTGGTTAAAGAAAAGTATATGGCAATATTTCATACTGATTTAGAGACTCTAATTCATAAACTATCCCAAAATGGTGCATCTATTTAGTATTCCTTTCATCTTCTCTTTGAAGATGAAACAGTCACTGATTTTACATATACTCTGCATATTTATTTCATTTAAAAATACAGTATAATGAAATTGGAACCATGATGTTTGTTTATAACTGGTTCAACTGTACATGTAGACTGTGCACTTTCTATATGCAGTTCTATTTT
Organism: Homo sapiens; assembly: GCF_000001405.40. Classification (NCBI taxonomy): domain Eukaryota; kingdom Metazoa; phylum Chordata; class Mammalia; order Primates; family Hominidae; genus Homo; species Homo sapiens. Next base: position 128,227,103 of record NC_000008.11, on the reverse strand, counting down.
ACAATTTTAAAGTTTTTTTTTTTTAAAAAAGACTTAAACACAAGCATAACATCAGTTTGCTTCACTCAATAAATTCAATTTTGATGTGTGATAGATAGTAAAACATAGATGACCCAAATATTTATATAAATGTGTCTAGGATTATATATTATTTACCTATTGCTATTTGTCAAATTACCCCCAATATTAGTGGCTTACACAACAAATATATACTCCCTCACAGACTCTGGGTCCGGAATCCGGCCTTCACTTAGCGGAGCCCCTCAGGCTCACCCTCTTTCACCTTTCGCAGAGCTGAACTCCATGGGTTGACTGGGGTGGTCACCATAAAGCTCTACTGGGGAGAATCACCGACGTGGGTCTTGGCAGGTCTCAGGTATTTCCTGGCAGTTGATCAGAGACATCTGTTCCTTGCCACATAGATTTCTGATCACAATAAAAGTTTGCTTCTTCCACAGTGGGGTATCTCAGAGAAAGAGAAACCCAAGATGGAAGAAGAGTCTTTGTATAACCTAATGTCAGATGTTACTTCCAATCACTTCTGCCTTATTCTGCTCATTAGAAGTGAGTCACTAAATCCAGCCCACACTCAAAGGGAGAGGATTACACAAAAGTGTATAGGGCAGGAAGTGGGGGTCATTGAGAGCCATCATAGAAGCTGGTTGCCAAGAATACAAAAGCCACGTACCAAAATGTTAGCAATGATTGCCTCTAAATACTGGATCAGAATTACACTTGGTTTTTATATTTTTGTTGCTTCTCTGTTTTTCTAAATTGTTCACGGTGCAGATGCAGAAGTGGTCTGTATTTAAATTCTGCTTCTGTCACTCATCATCTGGATAACACATAAGACAAAGCTGTCAGTCTTACCAAGCCTTTGCTTCCCCAGTGCCAACCTCTTATAGTTATAAATATCAACATGATCTGTATGTAAAAGACTTACACAGTAGCACATTACAAGAGCTTATTATCCCAGCACGATGGCTCACACCTGTAATCCCAGTACTTTGGGAGGCAAAGATGGGAGGATCACTTGAGGTCAGGAGTTTGAGACTGGCCTGGGGTACTTAGTGAGAACTTGTCTCTACAAAAAGTTTTTAAAAAAATTAGCCAGGGACTGTGATGCACTCCTACAGTCCCAGCTACTCAGGAGGCTGAGGCAGGGGGATCGCTTGAGTCCAGGAGTTGGAGATTACAGTAAGGTGTGATTGTGCCACTGCCCTCCAGCCTGAGTGAAAAAGTGGGACCCTGTCTCTAAAATTAGTGCTTATTACTGGTCAATATGTAATTTTTAATATATTGAAAATTAGATGGTATGGTTTTATCCCCACTTATATTTTCAGTAGCAGGGAAAAGATATAAACACATAAAACACAGGAAAAATAAGAGCAAATAGTATAACAGCAAGTGCTAAAGTATGTAGGTGAGACAATAAATGAAGATATTAGAAATAAAGAGAAAATAGAAGATGAGGAAATTGTGGTAAAGGATACACTTCAGAGGAGGCAGGGCAGACTTTGAACAGGTTAGATGGCAGGATTAGAGGGTTTGAAATTCTAATGAGCTTCTTGTTTACTGAGGGCCTCATCCATGCCAGAGTATAAGAGTATAGTGCTGAACAAGGCAGAATATCTGCCTTCAAGAAACTCATAGCCTAAGAGACAAAGATATAAATGAAAAGAATCTTTCAAAATATTTGGTGACTTCAGAGCTAGAGATTAGCATTTGATCGATAGCTACTTATTAAGCACTTACTATGTGCAGACATTATAGTGGACACTCAAAACCACGACCCTCAAAGAGCTCATAATATAGTGCAGAAGATGGATAATTAAACAGGCTATTTTATGCTAATTTATTTGGCAATGTAATAAATGCTAAAGTGAGAAGAGAGATGAGATGGAAGAGCAGAGGAGGACAGAGGACTGCACAAGGAAGGCTTTCTGAGGCAGGTTATATCTAATTAAGCTGAGATTATGTTAGCCAAGCCAAGAGTTAGGGGAAGGAAGTTTTAGCTAAAGGAATACCCCAAGCACAGGGTTCTGTGATGCACAGAGAAGATGGCATAACTGAGACACCACGGGCAAGAGGATTTAGACAGGTGAATCAAGGCCAGAATCTAGAGTGTTCAAAACTACAAACAGGAAGCAGAGTGCATATTCAGAATCTACAGCAAGCAATGACACGGTGAATGCCCTGTTTAAGGACGGCCACACAGAGAACGTGTGGATAAGTGGTGAGCTCAGCACCTGGAGGGGAGGTGACCGTGACATCAGAGGTTGAGTTCACCTGGGGTCATCCTCCCAGGGTGATTTCCTAAAATGCCAATGGCATCTGGGCTGGAAATTCACTGCAGCTCATTCTAAGCTCTGCAGAATCATGTGACGCTTGCAGAAACAATTAGTCTCATGCATGATAGACAGAGTGTCTCAGAGAATGACAGAGAAGAAAAAGCTCTCAAAACAAATCAAAATACACCAAGACTCAAATGGGATCCTCACAGACAGTTTCTTCAATAAGATGGTGCCAGCAAAGGCAGAGGCTGACACAGGTTGGGAGAAGTTTTTAGTTGCCACCTTAGTGGGAAAACCATCTGATTTTACTCCTCCAGAGCACTGTGACTTTGGCCAAATTCCTTAATCCTTTTGACCCAAGTTTCACATCTCTAAAATAAGGATAATTAACCTCTATTTTACAGGACTGTTGCAGGGATAAAAGGAGATTATCACTATGCAGACACAAACCACTACTTCACTGTAAGCTAATTTTACTATTATTATGAGACAAAAAGTAGAGTGTCATTGTTAATGCTTGAATTCTGGAGTTCAAGCTTGGGTTCAAATCCCAGTTCTTTCAATTGCTAGCTGTATAATCTTAGACACGTTGCTTAACTCCCTGAGTCTCTTATTCTTTATCTACAAAATGGAGGAAATAATGGTAACTACTTCATAGGAGTTTTATGAGACATAAATTCTTAATTTATGTAAAATGTTAAAACAGTGCAGGCATACAGTAAACTCTCAATAAACATCAGCCATTAATATTTTATTAACAGTAGTGGTTGTAATAATAGCACCAGTACTAACAGTAGTAGTAGCATTTCTGGGCTCTACTGATCCTGATTTTTATACAATGTATACGTGAGTGGAAAATCACATATTGATGCAATTCAGATTGTTTAGCATCTCAAAATATTTTCATACATTTTGTGCTCTTCAAACCCAATTGCAGGCAGGGTTGCAGCATTATTCTGAGATTAAATATAAGGACAAACTTGGAGAAGTCACAAGAATTTCTTATGATCGCACAACCAGAAAAGGCTGTGCAAAGAGTTGAACCCAACTTTCCTGATGCTAAATTCCGTGTCCTTTCTCATACGTTCTCTCTCTGTGGTGGGTAGGGCGTGCTTTAATAATTTTGAGACGTCTCACCAGGAATTTTCTTTAGATTGAGCTAAAATCAGACTGTATGGGATCAGTGAGTGTTACTGTTCTTCTAAAAAGTGTTTGTCTTTTCCAGTCTTGTCTCAGCCTTTTCCTCCAAGAAGAAATTTTCAATTAACTATTAGCTTATGTTGCAAACATTTGTTCTTAAATGCACTCATTCATTCTTGTGGGTGATTAAGGATGATGGGTATATAAATATACAAGTACATAAATGACAAGTCAAACCATGTACATATGGTAATTTAATTTTGAGAGGAGTACCATGTTTATGCATTTCTATCAGCCTGCCTACTTTTGATGAATGTGTAATTTTTTTACCCACCATTTTATCATTGCCAATATTTAAGTAAATATCCTAAGTGTAGCACTAGATAAAAGCATCTATGCCATCCAGATAATTTGCAGCTGGGAAACATGAGCAATTTTTTTTTCTAGATTCTAAGTACATTGATGTTCCGTACTTCACTAACACTGTATGTTTCACAGGTGTCAGTGCTTTGGAATGTACCACTGTGTGAAGTAACATTGATCCTAGATAGCAGCATAAGTTTTAAGATAAAATTTAGTCATTTGACTAAATATGGCCAAGAATATTTTGGAAACTATCACAGATTATAGAATTTTATAGTTACAGAAATATAGAGAAGAGATACCGAATCCAACTAAGTAAGATTAATCATAGATAAAAGAAGAGAAAGGGCATTCTAGAAAGGAAGAATTGGGTAGAAAAGTAGGATGATTTCATTCAGGAATCTACAGGAAGATTGGTGTTGCTGAAAACAAAAATGGCAGAGATGAGACCGAGGTGGGCCAAGGGGAGGTACAGGGTCTTGGATGCCATGCTGAGGGATGTGAACTTTATCTTGAGGTCATGGAAAGGTATTAAGCACAGTGTGGCATAGCCAGGTTTGGTCTGGGACAAGGGAGTTGGAGGGTGGTGCCTCATTTCCACAGCAGGCTGGAACTCCCAGCGTTCTCTGCTCTTTTTTCACTATTGAGGATTGTTCGAAGCGTTCCAAGCACGACCCTCCTCTTCTACAGCAAGAGGGCATGGAGAGTGATTGAAGGACATCCAGAACACTGTGGCTTGTAAGCGTCCGAAGTTAAAATCATCTCTGACAATCAGCAAAGTCAAAATGTCATTAGGTTTCACAGGGCTCAGTGCTGAGGGATGGGAGCCCTTCAGATATAATGTGAAACCAGAATTGAGACTCTAGGTGGCCAGGTACTCTCTTAGAAGGTTTTTGCACCCCTCTGAGTGTTGGATAGAGCTGAACTTTTGTACAGCTGTGGGTTTTGCAAACCTGAGCTTATGAGTTCCTTTCCTAAAACTGTCTGCTTGCCACACCACACAATGCAACTTTGCCCCTCTATGAAACTTGCGGGGGTCACAGGGTTTGAAGTAAAACTGAAAGTTCCAAAAGAACCACAAGAGACTTCTGCTGTCATGTCCTCCCCAAACTTCTCCTGCCAAAGTATGCCCTCTTCTTTTACTGCATGTGTACTTCCCAGATGTAGGGCTGACTCAGAGTCCAGATGTTATAGTAAAAGAACACTCGGCTCAGAATACAGGCATTTGGTTTGTATTCTTGTTCTGTAGCTTTCTGACCATCTGACCTGTAAATCCATTTAATGCAACTTTCCCATCTGCAAAACAGAAGGTTAACTAGATGATGTCTAAGGGAGTTTTGAGTTCTCTAACATTCTGTGACTGCAAGAACTTCCTGTCCTTGATGCTGAAAAGGCATAAAAGGAAACAAGCCACAATCCCACAATTATAATATAGCTATGATATTGATAATAAGCAGATACCCAAACAATGTAGTAGGAAAGTGCCTAGTGACATGGAAAATTCTTCAGCTCTATTACCAATGAGAAAAGAATCTACAAACAAGTACACTATGATCTCATTTTTTGTACAGTAAATATATACATAGAAAACACAATCAAAAAAAGAGTCTCATGGTCCTCTCGGGCCATAAGATTTTCTTTTTTGTGTTTATATTTATTTTCTCTCTGTCTCTCTTTTCAAAGAAGGTACACTATTTTCCCAGTAATCAAGTACATTTTATTTGTAATATGACAAGGGTCATTATTCTCTGAAGTGTTGTGGATCTCATGGATCTATTGATTATTTTTTATCTCAGGGATCTATTGATTATTTTTAAGGACAAACAATGAAAATTTTGCAAATGATGTGACATTGAATCTGAAACACAATAGCTAAATGAGGGTAAGTTTTTTCTTAGCAACCTCTTCATCCACTAATTTTCCCATCCTTTTCTCCTGAATACTTCTTACGGTTTCTTATGAGTAGCACTGACTTTTCCTACCAAAGCATGTGCACCACTTGAAGGCAAAAAGCAGTTCTCCTGGTTCCCCTGTATTCTCTCTAAAAATAACAAGCATTTAGTCCTGAGAACATACAGAATAAATAAACTTGCACTTATGATGTTGGTTTTTCTGAAGGCAGTGATGTTGTTTAACACCTAACTCTGTGGATAGTTGTGCAAAAATCCTCCGTCCCTGGTTTCTCAGTGGTGTGTGACCCAGTCTCCCAAAGCCAAGTCCATGAGTTCATTTCCTACATCCCTCAGTTTTATTGTTTCCCTTGTGGCTTGAAGCAAAATCCCAACAAAGTGTGCAGTCATTGCACTGGGGAAACTAAGTAGAGACAGACGGATAAACTAGAAAAGCACAAGAGAGTTCAATTGTGATTGAATGGTTCTATACAGAAGCAAGGACTCACTGGGGTAGGACAGAGAGATGGAAGAAGCAGAGGGAGGAGAAAGGAAGGGAAAACCTCTACTTCTTGGACTTAGGCCAAAATAAGGTGAAATTAATCTTAGGAAAGCCAGTGGTGGAATAGTTGTCAGCTACGTTGCATTTCTTAAATACCATATATCTAATGGGTCTTGAGAGCTTGTCTGGATGTTCTAGCAGGAGAGCTCAGCTAATCATATACCCTTGACCGAAGACCAGTCCTTCTCTGTCAGGGAATGGTCGTCCTCTTCGACCTAGTGTGCAGCTTTGGGAGGAATGCACTTGGAGCTGTGAGCAAGGAAGGGACACCAGCTTAGCCAGCCAGATTAGCCGAATCAATGCTGGCGATCAATGGGGTGACAGATGTCGCAGTCAGATCGCCCTCACATCCAATACCATGTATCTACATGTCAACAACTCCCAGATGTTACATCTTCTGCCCAGCCCGATCTCCCAAGTCCCAGACTAGTATTTCAACTCACTACTTGATAGGTCCACTTGGATACTTCATGAACTTCTCAAACGTAACATGCCCTAAACTGAACCCCTGATGGTCCTCTCTTAAAACTGTGTAACCAGCAGCTCCCCCATCTCAGAGGACAGGAATCTCATCCATCCTGTGCTCAGGCCAAACCAGGAATAGGAGTCATCTGTGCTGTCATTCTTTCTCTCATATCCCACATTCAATTTGTCAGGAAGCACTGATGGCTCTATTTTCAGAAAAATATCAGAATCCAACTGCTCCTCACCAACCACACCACTGCTCTTCTGGCTCAAGGCACCACCATCTTTTGCCTGTATTACTGCAAAAACCACCTGATGTTCTCCTTTCTTCCTTAACACCCTAGAGTCTATTCTAAGCACAGCATCCAGAGTGAATCTCTTAAAACATACATTATTTTATGCCACTCACCTGCTCAAAATATCACCCTGAGTTCCCTTTTCACTCAGAGTAAAAGACAAAGGAGGGTTTTTTTGTTCATTTTTTTGTTTTGTTTTTGTTGTTGTTGTTTGTAGACGATGGCCTACAAGACCCCCTGTGATCCAGCTTCCAGCTCCCATTACTTCTGTTACCTTATCTCACTCATTCAGTTCTTGTCACACACTTCTTCTTGCCCCTCCTCTAGGCAATTATCCACTCATATTCATGGTGGCTTATATATACTTTATCTAACTGTTAAATAATATGAATAGCTAATATTTTGAATCCCATGTGCATAGCGCTTTGCAGCTTACAAATTACTTCTGTATATAATATTTCACTTAATCTTCACAATAATATTGTGAACTAAGTATTACTTGTCACATTTTATAGGTAATAAATCTAAGCTCAGAGAGGCTGAACAACTTGTCCAGATCATATAGTCAGTAATTGGTGCACTTGCATTCAAATATAGGTCTGTTAGACCCTAAAAGGGAAAGGGAGGGGATTAATATTCATTGATTTGTACTGGGGTAAGGTCCTTTACTTGACAATCTCATTTAGTTTCCCTTAGTCTATCATTTTCTCACCTTCCATTATGTCCTACTCCATTACACAAAGTGTCCATAGTAGATGCTTACAAAATGTTGATAAGCATCATCATCATGATTATAAATTCTATCTTTTGAGTCAGATTCTCAGTTATCATAGATCATGTTCTTTTTGCTTCTTCATTCATGAACTAAAGAAAGAGACTTATGACCAACAAGGTGGGAGAATTAAATTCAGTGTGAGATAATTGTCTATGTCTCTTTTTCTTCTTTCTAAAAATCACTGTCCATTTGTCCTCACTGTCTGCTCTATGGCCATTCCTAAGGGAACACTTGGTTCCTTGAGTTCCTTTCTAACTTTATTCCCACATAGCAATACAGTTATTTAATTTGCCAACTGTATGTTTCCAAGTGCCCCCAGCGTTGTCTTTTGTAAATGTCATGTGGTCTAACTCATCATCATTCCCTAAATTGTTCATCTATATTCTCAGGTATAATTATTTTTCTCCTTTCTCAGAACACGTACAGAGCTTGGTCAGTTATTTAGCCAATAAATATTTCTTTAGCCTTTAATATAGACGAATCACTGATTTAGGAATTGGGAATTGACAAAGAGATAGGACACTTTATCCTTGTGGTACAACAAAGGATAAAGATAAGAACCAAGACAATTTTAGTCTCTTCCTAGGACGTAAGTGTCTGAGCTGGAAAGTACCTAAGACATCAATTATCCTCTATGTTATAGATATCTAAACTAAGTCTCAGATTTTTTAGGGCAGTTTCCAGTTTTTTGTACCAATTATTTTTATCCCAACAGATTTGAAATGTTAAAGACTGTGTACTCACTAAAAAGAAGAAAATACTATTTTTAAGCAACTTCATTCTTTCCTAGTTTGTTTGTTTTTTTTTTTAATTGAAGCTGTCAATTGGGGCTTCTAATTAGCATGAGGTAGAGTTGCTACATTAAATTGATTTCATTCCATCAAAATTAGAAAAACTTCCAGCCTGGCCAACATGGCGAAACCCCTTCTCTACTAAAAATACAAAAATTAGCTGGGCATGGGGGCAGGCACCTGTAATCCCACCTACTTAGGAGGCTGAGGCAGGAGAATCACTTGAACCCGGGGGGTGGAGATTGTGGTGAGTGGAGATGGCACCACCGCACTTCAGCCTGGGTGACAGAGTGAGACTCCATCTCAAAAAAAAAAAAAAAAAAAAAAGCAAAGAAAAAGTTGATGTTTTGGCTGAGGCTTTGTACTACTAGAAAGCCTAAACATAGTTTTTTCATTATGTTTTTCACAATTTTTTTGAACCCCTGGGGATTCAGGGAGCACAATTCAGGCAAACTTGCTAAGATGGGACAATAATAACAACCATGTAAAGACTCAAACGATGAGTCCTGTATTCTCCCCATAGTCCTTCATGTTTCATGCATGCAGCCACCATTCCTTGGGCCCCAACTGTGTTTTGGCCGGTCTTCTATGTACTGTGGTACAAAGAGCTGCAGACGCTCCCAGAAGAGAAGGGAAGAGAAAATTGTGCACACATGAATAGCAGTCATTCACACAAGTAAGACCAAGTGAAAAAATCGTGAGCAGACGGATGAAGGAGGTAGGAAAGGATCTAGTTTTAAAAGAATTTATATAGCATCATCCCACAGAGTTTGAACCTTATTTCGTAAGCATTGAGAGGTCATTGAGGATACTGAATTAGGGAAATGATGTTATCACTTTATGTTTTTCAAAGGCTGTTGTGTGGAGTGTATATTAGCTTAGGGGGAGAGATCAGAACCAAGGAAATCAAGTCAGAGACTATCACAGTAATCTAAGCAAGGATATATGAGGGCCAAGACAGTGGGAAGAGAGGGGTAAATGGGAATGGATGTGAGAAACATTTAGAATATTAGATAGGACTAGAGGAGCAGGAAGTAAGAATTTAAAAGCGCTGTAAGTGTTCTGTCAATTTAGTGGTCACTTCCAGCCTGCTTTTTGAGGTCATCAAGTGCCATGTCCCATGCGACCCTCTCCAAGCAAGCATCAGCTTAGTTACCAGAGATAGACACCTGACCCCAAATGGGCCAGATTTTCTTTCCTGGGACATCTTAAATAAAGGCATAAAGACTTAATTGTCCATATCCTGGAAAATCCTGGATATTAATATTAGAGCTTTGGAGACTCAGCTAAAGACCATACTGAGGCATGAATAAGCAGCAGAAGGCAGTCTCTAAGGTAGACACCAGAGAAAATTGATACAGAGAAGACAAATGAAGGACCACATCATCCAGGAGAGGAAGCAAGGAAGAGGGGATAGGAAAAAGATAAGGGAGAGAGACGGAGACCTTGGTAAGGGATTGTACTCTCAAAATTGTAAGAAAACAAATTGAGAATCATTATACCAGAGAAACAGGACTTGCACATCTGACCTGGAGAAGGTATTTGAACAAAATGCTGTATTCCACTTTATGGTGATTTCAGGAGACAGAAAAGACCCTGGTAAAGAAAATCTTAGGAAGGAAGCATCCTGTCCCTGCTGTCATGAGTTCAAATGTGGCACAAGGACATTGTGACAATTAAGTGTTCTAGAAATGTGACAAATCAGAGTGTTTGCCTGTGTTTAAGAAAGAAAGGCTTCTGAGGAGCAGTAAGGTAATTATAGCCATCGTATTTACATATTTGTTTAGCACCGATAAATTGCTATGCCACATTTTGGGGTTTGGGGTTTTTCGAAAGAATGCTTGTGGTAAAGGGGTAATAAAAGAACTCACTGAAAAGAAATGTAAATGCATACGTGCTGGCCATTGTGCCACCAGGTGGGCACAAAAACATAGAGACTGAAGATGATCCCTAACATAGAGAAGCTTACCTCCAGGGAACACAATAGCATAATGTTAAGTATTATAGTGGAAGTTTTAACAGGAAACTCTAAGAACCAGCATGAGCCAGGGGGATATGGATAACTATTTTCTAGGAGGAAACATTTGAGTATTACAGAATAAGCAGAAATTCACTGGACAATGAAAGGTGGAAGAGGGAGGGTGCTATGAAGAAATTATCACACTTTTCCTCCCAGTAGTATTTCATACATGTAGGTACTGATTCAAAAACAAAACCTTAAGTCTCTTGAAAGTAGGTTCTTATTTTGTTTTTATTGATAAGCTGATTTTTTTCTTGTTGGGTCCTAGCCAATCTTAATATATTTGGTGTTACTCCATGATGGTGAATCACATGAGCTTAGGAGTCCAACAGACTGGACCTCAGGTCCAAACTCAGACATTTCCTAGCTGTGTGGCCTTAAGCAAGCTATTTCATAACCTGTGCCTCAATGTTCTAAAATGGCGGCTATGCTGGTATTTACTTCATTAGATGTTTTTGATAATTATACTACTTCCAGTAATATAAAAAACATTTGAAACATCTTACTTAAGAAAAAACTTACTCTTTATGTCCCGTTCTCCAGTAACATTATCTCAAAGTCATAAATATATTGGTATATGTAGTTTGTTAATGCACTAGCTTTTTAAAAGAATATTAGAAGAAATTAAGAAAAAATATTTACCCACTATGTTTACTCAAACTAAACATCACTCCCCTCACACTCTTCCAAAGCTCCCTTCTGTTTTTTGATGCCCCCAGACTTAGATATTGAAAATAGCTAAAATTCTAGTATACATTTAATTACACGTTCTGCTTCTTTTCACCTAACATTATTTACAAACTTTTTTATTTGTTATATTTTTCATAATTATTGCTCAAAATTTTTCAGAATGAAGGTGTTATCATTAATTTAAGTTGCCCCCTATTGTTAGATATTTGAATCATTTACAATTTTGCACTATCAAAAATAATATTACATTGCCTTCATTTATTCCATAAATAATTTTTGAGCGTATATTAAGTGCAAGACACGATTCTTCAATGTTGGGTTAGGAAATTGATTCAGGCAGATATTCTGCTTGCAAGTTTTCAATCTAGTAGAGTATAGCTAGATCAGTAGGTAAATATTTGCAATAAGAAGAGTTGCATGGGTGCTGTAAGAAATGTCCAATTACACTGTTGGAGCAAGTGCTTTTATTTGGCTATAATTCATGGTTAGGGAAACAAAACACGGAGAGATTAAATTGGAATAGTAAGGGCAGATCATGGAAGGTCTCGAACTCTAAGTTAGAGAGTCTGGGCTACTTCCTGTGAATGATGGGTTATCATCAATTGAGGCACCATGAACTAATGGCTAAACGAGCATGGGTTCAATGATAAAGGTTTGTTAAATAAATCATGACATGTACAAGTAATAGAATACCATAAAGCTATTAAAATAAGTGGTAAAAGAAAAACTAAAGACTTGAAAACTATTTATAACATTATCTACATAGAAAAGTCAGGTCATAAAACAATATATACAGTATGACCCCAAGTTTGTATCAGAAACAAAAAATAGAAAACAGCTGGAAAGATATACACAGCAATGTCCTTGTGGTTATTTCTGAATACAGAAATTGTGACTGATTTTTATTTTTTCCTTGTACTTTATGTTATTTTTTTCGTTTTAAAGTTGAGCATTTAATAGAGCTCTAACTGTTCAGCATTTGGATTGTCTCCAGTTTCCATTATTGGTGGAAATACTTTGATGAAAATTTTTATACAGAAATATTTGTGTGTGTCTCTGTCAATTTATGTAAGTGAAATTTTGGGATCAAGGGACATGCCCACAGGATATGTATACTTCGTGTACTTTTAAATACCTCGGTATTTAAATTTTTAAATGAAAAAAAAAGGCATTGTTTCCAGAGCTAGGCTACCTATGCTTGAATGTAAACTCCACATTTCCCAGAATATGATCCTGAACAAGTTATATTAGTTTTCTGTGCCTCACTTTGGAATGTGAGGATATTAAAGCACCTTCCTTATGGGGTTATTGTAAAGGTTAGATGCATTGTTTCCTGTAGTTTACAACAGTGCCCAACACAGGGTAAGCACTTAATCAGTGTAAAACATTATGATTTTTTGTTTGTTTGTTTGCTTGCTTGTTTTGTTTTTGCCGGACATGGTGGCTCACACCTGTAATCCCAACACTTTGTTTGGGGGGCTGAGGCGGGTGGATTACTTGAGATCAGGAGTTCAAGACCAGCCTGGCCAACATGGTGAAACCCTGCCTTTACTAAAAATACAAAAAATTAGCCAGGCATGGTGGTGCATGCCTGTA